>NC_000016.10:7510000-8135000 GCF_000001405.40 Homo sapiens | reverse complement strand
TGGGTGCTGCTCAATGTCACATTGCCTTAAGTGGCTGAGCTTGGGATCCAAACCCAAGGCTCTCTAACTCTCTGCCCAAGTCCTTGTACTGTGAATCTACACATGTGTCTTCTCAACATTGTCCCCCTTCACTAACTTTTGGGAAGGGTGGGAGGTAAGGAAAACAGAGATTTGGAGATTTTTCTCATTCATTTTGTGTTTAACAAATTAATTCAGTGTGAAAAGTAAAATGAGCTCAATGCCATATTGTGTTTGAATTATTGACAACCATTCTTATTCTAACCAGGAAAAAGCATCACTTGGTAAAAACAAAGCCCCTCACTTTCACTCTACCTTTTTTAGTATTTTAAAAAAAAGCCTCACAATTTGGTACCTATTATTTTACATTGTAAAGTGACGAAGAATTAGAAAATTGTTAGATAGCAGGTGACAAATTGCAATCTGATGGGCCAACATGAACCTATAAAAATGTTATCAAGATGATATTAAACAGTCTATTCCTTACTTAGCATCCAGGCAGGAAATTGGAGCTATTCTTGCTGGGATATCTCATACTTGGATATTTTTCATTTAGATAATGCTATTTAAAATTTAACTGGATTACTGGTAATTTGTCTCTCAAAGTGATGTACCTGAGCCCTTGGCTGAGAATATCCTTTACCTAGTTTTTAGTGAAAGGCCTTTGGAATTTCTGAAACTTTTGTGTGTGTTTCTGGCAAGGATGTTTTGTTTGTTTGTTTCATCTCCTTCAAGTCTCCTTTTCTTTAAAGGAAAGAAAACCATATTTTCTTTCTTATTCCAGTATTTTTTTATGTGTCAATTAGACAGGAGGTATGATTGGGTTCATAAGTACCGTATGGCATAAAGCGTGTCTATGCAGTTCATCATTAAATCCGAAGAGTTCAGTACAGTCCCTGCTGCCTAGTAGGGACTCAATTCACATTTACTGAATGAACACATGTTTTATTCATCTATATTAAACCAGTACTTTACGTGGTATCCAGAACAGAATAGGTGCTAAATTAATATCCATTACATTGCACTACTGAGGAATTTGGTGGTTAACACCTCCCCGCTGCACAGAATCATCTCAACCCAGTTTCACCTCATACCTCTTTCCTCACAGTCATCTTATGGAGGCTGAGGCAACTCTGTCTCCTAAGACTAGGCTTTTTTCTGCATAAAGGAGAACACCTGTTATTGCCTAAAAGTAGAATTAGAGGTAATGAAATTTAGGGTAGCGTTTGGTAAGTGGGAGGAGGATCATTGTAGGCATGATCACAAAATTGTATCTGAAGGCCAAAAATAATTCTCAAAAGAAAAAAAGCTCTATCTTATGAAAATAATAACATAGAAACCATCTGGGTTTGACTCTCAGATTGTATTTGCAAAGTCTGAGAAGAAAGGAAGAAGGGATGAAGAAATTCCTTCCTTTAATCAAAAAAGTTACTGAGCCTGTGTTGGGTGCCATGCTTTTTGCTTGGTGCCGGAGCTGCAGTGGGGACAAGGAAAAGTACCTAACCTCATGAGTCAGGTATACAAAAGTGTATCTATGGGGCAAGTCACCAAACAAAAGTCATACACTCTATGGGAAAGACAGATTATAAAGATGTTAAAATGGCTGGCCGTGGTGGCTCACGCCTGTAATCCCAGCACTTTGGGAGGCCAAGGCGGGTGCATCACGAGGTCAGGAGTTCAAGACCTGACCAACATGGTGACACCCTGTCTCTACTAAAAATACAAAAAAATTAGTCGGTTGTGGTGGCAGGCACCTGTAATCCCAGCTACTCGGGACGCTGAGGCAGAGAATTGCTTGAACCCAGGAGGCAGAGGTTGCAATGAGCCAAGATTGTGCCACTGCACTCTAGTGTGGGCACAGAGCAATACTCCGTCTCAAAAAAAAAAAAAAAGAAGAAGAAGAAATGAGTCACACATGACAATATAGTTTAAATGATGCTGACTTGAGAAAATTAATATTAGCCAATAATAGAGTAAAGAATAAGATGTATGCTCTTTACATCATTGGAAAGGTACATGGTAACCAGAACATATTCCTAGGGAAAAAGTCAGAAGAGGAAGCCCTGGCCAGGCACGGTGGCTCATGCCTGTAATCCCAGCACTTTGGGAGGCCGAGGTAGGTGGATTGCATGAGCTGAGGATTTCAAGACCAGCCTGAACAACATGGCAAAACCTCATGTCTACTAAAATACAAAAATTAGCCAGGTGTGGTGGCACATGCCTGTGGCCTCAGCTACTCCGGAGGCTAAGGTGAGAGGATCACTTGAGCCCAGGAGGTCAAGCCTTCAGTGAGCTAAGGTTGCACCACTGGGTATCAGAGCAAGGCCCTGTCTCAAAAAAATAAATAAATAAATAAGAGAAAGAAAGGGAAGCCCCTAAAAGCAAAACAACAACAAACAGAACAGACACAAGACAGAAGACAAAATGAGTAGATTTTCAGAATAAGTAAAAAAAATAAAAATCAAATTCAACTATTTGGAAAGGGAAATGACATAGTTAAAATCAACGAGAGAAGCAAAGTTTCGTCTGAAGAAAACAAGCAAAAAGAAGAGCTGGAAATTCTACTTTTTGCTAAGGAAAGATACAAAGCAAAGTTCATGAAATGCAACAAGGATCACTTTACAGTGGTAAAGCATGCAATCTGCAATAAAAATATAGGCCAGGTGCAGTGGCTCACGCCTGTAATCCCAGCACTTTGGGAGGCCAGGGCAGGCGAATCACCTGAGGTCAGGAGTTCAAGACCAGCCTGGCCAACATAGTGAAACCTGGTCTTTATTAAAAATACAAAAATTAGCTGGGCGTGTTCACGCACGCCTGTACTCCCAGCTACTTAGGAGGCTGAGGCACCAGAATCGCTTGAACCCAGGAGGTGGAGGTTGCAGTGAGCCAAGATTATGCCACTGCACTCCTGCATGGGAGACAGAGCAAGATTCCATCTCAAAATAATAATAATAATAGTAGTGAGGGTCATGATCATTTATGTATCAATAACATAGCTTCATCATATAAATCAACCAAGGAAGTTTTAAAAATTTGTTTGTTTTGGGTTTTGTGCTTTTATTTGTGTTTTTGGCACCTGGAATGATGGCATTACCATCATTTGAAATAGGGAAAGCTGTGGGTAGACAGAGTTTTGGAGGGACAGTCAAGGGGTTCAGTTTGGTTCTGTTTCCATTTGAGATATCTGTGCAACTCTAAAAAAAATGTGTCCAGTTGATTTGCAGAGTTTGAAAGACTAAGTCCAGAGTGGCATTTTTAAAGACACAAATGAGAGGCTGAAAATGGCAGAAAAAGACATAGCTATTTATGAGGTGCTGTATTAGTCCATTCTTGCACAGCTATACAGAACTACCTGAGACTGGGTAATTTATAGAGAAAATAGGTAGGTGGGCTCATGGTTCTGCAGGCTGTACAGGCTTCTGCTTCTGGGGAGGCCTCAGGAAACTTACAATCATGGCAGAAGGCAAAGGGGAAGCAAGCATGGTTTTACATGGCTGAGCAGGAAGAAGAGAGACAGCAAAGAGGGAAGGGCTACATACTTTCAAACAACCAGATTTTGTAAGAACTCACTCACTATCATGAGAACAGCAAGAGGGAAGTCCGCCCTCATGATCCCATCACCTCCCACCAGGTCCCTTCTCTAATATTGGGGATTACAATTAAACATGGTATTTGGCTGGGGACATAAAGCCAAACCATATCAGGTGCCTAGTATTATCAGGAATTAAGTCAAGCCTTTTACAAAATAAGTTATTTTTTTAATACTCACCAGAACCCTGATAATTTACAATCCATTAAGTGAACACCCACTATATCTCATTTAGTGAGATAAATGAGACATATTTGGTGCCATAAAGGATCTCATTGTAGGAAATATGACCCCATTTAAAAGAAATAGTTGAGTCTAGGGGTGAAGTAATTTGTTCAATGTCACACAGCTGGTAAATGTCACAATTGATTAATTGATTGTCAATGCTATGTGCATGTGATGTCAAAACTATGACTCTTTTTACTCTTCTTACTTCTATTATCCCTTCCATCTGAAAGGCAGAAGATCAAAATGCTACCCATATTACAGAAAAATATGAAAGACAACCAACCTACATGTTTAAGCACACTTGCAACTTTTAATCCATATGAGCAAATGGTGACCATTTTATTACAAATCAATCTGATTATTTAAAGCAGGAGTTCTACAGGACTCATATTTAGTCACACTTTGTGTTATCCTCTTAATAAATCTTTGTTTTTTGATACTGATGGGCTAGAGGAGGTACCCAAATGCTGGTAGGACCTCGACCCTGGCTGATGTCCAAGCTCTTGATGCCATTACAAGAAAGAATTCCAGAACGAGTCAGAAAATAGTAAAGTACAGAGATGTATTGCAAAGGGAAAAGCACACACTCAAGAAAGGCGACTGCAGGTGCACTCAAGAGAGAGAGTAGCATCCAACATTGGGTCTGGGGCTTCTGTCTTTATGGATGTCTTTAATCAAGGGGTAGAATATTCATGAGGATTCCTGGAAAAAGGTGAAGACTTCTGGGAACTGTGGTGCCACCCATTGTTATACCAAATATGTGTGTTCCCGGAATTGTCATGGTGCTGGTGAGTGTGTGGTTTACTATGTGAATGAGTGTATCATGAGGTCCTAGGTGAGACCTAGGTCGAATCCAGTGCCATGTTGAGTCCAGTCGGTCTTAGCCAGCTTGGCCTACACCCTGGTTTTCAGGATCTTTTTGGCCCCTAGCTTCTGCAGCTATTTCAACAGTTTCCTTTTTGCTGACCATGGGCAACTCCTGCCTGGAATGTTCTATTCTCCTGTGACCACCATGTATTTTTCCTGTCTCATTTCTACTAAAAAGTTTACACCCTAAGTCCTCCTGTCTTTGAATACCGTGAAAGGAAAATAAATCTCAGAACCCCCAAATCACTAAGCCAACAGAAAAACTCAAGCTGGGAACTGTGTCAGGCAAACCTGCTTCCCGTTTTATTCCTAAATAAGATAGCTACAAAGGTAGAAAAGCTACATACCTCCCTCATAATCTTCCCACACAGAAATTTTTTTGTGGACAAAGAATGGACAGGACTTAAAGTCATCCCTCTGCTCATCTGAGACAAATGCACATCTGATTGCTTCCTCTGCCCTATTCCACTAAGCCAGGTGAAGGTATAAGTGACTATTCCTCTACCCTCCTCTTACATGTAAATTGTGTATTCAGTGAAAGGCTCATCGAGACTCAAAAGAATGCAATCAATTGTCTCTTATGTACCTGTGGGATATGATGAAGTTTCTCTTCAAATAACCTGATCAATCTTTTATTCTTTAATTCATAATACCCCCCCTTTTCTCCTTTTACCTTTGTTAGATGCCCAGGCATGCCACGGTACCAGGTGTTATCAGTACCAGCTCACATTCTTTTCCTTATCTGGAAAGAGAACTAACTTTCTAGCTCATTACAGATACCCCTTCCCCTTTCCTCTCTGCTTTCTTTTACATGCCCACCTTATCTAAAAAAAACATACGTTTAGCCAACAAGGATTAGCTTAGATTGTGCGACCCCACCCCAGCCAATGGGGAAAGGTCACAGGGGCAGGACTTGCATCAGGAATAAAGGCTCTCGGGCCCCTTTGTTCTGGTGTGCTTTTATGGTCACTGGCCAAGGAGGCACCCCTCTGCGTGCACGTAAAATTGCTTTGCTAAGAATCCTTTGTTCAAGTGTTCAATTTCCTTAGGATTTTGAGCGTTATTCCTAACATACTTATGACCTGGAAGCCCCCTCCTCCACTTCGAGTTGTTCTGCCTTTCTGGATCAAACCAATGTATATTGTTCACAGATTGATTGATGTCTCGTGTCTCCCTAAAATGTATACATCCAAGCTGTGCACCAACCACCTTGGGCACATGTTGTCAGGATCTCCTGAGCCTGTGTCTTGGGCATATCCTTAACTTTGACTAAGTAAACTGTCTCCGTGGATTGAGCTCTGTTTTAGATACTTTTGGTTTCACAATGCCCTTTATTGCTTTTGAGTGGTGGGCTAAGAAGAGCAGAAAGGTTAAAGCCACACACGCATCCCAGGAACCCACCGAAGGAACCCCGTGTCCCATGGCAAGCGATGAACAGGAGGAAGCACTTTTTCTCCTTTGTCTTTGTTTCCTAGAAGACAGCCCAGAAATCTTCAGGTCCCAGGAAGCAAGTATCGGTTGCATAATTTCCTCATGGAAACAATTATAGCACTTTTTGAGAACGGAGACCAGAGAAGCTTGGCCTTTAGAAACGAGGGCTTCCAGGTAATTTAACCTCTTCAAGTAAATGTTAATATTTACATTATTTTGTTAACATCTTTGTGCTTTTCTCTTTCTCTGAGATATGAGCCTGAAGGCTCAAATATTTTAAATGTGTGTTCCTTGGAGGGAATCTGGTCTATCACAGCATTTTATAGAGGAAAGAGTGTAGCCTCTGTTATCCACCCATCTCAGTTTGAATCCCATCAGGGTCATCTATTTATTTATTTAGAGATAGGGTCTCACTCTGTCATGCAGGCTGCAGTGCAATAGCACAATCTTGGCTTACTGCAACCTCCACTTCCTGGGTTCAAGTGATTCTCATGCCTCAACTTCTCAAGTAGCTGGGACTACAGGCATGTGCCACCAGGCCCAGCTAATTTTTGTATTTTTAGTAAAGACAGGGTTTCACCATGTTGGCCAGGCTGGTCTCGAACTCCTGACCTCAAGTGATCCACCCACCTTGGCCTTCCAAAATGCTGGCATGAGCCACTGCACCCATCCATGGTCGTTTTTGCTGCATAATCTTGGGAATGTAAGACACTCTGGGCTTAAAGTCTTTCCTCTGTAAAATGGGAAAAGTGTAGCCGTACTTGCTCAGTTCCTGAGTGGATAAACTGGAATCTTTTATTGAAAGTACCTACTGCCTGGCACATAGTGGGAGCTATTATAGTTATTTTTTCTGTTGTTTTCATAGTTTATTCAAAACTGTTGCAGTTAGAAGCAGATCTGCTCTGGTTTTCTTCACACTCTCTTTTAAAGATGTCCCAACATCGATAACATGAACACATGATATATTTTACTAGCACTTTGTACTTTTCACAATGACATGGTACCCACTGTGACAGGTAAATCATGTGATGATCATGAATTCAGATGCCAGGTCAGACTGTCTGTACTCAAATCTTGGTGTCACCACATTCTAATGACCTTGAAAAGATATTTAGCCTGTCTGTGACTCAATGTCCTCATCCTCTAAGTAGCGATAATTGGGGTGTCCACTTTATCGGGGTTCTTACTTGACTAAAGTCAATTATACATGAATAGTGCTTAGTGCCTGGCAAGTAGTACGTGCTTAATAAATGTCAATGATTATTATTAGTTCATTGAAATGTGGTTGCCTCATGCATGTGACGCTCTCATTTGAAAGTTGGAGAAACTGAATCACGGAGCAGTTTATAGGACTGGCCAAAGTCACACAGCGCATTTGTAGCCAGCTGTCCCATCACCCAGAACAAGACCCAGGTGCTGGAGCTCCAGGCAGGATTTATTTCAAAGGCAGCTTTCCTGCACACCCTCCCTTCCCCTGCAACTCCCCACCACTGTTGCGGGAAATTATGCTTCGAGCCATGTATCTTCTTTGACACGCTCTGCTCTTGAAGAAACACTCCCAATTACCGTGGCTGTGTTCTCGGTGATTGCAATGTGTCATGACATTTCCAAGATGTAAGTTTCTTTGAAAAAGGCATTAGCACCAGGCGAGTGAAGGGCTCATTTTTCAAACTTGGAAACTGTCGTTGGCCCTGCTCAGAGCCGGTGAAGCCTGAACACACTGTTTAGTGGGCTCCATCAGGCGACCAGGGTTCACCCCATGGGCGTGTTCAGCTGCGTTCCCTTGGGAGGGTTTCTGAGAATGTGCAAATGTGTGTGCACATCCACCCACACCCACACCCACACCAACCCTCACACATCCACCCCTGCCTTACACTACACACACTCAGTCTATGTCAGGCTCTCCCAAATCCCAAACTCCCTCCTGGATCCTTATCCCCTCCTCCAGCCTGGAGCCACTTGACACTCCACTTACAGACTCCTTTACCCCTGTCCACCACCACAGGGAAGCATTACACTCCTTCATTGTTCTCCATCTGTATCAGCCGGGGTTATTCATTACAAGCAAAAGAAACTATCATTTGCTGATTTACGCAGTAATGGAATTTACCAGAAGGCTTTCAGTTTGGACCATAGAATTGCCAACCTCAGGAAACAGGCAGGAACAAAGGAAGGCAACACAGCCAGAACCTTGGGCAAATTCATGCCACAACACCAGTCCAGTGAGGGCACCACCGACTACTCGCTGCCCTATTGGCATGACTCTTCCATTGTAAAGGATGCTGGTGCTGTGCCCCTTTTCTGGTTCAAGTCCTGGTATATGCATCTGATTGGCTAACCTTGGTCACATGATGCTAGTGTAGCTGCAAGGGAGGCTGAGGAAGTGAGGAATGGCCATATTGGTTTCCTACGATAGTTATAACAAAGTACCCCAAACTGGGTTGCTTAGAACAATAGAAATGCATTGTCTCACAGTTTTGGCCATATTTCCTCTGAAGGCACTAGGGAAGGGTTGGCTCCAGACCTTTCTCCTAGTTTCTAGTAGCCTTGGACATTCTTTGGCTAGTAAATGGCTGTCTTCTCCCTGTGTCTCTTCACATCATCTTTCCTCTATGCCTGTCTGTCTTTGTCTAAATTTCCCCTTTTGATAAAGACACAGTCATTCTGGATTAGAGACTACCATAGTGACTTCACCTTAACTTGACTATATCTGCCGAGACCCTACTTCCAAATAAGGTCAGATTCTGAGGTTACTGGTGCTAGGACTTCAATGTATCTTTCTTGGGGGACATAATTCAACCCATGCCACTGGCCTTTCAGTTTATTTGATACGAGTCAGGCTATAATGGCTACCAAGGCATATGCACAGTAGTTAATTTCTTTTGCACATACAAAGAGGTTCAGATACAGAAAGCCAAACCCTGCTAACAAAAAGTCTGAGAAATATCCATTATACCCTCACCCTAAGAATTTAGCACTCTAGGATTAGATATTCTCTGGTGTGTTATAATGAACTGCATACCATTTCCTGAATATTTTGTAGCAGATGAATTACTAAGAAAAAACTTTACCAGCTGGGCACAGTGGCTCATGCCCTAATCTCAGCACTTTGGGAGGCCAAAGTGGGCACATCACCTGAGGTCAGAGGTTCAAGACCAGCCTGGCCAACATGTTGAAACCCCATCTCTGCAAAAATACAAAAATTAGCTGGGCATGATGGCGGGTGCCTATAATCCCAGCTACTCGGCAGACTGAGGTGGGAGAATCGCTTGAACCCGGGAGGCGGAGGTTGCAGTGAGCTGAGGTCACGCCATTGCATTCTAGCCTGGGCAACAGAATGAGACTCTGTCTTGAAAAAAAAAGAAAGAAAAAATCTTTACCGGCTTGAGCATTTATCCACCCATTCCTAGGACTAACATTGGCTATTTAAGGACCTGCTGTTAAGTGACAATGTATATTATTCATGACCAAAAACTGATAGAAGAAAGCATTGACTCCCAAAGAAGATGAGAATGTTTCTCCCAAGCAGGTGCAGGGATGGAGATTCACACAGGTGCAGCACAAGCGAGGGAATATGACATTATTGCATTTGCAGCCTCAAGGGAAAGCGGCCCCCAGAAGAAGTCTGCAAAGAAGGACAACTGCAAGGGAAGTTAGACCCTGGGTCTAACAGAGGAAGTGGCAGGGTAAATAAGCATATTGATGATAACCAGGATAACACATGCATTGAGGGGCCTTTGTCAAAGATTTTGTTAATAGGTGGAAGAAAAAAGCATTACTTGAAAAGAATATTGTATTGTTCTTGCTAAATCTAGATATTTCTCAATACAATTCTTCATCTCCCCCGGACTGGTGGGAAATGTAATTTCTGCTATTATCATACCTGCTCTTTCAGGGTTATCCAAGGTTAAACAAAGTCCTGCAAGTTCTTATGTGGCCTATTCCAGAACTTTTGACAAAGGTCCCTCAATCCATGTGTTATCCTGGTTACCTTTAATATATACCCTGTAACTTTCTTTGTTAGAACCAGGGTCTAACTTCCCTTACAGTTGTCCTTCTTTGCAGAATATATGTGGTGGTTGAAAATGGAAATTGGGTACAAGGCCACATCTTCTTAGGTCACCATTGTTTGCATGGGCCTAGCCTTTTTCACTTTTTATTTTTTCTGAGGCAAGGTCTCACTCTGTCACCCAGGTTGGAGTGCAATGGTGCAATCTCAGCTCACTGCAACCTCTGCCTCCCAGGTTCAAGTGAATCTCGTGCCTCAGCCACCTGAATAGCTGGAACTACAGGCGTGCACTACCACGCCTGGCTAATTTTTGTATTTTTTGTAGATATGGGGTTTTGCCATGTTGGCCAGGCTGGTCTCAAACCTCTGACCTGAAGTGATCTGTCCGTCTCCCTTCCCAAAGTGCTGGGATTACAAGTGTGAGCCTCTGTGCTCAACTGGGCCCAGCCTTTTTCCTAGAATCACTTCCCCTTTTCTTGGCTAATTGTTCCCATCCTCCTTGTCCCAGTAGTCCATGCTCACTTTCCCTTCCTGGGATGAGTGACTTCTTTCCCAGAACCTGGTGCTCTGTATTTATCATGGAATCCTGGGTTACACTTGCTTCTTTTCTAGTCTGTCTTCCCCACTGTGATCTTCTGGGGCCATCAACACTATATTTGATTTCTCAATGTCTAGCACAAGGCTAGGTTCCTAACAGTTGCTTACTCACTGAAAAACGAAGGAAATGATAAAAAAACAATGAGATCTTTGCCCCAGCATCCAGGACCTTGGGAATACGTTGGCAATAACTTGTCCAAGGATGTGACAAGGCCCATCTGTAGCATAAGAACTCTCTGAGGGTCTCAGTTCCAGGCTGGGATTAAAATAGTGTGGTATTGTCCAATACGCTAGATACTAGCCACATATGGCTATTTACTTATTTAAAGAGGACGTCTTGCTCTGTTGTCCAAGTTGGAGTGCAGTGGCATGATCACAGCTCACTGCAGCCTTGAACTCCCGGGCTCAAGTGATACCCTCTTACCTCAGTCTCCTGAGTAGCTGGGATTACAGGTACATGCCACCATGCCCAGCTAAAGCTTTTTGTTTTGTAGAAATGGGGACTTGCTATGTTGCCTAGGCTATTCTTGAATTCCTGGCCTCAAGGGATTTTGCCTTGGCCTCCCAAATTGCTGGGATTATAGGCATGAGCCACGGCCCCGGCCCACATACAGCTATTTAAAACTAAATTTAAATTACTTAATATTAAATAAAATTAAAAATTCAGTTCCTCTGTTGCACTAGCCAAATGCCAATTACTCCATGTGTGAGTAGCTACCATGTTGGATGGCACAGGTATAAAATATTTTTATTGTCTCAGAAAGTTCTATCACACAGTGCTGACATAGGGTTCCTGCATCTCTGTAAAGGGACTATATTCTAATCTTAGTAACTGGTCCATTCCCTCCACTCCACATTTACTTTTAACTCATATAAAATCGTGCACACACTCACACACACAACTACCCAAACCACTAATCACTTTGATTTTATAAAAAGAACATCTATTGATTTTAACTAAAAAGACACTTGTTGCAAGAGGAATTTTATATATCATAGTAAAAATGTCCTATTTGAGGGAAACTTTCAGACAATTGGATTTTAACTGGGCCATTTATTTTGTGCCATTACCACAAGGATGCCACACATTTAGCATCTGTTCCCTGGTGCACAACTTTAAAAGGGAGCTGGTTGGATCCTCTGACCATGAGGTGGCAGGTAGCTTGAGTCTCTGGCTCCAGAAACTATGGCAATTTTAAAGAGTGGATCAGCTTTATAGTTTCTGCAGAACTGGAAGGCTGACACTCAAAATGGCCTCTTGATATGGTATTCATTGGTTGGGCCAAGCATGTGATGTGACAGCTTCTCCAATTGTTTTCAAGCCAGGAGTGGATGCTGAAGTTAACCACTCATCAGGCTTTGCACAGAAAGGGAGGCCTGACGTTGTTGCCTTTGGCTCGTATCATAATAATGTGTGTATGTGTGTGTGTGTGTGTGTGTGTGTGTGTGTACGTCGCATAAGAGAGACAAAGAGACAGACTGCATGCATAGGCACCTGCAATTTCTTTTTTTTTTCCTCTTTTGAGACAAAAAGTTTCACTCTTGTCACCCAGGCTAGAGTGCAGTGGTGCAGTCTCGGCTCACTGCAACCTCTGCCTCCCGGGTTCAAGCAATTCTCCTGCCTCAGCCTCCCGAGTAGCTGGGATTGTAGGCATCTGCTACTACGCCCAGCTAACTTTTGTGTTGTTACTTTTAATAGAGACAGGGTTTCACCATGTTGGCCAGGGTGGTATCGAACTCCTTGACCTCAAGTGATCCACCTACCTCGGCCTCCCAAAGTGCTGGGATTACAGGTGTGAGCCTCTGCGCCTGGCTGGCACCTACAATTTCGTGCTCTCCTGCAGGTACTTAAATTCCCTTGGATGTAGACTCATGAACCCAAAGCCATAGATCCTGGGCCAGGGATTGGTGTCTAGGAAGTAGAGATACCAGTTGTTACCTACTAGGAAACAGTGCTCTCAATGCCATTCATCCCCCTTCACAGGGTTTCTCAGATCCCAGCCTTAGAAAGTTGTTTCTTTATGTGTTCAGAGGCAGCTTTAGGAATGAGCATTTGAAGGCTTTCCTCATATTTCTTTCCTATTGTTATATTTTCCTCACTTGTACCAAGTTTTAGTCTTTTCTAAGATGTTCTTGTGTAATTCTCAGAACTGCCTCCCATGAAGTAGATGTTTTAATCAACACTTTAGCAACAACAACATGAGGCCAAAAGAATTAAAGTGCTTGTACAAGGTTGCAAAGCATACAAATTGCCAAGCAGGGACTCAAACTCCATTCTGGGTAATCCCACATGTTGTGCCACTGCACTCTATGACACCCAATGGCAGCAGCTACTGTTTTTTGAGCAGCAACTACTTTAAGCACATTGCATTACATAATCCATGTATGCTACCAGGCGCAGTGGCTCACACTTATAATCCCAGCACTTTGGGAGGCCAAGGCAGGCGGACCGCATGAGCTCAGGAGTTCAAGACTAGCCTGGCCAACATGGCGAAACCCCATCTCTGCTAAAACTACAAAAATCAGCTGGGTGTGGTGGCGCATGCCTGTAATCCCAGCTACTCGATAGGCTGATGCAGGAGAATCGCCTGAACCTGGGAACCCAGGAGGTGGAGGGAATCCGGGAGGCAAAAGTTGTGGTGAACTGAGATCACGCTACTGCACTACAGCCTGAGTAACAGAGCGAGACTCTGACAAAAAAAAAAAAAGAGCAACAACAAAAAAAGAAAAACAAAAAACCGTATTTCATATACTAACTCAACAAACACCTTTGGAAGAAGACAGATGCTAATAAAACACTGAATAAGACAGAACAAGATGCAACAACGAGGCTTGAACAAGTGGCTACAGTTATTATTTCATGTAATCTGGAACACCAAACACCAAGGAGGGAACGAATTGCTTTGAGCAAGACAAAAAAATGTGTTATTTTTATGGCTAAATAATATTCCATTGTATGAATGATACCACACTTTTCAGTTAATAGCCATTCAGAGTATTTCTACCTTTTGGCTATTATGAATAATACTGCTATGAACATCTTTCTTTGTTTGTTGGTTTTTGACATGGAGTCTCTCTCTGTTGCCCAGGCTGAAGTACAGTGGCATGATCTCAGCAAATGGACTCCTAGAAGGATTTTAAGAAGAGTGTAATATGATCAGGTGTGAGGCAGGATTAGTGTGAGAACAATGTCCCCTTACATAGGCCAATGATGCCATTTTGGGAGTCACTCCAAATCTCCTGGTTTTGTTTCCACTTTTTGGGTTCAGCTCTTTCTCCAAGACACCTTCACCCCATCAGTCTAAGGAAACCATGCTTCATAGCTTTGTCTGCCTAGGTAGTAAGAAAAAGGGTAAGGTTTACTCAAGAACAATCTGAATTTCAAGAGAAGTTAACCCTCAAAAATATAGAGAGTAGACACTATCAGTAGAATAGGTATTAAGATGCCTTTTGATTTATAAGTTTTTTTATTATCAGTGGCTCAAATCATAGAATGTGTATAGTTTCCTTAGCATTAAATATGGAGATGATTGGACCAGGACAAAGCATTTCAGTAATGTTAGCAAGGAACCCAGGCCACTTCAAAAATTTTGTTCTGCTATCCTCTTAGCGATATGTTGCTTCATTATTACAAAATAGCTGCCAGTCCTCCAGACATCACATCCTCTTGCCACAGGGTTCAAAGCAGAAGCAAGGACTGTGGTACAAACATTGAAGGACCCAGAAGAGTTTCTCTTATGTATCCCTGGCCAGAATTGAGTCTCATGTGCATCCCCAATATAATCCATGACACTGGAAATGTGGTGGTTGCTGTGTTTGCCTGAGACCAATCAGGATTCATCCCTTAGTGATATAAACCAGAGGTTTTAACAAACCTGCAGAATGGCGATGACCTCTGAATTCCTTTCCACTTT
Organism: Homo sapiens; assembly: GCF_000001405.40. Taxonomy (NCBI): domain Eukaryota; kingdom Metazoa; phylum Chordata; class Mammalia; order Primates; family Hominidae; genus Homo; species Homo sapiens. The sequence continues at coordinate 8,120,347 of NC_000016.10, read as the reverse complement.
TGTTCTCCTTATAACACAAAAGAGTAATTGCCCACGTGAAAGAATGAAGAAGCTATTGGAGAAGGCCTTGGGACCTACCATTTGTCCTCCTTTGCATTCCTAAGAGATTAGCTTCCTCTTTTCACTAACCACACACACATGCCAAGCTCCAAAAATCCTAGATTCTAGATTTCATATATCAGACAGGGAGAAATAGAGCCTTCAATTTTTTTTTTTTTTTTCGCTTTATCCTTGTTTATAGCTTGCTGTAACGAGGCCAAGGCCTGGAGGCAGGGCTGTTTAATACAGTTATTCTATCTCCAATACTGATCCTGAAAAAAAAAACAAGGGAAACCTTTACCTAGCTTTGAGTCATTCAGAGTTAGCTTTCTTAGAAAAGGTTGAGCAGAGGCAGGGCGCGGTGGCTCACGCCTGTAATCCCAGCAATTTGGGAAGCTGAGGTGGGTGGATCACTTGAGGCCAGGAATTTGAAACCAGCCTGGCCAACATGGTGAAACCCCATCTATACTAAAAATGCAAAAACTAGCCGGGTGTGATGGCACACACCTATAATCCCAGCTACTTGGGAGGCCGAGGCACAAGAATTGCTTGAACCCAGGAGGTGCAGGTTGCAGTGAGCTGAGATCGCACCACTGTACTCCTGCCTGGGTGACAGAGTGAGACTCTGTCTCCAAAAAGAAAAATATAGAGAAAAGATTGGGCAGAGATTGTATGTAGGAAGAGCAGCAGATTGAAAACTATCTTTCTGTATTCATATTTACATTTTTAGATATCAATCTTCTACACGGATATTAATGTTATAACTTGCTACTTTTAGACTTCAAAGATCTGTCCTTCTTATAGCAATTTTCACTGGTTATCAGTTGTAAAATGCAACTTGATTGGTGAAGTGGAAATGAAGAGGGATATGTCCCAATTCCAGCCCCAGATAAAGGCCTATTCCCACCTCAATCCTGGCTATCATTTACTTTCTCACAATATTACCATCTTTGGCCTTGCTTTTCTATTTTACCACAGGAAAACAGAATCCCAGGTAGAGAGGAAGGCATTTGCCCCAAATTATTTAGAGTAACTCCTTGTCAGGACTAAAGCTGAGTTTTGTTTTTTTTTTTTGACAGAGTTTCACTCTTGTTGCCCAGGCTGGTGTGCAGTGGCGTGATCTTGGCTCACTACAACCTCTGCCTCCCAGGTTCAAGCGATTCTCCTGCCTCAGCCTCCCACCTAGCTGGGATTACAAGCATGCACCACGATGCCTGGGTAATTTTATACCTGACTTCCTAAATCCACAGAGAGACCTTAACCCTGATACGGTAGAAAATCACCTTTTTCCCATGATTGAACACCTGCTGTCTGCCAGAATTCATGCTAGGCCTTTATTTACATGTTTGATGACATTTAAAACTCATGATCAATATCTTGATCCATCTTGTGATGGTAAATATTGAGTGTCAACTTGATTGGATTAAAGGATGCAAAGTATTGTTTCTGGGTGTGTCTGTGAAGGTGTTGCCAAAGGAGATCAACACTTCAGTCAGTGGACTGGGAGAGGCAGACCCACCCTCAATCTGAGCGGGCACCATCTAATCAGCTGTCAGCGTGGCTAGGATAAAGGCCAGCAGAGGAACGTGGAAGGACTAGACTGGCTGAGTCTTCCAGCCTCCATCTTTCTCCCATGCTGGAGGCTTCCTGCCCTCAAACATCAGACTCCAAGTTCTTCAGCTTTTGGACTCTTGGACTTACACAGTGATTTGCCAGGGGCTCTTGGGTCTTCGGCCACAGACTGAAGGCTGCACTATCAGCTTCCATACTTTTGAGGTTTTGGGACTCGGCCTGGCTGCCTGGCTCTTCACCTTGCAGACAGCCTATCGTGGGACTTCACCCTGTGATCGTGTGAGTCAATTCCCCTAATAAACTCCCCTTCATATATTCACTTATCCGGTTAGTTCTGTCCCTTTAGATAACCCTGATTAATACATATCACATTTTTTACATTTTAGGAAACTGAGACTCAGAGAGGATAAGTAATTTTGCCCATGGTGAGATAGCCAGTAAAAGATCTGAGCTGGGCTCCTCTGGCTGTGATGTCAAATGCCATGATTAATTTACAACACAGCACTTTTCACACTCTCTAAAACTCCACTGGAGGTTCCATGAGAAATGCCTGTTGTAACTAACCCATTGGGCAGTTGGGATTGCCTTGGCTATTCTCTCAGTGTCTCTGATTCTGGCGTCATGTCCCCATCTCCCACCAGTGTGATGCAGAGAAGCAGCAAACAGGGGTAGCCACCTCTTTTTTTTTTGCGACGGAGTTTTGCTCTTGTTGCCCAGGCTGGAGTGCAATGGCACGATTTCAGCTCACTGCAACCTCCGCCTCCCAGGTTCAAGCAATTTTCCTGCCTCAGCCTCCCAAGTAGCTGGGATTATAGGTGCCCGCCACCAAGCCCAGCTAATTTTTGTAATTTTAGTAGAGACAGGGTTTCACCATGTTGACCAGGCTGGTCTTGAACTCCTGACCTCAGGTGATCCACCCGCCTCAGCCTCCCAAAGGGCTGGGATTACAGGAGTGAGTCACCATGGCCAGCAGCCACCTCTTATTGCATTAGAGCTTATTTCCTGGAGCCCAGAGGAAGCTACCTTTGGTGTTTACACCCCAGCAATGTACTCCCTTAAATGTGATCTGATCTGCAGGCCATGCCTTTGGTTCCCCAGGTTGGGATGAAGACCTCATCTACCTCCTCTATGATGAGCTTAGCAGATAAACCCAACACCTACATAGACGTCCCCACTCTGTCCACCCCTTGAAAATCTTTCTCCTCTCTGTGAGCTAAGAACACGTTGCCTTATCCTTTCAGAAACTTAGAGAGGGTGTAGGTCAATGCAAAATAACGACTCACAAATTCCAACCTGTGGCTACAGATTCAATGGAGGAGAAGGAGAAAAAAAGAAGGGCTGTGTGAACAGAGGGGAACTTAAAATGTAGATTGATAAAGAATGGGATGAGGAAGGAAAACGGAGGGGGCAAATTTGGCGTTCACAGGTGCCTCTGTCTCAGGTGCGCACACATGCCTTATGTTTAACATTAATAACTGCTAAATGATATAAAGTGATATATCAATCAAATTAATAAAGCTTACAATATTTAGAGCATTTAGTTTGCTAAAATCACTGGCATCTGTGCCTATTAAAAATGACAGATGATTAGGATATCCAAAGTTTGGTAGAATCTGCTAGCTAACAAGGTAGAATTAAAATTTACATCTTGTTCTGGCATAATGAAGATAATTAAAAAGAGTGATAAAACCCTTTGATTAACCCTCATCTCCTCTTGCAAAGCATTTTATTATGCAAATGAAACCTCCAACACTGTAAACTTAATACCAGTTAAGAATATGAAGATATTCTCATTTCCAAAGTACAAAGATATGTGCGTACATATAAAATATTTGATTGAAATGGGGTCTGTTTTAAAATAAAGTAGAACTCAGGAGTGTGCAGCTCATGGAACAAAGTTATGTCTCTCTTTGCTGCAGGCTTGAGTTCTTGTCCACTATGCCATCCATGCTGTTCCCTGATAGTTTCTGCTTTGCTATTTAATTACCTGCCCTGACACGTGATAGCACTAAGGGTGCCCAGAACACAAACACAAGAATGTCTATGTCATCCCACGAAGGGCTCATTCGTAGTCCTGACTTTACTTTCTTGAGTTAAAGGGTACATCACTGTAACTCTAAAAAGCAGAAAGTCCCATGTCTGCCCATCTCTGAGGTTTGAGAAGATGTAACCGCCCAACGGGTTCACCTTGTCTGCTGCGTAGACACAGCCCATTTATCAAGACAGAGGAACTTCGATGGAGAAAGAGTAATTCATGCAGAGCTGGCTGTGTGGGAGACCAGGGTTTTATTATTACTCAAATCAGTCTTCCAAAGCATTTGGGGATCAGAGTTTTTAAGGATAATTCAGTGGGTGGGGGGCAGTCAGAGAGTTGGGAGTGCTGATTGGTCACATCAAAGATGAAATCATAGGAAGTCAAAGCTGTCTTCTTGCACTGAGTCAGTTGCTTGGTGGTGGCCACAAGATCAGACAAACCAGTTTATTAATGGTGCCAGCTGATGCATCAAGTGCAGGGTATGCAAAATATCTCAAGCACTGGTCTTAGGTTGTACAGTAGTGATTTTTGTTTTGAGAAAACAAAACAAAAATAGTTTGTTTTGAGAAAGGGCTGTTATCATCTTTGTTTTAAACTATAGACTAAGTTCCTCCCAAAGCTAGTTCAGCCTTCACCCAGGAATGAGCAAGGACAGCTTGGAGGTTAGACACAAGATGGAGTTGGTTAGGTCAGGCCTCTGTCACGGTCTCAGCCATAATTTTGTAATGGTGGTTTCAAAGAGAGGGATTAGAAAATCAGAGGGATGAGATTTTTTTTTTTTTTAATTGATCATTCTTGGGTGTTTCTCACAGAGAGGGATTTGGCAGGGTCATAGGACAATAGTGGAGGGAAGGTCGGCAGATAAACAAGTGAACAAAGGTCTCTGGTTTTCCTAGGCAGAGGTCCCTGCGGCCTTCCGCAGTGTTTGTGTCCCTGGATACTTGAGATTAGGGAGTGGTGATGACTCTTAACGAGCCTGCTGCCTTCAAGCATCTGTTTAACAAAGCACATCTTGCACTGCCCTTAATCCATTTAACCCTGAGTGGACACAGCACATGTTTCAGAGAGCACGGGGTTGGGGGTAAGTTCACAGATCAACAGGATCCCAAAGCAGAAGAATTTTTCTTAGTACAGAACAAAATGAAGTCTCCCATGTCTACCTCTTTCTACACAGACACGGCAACCATCCGATTTCTCAATGTTTTCCCCACCTTTCCCCCTTTTCTATTCCACAAAACCTCCATTGTCATCATGGCCCCTTCTCAATGAGCTGTTGGGTACACCTCCCAGACGGGGTGGTGGCCGGGCAGAGGGGCTCCTCACTTCCCAGTAGGGGCGGCCGGGCAGAGGCGCCCCTCACCTCCCTGAGGGGGCGGCTGGCCGGGCGGGGGGCTGACCCCCCCACCTCCCTCCCGGACGGGGCGGCTGGCTGGACGGGGTGGCTGCCGGGCGGAGACGCTCCTCACCTCTCAGATGGGGCGGCCGGGCAGAGACGCTCCCCACATCTCAGACAACGGGCGGCCGGGCAGAGACGCTCCTCACTTCCTAGAAGGGATGGCGGCCGGGAAGAGGCGCTGGTCACTTCCTAGATGGGATGGCGGCCGGGAAGAGGCGCTCCTCCCTTTCCAGACTGGGCAGCCAGGCAGAGGGTCTCCTCACATCCCAGACGATGGGCGGCCGGGCAGAGACGCTCCTCGCTTCCTAGACAGGATGGCGGCCTGGCAGAGACGCTCCTCACTTCCTAGATGGGATGGCGGCCGGGCAGAGACGCTCCTCACTTTCCAGACTGGGCAGCCAGGCAGAGGGTCTCCTCACATCCCAGACGATGGGCGGCCGGGCAGAGACGCTCCTCACTTCCTAGACAGGATGGCGGCCGGGAAAAGGCTGCAATCTTGGCACTTTGGGAGGCCAAGGCAGGCGGCTGGGAGGTGGAGGTTGTAGCGAGCCGAGATCACGCCACTGCACCCCAGCCTGGGCACCATTGAGCACTGAGTGAATGAGACTCCGTCTGCAATCCCGGCACCTCGGGAGGCCGAGGCTGGCAGATCACTGGCGGTTAGGAGCTGGAGACCTGCCTGGCCAACACAGCGAAAACCCGTCTCCACCAAAAAAATACAAAAACCAGCCAGGCGTGGCGGCGTGCGCCTGCAATCGCAGGCACTCAGCAGGCTGAGGCAGGAGAATCAGGCAGGGAGGTTGCAGTGAGCCGAGATGGCAGCAGTACAGTCCAGCTTTGGCTCGGCATCAGCGGGAGACCGTGGAAAGACAGGGAGAGGGAGACCGTGGGGAGAGGGAGTGGGAGAGGGGCGAGGGGAGAGGGGCGAGGGGAGAGGGGAGAGGGAGAGGGAGAGGGAGAGGGAGGAGATTTTTTTTTTTAAAGGATTGACTCTCTCAACAAGTAATTGCTCTTCTCCCTGAGAAATATTTCTTCTTCAGTCGTGCTAAAGAGAAGTTCAGGATGGCTAAAAGTGGTGCCGAGCTGATTTAATAAATTTTTTCTTGGCCAAGTGAGTTAATTGGCAGGAAAATAACAAAAGTCACTGTGAAAGAAGGAAATCAAATTCCTTTGCCTCTCTTTGCACTCTTCAGCCATTGTTCTCCACCCTCTCTCTTCACAGGGAATGAGCCTTGAGTTATGCTGTGAGAAGCAGCCAGCGTTAGCAAGAGAAATCTGAATTTCCTTCCAAGAACAATGCTTTGAAGCAGAGCCAAACAGATAGATGAGGTGGAGTGCAGGGGTGGACACATGAAATGAGATTTACAGCCTAGAGGACTTGGGACAAGACAAAGCTGAGAAGCTCGGGGGAGACTAGAAATGCAAGAAGTAATAAAGGTGGAGGGAGAGAAGTTTTGGAGGAACCCACAGAGAAGAATGCAATCTGAGGATGTAGTAGAGAGAGATGGGGCCATAAACCACGGAATGCTGACAGCTCCCAGAAACTGGAACAGACGAAAGATAAATTCTCCCTTAGAGCTTTTTTGGGGGAGCATAGCCCTGGTGGCACAGCGATACTGACTTCTGACCTCCAACACTTGAGATAATAAATTTCTGTTGTTTTAAGCCATGGGGTGCATGGTCAATTTATTACAGCAGCCAGGTAAAGTAATACAGCTTTTAGTATCAGGAAGTGAGAAGTTATACAAAAAGTGTAACCACCCAAGGGGTTCACCTTGCCCGCTGCCTAGACACAGCTAATTTATCAAAACAGGGGAATTGCCATAGGGAAAGAGTTTAATTTATGCAGAGCTGGCTGTTTGGTAGATCTGGGTTTTATTGTGACTCAAATCAGTCTCCCTGAGCATTCTGGGATAGGAGTCTTTAAGGATAATTTTGTGGATGGGGGACAGCCAGTGAGTTGGGAGTGCTGATTGGTTGGGCAGGAGATGAAATCACAGGGAGTCGAAGCTGTCTTCTTCTGCTCAGTCAGTTCCTGGTTTGGGGGCCATAAGACCAGATGAGCCAGTTTATCCATCTAGGTGGTACCAGCTGATCCATCAAGTGCAAAGTCTGCAAAATATCTCAAGCACGGATCTTAGGTTTTACAACAGTGTTGCTCTCCCCGGGAGCAATTTGGGGAGGGTCAGAACCTTGTAGCCTCCAGCTACATGACTCCTAAACCAGAATTTGTAATCTTGTGGCTAATTTGTTAGCCCTACAAAGGAAGTCTAGTCCTCAGGCAGGAAGGGGGTTTTGTTTTGGAAAAGGGCTGTTGTCCTCTTTGTTTCAAAGTTAAACTATGAGTAAGTTCCTCTCAAAGTTAGTTTGGCCTACACCCAAGAATGAACAAGGACAGGTTAGACTCTAATCTAGAAATCTAGAAGCAAGATGGAGTTGGTTAGGGCAGATTTTTTTTTTTTTTTGAGACATAGTTTCGCTCTGTCATCCAGGCTGGAGTGCAGCGGCGCGAACTCTGGCTCACTGCAAGCCCCGCCTCCCAGGTTCGCGCCATTTTCCTGCCTCAGCCTCCTGAGTAGCTGGGTCTACAGGCGCCCGCCATCACGCCCGGCTAATTTTTTGTGCTTTTAATAGAGATGGGGTTTCACCGTGTTAGCCAGGATGGTCTTGATCTCCTGACCTCATGATCCGCCCTCCTCGGCCTCCCAAAGTGCTGGGATTACAGGTGTGAGTCACCGCGCTCGGCCAGGGCAAATCTCTTTAACTATTATAATTTTCTCAGTTATAATCTTGCCATGGTGGTTTCAAAAGGTGACTGGAAGAAAGCGGAAGGAATGCTTGCCTCATCTTGCAGACATCAGGTGCATTCCTGAGAAGCTACAGGTAAGCTTGGTCCTTTCCAATATGGTCTATCTTGTACCAGTGTTCTCATCTTGAAAATGGGAACTATAATAACACCCACCTCGTAGAGTTGTTGAGAGGATTAATTCCTAAATGTAAATGGCTTAAAAGAGCATCTGGCATAGAAGCTGTACTACAGAAATGTTAGCTTGCAGTTCTGCTACTGTTGCTACTGTTATTTATTATGTTTATTATATTTGCTGCAATTTGCATGCCTTCCTGATTATTGCAGGGCCTCTTTGAATAATTTCATTTACCTAAGTATTTATTTAAAAAAAAAAAACACTTGAAGTTTGTTTTCCAAAATATGATAAACAGTTATTTCTTGGTGAAGGGTTGGCCATAGAATTTTATTTGCCTCTCTTTGCTTCTATTTCCTAAATTTTTAGCAATGAACACATATTACTTTGGTAATAAAAACATTAAAGTTTTGTTTTAATTTTCCTTTTTAAAGACTGCTTTGTTTTAATTCTTAACAAAAGTGAAGAAGCTCAAAGTCAGAAATTTTAATGCCAGTGAGTTGATAGAGAACACTATATATATATATATATACACACACATATATATACTTATATATACATATAAGTATATATAAGTATATATATATATACTTATATATAAGTATATATATATACTTATATATAAGTATATATATATATACTTATATATAAGTACATATATATACTTATATATGTGTGTGTATATATACACATATATACTTATATACGTGTGTATATATATACTTACATATATACTTATATATGTGTATATATACTTATATACGCATATATGTATCTCTATATACACACATATGTATATTTATTTATATTTTCTTAATTACTATATATATTATATTTATATTTTCTTATTTACTTTTCTTAATTACTATATTTTGCAAGAATCGATATTATCTTTAAAGCAAAATTAGGAATGTTTTTTTCTCCAGATACTGGGATATCTGGACACTCCCAAGTCTGGGTCTGCTTAGTAAACCTCATTTATTTGTTCCCTTAAACGTACACATTTAGAGGCTCAGAATGCCTAACTTTCTGGGAAAGCAGCCCAGCAAGTCACTACCTCATTTTCCAGCCCTCACTCAAAATGCAGTTGCTGTGGTTCAAAGGCCTCTGACAATAACAGAAAGCATTTCCAGACATTGTCAAGTATCTCCTGGGAGTGGGGTAGGGACAAAAATCACACCACCACTGCCTCTCCTTTCAGTTGAGAGCCACTGCATAGACCAAAGTCCAGCATTGCTTCCTTCAGATTCTGTTCAGGGAAAATCTGTTGATGGGAAGTCCTGGCCCAGATTCTGACCAAGCTTGTTCAACCTGCAGCCTGTGGGCCGCATGCAGTCCAGGACAGTTTTGAATGTGAGACAGGGTTCTTGCTTTGTCATCCAGGCTGCAGTGCAGTGGTACAATCATAGCTCCCTGCAGCCTCAGTCTTCTGGGCTCAAGAGATCATCCCACCTCAACCTTCTGAGTAGCGTGGACCACGTGCGTGCACCACCATACCCAGCTAAGTTTTTATTTTCTGTAGAGATGGAGTCTCACTATGTTCCCCAGGCTGGTCTTAAATTCCTGTGTTCAAGCAATCCTCTGCCTCAGGCTCCTAAAGTGCTGGGATTACAGGCCTGAGCCACTGCTCCTGGCTGCTTCTTCAGTTCTGTCACTCACTAGCCATATGACCTTGGGCAAGGCATGAAACTCCTCCAGTGTGCAGTTTCCTCACCATAAAATAGGAGTTAATAACATCAAACTTTACATCATTTTCATGTGAATAAGAGGTAACATATAGGCCACATTGCACTATGCCTGGTACACAGTAGTGCTTAATAAATACTTGGTCCGTTCCCTGCAAGTTGGTTGGTGTGTCTCAAAAATAAGACCGATTAATTAACAATACTGTATAATTGACTCCCCCCATCAAAAAGTCATCAAACCAATTAGGTACCTGCTTCTTTTATCAAATCCAATTTTCCAAGCCTGCTTTGTCTCCACCCCAAAACCTCAGTAAAAATAAAATATAGAACCCAACTTGATGCAAAATTATGATTTTTTTTTTCTTTTTGTAGTTTAGGAGGGTCTGAATAGAAACCCCTTATCAGATTCCTTCCTTATCAGAAGGAATCCTTTAAACATGACCATCCTCCTGGACGAATAATACAGATGTAGGGCCAGAGGTCGGTTACTGAGCAAAGAGGAAATACTGCTAGCAGCAACCCTACCCCTTCCTGTTGGCTGGGATTGGCTTTAATCTGCTTCCATTGTCGTTTTGAAGTCTGGAGATATTTGAGTATAGCCTAATTAAGTAGTTGTAGGCCCAGAGAGAATTTATTTTTGTCAAACACATGTCATGGAGGGGCACGTGTCATTGTAAAACAAGCTGGCTCTCTTGAGACCTGTAGTTCCCCGAGCTGTCCTGGGTCTTGATCGTGGTGATTCTCCCATAGAGTCCTTTCTGAGGTGATATATGAGTTAAGAGGAAATCACTTAAACAGTAAGGGTGTGGGAGTCCTCGGTAAGGCTTTTCTGTTTAATGAAAAGCATCTTCAAATCATTTTCTCACAAAGAGCAGCCTGTAAAGTTGAGCTGGAGACATAGACAAGCAAGTTGGGGGAGTTTGCACGAGTGAATGCCGGCAGGTACTAGCAACTAGACATGTTCAAGATGGTGGCACCATCTTCCCTTCTCTTTGTCAGCCACGTGTACAATAAAGAGCAGAGAAGATGGCACCGATCATCTGGAAAGCTCTTTTGCATAATAAGATTAGGGTGAGGCGAACAGCCTTCCTCACACGCTATGTAAACGTCATACCTGTTCGAACCAATCTGTGAACGGTATGCAAATCAGACACTGTCGTCTCTAGCCTGCCTGTAAAATCGGCTGTGGTCCAAAGCCTCCCTCCTTTTTTAGACCTCTCTCCTCTCTCTTCGCTCTCTCTCAGAGCTGCTCTCCTCTCTCCTTTCTTCTGTCTATTAAACGTTCCACTCCTTAACCCACCCACATGTGTCCGTGTCATGAATTCTTTCTTGGTGCCGGACAACGAACCCCAGGGTATATACCCCAGACAACGTAGCCGTTTCAGAGGGATGCTTGAAATGTCTGAGGGCATTTCCCTCCCTGGGCCTCCTTTCTGTGTTTGTGGCAGTGTAGAATTTAGGTATTAGCTGGGTAACCTTCCGAGGCCGGAGAATAGGGTCTGGAGGCAGGAAACCTAAGGCGGTGTCACGCCGACTTCCTTTTCTGCGAGGTAGATGGCAAATTGAAAGTACCTCTGATTGGTTGATTTTTGCAACCAAGCAGAGGTACTTTCGCTTCAGCCTCTGGTTGGTTGCTTTTCACAACCAATCAGACTGGTGGCTGGCCCTCTCTTAATTTACATGAGCTGAGCTCCAAGCGGCCAATGGGAAACCTCTAGCGGGTTTGGACCAGAGAAGATTCTGTATCTGGGCCCTTGAGCCCCTATGCTTGGGCCTGCTGCGACCCTGTGGAGTATACTTTCGTTTTCAATACATCTCTGCTTTTATTGCTTCATTCTTTCCTTGCTTTGTGTGTTTTTGTCCAATTCTTTGTTCAAAATGCCAAGAACCTAGACACCCTCCACTGGTAACACTTCAAGTGACAACACCTCTGAGCCTCAGTTTTCTGAGTTAAAAATGAGGATATTAAGCTAACCTAATTAATGAATTTAACATTTATGAAACATCTGTTTTGTGCAAGTCACTGTGGAGAATTGTTTTAGCACAGGAGGTTTTTTTTTTGTTTTGTTTTTTTGTTTTTTTGTTTTTTTTTTTGAGACGGAGTCTCGCTCTGTCGCCCAGGCTGGAGTGCAGTGGCGCGATCTCGGCTCACTGCAAGCTCCTCCTCCCGGGTTCACGCCATTCTCCTGCCTCAGCCTCCCGAGTGGCTAGGACTACAAGAGCCTGCCACTGCGCCCGGCTAATTTTTTTTGTATTTTTAGTAGAGACGGGGTTTCACCTTGGTCTCCATCTCCTGACCTTGTGATCTTCCTGCCTTGGCCTCCCAAAGTGCTGGGATTACAGGCGTGAGCTGGCGCGCCCGGCCGAGCCCAGGAGTTTTTAAACCCCAGTTGCGAGGGTTAAAAAAAAAAAGAACAAAAAACCCCACAAATGGTGTCACTGTCTTCATGGAACTTACGTTTAGTGGTGTCCTGCTAAGGTTTAATACATGGATTTCAAAAAAAGAAAAAAAAGGACCTAGTTTGTAATATTTGCCAATTTTAGTGGTGTAAATATTCCCACCATGGCTGACTTTGTTTTTTTGAGATGGAATCTCACTGTGTTGCTCAGGCTTGACTGCAGTGTCATGATCTCAGCTCACTGCAACCTCCGCCTCCTGGGTTCAAGCGATTCTCCTGCCTCAGCCTCTCGAGGGGCTTGGATTACAGGCGCCTGCCACCACGCCCCACAAATTTTTGTATTTTTAGTAGAGGTGGGGTTTCACCATGTTGGCCAGGCTGGTCTTGAACTTCTGACCTCAGGTGGTCCACCTTTTTCAGCCTCCCAAAGTGCTGGGATTACACGCGTGAGTCACCGTGCCCAACCATCATGGTTGACTTTAAGTTACCAGTGTAACATGGGTGAATGCAAAGGTAGGAGGCACTGTGCAAGGTCAACTCCAATGAGCTGATGCACACTGGCTCCAACTCATCATTTCTATTAAAACATTAAAAACCTCAGGAAGGTATCGTGAGGATTCAGTGAGGTAATAGCAAGCACGTAGTTTGCACACAGTGAGGAATGAATACGTGAGAGCCATCATTACCACTCGAGCAGCAGGAGCCTTACTTAAATGCCACATAGCAGGGACTGCAAAGCTGACCTTCCTCTTTCTCACTCCTACAAGCCGGTCTTTGCCAAGTTCTGTGAGTTCTTCCTCTGTCAAATCATTCTGTGGCTTCCTCCTGCCGTTGGCCTCCTCCTGTTGTCGTTACTATAGGTACAACTCTGATTTTAGTTTTCTCAGAGTGTCTCAGAATCAACCGGCCTAATGGTGCGTGCAGATTCTAGCGTCCCATCCAGAGAAGGTAATTCAGAAGATTTGGAGCAGGTCTCAGAGACCCTGTGTTTTCACAAGTAACCCTGGTGATTCTCCTCTAAGGGGCCCATGGAACTCACTTTAACAAACACTACTGAGAGTTTTCTTTTCCCTTTAAAGTCTCATGACTTTCTGGCCCATATTTGTACTTTAATAAGTTTATTCTGTCAGACAAATTTAGATTATTTCTGCCTTTCCGTTTTATGGTGGCAAGGGAGTCTAATGGATGAGAAACCCAAGAGATAAAATCTTTACAAATCTGAGAAGGTAAAAGTATCTCATAATAGATGGATAGCAGTTACAATTTATTGAAACTTAGTTTATATGTCAGCCAGTGATCCAACCCTTTGATGTGAAACAACTCATTTTAATTTAACACCATACTAGAAGATAGGTAACATGATATAATAATCATCACCTGTATTTTATCTTATTTTATTTTTTTAAGACAACATCTTGTACTGTTGGACAGGCTGGAGTGCACTGGTGCAATCTTGGCTCACTGCAACCTTCACCTCCTGGGTTGAAGTGATTCTCCTGCTCAGCCTCCTGAGTAGCTGGAATTACAGGCATGAGTCACCATGCCCACCTAATATTTTTGTATTTTTAGTAGAGACGGGGTCCCCCCATGTTGGCGAGGCTGGTCTTGAACTCCTGGCCTCAAGTGATCCACCTGCCTCAGCTTCCCAAAGTGCTGGGATTACAGGCATGAACCATTGTGCCCAACCTATCACCTGTATTTTATAGGCGAGGAAACTGAGGTGCAGAGAAGATAAGTACCTTTTCTAAGATCACTTAGTCAATAAGTCATAAACTCCTGACATCAACCCAGCTAGTCTGGTCCTAGAACCCTTCACCCTTAACCACTGTGCTAGGTGCTATCGTGCTATCACCAGGGTTCTTCGAGTTGATGAGTCGGTTTTCATAATCCACACAAACTAAACATTCAGATTCTCATTTAACTTTTACAAGTTGGAGAAGTGATTGGAGGAGAGTGCTTGCAGTAGTAACTAACACTAACAATAGCTGACTTTCACTGAGCACTTAACTTTATGTCCTGGTGACTGTTCTATGCAGTATCATGTAATGATGGAAAGAGGAGACATCACAAGCTCTAGGACTGAGAAAGAATTGAGACTGGGAAGAAGGAAGACTAGGTAAACAGAGCAATCTAGGAAACAGAGTTGATGGATCAGTGAGAAGAAACAGATATATGGCTAATAGTAGAGAGTAATTAAGGCAGTTTAAAGAGCGAAGACTCATCGTTAGCACAAGGGACCCTAGCCTCTAACCCAAGGAAGAGAATGGCTGTGCTTTTTCACTTCCCTGTTCCAAGCTCAAGATTGTGTATTCTATTTAATTTAATTAATTAATTAATTTATTTGTTGTTTTTTGAGACAGGTTCTGGCTCTGTCACCTAGACTGGAGTGCAGTGGCACAATCTCTGCTCGCTGCAACTTCTGCCTTCTGGGTTCAAGCAATTCTCCTGCCTTAGCCTCCCAAGTAGTTGGGATTACAGGTGCGTGCCACCACATTTGGCTAATTTTTGTATTTTTAGTAGAGATGGGGTTTCAGCATGTTGGCCAGGCTGGTCTCAAACTCCTGGCCTCATGTGATCCACCTGCCTCAGCCTCCTAAAGTGCTGGGATCACAAGCGTGAGCCCCTGCGCCTGGCCTCAGAATTGTGTATTCTGAGCCTCTGCTGGTCAGTCAAAACCGCAGAGTTTGAGCTGGGGTGGAGAAGGCAGGACAGGAACCCAAGTAAAGTGAATCTCTTAGATTCTTAGGATTATCCACAGTTAACACAGCCTCAGAGATGAGCCAGGCCAGCCAGCTCACTTTACAGATGCTGAAATCAAAGATATGAGAAGTGATTTTTCTTGAGGTCAACTTGTAGGGATACAGACACTGCTATATTGGCAACTTATTAGTCTCTTCACTGCCAGAATGGTGCCCCCTCTATCTGGCTGTCTGTATATGTGTCTGTGTGTGTGTCTGTGTGTGTGTGTGTGTGTGTGTGGGATATGAACTACAAATACAGTTCATGTAAGATATTAGGAAAGTCTTTGGTTTGAAACCAGAAAGTTTGCCTCCTCTCAACGATTCCTTTGTGGGGGATGGGGAAAAAGCAGAAAATATTTTGAGAACTTATGAAATATTGAATACGTTCTTTGACAATACATACATGCATGCCTACACATACATATACATATATGTGCATAGGCATATATGCATTTGCACAGTGATCTGGCCACCGTTCATACGTCAAACTTTTCCATAGCTACAGAACAAGCCTCTCCTTGTAACTGGAACGAGAAGATGCTGAAGGAAATGTAAATTTTTTTAGTGGGATCAGGAGTTGGTCCTGGAGAAATAGCATATACCACCCCAACATGGGAATCAATAAACACCCTGGTCTAAGCCTTTTTCAGAATGAAAGGCTTTAATACAGAAGTTCTAAACTCTAAATCTAAATAAATTTTCAAGTCCCATGCTACCAACTTTCAACACTTCCCCATACAACAATGTTGCCCACCTACAGCACTCAAGGAAGATTGAGGGATGGAATCTAGGGAGAGTCATACAGAGACTGTGTAATTTTTAAGTAAGGCAGATTATCCTTCGTAACTTAGGTGGAACTCATTAAATCCGTGGAAGGCCTTAAAGGCAATAATGCTCTGTTCAGTTTAGTGATGTCATCAGGTTTATAATGTGCATCTTTAACGTTACTGTCTATCTTTATTTATTTATTTATTTATTTATTGAGTTGGAGTCTTGCTTTGTTGCCCAGGCTGGAGTGCAGTGGCGCAGTCTCGGCTCACTGCAGCCTCCACCTCCCGGGTTCAAGCAATTCTCCTGCCTCAGCCTCCTGAGTAGCTGGGACTACAGATGCCCGCCTCCACAACTGGCTAATAGTGAAACCTTGTCTCTAGTAAAAAATACCGTCTACCTTTAAATGCTATAATGCCACTACACCAACACTGAAAGGACTTTCCAGTCATGCTGTTAGCAGTGGTAGTAGTTATCCACAAGGGTCTGCAGCAACTTCAATTCAATTCTTGTCTCCTCGGAAGAAAGAATTCGACTGATGGTCAAAAGGCAGAAGGAGAGACCCAAGGCAAGTTTTAGAGCAGGAGTGAAAGTTTATTTAAAAGCTTTAGAGCAGGAATGAAAGGAAGGAAAGTACACTTGAAAGAGGGCCAGGCAGGCCACTTGAGCGACCAAGTGCACGGCTTGACCTCTTGCCTTGGGGTTTTCTACATTGGCATACTTCCAGGATGTTACCCGGAAGGATGTGTTACTTGCGTTACTTCTTCCCACTCCTGAGATCTTATCAGGAAGCTGCTGATCACCAGTTTCAGATATTTTCTATCAATTAGGAGCACACCTTCTCCTGACGCCAGCTGTGACCAATTATTACTTTAGAGAGACACTGTAGCAACCGCCTGACCATCACCTGATGGTGGCCTGACAGTCCTGGTATGTGTAGGAGGGAGCCCTCTCCTGCAGTGCTCCTACCTGACCAGCTACCTACTGTAGCAATACTACTCCATCTGTGCCTTGTTCTTGCATGATTGTTTTCATACCTGCTTTTTCTAAATGGGTTGTCAACCCACAAGACCTTAGAATCATGCTTCCTTTAGGTAGTCAATAGCTATTTGTTAATTCAATAATTTAAAGTAAAAATTCACTTGAGCATTAAAAGATAAAAATGTAAGAATAAAAATAAATCATTGTTTATATTTATCAACATATTTACTTTTTTGCATTCCTACCTGTAGATATATATAAGCCTCCACCATTCAGCCATCACCATTTCTTCTGCTATGGATCTGCTGAAGCCAAAATTTCTTAGCTCTTATTAATGGAAGATATTCTCAATTTTCTTTCATTTTTAAAGACATTTTCACAGTGTAGAAAATTTGAGGTTGATAGATGTGTTAATTAATTAATTAAATTCTACAACTTCAAAGATGTTATTTGAATGTCTTTTGACTTGCCTTGTCTCTGATTAAGTATCTATAAGCCAACTCTCATTGTTGTTCTCTTGCTGTAAGATGTATTTTTTTTTTCTGGATACTTTTAAGATTTTTCACTACGTCTTTTGTGTTCTGGAATCGAATGACAATGTATCTAGGTGTAATTTGCTTTGTATTTATCTTGCTTAATGTTTATTAAGCTTCTGGGTTTTGTGGATCGATACTGCATTTTAAATTGGATAATTCTCCTCTTTTATCTTCCAATATTTCTTCTGTACTGTTTTTCTTTCATTTTCTACGGGGACTCCAAATACATATATATATATAAAATTTTGTTTTTCGAGACAGAGTCGCACTGTGTCTCCCAGGCTGGAGTGGAGTGGCACAATCTTGGCTCACTGCAACCTCCACCTTTTGGGTTCAAGCGATTCTCTTGCCTCAGTCTCTCAAGTAGCTGAGACTACAGGCACACACCACCACTTCAGGTTGGTCTCGAACTCCTGACCTCAAATGATCTGCCTGCCTAGGCCTCCCAAAGTGCTGGAATTACAGGCGTGAGCCACCACACCTGCCCAAATTAAACATATAGTATACTGTTTGATTTTTGTCCTGCAGGACTGTGATGCTCCTTTTTTTTTCTTGATGAATCAGTATAGATAATTTTGTTGCCTTTCACTTTTTATTATATTTTTATGCTACGTTCAGGCTACAGTTAAGCTCATTTGATGGATTTTTTTTAAATTTACTTTAAGTTCTGGAATACATATGCAGAACGTGCAGGTTTGTTACATAGGTACACGTGTGCCATGGTGATTTGCTGCACCTATCAACCCATCATCTAGGTTTTAAGCCCCGCATGCATTAGGTATTATCCTAATGCTCCCCCTCCCTTTGCCCCCCACCCCCTGACAGACCCCAGTGTGTGATGGGCCCGTCCCTGTGACTATGTGTTCTCATTGTTCAACTCCCACTTATGAGTGAAAACATGTGGTGTCTGGTTTTCCATTCCTGTGTTAGTTTGCTGAGGTTGATGGTTTCCAGGTTCATCCATGTCCCTGCAAAGGACATGAACTCATTCTTTTTAATGGCTGCATAGTATTCTGTGGTGTATATGTGCCACATTTTATTTATCCAGTCTATCATTGATGGGCATTTGAGTTTGGATTCTTTCTTAGAGCTATTATATTTTTCAGTTCTAACATTTCCAGTTGTTTCTTTTGTAATGTTTTAATGTTTCGTTTTAATTCCCCTTCTATTTATGCATATTGTTCACTTTTTCCACTGGATGCTTTAACATATTGACAGTAGTTATCTTAAAGTGCTTTATGCTAATTCTAACATTTGGGTCATCTATGGGTTTATCAATCAGCTTTTTTTCTCTAGCTAATTTGAGCACATTTGCCTACTTTTTAAATATCTTAGAACTGTATTTGAAAAGCATTGTGGGCTGGATGTGGTGGTTCTCGCCTGTAATCCCAGCATTTTGGAAGGCCAAGGCGGGCAGATCACTTGAGGTCAGGAGTTGGAGAGCATCTGGCCAACATGGTGAAACACTGTCTCTACCTAAAATACAAAAATTAGCCAGAGGTAATGGTGGACACTTGCAATCCCAGCTACTTGAGAGGCTGAGGCAGGAGAATTGCCTGAACCTGGGAGGCAGAAATTGCAGTGAGCTGAGATTGTGCCACTGTACTCCAGCCTGGGTGACAGAGTGAGACTCCATCTCAAAAAAAGAAAAAGAAAAAGAAAAAAAGACATTATGTATACAAGATGAACGGAGCCTGAGTCAAGAAATACCACTGGAGAAAAGGGTTTACTCTGTCCCCTCTCAGACTTCCACATTAGAGTGGAAGGGTTCATCCCCTTTAATCTCATCCTAATTTTACTGGGTTTGGGTTGGGTTGCAGCTTCAGTGTGCTTCAGTTCACCATTGGTTTTAAATGTTTTGAAGGTAAGATCAAGATTCTCCCTTCAGCAGGGCTTGGGATCTGAGTCCCAGCATGACTTCTTCGATCTCTCCCTCTCCTTCACTACCAAGGCTCCTGCTCTTTGGACCTTGGAGAGCTCTTTCTGCTGTACAATCCACCTGCATATTTTCACTTTTTTTTTTTCTTGAGTCAGAGTCTCACTCTTGTTGCCCAGGCTGGAATGCAATGGCTTGATCTCAGCTCACTACAACCTCCACCTCCCTAGTTCAAGTGATTCTTGTGCCTCAGCCTCCTGAGTAGCTGGGATTACATGCATATGCCACCACGCCTGAATAATTTTTGCATTTGTAGTAGACGTGGGGGTTTCACCATGTTGGCCAGGCTGGTCTTGAACTCTTGACCTCAGGTGATCCACCTGCCTCATCCTCCCAAAGTGCTGGGATTACAGGTGTGAGCTACCGAGCCCAGCCATTTTCACATTTTTTGAAGATGTCTCTTAGTCCTTATGCCCCCTTGCCTTCAGTGAGCTGCACCATGTACTCACGGAGGTTCAGGTGCAAAGAATTAGCAGGTGACTGTGCCTCTGGGGACTCCCTGCTCTTCCACCCTGCCCCAGCCTTCTGTGTGCAGTTCTGCAGCTCACAAATCAATGGGAATGCTGGAAAGGAAAGTCTCTGAAAGTGAATCAAGGAGCAGTTGCTAAGATAGGGGAGAAACAGATGCTAAAAAGTCAGTGATTTTTCACTACATTATTGCACACATGCTCACAACGTGACTTCGATTAATCTGGCCAGGTTTACTTCTCCAACTTCTTCTTTTTGGTGGAAGCTCCCTGGTTCCCATTCTGTACTACAATTGCACCAAATCATATACCATTCTCAGATTTTTTTCATTTAAATTTGCTCTACAAGAAACATGTTTAACATTTCCCTTTCTTCACTCTATTGATGAGTCCTATTTATCCTGCAAAATTCCATTTCAAGTTTACCTCTCCAAGCAAGCCTTCCCTCAGTCTGATTCAAAAACCACCCGTAAGTTTGTATGTGCTCTCCTTTCTTCTAGCCCTTATTCTATTTTATTTTGATTACTTTTCTACTAATACATTTGTCTCCCACACTAGGATTTGTGTTCCTTATGGAATGAAGCAATGCCCAATTTCAGTTAGCATCCGCAGAATCTAACAGAGCAACAGGAACTCAATGATTTGTGTCAAGGAATGTTGAGCACCCAGGTCCCCCTTTTTAACAGCTTCTTCTTAGTTCCTGCTTCTTTCATAGTAAACATAACCACAATTCTCATCCCTTCACATAGACCCCACTACTTTAAGTGATTATGCTATTGTTTATGAGTACTTACTGCTTCCCAAAGCTTTCCAATTATTATTGCATGCAATCTCCCACAACTCTGCTGTTTTGGTGTGTATTAGCCTATTCTCACACTGCCATAAAGAACTACCTGAGACTGGGTAGTTTACATAAAAAAAAAAAGGTTTAATGTACTCACAGTTCTACATGGCTGGGGAGGCCTCAGGGAACTTACAATCATGGCTGAAGGCAAAGGGGTAGCAGGGCACGTCTTACTGAAGAGAGAGAGAGAGAAGGGGGAAGAGCCACACACTTACCAAACAACCAGATCTCGTGAGAACTCTATCACGAGAACAGCATAGGGGAAACCACCCCCGTGATCCAATCACCTCCCACCAGGCCCCTCCCCCAGCATGTGGGGATTACAGTTTGAGATGAGATTTGGGTGGGGACACAGAGCCAAACCATATCATAGTGCTATTACCATACTTTTCATTTACAGATGAGGAAACTGGGGCTTAGGGTGTTTCAGCAATTTTCCAGAAAGAGCTGGGATTCCAACCCATGCCCATGTCAATCTAGAGCCCACACTGCTATGACTACAGCTAAGCCTTTTGTGTCTTCTCCCCTCCCTTTTATTTCTCTATTCTCCTCCCTTTCTGCTTCTGGCTCCACACTCCATGATCGGTTGATCAGCAGAGCTAATCCATCTGGTGGTTGACACGCGGTGCCTCGGAGCTCTGGTTTTCCCTTTTCTGCTTCTGTATCATCCAGCAACTTCTGTTTTCCTCTGAGGTCACCCTTAAAGGCTTCTGTGTCATGTTTCTCATTTCTGCCTTGTCGAGGAAATCTTGCCAGTGCATCTATCAAAGTAATCATCACAAGCCTGATGTAAGAGTATGGTTCCTCTCACATTTTTCATTACTAGATAATTTATTAATATCCTTCCAGAGCAGCACTAGATTTATCTTGATAAAACTGCTATCAGCGGTGACATAAGAGATGCCCCTGGGATGCCCCAGGAAGAGCCGTGCACTCACCTCTTTCACCCCTTAATACCTCAGGAAGCCCAACCCAGAGTCAGCCCAGGGGGCTGCCAAGACCCAAAACATTTTATCATTTTGATAAAGATGACCCGGGGTAGCCTCGAAGGGATTGCAACCTATCTCGCCTTTCTTTTCCGCTTGTGGCAAACACAGGATTGTCTGTGTATCTGGGAAGGCAGGTAGTAAGGGGTGGATAAATTACCTTCAAAGAGTTCACTATTTATCTCATTTTCATGTGAGCATCTGCAGGGAACAACTTCACCTCTCAGCTCAAGTGAGCTTTCTGTGAGGCCTTGCATCTGTGATTGGTGACAGACTTTTGCATTATTTTTGTGGCAGCTTCCGGTCATGGAATTCTTAGAAATGTGAGTGGAATGTATTGTCCTTGCCTTCTGTTCTCCTTCATGTCCTCCTCTCTCCAGGAAGAAAGTGGAGAGAGCAGATGCAGTCCCCTCCATCCCTGCTGAATATTTGCAAAAATAAAAATGCAAGAGGCCTTCTGGGTGAGGCAGCTGTCTCCATAGGCTCCTGACAGATGTCACTGCAGGGGTGCATTTGAGATGGGAGTATCCCTACATTCGCTGCAATTCAGGGTAGCTCTTTTATAAACTGGGTTTCATAGCTCATGTTGTAGGTGTGCATTTGAGATGGGAGTATCCGTGCATTTGCTGCAATTCTGGGTAGCTCTTTTATAAATTGGGTTTCATGGTTCATTTATCTTGACATCATTTCCGCCCCCAACCCTTCAACAAAACAAAAAGACAAAACATAAATAAATGAAAATATACATAGATACTATGAGCAAATGCTCTGGGGAAAGTAAAATCTCTTGGTGCTGCTATATGTAAATGAAGGGGAAAGTAAATGAAGGGGAAAGTAAAATCTCTTGGTGCTGCTATATGTAAACAGATACCTGGATACATTGTTGCTGGAAGGGCTGATTGGTTTATCAAAATGGGAATAAATGTGTCTGTCTCATTACTCAGCAAGGCTTTTATCCCACCCTTTACTATATATGAACAAAGAATGATTTTTGTAATATGTTTGTTTTGCTGCATTGTTTATAATAACAAAATACTTGTTGTTACGGAGGAAGAAACCGTTAAAGTAAATAATGGTACATTCATACGTTGGAATACTGCACAGTCAGGCAAAGGAGGAGACAGATACACGTGTTAGGATAAGGAGCAAGAGATACTTAGTGATAAAAAACAAAGTAAAAGTGTCTTTTATAGAATGCTCCTCTTGTCCACACATTGATTTTTATTTGAAGGATACACAGGAAACTAGCAACAGTGGTTTCATGGGAGAGGGAGACCTGGTCAAGTCTGAGGAAGGGAGAGGGAATATTTATTTATTATCATGGCTTTATTTTTATATTTATTTATTTATTTTTTTTTTAGATGAAGCCTTGCTCTGTCACCCAGGCTGGAGTGCGGTGGTGCGATCTCAGCTCACTGCAACCTCCGCCTCCCAGGTTCAGGCAATTGTCCTGCCTCAGCCTCCTGAGTAGCTGGGACTACAGGGGCACGCCACAATGCCCAGCTAATTGTTTGTATTTTAGTAGAGACGGGATTTCACCGTGTTGGCCAGGGTGGTTGCGAACTCCTGAGCTCAGGCAATCCGCCCGCCTCGGACTCCCAAAGTGCTGGGATTGTAGGTGCTACTTAAATTTTCCCTGATTATGTGCCTCACTTTCAATTAAAAGTAAAGGATCATTGGGAGGCCGAGGCAGGTGGATCACCGGAGGTCAGGAGTTTGAGACCAGCCTGGCCAACATGGTGAAATTTCATCTCTGCTAAAAATACAAAAATTAGCTGGGTGTGGTGGTGGATGCCTGTAATCCCAGCTACTCAGGAGGCTGAGGCATGAGAATTGCTTGAACCCAGGAGGTGGATGGTGCAGTGAGTCAAAATTACGCCGCTGCACTCCAGCCTGGGTGACAGAAAGAGACTCCGTCTGAAAAAAATAAATAAATAAAAGTAAAGGATCTTCATTTGGCTCTTTTTTCATCAACATTTCTGAGGCTCATAATTTTTTTTTTTTTTTGCTTTTTTCCTAAAATGAGCTTGAGCCACACCATCTGGTTCTCCCCCACTGATTTCCCTCCATAAACAATAAAATCTATGTTGTGCAGGTGGGCCATAGCTGACCACACCGAGGAAACAGTGCTAACAACAGTACATTGTTCTCTAATGGACAAAGCCAATTTTCACCTCAGTAATTCCCACAATGGTCTGAGTAGCAGGAAAAAAGGAGTCTATTGCTATTTTGCAGTTGAAGAAATTTTTCAACTGGAAAATACTGTGACATGTTCAAGGTCGCACATCCTGCAGGGAGTAGAGCAAATATTCACATCCAAATTTGACTGAAGCCACAAAGCACACCCTCTGCCTTTTGCCCCACTCACTCGGAGAATCATTTCTCTTGGGTGCTTTCAGAGGTAATGGCTATGAACTCCCATTTATTTTGCACAACCCCCTTCTTCTACCTGCTGCTGAACTGGTGACCTTCCCAGCCCCGTTCAGTTGCTGGTGAGGCTGTGGCCACAAGCTTTTGGCTCCAGGTGCCTGCTGGAGGAGAGCTGGCTCTTTCAATTGCTATTTCAATGCTGAGGATGGCTCCAGCCTCCTGGACAGATGGCCAATTGCACTTGAACTCTCAGAGTGCACATACGTCAACAGTGATAGAGAGCTTCAGCTGTGACCAGAGCTGGGACAGCCATCCAAATGCGGAGCCATTCGTCACTGTGGTTGATTCCATAAAATCAGCAATGAGGGTACAGATGAGGGGGGAGGATGCAGCCTCCGCTCTCTGTAGCTTGGCAATGCTGGGAAGACCCAGTGAGCACCTGGCTTCACCAGAGTTAAGACTGTCGATCTCTTAGAGGCTCAAAAACCTCAATGAAGTGCCTTTCTTAACGTTACCGCACCCAATGATTGTTTTAAAAATATACTACTATGACTGCTAGACGCACAAAATAACAGTATACCTCTTTTTGTTGTTGTTGACTTACGCAAACAGAACTCTTGGAGAAGGAAGTTCTCTATCTTTTATTCTATTCCAATCCCTATCTCCTCTGATGGTTTATCTTTTTCTTTCTTTGGGATGCCACTTCATCTTCTAATACTGGCTTCTCTAGGGTCTAAAAGAGAAATCCCAGCGGAGTGAAGAGAAATGCAGCGTATTCAAATCCCCTATTCACTGTTTCTTAGCGGGGTAGCCTGTGGGAAGTTGCTGGCTATGCTTAAGCCTCAATTTCCTTTCTCCCATACTTGGGCTGAGCTGCATTTTAAAAACCCTGATTAGCTTTGAGGAAGACCTTCAGCATCAAATGTGTAGGATTCAGAGGTTCCATAGAGAAGGCAGAAAGAAGAGAGCCAGATGACAGGAGGATCCTGGAGCAGGTGCAGAGAGGCTGGTTGGAGAACCCAAGGAACACTGGGTCTTAATGCTCTGTGTGAGTGACTACAAAGTGAGGATAAGATTTTTAACTCGTGTGCTCCTATTACCAGAGGAAACTCTCTGGAGGCAGGCAGGAGCAACCAATATGGCCTGAGAAACACAAAGGTGGAGGAAAGATGTGTTTGTTTGTAGAGGAGGAGTTAATGGGGCCCAGTTTGCAGAAGTTCACTTATTCAGTGTGATGGTTGAGTTTATGTGTTCACTTGATTGGGCCATGGAGTGCCCAGATGTTTGGTGAAACATTATTCTGAGCATTCTTGTGAGGGTGCTTTTGGGTGAGGTTAACATTTAAGTCATTAGACTGAGTCAAGAAGATGGCACTCCATAATGGGAGGGGACTTCATCCAGTCTGTTAAAGGCCTGAATAGCACACAAAGGCTGACCCTTCCCCAAATTTCTCCTGCCTGCCTGCCTTTGAACTGGGAAATTGGCTTTTTTCTGCCTCCAAACTGAAGCTTAGACATTGGCTGCTTTTTTGGGGTTTCAGGCCTGGTGGCCTTTTGACTGAAATGACACCCTTGTCTCGCCTGGGTCTGCAGTTTGCTTACTCACTCTGCAGATCTCGGGACTTGTCAGCCTCCAAAACTGCATCAACGAATACCTTATAATAAATCTGTTTATATATCTCTATCTAACTATCTATCTACCTATATATCTGTCTTTCTCTCTCTCTCTATCTATCTATCAACATAGCTATCCGTCTATCTATCTATCTATCTATCTATCTATCTATCTATCTATCTATCTCTCTATCTATCATCATCTGTACATATATTCTATTGGTTTTGTTTCTCTGGAGAAACCTGACTAATAGATTCAGTGATGAATTCCTGTTCCCACTGTTTGTAGCACTAGGCTTAGTTTTGTGCATAACGCAAGTAGAAGTTGCCAGGTTCTCTAAGATAGGTATGGATAAACATCTGTGGAAGTTCAGAGGGTGATGGGCGAGACAGTTTGCTATACTAGAAACAATGAACATTTGACACTAATCTGTGAGAAGCAGAGACCAACAATTATTGAGCATCTATTCAAAAATAGTAGTTCACTTACTTCCCAGCAAATCTCCAGAAACTAAACACTATACTTCTCATTTTCCAGACTAGAAAAGACAAGCTAAAAATCCAGACTCATTGGCTCCAGGGTCTATTTACTTTAGGCTCCTAATGCTTTCTGGGCTCAAGATCATTAGGCAAACTCAATAGCAGAATCATCATTCAAATTACTCTCAACAAGCTTGAACCCTAATCTCTCTCTTTTTTTTTTCTTTTTGAGACAAACTCTCGCTGTGTTGCCCAGGCTGGAGTGCGGTTGCCAATCTTGCCTCACTGCAACCTCCGCCTCCTGGATTCAAGCAATTCTCCTGCCTCAGCCTTCCAAGTAGCTGGGATTACAGGCATGTGCCACCATGCCTAGCTAATTTTTGTATTTTTAGTACAGACGGGGTTTCACCATGTTGGCCAGGCTGGTCTCAAACTCCTGACCTCAAGTGATCCGCCTGTGTCAGCCTCCCAAAGTGCTGGAATTACAGGCATGAGCCACCACACCCAGCCTAACTTCAGTCCCAATCTCAAGTTCACCTCCTGGCACATAGAAAGTAAAAAGTCAAGCCTCACACTCAGGATCTAAAAAAACAAAGACATATACAACTATATGAGATTCAGTTTCAGCATCTGTAGAATGGGTAGAAGATACTCATTCATGGAGAAATTGCAAGAAATAATTGTAGCATGATTTTTACAAGTACAAAAATGATAATTACAGTAAATATTAGAGTAAATATCCACACTTTGGGTATTTACTTATGGTCACATTGCTGTTCCATGCCAGCATAATCTTGCTGAACGCAACATACCTTTATCCCGCTTCAGGGACTTCCCTGATGCCTTGCAGCTGCTTCTTGTACACCCAGCTCACTCTCAACTCTGACACTTCTGTGTGGAAATGGTGGGTTGATGGTCAAATGTCTTGTCGTTCACAGGTTCCAATGTGATCCCTAGGTGAATGAAGACATAGTTTCCCCTGCAGTCTCACCTGTAGAATAACACAAAGCCTGAGAAAGTCTTTAAATCCATACTTTTATCAATTTATTTTTTTAAGGCATGGTGTTCTTAAACCATAGTGATTCACAGAGTAATCTCAAGGAGCTTAATGGATGATGGGGGATTTAAGAGCTAGAGCCTGGAACCATTATCTATTTCCCAGACTCTGAAAGACGGCAAACGAAATGTCATCTATGTGCATGTAAGGGTGGAGGGGGCAGGCACATACTGGGTAGATTGGGAGCATGCACTCCAGACTTGAACTGATTTAACTGACAAGGATATAACAAGGTCAATCAGAAACTCCAATTTATTCTGTCATTAAATGAATACTTTATATCAACCATAGAGTGAAACTCTCAAGTTATAGTTGATGTCAGAAACATAAAATCACACCCCAGAGATTGGCTGGGAAGGTGGAGAGATGAGTTCAGGGAGTCAGTAACTAAACTCTTTTCTCAAGGTCATTTAGCAGATGGAAAAGTTTCCATAAAGCTCCAATGGTCCCCTCTGGAACCCTCTAACAGGGCTGATACTTACAATAAGTCTTAAGCTCCAGGGGAGGCCATAAAAGAACCCACTAATGATGACAGAAGAGGCTCAACACAGTTAGCCAAAGATAGATCCCCACAAGGGAGGTGGAAGTCTTCCACCTATGACTGTCAACAGGACTTTACTTCCCACGCTGGGGAAAAGCAATTGACTGAGAGAGGTAGAAGGGCTTAGAGAATTTCCAGGTTGACAGTTAAGTTTTTAACTACTCCACTGCCTTCTTGGGTAGTGAGGGAATCTTATTAGGGGTTGGGACTGGACTAGGCATTATAGAACTTGATTTGGTTCCTCCAAATGGTGATGGAGGCTTTGTTTGTCCTGGGTCCTTCTCCTATGAGGTAGAGGCTGATACCACTGGGGCAATACCTATATGAGACCAGGTATGGCCTAGATCCCTGGTTTCAAAAGGCGAGATGACCTAGTAGACTAAAAAGAACATCTTTACAGTCAGACATACTGAAATTGAACTCACATTTTGGTTCTCAAAGACCTTCTCTGAGCTTTGGTGTCCTTTTCTGAACAGCGTGTTTAATAATACATCCTTCACAGGGTCACTTGGTGATTAAATGAAATACTTTCATCAAATTACCTAACACTGTGCTGGGCATAGATTAAACACTCACACAATGGTAATTTTCTGACCCATCACTTTATAGAACTGGAGACAATATATCACTGAACAGACTTGGATCTTGACTCAAACCTTAGAAACTCTACAGATGGATCTTGGCTTGTACACCTCTCTCACCTTCAATTTAATTTCCTGTCTTTCCATCTTCCTTCCTGACTCCTTTATTTCCACTTAAAGTGTGCCCATCTCCTGATGCTGCTTTCTCTACACTCTGACATTCCCAAACCAGGCTTTGCTTTATCATAAACCCTCACCCTGCTATTCCTGTGATAGAATCCATCCTTTCATCTCTCTGCACTCCTTAGCATACATCTCTGTAGACAACAATAAGCAGTTGCTCTGCTCAGAATGACTTAAGACAGTGCTTATGAAAGTGTGTTTGGTGGGACGTCAAGAATGCCTGTCCTAGCTTAACCCCAGCTCCATGCAGGCTAGAAACCTAAATTCAGAATAGAAAGTTTCAGCCACTGTCTTTTGATGGAGGAGAAAAAAGTGTATCTCATTTATTAGAGCTTCCTAGAGCACAAGAAACAAAGAACAGACTCACATCTCAATAGATTATTTCAGGGCATGAAAAAAGTCCTCTGAGTCATCAGGCATTATGGTGAAGGAAAATTTCTTTCTGATTTTTGAGGACGAGTTTTCCTGGTGCAAAAAGAGAGAAAGGTCATCCCATTTGGAAAGGATGGGATATGCGGGCATACAGAGACAGGTTCCAAACAGTTATCTGTGGTTAAAGCACAAAATATGTTGAAGGAGATGAGCCTGGGGAAGACAGTGGTGCCAGATGTTGAACAGAATAGGTTGGAAGAATAGAGGCAAAAGTAAAATATATATATATATATATATATATATATATATATACCCAGTAGGAAACTGCAGTGAATATTCACTGTGCCCTTTTGCAGGAATTCAAAAGGGACATCAAGAACATTTCCTTAATTATTCCAGGATCAGGGACTAGAGCTCCTCCTAAGATAAACCTATTACAGATTCCATTGCTGCATAGCAGGTCTCCCTCAGGTTACTCTGAATCAAGGGGAGAAAAAAATTCTTGGAACAAGTAATTTTGACTAAGGGTAAAACAAGCTGAACTACTCCCATTGTTACAGTGTTATTTAAAAGGCACAATTCACCATGAGTTCAAAGCATATATTCATTCAAGGTGACAACTCAGCGGTGAATTCTTAGAGACGTTAACAGGAGGAGTTATGAGGAACATAGCGAAGGAGTTAAAATTTGAAGGAAAAAAGGATTGGGGATTATATGTACTTGAATTATGGAAAAGGTTGAAATGCATTCAAGAAAGCAATAAAGACAAGTGAACCAGAAACTCCCTGCTCACTTATGATAAAATATCTAGTTAATACCAAATAAAAGATTCAAATAGACTTGTTATAGTTCTTTAGAAAGTCTCTCTAAAATAATGCCCATATCCCCCACACTTTTTTTCTTTTTTTAAAAAAAGCACTTTCACAAATAAAGTATTGCATTTAGGAAGGAAGATTGGCTATGGGGAGTAAGCCGCTTAGCTAGAATGAAAAAGATATGAGAGGAACATAATTTCTGAATTTGGAATTGTTCTTAGACACTGCACCAAGCATCCTGCCTTGCAAACAAGACCCGCTGTTTATTTTATATAGGAATTCATGGGCCACCCTGAACACAAAAAAATGCACCTAAAAAAATTGGTGTAGTGGAAGAGATGAAAAATCATATTTACATTTGCAGTACAGGGTGAATAGCGCTCTAAAAAAATAGGTACTTCAAGAGCACAGAGGAGGGAGTGAGTGCTCAATGACTGGGAAAAATCAGGAAGGCATCTTAGTAGAGATGACATTTGGGCTAGTTCTTGAAGGGTCAACTGGAGCCCACCAGGTTGGAGAAAGACTTCTGCTTGGGAAGTATGTCAGTCCACTGCAGAGGGCAGGTGATGAGAAAGCATCGATGAAGTAGGTCTTAGAATAAATGAGGGTTTATAGGCTGGGAAAAATACCAGGGCTCTACCAAAGTGAACACCAAAGAGCATTTATCTTCTTTCTTTGTCTATGATCTAAGCACTGTTGCTTGCAAGAAATACATATCTGAAAGGGGATTCGAGGAATGTGGATAGTTTCCAAATCATAAACACAAGCATAAATCAAGTCAAGCCCAGTTCCTCTCTTGTTAGAAAAGAAAGAAAGAAAGAAGGAAAGAAAGAAAGAAAGAGAGAAAGAGAGAGAGAGAAAAGAAAGAAAGAAAGAAAAGAAAGAAAGAAAGAAAGAACCTGCAACTGTTCATCCTCTCTGTATTTGTTTCCAGGGCTGCCGTAACAGATTATCATATACTCGGCAGCTTAAGGCAACAGAAGCATATTGTCTCAGAGTTCTAGAATCTAGGAGTTTGAAATCATGGTGTCACCAGTTTGCTTCCTTCTGAAGGCTCTGTGGGAGAATCTGTCTCATGCCTCTCTCCTACTTCATGGTGGCTGCTGCAATTCTTAGAGTTCCTCTGCCTGTGGCTGCACAGGCCCCTTGCTCTCTGTGTCTCTCTCTGTGTTTTCTCCTTTTCTGTTTCATAAGGACACCCATCATTGGATTTAGGGCTCATCCTAAACCCAGCATTATCAGGTCTAGAGATCCTTAATTCCACCTGCAGAGTCTATATTTCAGATATGGCCATATTCACAGGTACCGAGGATCAGCACATATCTTTCTTTAGGGCCACCATTCAACTACTACACTCCATTTTATTTTTTCCCAAAGTTGTCTCTTCTGAAGGGAAGTTGTCCCTACCACTTAAAAGAGTGAAAAGGGACAGTACCAATAATTATGATGCCCAAAGTAGAAGAGTGCATTTCTAGAAAGCAGGGATTGAGGCAAGGATTACAGTAATGATACTCCGAGAGCTGAAAGCCCAGGACAATAAGGGTTGTGGGGGAAAATGGAGGGAAGACAGGGAAAGATAAGAGGTAATGCTATGCATTGCATTTCAGTGCTGAGCACTACTTTATAAGTGCTGCACAGAGGCAAATCAGGTATGCTGAGCAAGTCTGGTGGCCCAGCAGAAAGGATGTTCACAGAGAGTGTTGCAAAAAAGATGTACACTTAGGAGAAGGGTCTATAAAAGAGAAAAGAGGAGGAATCTATTCCTCTAGCTCCTTCTATCTCCTATTTCCCTTTGGTCAAGTTTCACTCCATGAAGGACCGATCTTCCACACTTCAAGGTTATATCATCTGCCCTTGAACTTCTCTCAGGTAGTTGGATCCCATACCTCACAGTGTTGTAGTCCATTCAAGATCAGAAGTGGAGGGCTGACTCAACATGGTTCAGCGTACTGGAAGTGAGGATCATCCAGGCCCAGGGCTTCAACCTTGACCCCAGCCAACTCAGGGAAACTAGCAAGGGCACCAGCAAAGATGGCAGCCAAGTGGTCCAGAATGTGGGTGGTAATTTTCCAGGGAAGGAGGCTGTAGAGAGAAATCCAAGAAGGCTCATGTTTTGTGCCTGATACTAGTATCAAGGCTGGGAAATATACCAGGGGTCTACCAAACTGAACACCAAAGAGCATTTATCTTCTTTCTTTGTCTGTGATCTAACCACTTGGCTTCAACTGTTGGTGAATTCACAGAGACAGTTTTTATGTCAAGAATTTGCTGTAAATACTCAATATTTTTTACTTTTAAAGGTTGTGTGAGAGCTGTAGTAATATGGAGTAAAAAGGGAGTTAGAGACTTCATTAACTGACAGTTTCCTTTCTGGCACAGGTGCTAATCTAAAAAAAGAAAAATAAATACCCTGACTAACTGGTTTGAGGAAATGCATAATAATTTGTTTTGTAAAGCAAAAAGTAAGCAATGAAATGATATGTATATATATATTGTTCACCTGAATTATTTACTTATTTTTTTATTTTTTTGCTTAACAAGCAGAGAGGGAAGAAAGAAAAATAGCATCTGCCCAACCCAAGCTTTTTATTATATTTTTTAATGGTGAATCTTGCTAGAACCATAATGAAGCTCTGGAAGAAATAAAAACTTATGATCAGAACAAGCATTATAGACATTTATGTAAAATTGAAAGTGAATAGTATTTTCCCATCTGTTACTAATTCATAACCGGATTCTCTCTGGTATTGTGACTGAAGTACATTTTTATAATTCATTTCTTGGCTTAACTGTTGGGGAGTTCTCGACTTTGTTAATTTCACAACATCAGATGTTCATGAGGAAGTTACCATTATGACTCACAGTCAACATGTTATCAATTCCAAGAGGGAAGGATGTTAGCCAGATAAAGTGGTGAATCGGAGGTTTTAAAATAGAGCTTTATTTCTAAACACCCTATGTTCCAGGAAACTATTGGGGAAACTAGGAAACGGCTCTGGGGCTGGTTTTGAGGATCCCATATGCACAATCACAGCACACCAGGCCATCCCGTGATCAAACAGCCCTCTCAATCCCTGTGTGTCCCACGATGCCAAAACCCATTAGCTACTCATTAGCAAAGGTGAATGAACATTTGACAGAACAGAAGCAATCTGCCTGGGAAGTGGGGAGACACAGGAAAGGAGAGAAAGAGAGAGAGATACAAGAGAGAGAGAAAGGGAGAAGGTGGGGGGAAGAGAGAGAGGGAGAGAGACTGAAAGGATGGTGGAGGGAATTCTAAGCTTAGACAGTCCCACACTTTGGCATTCTAATCTAGAACAACTTCATAACTAAGAGTAAAGGAAAATCACTATTTCTTAATAACAACAACCACAAGCAAAGATTTCCATAAGCCCAAAAGTTTAAAAGCAGAATGTTATTTTAAGCAATCTGCTGTTCGGCTAACATTTGTGAGACACGTAAAGGAAGGTAAAATTAGACTGAACCTAATCAAGATTTATTGTATTTTTGCTCAGTCCATTGAGTTTTTAGTACAGTAAATGTTCTTTTTGTTTTTTTCCCATCATAATTTCACTTTCCAGGTTAATTTCCGAATCTTTGCTTATATGTTGCTAAGTAGAAGCTACAATATTTTTACCATGGAAATATTTGTTTGGTTATTTGATACACAAACATAGCCTGAAACAACAAATATAAAACAAGACATATGCACGTATGATATTTCCCAGAACATGAATCTTGTCATATTGAAGTGAACTGAATTCATTATTTTTGGATGCTCTACTCTCTTTCCTCTAGTTATTACTGAGCCAAAAAAGGTTTAGTTGGTGTAAGAAAATTGGTACAACAGTTCAGAAAAGCATAGTTATTCCCAATGCAGAAACTTTAGAAAAGCATGATTTCAAAATGAGTCAAGTTTAAATTGTCTGACATAGTTACTCCAAACGCAAAAACTCATCCTAAGGAAATAATCCTCCTTTGAAGGAAATATTTTTCGCTCAGAATTATTGACTACGAAGTTATTAACAATGGTGAAAACTTCAAAACCATTTCAGTGAATCACCATGATTATGAAAAATGAGGGAAACTCATTCGTTAGGCCAAACTGTCACCATTTATTTTTAAATTTATTTATTTATTATTTTTTGAGATGGAGTCTCGCTCTGTCACCCAGGCTGGAGTGTAGTGGTACGATATTGGTTCACTGCAACCTCCGCCTCCTGGGTTCAAGCGATCCTCCTGCCTCAGCCTCCCAAGTAGCTGGGACTACAGGTGCCCACCACCATGTCCAGCTAATTTTTTGTATTTTTAGTAGAGACAGGGTTTCACCACGTTAGCCAGGATGGTCTCGATCTCCTGACCTCATGATCTGCCCACGAGGCCTTGTGCTGGGATTACAGGCGTGAGCCACCAAGCCTGGCCTTAAAATTTATTTTTATGAGTATTGTGTAGTTTCAGGGGAAGATATCTCAGAGAAAGATTAGTATGGCTAGTCAGATGAGGATACCGTAAAATTGGTCTTTTGCCAGCAGAGTGCTCTCTGGTTATGAAAACGGAAATTGGAAAGAAAACAAGCAAACAAATAAATCAAACCAAAAAAAGAAAAAAAAAATTCTTCTTTACAGTTTTCAGACCTGGTCCTATTTTTTCTGAGCTCAACTTTTTCAGGCTATTTAAACAAAATACAGTAATAATAAAAATATTAAGAGTAGCAACAAAAGTTTTCTTAAAGTACTCTACAATAAACCTATGATGTCTCTACTATTCTCAGTTTGCAGGTGAGAACACTAAAGCCTAGAAATATTCAATCACACTTCTGAGTTCTCACAGTTATTAAGTGGTTGGATAAAGCATTTGAATTCAGGTTGGTTTGACACCAGATCTGTGTGCTTGTGCCAGCAGTATTTAATATGCTCCTTAAGGTTAAAGTTAGAGAAGGGACGATTACAAAATATTAAGAAAGATGATCCACAAGTGTGAAAACCATGAAAAAATGAAAATAGAAATTAAGGACACTATGAGTTCTGAGATAATCAAATACTCTTTGGAAAAGGAAAAATTGATGAAAAACTTTAATAAGATCTTCTATATTCAGCATCCTTTATTAGGGTTTGCAACATTATCTCCAATGACAGCAATGGCAACAAAAACATAGAAATAATAAAAATGTCCATCCATAGGGGATGGATGGACTCAGTGTTGTTTCATCAACCTGATAGGAAATTATGCAGATATTAAAAATTATTATTATAAAACTGAGTGGAAATACAAAAAATGTTTTTGATCAACTATGAAATGAATAAAGCAGAACATAAAATGACGTGGGCAATATTAATGCCATCTTCTAAAAATGTGGGTCTATTCTCAGGGACTGGGGTAAGGCATTTAGAAGTGAAAATAATTGTGTTTTGGATAATATTTCTGTATTACAATATAATTGGGCTATTATATCTTTCTTCCAATAATAGACATAAACACACACATCTTTTAGGTATCATGAGTTTCATATCTTTGCTCATTTTAATATGTAGAGCTCAACAGGATAAAAGAACAAATTCTATGCATCCATGCAAATGGAATGGAATAATGAACCCATTGTATCCATTATACAGCCTCAAAAATTATTAACTTTTTTCTGCATAAGGCATTTTTATTATTGCAAAACTAATATGAAGTTTGGGAAAAAATAATCCTGGAGATCTTCTTCAGACCTGGGGAAAAGTGTTGTGTTAGAAGTTGAAAATCTACTGACTGATTCGACTACAAGTTGTCACTCATCTTGGCCCTCCATTTGAGCCAAGAACTGCAGCCATCTCTATTTAATAGGTAGGTGTTAAGGGTTGAGTTAAAAAAAAATAGAAGAGTGAGAAGAGAAAAACACTAGAAATCTGTGCCTGGTTGTCAGAGGGAGGTAATTAAGTGTAACATGAATCAGGGAAAATGATGTCCACTACCAGGCCCTTGAGGCCTCCCAGAGGCTGAACCAAGATGACAGGTTAAAACCATGAGTGAAGTTAAACATCACCGAAGGGTACAACTACCTCAACACCTGGTGAGTAAATATGATTCAGACACATGCACAGGTAGAGAGTGGTTTAGACTAAGGGAAGATATTTTAAGGACTATAACTAAGTACCCCTGTGAAAGAAATTGGGAGTTCATTCATTAATTGATCTGTTTATCCATCTATCCACCTGTTCATCCATCCACCCAACCATCTACCCATCCATCCATCCATCTGGCCAGTCAGCCAATAAATTATAATTTTGCAGAAAATGAAAGACCTTCAGAATGTCTGGAACATGTAGTACAGGGTTAGTGTAGAAAGAGTCTTAAGAAGAGGCTTTGTCCAAAAGTTTAGACTTTACCCTGAGCCTGATGGAAAACAAACTGAAAAGTTTTGAGCAGCCAAGTGATAAGATAAGATCTGCCTTTTAGAAGCAAGTGGCTAGTAATTAGCATATGGTCACCAAAGGGCTGCAGACTTTAATTTCCCAGAGAGGCAAATAGAAAAGGGGAGTGTCTGAGTTGTCTGACCAAGCCTGGAAAGAAACATTCTGGCAGATTTTCTGTCAGTGGGGCTGCAGGGCCTCCAATTATTCCAGGAAACCACGCCTTTCTTTTTTAATCATAAATAACCATCATCTATCAATCAGGCATTTAATCTAAAAGGTTCAGTTGAGTTGAGCCACTATTTTCCATAGTCACTTTTAACTACTATTTTAGATTCACATCAAACTTGTCGCTAGGGTCGATACAACAGCATAGCAGAGCTAGAAAAATGCTAAAGAATAATCAAATCCCTATTTTTCTCATGATGATGACACGATCGCACCCTTTCATGGTCTATCTGTTTAAAAAATAAGTAGGAAAAATGACAATGGACTGCTTTCCAAGGTGAAGCCAAGTCACCTGATTTCAACTCTGCAGACTTTTTTCAGATTTTTGAGAAAAGTGTGGAAAATTCACCCTGCCACAGGTTCTTTCCTCTCCACTCACCAAACTCTCCCTAGCAGTAACCCAAAAATATGACAGCCAAATATCATCTATGTTAAATTACTTTTTCAATAGTAGATGATTTATCGTTGATTAGGTAATTAAATCAAATACAAGTGGCTGAAAGTAAATCTATTTTTATCATCCCTGTAAATTAAAAGTTCCACATCATAAAAAATCATGACCATCTTGAAAATGACCAGTCAAGTGCCTTTTAGAGGCAAGCAGGATTTATTGTCAATTAACGTATTGAACTGTATAGGCAGCATAACCCTGTGTTGAAGACTTTTAAAATTATTGGCTTCCGCTTCTGAGCTGCTCCCTATCATGGTAATGAAATGTATCTAGCTATTCTCATATTGAACAATTCCGTAGGTTGGGTTTATATCTCACTATAACAACATTTCATTTTATTATTATCTCCAATCCTCTGTAATGAATACAAATACATTCCTTTTTTCCATCATGACTTTATCAATTTTCATTGATTTGCCTATAATGAATACAGTCAGAAAAAGAAAGGCAGACAGATCATATCCATTAAAGTGTCTTTAGCTTCAAAAGTTTGTGGCATTGTTTAATTTAAAAAGAAAAAGAAAGTCATCAGGAAACTAATTAAAAGAGACATTACTTTCAGGCCTGCTTATACACAAGAAGTCAATAATTATTGCATAAAGGGACTGAGAAGCTATTACCCTCTAGAAATTTTGCATTTGCATCCAGCCCACTTGAAAAAAATAAAATTATTATTCCTATCAAATATTTAGTGCATATGGATAATCATAGTATCTATTATAATGTTGTACATCTTTCAAAGTTAATAAAGGTCAATTGGAAGTATAAAAGCTAAGATGCACTTATAACAAGTTCAATTTTTGTAACTAGATACATTCGACAGCTTGTGCGCATACCTTTTTTTGTGGCAAAGCTCTATAAACCTGCACTGGCTCTGTGTCAGTGAGAAATTCATGTGTGTTTCCCGTTGTACATATCTTTATCTGAAACATGATTTTGTCTGAGGTTCTTTCCATAAAGAATGATCTTCTGTTCTATTAATTCTATTATAGTCTATTAGTCCATTTGGCATTGCTATCAAGGAGTACTGGACACTGGGTAATTTATAAAGAAAATAGATTTATTTGGCTCACAGTTCTGCAGGCTGTACAAGCATGGCTCCAATCTGCTCAGAGTCTGGTGAGGCCTCAGGAAGCTTTTACTCATGTTCCAAGGTGAAGTGGGAGCAGGCGTGTCACGCTGAGAGGGAGCAAGAGAGCAGGACGTGTCAGACTCCTTTAAACAACCAGCTCTTGCATGAGCTAACAGAGAACTCACTTATTACCATGAGGAGGGCACCAAGCCTTTAATGAGGGATCCACTGCCAGGACCCAAGCACCTCCCACTAGGCTTACCTCCGACATTGGGGATCTCCTATTAACATGAGATTTGGAGGGGACAAATATCCAAACCATAACATCTAGATGCCACGGAATTGGGAGCTCAGTAAGGCAAGTGGCTTTCCCAAGGTCACAATGCTCATGTGAAGCAGACTGGAAGCTGAGTTCAAATATTGGACTCCAAGCCAAGTGCTCATCCTGCCTCCCTGCAAGGCAAGGAGCAGGATTTTGCCAGAGTGAGGGCATGTATCCCCGCTTTCCTACAGATGAGGACTTGAAGTGAAGGCTACAAGATGCCCACATTTATTTTTTTCTCGAATTGCTTTCCACTTTAGCTTGGAGAAGCACATCCTGAAGTTAAAGAAGGGTTACTTGGGAGTGAAAAAAAATCACCCTGTTTTCTGGGGTATGCAAAGAAAGCAGCCATAGCCGGGCAGAGGACATTAGAGATGTGTCTGCAGTCTTTTCAAAACTGTTTAATCTAATCCTAAGTGCTATAATCAAAATCCAAATGACGATGCCTTCAGTGACATTTCATGGCCCTATAACCATTGCATCTGTTTGGGGTTAGCATTTGCATCCCCAGGTGGTAGTGTTATTTGGTATAAATCAAGTAATTCGATGGCACTTTAGGAAGGAGAAAAGTTTATGAAATAGCAAAGTATTCCAGATTTCCTTCTTGGTCCCCCACTATTTGGAGTTGATAGGAGTACCTTCCGGAGAAGAACAGCTGGAGCTCCCAATTTCTTGTGCAGGGGCACAAGAGGCTGAACCTGAATCCAGTTCTGATATTAGAATTTCTTTCATGGGGTAGAGAGTTTACCTTTGACAAAGCTACTGATTGTTTAAGGTTTCCTAGTTAGAGCATAAGACACATAAACTGCCTCATTTAGGATGACCGTGAAGTTGGTCACTCAAACAGGGCCTTGGAGCATTTAAGCATTCATCTCTTCGTTTTTTGTTTTTGTTTTCGCTAAGCCGCATGGCATTCTGCTAGAGTAAGCATAATTTATTTAAACAGCATTAAGTAACAATCATTTAGTTTAGTTTTTTTTTTTACCAGGGTTTGTGGTAAGCAATGTTGTAACAACATTTTAGCTTTCGAGTGTTTATCCCTGGTCAAACCACACCAACATCCTTGCATCCTCCTCAAAGGAGGGTATATTAATATAATCTATGTGGCCTAATTGGAGGGAAGTTTCAAGACATGTTTTTCTTTCTTCCCGTAATAAACGAAGGGGGCTTCGCATGGGATTGTGGGAGGACAGAGGGGTGGCCCTAGTTATAAAAGGACGAGGAGGGCCCAGGGAGTGCTTTCTCGGGGAGGACACACCTGTGTTAAATCTTAAAGGAGAAATCCAGAGTGGGAGGACATTTCTAGAGACAGCAAAGTGTATAATGGGAAGTGAATGGAGCTAAGTTTTGGAGCACCTTACTTTTAAAGACTTTCCTTCAGAGGCCATCACCCTAGAGTAGGGTTGGCAAACTTTTTACGTAAAAGACCAGATAGTAAGTATTTTAGGCTTTAAGGGCATACATTCCCTACTGCAAGAACTCAAATTTGTCTCATTGTAGCAAAAAAGCAGCCACAGACAATAGGTAAATAAATGGACAACACTGTATTCTA
This sequence comes from Homo sapiens, assembly GCF_000001405.40. Lineage (NCBI taxonomy): Eukaryota > Metazoa > Chordata > Mammalia > Primates > Hominidae > Homo > Homo sapiens. The sequence goes on along the minus strand of NC_000016.10, from coordinate 8,081,012 downwards.
ATAAAACTTTATTTACAAAAACAGCAGTTTGCCTCACATTGCAGTTTACCAACCCCTGCCCTTGAGGAAATTCTAAATGATCCTTCTATTCTCCTTGTAGAAGACGATATTACACAATTTTTGGCATATGAAGAAGCAATCGATAAATACAAACACAAAAATATGTAGGAAAATCATATTATCTGTGCCAAACAGAAAATTGCAGAAATATTTCCTTTTTGCAGATTTCTGTGAATTTTTCCAGCTTTTTAACACTTGCAACATGCCATCTTTTTGGTATTTGAAATAAGTGTCCCTTTATTATCTAAATTTTCATTAGTGCTTTACTTTCGCCTTCTTTTTTTCTCATAGAGGGCCTCCAAAACTATATACGCTTTCAACACTACAAAAACCAGATCCATTCCTGCCCAGAGGCATGAGAAAACTGCACATTGGGGGAATTGCAAATAATTTGGTTATTGCTCACACAAAATAGGGAGGTGATTAAAATCACAGTTGGAAGGCCTGGGTTGAAATCCAGGTATTACCACTTACTAGCTATAAGACTTGGGAAAGTTATTCCCCTTCCATATATATGTGTGTATATATATCTATATATCTATATATCTATATCTATATCTCTCTATCTATATAGATATAGATATATATACATATATTTTTTATCTGTAGAATGAAGATAAGAACATTTTTGGTCTCAAAGGTTTACTAGGGGGATGAGATGACATGATCCAAGCACAGGGTTCAGTGTAATGTGTATAACACAGTGGGGACTTAATAAATGCTGCTGGTAAAGTGCTGGTAAAGATGAGGACAGTGGGTGGAATAGCGAGGGCTGTGGTAGGGGCCAGTGTGCAAATGAGGCCTGATTTAGAGGACCCTTTAGACCACAGCAGGAATTTGGACTCTGTCCTGCAGATGATGGGGATACAGGAGTTTCGGTCCAAGACTGGCTTGCCCAGATTTTCATGAGCTCCTGAAACTGTGAATCACAGCTCTAAGAAAGGAGGCCCAGGGAGCCCAGTTCAGTCAATACCTGCAACATCAGTGGAGTTGGAGGTTTAGATTTCAAAATCCCTCCCAGTAATGTCTTTCGCTGAGTTATATCACCAGGCATCAGGGGCCCATAGCAGAAGGAAATGAAATGCATCAGAGAAGGCCGGGAAGAGTTCTAAAGCTGGTGTAATTAAAGCTATCTATCACGTCGCTGAGCATGGGAAGGCAGGAGTGGAGATTTGGATCCAAGAGCAGTATCCAGACCAAATCCCCAGGTGTTCCCCAGAACCCCAGGTAGAGCTATCCATCTCTGCAGCAACAGGACAGGGGACTCCAAGCATACACTGCCCATCTCTTCATTCTTCTACTAAAAGCTCAGTTGGTGTGTGAGAAGGTGAGGCCAGGCAATATTCCTAGAAAATGCCCAGACCCATGGGTGGTATTAGGCATGAAAATTACCAGACCTTGGGGGCCTTGTCTGGATGAGACAAGCAATATCCTTACACTCTCTTGGTGCTTCCGATTTTATTGTAATGTTTAATACTATTGAAATAATAATAATAAACCTCTTTGTGTAATGTTTTGTTAAACATTAGACTGTCACCTTGAGCAATTAGCTATAGGATAAAGAAGAATACTCCTGTTTTATTCACTTTTCTATCCCCAGTGCCTAGCACGGTGAAAGCATACAGCAGACTTGTTGATATACGTTTTATAAATAAGTCAATAATTTTGGAGGCATTGTTTTGGGAGGTATAGGAAGTTAAGTGAGGGAGAATTTTTACCTTGTATTAGTCCATTCTTACATTACTATAAAGAACTACCCGAGAATGGGTAGTTTATTTAAAAAAAAAAGAAAGAGGTTTAATTGGCTCATGGTTCGACTGGCTGTACAGGAACCATGACTAGGGAGGCCTCAGGAAACTTACAATCATGGCGGAAGGCAAAAGGAAAGCAGGCACATCTTACATGGCTGGAGCAGGAGGAAGAGAGAACGGGGAGGTGCTATATACTTTTAAACAACCAGATATTGTGAGAAGTCACACAATATCACAAGAACGGCAAAGGGAAAGTCTACCCCCCATGATCCAATCACCTCTCAACATGACCCTCCTCCAACATTGGGGATTACCATTTAACATGAGATTTGGATGGGGACACAAATTCAAATAATACTGTACTTCTACCTTAAGGGATGTCCCATTAGCCTATATTATTCATGATTCACTCCTTCACTCATTTATTCTCACTATTTTCAAATGTTAAACAATTTCATTAAGATATAATTTACATGCCAGACAAATTCACTCATCTAAAATGTACAATTCAATGGCATTTAGTATATTTACAGAGTTGTGTATTCATCACTATATCAATTTGAATGTTTCCATTTCCTGAGAAGAAAGTAGGCACTCCTTACCCTCTAATCCCCTCATCCTTTCAGCCCTAGGAACTCAATGATCTATTTTCTGTCTACTAATTTCCCTATTCTGGACATTTCATATGAATACAATTATATAATATGTGGTCCTTCTTGACTGGCTTTTTAAACTTAATGGTTTCAAGATTCATCAGCTTTGCAGCATGTATCAGTACTTAATTTCTTTTCTTTATTTATTTTATTTTATTTTTTTGAGATGGACTCTGGAATTCGGTGGCAGGATCTCGACTTTCTGCAACCTCTGCCTCCTGGGTTCAAGCAATTCTTATGCCTCAGTCCCCTCAGTAGTTGGGATTACAGTGAGTGCCACCCCACCAGGCTAGCTTTTGTATTTTTACTGGAGACAAAGTTTCTCCATGTTGGCCAGGCTGACCTCGAACTCCTGACCTCAAGCGATCCACCGACTTGGCCTCCCAAACTGCTGGGATACCAGGCATGAGCCACCATGCTTGGCCAGCACTTAATTTCTTTTTATCACTACATAACATTTCTTTGAATGTATATATACTGCATTTTACTTATTCAATCAGCAGTTAATGAACATGTATACTAAATATACACTTATTTAGTAAAATGAATCTTTTTAATTCTTAAACATTGATTGGCATCCACTGTTTTCTGGGCACTCTTCTGGTCTCCTTATGTGAAGATGAGTAATAGTTGGTCTCTGTCCAGGTAAAAAATTGTAATCTTGAGTCATGGTTAAGCAGTAGATGCTTTGAGAGGCTAAAGAAATCTAGAGAAAGGAGCAAGTACGCTTGCAACTAAAATAATGGAGTCAGATATTAAAGCTAGGTGAGTGGGAGTTGAGTGGGAGGTTAGTGGGAGGGCTGGGAAGGTGAACAGAGGTAGAGGAGACAGAGTGAGTGGATGTTTCCTGCTGTGGTGCACCCCTGTGTTTTCAGTACAGTGCAAGTAGGTCAGGGTGGCAGGAGGTCAGGTAGCATGGTGGGAAGGGGATTGAGCCTGAATGGAACTTCCCTACTCTAGAATTTGTAGGGAAATCAGTAAAAAGCAAGTTTCTCACCCACCCCAGAGCTTTTATCATCCAGGTTCTATTCTCTGATACATTAAGCAACTATTTATTGAACACTTATTATGCCTACATACTGAAGATAGAGTGGGGAATAAGAGGATGAAGACAATGTCCTTGAACTCATGGAGATCACATTTTGGTGTGAAAAGGAAAACAGATAAAACATGCATGAAAAAGTGTATAACATAGTTTCCTGTCACATTTTTTAGACATATAAATGATTAGATTATCCTATGCACATTCTTCTAGAACTTGCTTTTTCCTTTTTTCTTTTTCTTTTCTTTTCTTTTCAGACATAAAACATGCATGAAAAAGTGTATAACATACTTTCCTGTCACATTTTTTGGACACATAAATGATTGGATTATCCTACGCACATTCTTCTGGAACTTGCTTTTTCCTTTTTTCTTTTTCTTTTCTTTTTTTCTTTTTTTTTTTTTTTTTTTGAGATAAAGTCTCGCTCTATCGCCCAGGATGGAGTGCAGTGATACGATCTTGGCTCACTGAAACCACTGCCTCCTGGGTTCAAGTTATTCTCCTGCCTCAGCCTCCTGAGTAGCTGAGATTAAAGCCATGTTCCACCATGCCTGGCTAATTTTTGTAGTTTTAGTGGAGATGGGGTTTCACCATTTTGGCCAGGTTGGTCTCGAATTCCTGACCTCAAGAGATCCACCTGCCTTGGTCTCCCAAATTGTTGGGATTACAGGCATGAGCCACTGTACCCAGCCTAGAATTTGCTTTTTAATTTGATTTTTTGCTAGAAGAATATCTTGGCAATTGAACCATAAGAGCATTTAAGCATTCATCTCTTCGTTTTTTGTTTTTGTTTTCGCTAAGCCGCATGGCATTCTGCTAGAGTAAGCATAATTTATTTAAACAGCATTAAGTAACAATCATTTAGTTTAGTTTTTTTTTTTTTTACCAGGGTTTGTGGTAAGCAATGTTGTAACAAATATAGTTGAGTACTATCTCTGAAGGTAAGTCAGGAAAATTGGAATCTCAGGATAAAGAATATGTGCATTTTTAATAGTCTGCATTGCAAAATTGTCTTTTAGGGAAACTGCAGTGAGCTTATATTCACACCAATAAAGTAAAATAGCACTGCATATAATACTGAAACATTTTAGATAGAGAGACGAACATGACTTAAGTGTGTATTTTAGGAATGTTACATAGAAGTTGCTTCAATTTTAAGGAATGGGTTTGAGGTGGTATCTAAATCCATGTGTGTTGCCATAACAAAATACTAAATACAAAATAATAAACATGGTAATTTATAAAGAACGGAAATCCATTTGCTCACAACTCTGGAGGCTGGGAAGTCCAAGAGCAAGGAGCCGGCAGGTTTGGTGTCTGTGGAGGGCTGCTCTCTTCTTCCAAGATGGCGTGTTGTTGCTGCATCCTCTTGAGAGAAGAAATGCTAGATCCTCACATGGCTGATGGTGGAAGGGCAAGAAAATTGAACCCTGCATAAAGACTTTTTTACAAGGGCCCCAATCTCTCCATAAAGGAGGAGCCCTCATGGCCTGATCACCTCTTCAAGGTCCCATCTCTTAATCCTATTACATTGGCCATTAAGCTTCAACACCTGAATTTTGGAGGGGACATATTCAAACCATAGCATGTGGAAAGATGGAATGAAGGAGAAACCAGTTTGCAGTTACCTAGAGTGAGAAATGATGTGGCAGAAGCAGAGGGTGTGGGGAGGGCAGAATCTAGGCATGAGAACTCAGACAGGTTGACTGTCGAAAGGAGGGAATGGAATTTTCAAATGTTGTCTTAGGGGTGAAAGGGTTTAGACAAGGGCCCACATTGGAAAGATGGGGAAACCGAGGCCTTGAGAGAGGAATCCACTCTTGACTCCCAGCATCCAGTGTTGTTTCAAGCTTTGCATTCAAAAGACACAGACTTCAAAGCTGCTCAGAGAGCTTACCTTAAATGACTTACGTGAAAGCTTGAGGAAACAACAATTAAAAAAAAAATCCCAAACTCTCAGTGTGGGAAATTATACTTGCTTTTGGAAAGAGGCCCTGGACAGAGCTTCCTGTCTGGGGGAACATATGGAACTAGGCGTTCTTTATGAAGAGGGAATGTAGGTGTGACGCTGCCAAAGGACCAGACGGTGTTCTTGAAAATCACAGGCTTCCTCCGGGTTTCCATCCCTGCAGCAAAATGGGGGTTCATTTGAGGGGTACCCAAGTGAAACCACAAGACCTAGAAGAAAATTACCTTCAGGTTTCTGAGGCTCAGTTTGAAGACACAGACAACTGTGGCTTCTCTAGAAATTAGATTCTAACAAATTCCACAGCTTGAAGTGTGGAACCAAATATCCAATTCTGAAAAGCACATTTGTATTAGATCGACACTTTCACCAGGAACATCAAAAAACACCTTATTATAATAAAAAACATTTGAGAGTTATCAAATCAGCTATATGTTGGAGTGGGGGGAGGTTCTGGAGAGAAGGAAAACGTACTGCGTTATCCCAGCAAACTAGAGAATCTGAGCAAAAAGCATCTCCTAAGAGCCAGAGAAATTGAGTTGAATGCTTTTCATTCTTAAAGCATTGTGGAGGCCAAAGAGAAAAACATATATGGAGTTCGGAATTATCCAGACATTCTGAGACCCATGTGGCCAAGATTTCAGAAAGAGGAGAAGTTCAATAACAAAGCCTGATAATCTATGTTAATTTTTCTCTTTCATTATTGGCTAATTTATGACAGGAGAACAGGATGAGAGGCAGAATCACTGTGCAGAAACTTGCTGCTGGGAGGCTATGAATCTAGCCAACGGTAAAGAGGAGGTGAGGATTAAGTTTAGGATTCATCAGAGTGCAGAGCTCTACATGCATGGCAGGCATTTAGTTAGGACAACTGAAGGACCACATCCTAGGGGGAGAGCTGAAATAAAAATAGAAATGTTCTTAAAATATTACAACATACTTCGGATAATCTTGATTCTTAGTTGCTTGAAGGTGATCCATTCATAATTAAACTTTCTGCTAGATGCTAAATAAATACCTCCAAGAGAAAGAAAACGCAAATCCTTTATGCTTTTCAAAAATTTATGTTTTGAATACAATGGTATTCATCCAGAAATGATCAGGCATACCAAGAGATGAAGCTGATAGGAAAAAATGGACAACAGAAACAAACCAGAGTGATTCAGATATTGGATAGTTGTCAGATATGGACTGGAAAACAACCCTGATTAACATGTTCAGAAAATGAGATGAGATAGAGAATTTAGAAATTTAATGGGAATATGGAAAAATTAACTGCAGTCAAAATCTAGTATTGTAAAAAACATTATAATTAAATCACAAATTGAGCATATATGAAGAGAGTATTAATGAAATAGAGGGTGTTAGTAGAAGGCATTCAGACAAAAGTTCCAAGGGAAAAGGTATTTATTACAAAAAAAAATAAATAAAAAAGCCAAGAAAAGTGGCAAATGGGGCATGGTGTTTGCTCTAACAACAGGTATGTATCTGAGGTATCAGAATTGGACAAAACAAGAAATATTTGAAGAAATAATTACTGAGAAGTTCCCCAAATTGATGAAAGGCATAAACCCACAGATTCAGGAAGCACTACAAACTAAAGTAAGATAAATACAAATACAACCACTGTATGTTATATTATAGTCATACTGTTGAAAAAGACAGAAAATTGTAAAAACACAGAAAAAAAATCCACATCATATTCCGAGAAACAGTAATAAATATGATAGCTGATTCTTAGGGACAAAATGCAAACCCAAATGAAACACAGGGAAAAAGTAAATTTCTACCTTGAATTCTACATATACTATATATTACTGTACATATATATATATATATATATATACACACACACGTATATATACATAAAGTAATAAAGAAGGATTTTAAAAATTTGAATATATTTAAACATGTATGTATGTAAAATATGTATCTATTCACTGTATGGAAAAATAATATTGTCTTATGTGATTTAAAATATATATAGACTGAAAATATATGACAATATAAAAAAAGGCAGGAGAGACAGTAAATGGAGATAAAGTATACTAAGGTTCTAACATCAGGAAAGGAAATAAAGCAGTAACTTATATTTGACCATAGTCAAGGATGCATGCTATAATCTCTCGAGCAACTATTAAAAGAGCAGTAAATGGCCAGGTGTGGTGTCTTAGGCCTATAATCCCAGCACTTTGGGAGGCTGAGGCAGGTGGATCACATGAGGTCAGGAGTTCAGACCACATTGGGCAACATGGCGAAACCCTGTCTCTACTAAAAATACAAAAATTACCCAGGCGTGGTGGCAGGCACCTGTAATCCCAGCTACTCAGGAGGTTGAGGCAGGAGAATCGCTTGAACCTGCGGGGCGGAGGTTGCAGTGAGCCAAGATTATGCCACTGCACTCCAGCCTGGGCAACAGAGCAAGACTCCATCTCAAAAAAAAAAAAAAAAAAAAAAAAAAAAAGCAAGACCCTGTCTCAAAAAAAAAAAAAAGAGTAGTAAAAGTATGCATAATTATTATGTCAACAGAAGGTGAGATGAATAACAAAAATACTCCAACAGAAGTCAAGAGAAATGAGAAGAAGGGACATAGAATAAATAGGACAAATAGAAAAATTAGTAAGGTGGTGTTAAACCTAAATATATCACAAATTAGGTTAAATGTAAATAGATGAATTAATGTAATTTAAAGACAAAGATTCTCACAGTTGAACAGATAGAAAGATACAGATGGGGAGACGTTTCCTGCTTACAAAAATGTTTCTTAGATGTGAGGATAAATTGATGTTGAAAATAAAGGCATGGAAAAGATATACCATGCAAACAGTATCCAAAAGAAAGCAAATATAGCTATGTTAATATAATTGTGGACCCAAGGGGGATTATAGCTGGACACAATGGATGGCATCAGCCCAAGGAGAATCTGGGATTTACTTATTTATTCAACACATGGTCGCTGCATGTCTACTATTTGCCAACAAAGAAGGAAAGCTGTCAGAAACAGGAATTTCAGTCAATAGGAAAGCGAGTTGGGAAACATGTTGAAATAGGGTGGGAGTTATGACTTTTTTTTCTTTTTAACTTTTTGAGAAAGTTCTTTTAAGCTTTTTATCACTAATTCAGATTAATGACATGGGACAGGGGTGAATCTAAAACCCCTTAAATGTCTTTGCTTGTACTTGCATTTTTTATAGGATGATATTAAAAGGGGGAAGGTGTATTTGTGCTCTTTCAAGACGCTTATCTACATTGTCATGAAAAAAGCATAGACCAGTTCACTGAAACCTTTCTCTGCTGCCACTGAATTGCTATTTCTCTCTGGACAAGATGTTTCTTCTTTCTGGGCTAACTGAGGTGACGTAGGATGATCAGACTATAAGTTCCCAGAAGTTTCTGGGATTCTATTCTTTTAAGATATTAGAGGGCTACCTCAGACATCCAATATGAGCCACTCGAGAATGGTTGAGTTCTTCTCTGTGAGTTGTAAACTTTAAAAATAATAATTCTTATAATGAAATAATTTATTATTGTTAGTATTATTTTATATCATCTAACACTTGTCAAGTGCTTACCATCAGGCATCCTCATCAGAACCTTACAGTTGTCCCATTTTATAACTGAAGAAGCAACTCGACAGGTGACCTAGCTTGTAAATGTTGAAGGTCTGTGTGGAAGACACATCTTTATGGTTGTTATGGATTGAATGTTTGCGTGCCATCACAATTCATATGTTGAAGCTTTAACTCCCTGATGTGGTTTGACTGTATCCCCACCCAAATCTAATCTTGAACTGTAGTTTCCATAATCCCCACGTGTCATGGGAGGGACCCAGTGGGAGATAATTGAATCATGGGGGCAGTTACCTCCACGCTGTTCTCGTGATAGTGAGTGAGTTCTCATAAGATCTGATAGTTTTACAGGGGATTTTCTTCCCCTTTGCTCTGCAATTCTCCTTGTTGCCACCATGTAAAGAAAAAGTGTTTACTTCTCCTTCTGCTATGACTGTAAGTTTCCAGAGGCTTCCCAAGCCCTGTGGAACTGTGAGTCAATTAAACCTTTTTCCTTTATAAATTACCCAGTCTCACGTATATCCTTATAGAAGCCTGAGAATGGACTAATACGACCCCAATACAATGGTATTTAGAGGTGACACCTTGGGAAAGCAATTAGATTTAGGAGAGGTTATAAAGGTATAGCTCCTATAATGAGATTAGTGTCATGAGAAGAGGAAGAGACACTATGGCTCTCTCTCTCTTTCTCTCTCCCTCTCCCTCTGTCCCTTTCTTTGTCTCTCTCTCTCTCTTTCTGCCATGTGAGGACACAGCAAGAAGGCAGCCTTTGGGAAGTCAGGAAAAGAGCCCTCACCAGGAACCAAATCAGCTGGCACTTTTATCTTGGATTTCCCAGCCTCCAGAACCATGAATAACAAATGTCTGCTGTTTAAGTCATTCAGCCTACAATATTTATTTTGATATAGCAGCCCAAGCTGTTTAGGATAATTGTTCTCTTCTCTCCTCATCTATGCCAATTTCTTCTTCAAAGACCACTAGTAAATTAGGAACTCACCCTTATTCCCAGTCCCAATCATCCTGCACATAAGCAAGGCTGAGTTTCAGGGGGCTGAGTCCCTGCCTTAATGTGAGATTGCAGTTTATTCTCTAATTAACTATGCAGAAACATCTTTGGCTAATAAAGTCTAAACAAAGAACATTTAATCCAACTCATCGTTTTTTTCTCCATTATGAGCAGCCTGTCAAACACAATCAGATTCCGCAAGCAAAGCAGAGAGGAGGCAGGCATCAGCCACACCTGCTTAGCAGGGTTGCTAGCAGGAATCTCACAGTCAGAGAACAGTTGGCTGTGCAGATGGCAGAGATGGGAAGATTTGAAGGGAAATCCACTCCCTGACTGGAGCTCAGTGCAGGAAAAGGGTCATTTGAGAGTTGCAGGCAGAGAAACACCTCCTCATTCTTCTGACTTAGCCCAGCCAATGGAAGAGAACTCAGAAAAAACAAAAGCACAAATATTTACAAAGAGCTTCCTATGTGTTCGAAATTTAACATACACAATCTCTATCAAACAATCATCAGGCTAGGGACTAGCTTTCCTACTTTCCAGATGAGAAAAATGAAGACACAAGAGGTAAAATGACTTACTTAAGGTCATACAGCCAGTAAGTAGAGTTGCAGGGATTTGAATCCGTGTCTTCCAGATTCTCTTCTCTGTTCTGGGCTTATTGAAGAATGTTCAATGAGCATCCACTGAACAATTGTTCTATGCCCATCTGTGGGAGCAATGCTGGGTAGAGATGCCAGAAATGTGGACAGCATTGTCCTTCCTTTGAAGATATTCCTGATACAAATAGAAAGAGAAGAATTAATACATCAGGACTAATTTTAAAACAGTGATATGTTGATCTGTGTGGCTATGACTCTGGGTAAGTTACAAAGGAACAGATAATCACAGTTTGTTCTAGCTAGAGTAGTGCCCAGCTCATAACATCTCAGAATTGCAAAGGGTCATCATAACTATGTGCAAATATACCCTTGGTAACCCTTAAAGGTGAAGACCATGTCTGATAAATTGGTCTGCCCAATGTTTTGATCACTGTCAGGAAATAATTGTTGAAGATGTAAATAAAAATTAACCTTAATGTATAAAGAAATTCAGACATCAACTTCTCTCTATATATTTTTACTTTTACTTTTTTTTTAACACTTTCTTTTATTTTATTTTCGTTTTTATTTACTTTTATTTTTTGAGACAGAGTCTTGCTCTGTTGCTCAGGCTGCAGTGCAGTGGCGTGATCTCGGCTCACTGCAACCTCCACCTCCTGGGTTCAAGCGATTCTCGTGTCTCAGCCTCCGAAGTAGCTGGGACTACAGGCATGCCACCACCCACGGCTAATTTTTGCTATTTTTAGTAGAGACGGGGTTTCAAGATGTTGGCCAGGCTGGTCTCAAACTCCTGACCTCAAGTGATCCACCAGCCTCAACCTCCCAGAGTGCTGGGATTACAGGTGTGGACTCCCAGAGTGCTGGGATTACAGGTGTGGCCATCTTCTATATATTTTAGATGAGGAGTGTCATGAACTCCTTTCAGAAATTTATAAGAGCTATGGGAAAAATGCACATAAAACTTTTGATGGTCCAGGTCTCCACAGAAGCTCTTTCATTATTATAACATTCAACATAAGAGGCTGATTCACGAAACTGTGACACATTCAAAGGATACAGTTTTTGTTTGTTTGTTTTTGTTTTTTGTTTTTTTTTAGACAGAGTCTTGCTCTGCACTCAGGCTGAGGTGCAGTGGCGTGATCTTGGCTCACTGCAACCTCAACCTCCCGGGTTCAAGTGATTCTTCTACCTCAGCCTCTTGAGTAGCTGGGACTACAGGGGCCCACCACCATGCCCAGCTAATTGTTGTATTTTTAGTAGAGGTGGGGTTTCACCACATTGGCCGGGTGCGGTGGCTCACGCCTGTGATCCCAACACTTTGGGAGGCCAAGGTGGGTGGATCATTTGAGGTCAGGAGTTTCAGGAAATAGTTTTTAAATATAATGTTTATGATAACGTCAAAGAGAACCACTTGGTTATGAAGTTAAAGGACATGAAACCATGATGCAAATTTTTTACGTGCCTTATGGTCTCTACTAACTATAAAATTTTGATTAAGAGTTCTGGCTATAGCAAGACTCCCTGGGTCCATTCCTAGATTTTTACTTGTCAACAGTGTGGCCTTGGGGAAGCTACTTGCTCCCTTGCTCCCTCAGTATCTTTATATCTAAAAACAGTACTTTTAAAAGGGGACCCTTTTGCACTATTGGTGGGAATGTAAATTAGTACGACTGCTATGAAGAACAGTTTGGAGGGCCCTCAAAAAAAAACTAAAAATCGAGCTGCCATATGATCCAACATTCCCACTGCTGGGTATGTACTCAAAAGAAAGAAAATCGGTGTATTGAAGAGATATCTGCACTCCTACGTTTGTTGCAGCACTGTTTACAATAGCCAAGATTTGGAAGTGACCTAAGTGTCCATCAACAGATGAATGGATAAAGAGAATGTGGTACATATACATAATGGAATATTATTCAGCCCTGAAAAGGAATGAGAACCTGTCATTTGCAACAATGTGGCTGCAACTGGAGATCATTATGTTAAGTGAAATAAGCCAGGCACAGAAAGACAAACATCGCATGTTCTTGCTTATTTGTGGGATCTAAAAATCAAATGAATTGAACTCATGGACATAGTAGAAGTATGGTTACCAGAGGCTGGGAAGGGTAATGGATGGTTGGGAGGAAGGTGGGGATGGTTAATGGGTATCAAAAAAAAAAAAAAAATAGAAAGAGCAAATAAGACCTGCTCTTTGGTAGCACAGTAGGGTGACCATAGTCAATAATAACTTAATTGTATATGTTAAAATAAAGAAAGTAATTGGATTGTTTGTAACTCAAAGGATAAATACTCCATTCTCCATAATGTGCTTATTTCACATTGCATGCTTGTATCAAAACATCTCATGTACCCCACAAACATACACATCTACATACCCACAAAAAATTTTTGAAAATTAAAAATTAAAAAATGATACTTTCTGCATAGCGTAATTGTAAGAATTAAATGATAAAATATACTATAGATAAAGCATTTTGCACAGTGCCTGTCACTGAGAAAAATTTTCATAAACACTGTCTATTATTATTATTATTCTTATATTTTGTTTACTTCAAAAATTACTCTGGGAGGCTGAGGTAGGAGGATCCCTTGAGCCTGGGAGGCTGAGGCTGCCGTGAGCCATGTTTGTGTCACTGTACTCTAGCCTGAGTGACAGAACGTGACCATATTTCAATAAAATTTACTGTGTAATTTAGTCTTATTTTACATATCACACACCCTCACATGCACACACACACACATGCACACACTACATTATCTATAGAATTTACCTCTGAGAGGAGAATAGGATTGTTTATGGAAAGTGATGGAACCCTTCAAATATACCCTTCACACATTTTTCCAATAAGAATGTATATGCATGCATTACTGCAAATCGAAAGAAGAGACTGCACTGCAAATTTGTAGTATTAGGGCAAATGTAAGCCATTCTTTCCTCTACTTTATTCATAGAATAGAATATCTTCTGCGTACTGAAATTTTAGCCTTTTTAAGATAGAGGGTCTCAGTTGACACTCACTGTTTAACTTCTCCAAGGAAAGAGAAGAAACATGCAAAGGTCCATTGAATATTGCAAAAGCCTCACTGGAAAACAGATGCCTGAAGGACTAGTTCACTACCTTGCATATTTTCATCTATGCCATTGGTATCCTGAAATGAATAGCCCCATCCATTCCCAGAGGGTCAAATCACCCAAATAGAAGTTCTCTGCTGCCATCTAATTAAGCAATGGAACCAAAAACAAAGGCTATTAAATGTCTCCTTGAAATGTTAAGTTTTCAATTCTAGAAGTGTGCTTCGCCATTCAAACAATAATATTTAGGCATGAAATATTTCTTTCTACTTTCCTCCATAGAGACTTGGCCATGGGCAATTAGTAAGCCCTGGCAGGCTGCCGTTCAAAAGAGAATGAGATGAAGCTGGATATTCTAGGAACCAAGTAGAAGTTATTCTGAGGAGTACATGTTAGATAATTCACTTAAACAAAATTTCAAAGACATTCACAGTGTTTAAATTATCCAAACAACAGAACTCCTATGAGAGTTTTGTGGCCGATGAACTCAAGAGAATATCAGCAGAGAGGAAAGCATATATTTCCTGATGAACAGGAAATTTCAGAACCATCAGGAGAAAAATGGGGGAAAGGTATCTATGGTCACTAAACAGCCACTGTTGCTGTCTCAGGTGATGAGAAGAATTAATTTGGGTGTTAATGTAAAAAAAAAAAAAAAAGAATCTTACCAATTACTTGGTATTTTTTGTAGAATGTTCCCAGAGTCCTCTGTCAAAGCTGGGGCAAATAATGACCCACTCTTTGGCAATAATAGGAAAGAAAATATGTTTTATATTCTTATCTTTATTTATTAAATAAATATGTATTGAGTGTCTTCTTTCTGCCACCTCTGTTGTAGACATCTTTTTCTAGCAGTGAACAAAATAGGCAAAGAGATGTTTAGAAGGAAATGAAGATAATTATCAAACAAACATATACACAAATAATACAAATCCAGTTACTACTAAGTGCTATGAAAGGCAAAAACAAAGTAAAATAATACATGGTGCCTGGGTTGACCAGAGAGGCCTTGATCTGGGCTGATCTGAGGAGGTGGCATGGGAATGGAGGTTGAATAATGACCAGGAGTCACCTATGTGAATATTTGAAGATAACGTGCTTCTGCCAAAGGGACCAGCAAGTACAAAGGGCCAGAGGAGGGGCTGGGATATAAGAATGTTATAGGACTAGCAGGTGTGTATGCCATTGCACAGTAACAGACCAATACACTGATACAGCAGGCTTTGCAGCAGAGAAAGAGTTTAATGATGGTGGGGCACCAAGGGAGGAGATGGGAGGGCACCTTCAGTCTATCACCCTGAGGAGTTCTGGGCTGGTTTTTTGTTTGTTTGTTTGTTTGTTTGAGACAGAGTCTCACTCTGTCTTATAGGCTGGAGTGCAGTGGCGCGATCTCAACTTACTGCAACCTCTGCCTCCCAGATTCAAGCGATTCTCCTGCCTCAGCCTCCTAAGTAGCTGGGACTACAGGCTCCCGCCATCACAGCAGGCTAATTATTTGTATTTTTAGTAGAAGCAGGGTTTCACCACGTTAGCCAGGATGGTCTCAATCTCCTGACTTCGTGAACTGCCCGCCTGGGCCTCCCCAAGTGCAGGGATTACAGGTATGAGCCACCGCGCCTGGCCTGGGCTGTGGTTTTTAATAGAATCATGAAGGATGAGGGGTTGGAAAATTGGGGTCATTGATTGGTAGGGTAAGGGGGGTTGAAATCATCTGAATGTGGAGACTGCATTCCTCAATGAGTTAGCTTCTCATGGGGTCCTTCAGACCAGCTGACATTAATAGTTTCATTGGTATGCAGGACCTGAAAGAATATTTCAGATGGGACACATAACATTTCATCATGTTCAAGTTGTTAGCTGTAGAGGAGTGAAGGGGAACTATGATCTAGGGTTTACATGATTCTAGGACAATAGGCACCAAATAGCTATGTAGAAGCAGGTCAGAGACCAAGCTGGCCTCATGATGAATGTTGTATGTGCCACAAATTTGGCTCATTTTCATTTCTCCCCCTCCCTTCTTCCCAGATTTCATTCACGCAATGGGTAGGGACTTTCAAGAAGAACAGCAAGAAGCCCAGAGTGATGGCAAGGTTTAAGAAGAAGAATAGTAGGCATTTTATTCAACCAGTCTCTGATAGGCAGACATCAGGCAGGGACCTGAATTTACTTTTTTCCCACTAATTAAGAGATAATGTGGACGAGTGCGGTGGCTCACACCTGAGGATGAGATAGATGGATCACTTGAGGTTAGGAGTTCCAGACCAGCCTGGGCAACATGGTGAAACCTCATCTCCACTAAAAATACAAAAATTAGCTGGGCATGGTGGTGTGTGCTTGTAATCCCAACTACTCGGGAGGCTGAGGCAGGAGAATCTCTTGAGCCCAGGAGGCAGAGTTTGCAGTAAGCTGCGAGTGCACCACCACTGCACTCCAGCCTGGGCAACAGAGTGAGAGTCTGTCTCAAAAATAAAAATCCAGAACTTACGAGCTGACTGGGCACAGTGGCTCACGCCTGTAATCCCAGCACTTCGGCTGAGGTGGGAGGACCACTTGAGGTCAGGAGTTCGAGACCAGCCTTGCCAACATAGTGAAACCCCGTCTCTACTACAAATACAAAAAAAAAAAAAAAGAAACAATTAGCCGGGCATGGTGGTGATCACCTGTAATCCCAGCTACTCAGGAGGCTGAGGCAGGAGAATCTCTTAACCCAGGAGGTGGAGGTTGCAGTGAGCCAAGATTCCGCCACTGCACTCCAGCCTGGGTGACAGAGTAAGAGTCCATCTCAAAATAATAATAATAATAATAATTAGAGTGAATGTTACTATTATCCTTACTCACAGATTCAAAATGTGTGATTTGTCTATTTATAGACAACCTCACAGGAACATGCTGTGTCATCATCTCTCTTTTCCTGAAATGCAGGGTGTAGGAATGAGTGCCTGGCTTAGCAAGAAGGCTCAGCCTCCCCTACATAGCATATCACTGTTGTTCACAGCCTGTCATCCCATCCTGAGAACCATCAGAAAGTGACCACGACTTGTTACTTTGTGAAATAAATGTTCCTTACAGGAAACCCCACTGCTTGTCCTGAAAATGGAAATGATAAGAAGTAGCAGGGATTTAAGGAAGTGGTGATTCTGAGACAGAAACGTATTTCATGTGGGAATTTAGTTTTATACTTAGAGACTCATTGCTTTTCTTCCGTCATGCTTTATGGCATTCACAAGGAATATTGAATGCTGCTCTGGTGGTATTTAGAAATTTGAGGATTAGTGAAGGTCTTGGGTCTTCTCCCTCATAGATAGAAACATCTCACCATCAAGGATACATGTGACGCCCTGGGTCCCATCATCATCATTGTCATTGTCATCATCATCATCATGAGGAAATATTGAATAGCCTATAGAGTCTAGGCTTGGGAACCTGCTCATTTTGCGTTGAATTCCGTCTGTATTTTTCTAGATATGTGACTTCATGCAAGGCTTTATATTCCCTGCCTCAGTTTCCCCATGACTGAGGGATAAAAATAGCACCTTCCTGAATGGATTGTTGTGAGGATTAACTGCACACATACATGGGAAGTGCCTGGAATGAGGGACAGTCATTGGGATTGTTTCCATATGGGAAAGAAGGTGTATCTGTTTGTGATATATACAAACGGGGATTTCATGTGTTTTAATTACCCAACCCTGCTTCTGAGACATGAAGTCAGATGTATGTGGATAATAATCTATTAATGTCTTGCTTCTCACCATGGAGGATAAATGTGATGCCCTGGATTTTCAGCTGCCCCCGGCCTGATGCCATTCTGCCCTTCCTGTCTAGACCCAGGAGTCAGCTCCCAGAGGAGATACTGAATCCACAATCCAGCTGGTGTATGAAACAGGGAAGGCAACAGGATTCCAGCTGCAGCCTCTAGCCCCACCCTCCCGGTGACACATTCCCCTTGGCGAACCCTCCAGAATCTCAATAATTCACCGCAGTCACCATGCTCAGACAGGTTGCTTGGAAAAGTGAGTTCTGAGCCAAGGGTTTTGGCAGGTCTTAAAATATTTCCTTCTGTGCAACTGCAATCACATCTCCATCATGGGCACCTGGGAGTGCAGCAAGGCATAAAGGGGAGAGGAATGAGGAACAAATGCAGCTCTTGGTTTATAATTTACCCTTGTCACAGAGATCCAGGCACAACCAATCTGGCTTGTAGTGTGAAATCCGGGACAATTGGAGTGACGCCTTTTTCGTTACATGTATGTTCATTTTCCCAGATAAAGAAAATGCAGGTCTAATCCCAGAGTAGCTACCAATTGCTTCTGCAATTCCAATGACCGAAGCTCAGATAAAAAAAAATGCATGCGTCAGTCTTCGCACTCCACTAGCTCCCACAAGGTTTATTACCTCCTTTTTTTCACCAGAAATTGCTGGAAAAGGAGGGGAAAACATTGATGACACAGACAAGCACTTGACAAGAGCTCAGTCTGAATTCTCCGTAGAGAGATACGTGTGGTGGTTGCAGGGAAAATCATCATAAAGACCATGTTAAATATTAAGGTCCAAGAGGTAAAGGTTTAGGTGTACGATGTTGCTATTTTATACCTCATTCTTAGCAAAAGGCTTGGCACATTGTATATGTTAATACATTATTGAAGCACAGGAGAAAAAGAAGAAAAGTAAGAAAGATCTTATCAATCAGATGATCCCTTAATGAGATGTGATTCAATCTGTGCATTCAGAATCCACTGAATATGGCTCTCTCTCTCTCTCTCTCTCTCACACACACACACACACACACACACACGCACACATTGCATTGATGGCTAGGCTTATGCATGTCACACCTGTTAATTATTTATGGATTCCCAAAGACCTAGTAAGGTAATAAAATTAGCCTATATCTATTGAGATTCACTATATACTAGACACCATGCCAAATACTTTAATTACTATTTTCATCTCTAATTTATACATGAAGAAACTGAAAGATGGAATTTTCTTTTCCTTCAATCCAAGGTCACTCAAATTCTACATGGAAGAGCCAAGTTTTGGTATTGTACTGCCTGACCACATTCCCCACTGTTAGCTCCCACTTCTCTATTTATAAGTAAAGGATGAAATGAAGTAAAACAGAGGCTCACAGAGGTGCAGCGACATCCACAGTAACACATGGCAAGTCAGGTGCGGAGCAGGAGTTGGAACTCAGCTTTCCCAGCCCCTACACGGGTGACCTTCCCTCTGTGGTTCCAAACCTTCACTGGCAGTCATTGATACTTGAGAATATAGGCAACTTGAACGTATCTCTGCCCTTGCCATGAAATTTTGGGGAGCCCACTGACCATACACTTACAAAAATATTTTGTAAAATCTACTGGGGATGAAGAATTTTGTAAAAGATGATATTAAGTCAGTTCAGATTCTCAGTTGCAGGTGAAAGATGACCAACTAAGACGAAATTAAGCAACAACAGAGGAATGGTGTGAGAATGAGGCTATTTTGTTAGGTCGTAGAACCAACAATTCCTTGCATGAAACTGGATTTTGGATTCAGGTGTCACTTATTGCAGGGGCTTAAATAATATCACCAGTTCTCTATTCTCTCTCTCTCTCTTTTTTTTTTTTTTTCTGAGACAGAGTCTCAATCTGGCGCCTAGGCTGGAGTGCTGTGGTGCCATCTTGACTCACAGCAACCTCTGCCTCCCGGGTTCACTCCATTCTCCTGCCTCAGCCTTCTGAGTAGCTGGGACTACAGGTGCCCGCCACAATGCCCGGCTAATTTTTTGTATTTTTGGTAGTGACCGGGTTTCACCATGTTAGCCAAGATGGTCTCGATCTCCTGACCTCGTGATCTGCCCGCCTGGCCTCCCAAAGTGCTGGGATTACAGGCGTGAGCCATTGCGCCCGGCCCTGTCTCTCTCTTGTTCTATCTCTTTTATCTCTCTCTCTCCACTCAGATCTGTTTTCTTCTTTGTTGGTTTATTTCTCAACCAGACCCACTTTAAGTGAATGTAATGTTCCAGACTTACACAGACCTCGCAGTCTTTGAGGAAGAGGGATCTCTTTCTTTTTTTTATTTTGTTTTATTATTATTATACTTTATTATATTTTATTATTATTATACTTTAAGTTTTAGGGTACATGTGCAGGTTAGTTACATATGTATACATGTGCCATGCTGGTGTGCTGCACCCATTAACTCGTCATTTAGCATTAGGTATATCTCCTAAAGCTATCCCTCCCCTCTCCCCCCACCCCACAACAGTCTCCAGAGTGTGATGTTCCCCTTCCTGTGTCCATGTGTTCTCATTGTTCAATTCCCACCTATGAGTGAGAATATGCGGTGTTTGGTTTTTTGTTCTTGCCATAGTTTACTGAGAATGATGATTTCCAATTTCATCCATGTCCCTACAAAGGACAAGAACTCATCATTTTTTATGGCTGCGTAGTATTCCATGGTGTATATGTGCCACATTTTCTTTTTTTTTTTTTTTTAATTTTTTTTTTTTTTTATTATACTCTAAGTTTTAGGGTACATGTGCACATTGTGCAGGTTAGTTACATATGTATACATGTGCCATGCTGGTGCGCTGCACCCACTAACGTGTCATCTAGCATTAGGTATATCTCCCAGTGCTATCCCTCCCCCCTCCCCCGACCCCACCACAGTCCCCAGAGTGTGATATTCCCCTTCCTGTGTCCATGTGATCTCATTGTTCAATTCCCACCTATGAGTGAGAACATGCGGTGTTTGGTTTTTTGTTCTTGCGATAGTTTACTGAGAATGATGGTTTCCAATTTCATCCATGTCCCTACAAAGGACATGAACTCATCATTTTTTATGGCTGCATAGTATTCCATGGTGTATATGTGCCATGTTTTCTTAATCCAGTCTATCATTGTTGGATATTTGAGTTGGTTCCAAGTCTTTGCTATTGTGAATAGTGCCGCAATAAACATACGTGTGCATGTGTCTTTATAGCAGCATGATTTATAGTCCTTTGGGTATATACCCAGTAATGGGATGGCTGGGTCAAATGGTATTTCTATTTCTAGATCCCTGAGGAATCGCCACACTGACTTCCACAATGGTTGAACTAGTTTACAGTCCCACCAACAGTGTAAAAGTGTTCCTATTTCTCCACATCCTCTCCAGCACCTGTTGTTTCCTGACTTTTTAATGATTGCCATTCTAACTGGTGTGAGATGATATCTCATAGTGGTTTTGATTTGCATTTCTCTGATGGCCAGTGATGATGAGCATTTCTTCATGTGTTTTTTGGCTGCATAAATGTCTTCTTTTGAGAAGTGTCTGTTCATGTCCTTCGCCCACTTTTTGATGGGGTTGTTTGTTTTTTTCTTGTAAATTTGTTTGAGTTCATTGTAGATTCTGGATATTAGCCCTTTGTCAGATGAGTAGGTTGTGAAAATTTTCTCCCATGTTGTAGGTTGCCTGTTCACTCTGATGGTAGTTTCTTTTGCTGTGCAGAAGCTCTTTAGTTTAATTAGATCCCATTTGTCAATTTTGGCTTTTGTTGCCATTGCTTTTGGTGTTTTGGACATGAAGTCCTTGCCCACGCCTATGTCCTGAATGGTAATGCCTAGGTTTTCTTCTAGGGTTTTTATGGTTTTAGGTCTAACGTTTAAATCTTTAATCCATCTTGAATTGATTTTTGTATAAGGTGTAAGGAAGGGGTCCAGTTTCAGCTTTCTACATATGGCTAGCCAGTTTTCCCAGCACCATTTATTAAATAGGGAATCCTTTCCCCATTGCTTGTTTTTCTCAGGTTTGTCAAAGATCAGATAGTTGTAGATATGCGGCATTATTTCTGAGGGCTCTGTTCTGTTCCATTGATCTATATCTCTGTTTTGGTACCAGTACCATGCTGTTTTGGTTACTGTAGCCTTGTAGTATAGTTTGAAGTCAGGTAGTGTGATGCCTCCAGCTTTGTTCTTTTGGCTTAGGATTGACTTGGCGATGCGGGCTCTTTTTTGGTTCCATATGAACTTTAAAGTAGTTTTTTCCAATTCTGTGAAGAAAGTCATTGGTAGCTTGATGGGGATGGCATTGAATCTGTAAATTACCTTGGGCAGTATGGCCATTTTCACGATATTGATTCTTCCTACCCATGAGCATGGAATGTTCTTCCACTTGTTTGTGTCCTCTTTTATTTCCTTGAGCAGTGGTTTGTAGTTCTCCTTGAAGAGGTCCTTCACATCCCTTGTAAGTTGGATTCCTAGGTATTTTATTCTCTTTGAAGCAATTGTGAATGGGAGTTCACTCATGATTTGGCTCTCTGTTTGTCTGTTGTTGGTGTATAAGAATGCTTGTGATTTTTGTACATTGATTTTGTATCCTGAGACTTTGCTGAAGTTGCTTATCAGCTTAAGGAGATTTTGGGCTGAGACGATGGGGTTTTCTAGATAAACAATCATGTCGTCTGCAAACAGGGACAATTTGACTTCCTCTTTTCCTAATTGAATACCCTTTATTTCCTTCTCCTGCCTGATTGCCCTGGCCAGAACTTCCAACACTATGTTGAATAGGAGCGGTGAGAGAGGGCATCCCTGTCTTGTGCCAGTTTTCAAAGGGAATGCTTCCAGTTTTTGCCCATTCAGTATGATATTGGCTGTGGGTTTGTCATAGATAGCTCTTATTATTTTGAAATACGTCCCATCAATACCTAATTTATTGAGAGTTTTTAGCATGAAGGGTTGTTGAATTTTGTCAAAGGCTTTTTCTGCATCTATTGAGATAATCATGTGGTTTTTGTCTTTGGCTCTGTTTATATGCTGGATTACATTTATTGATTTGCGTATATTGAACCAGCCTTGCATCCCAGGGATGAAGCCCACTTGATCATGGTGGATAAGCTTTTTGATGTGCTGCTGGATTCGGTTTGCCAGTATTTTATTGAGGATTTTTGCATCAATGTTCATCAAGGATATTGGTCTAAAATTCTCTTTTTTGGTTGTGTCTCTGCCCGGCTTTGGTATCAGAATGATGCTGGCCTCATAAAATGAGTTAGGGAGGATTCCCTCTTTTTCTATTGATTGGAATAGTTTCAGAAGGAATGGTACCAGTTCCTCCTTGTACCTCTGGTAGAATTCGGCTGTGAATCCATCTGGTCCTGGACTCTTTTTGGTTGGTAAACTATTGATTATTGCCACAATTTCAGAGCCTGTTATTGGTCTATTCAGAGATTCAACTTCTTCCTGGTTTAGTCTTGGGAGAGTGTATGTGTCGAGGAATGTATCCATTTCTTCTAGATTTTCTAGTTTATTTGCGTAGAGGTGTTTGTAGTATTCTCTGATGGTAGTTTGTATTTCTGTGGGATCGGTGGTGATATCCCCTTTATCATTTTTTATTGTGTCTATGTGCCACATTTTCTTAATCCAGTCTATCATTGTTGGACATTTGGGTTGGTTCCAAGTCTTTGCTATTGTGAATAGTGCCGCAATAAACATACGTGTGCATGTGTCTTTATAGCAGCATGATTTATAGTCCTTTGGGTATATACCCAGTAATGGGATGGATGGCTGGGTCAAATGGTATTTCTATTTCTAGATCCCTGAGGAATCGCCACACTGACTTCCACAATGGTTGAACTAGTTTACAGTCCCACCAACAGTGTGAAAGTGTTCCTATTTCTCCACATCCTCTCCAGCACCTGTTGTTTCCTGACTTTTTAATGATTGCCATTCTAACTGGTGTGAGATGGTATCTCATTGCGGTTTTGATTTGCATTTCTCTGATGGCCAGTGACGGTGAGCATTTTTTCATGTGTTTTTTGGCTGCATAAATGTCTTCTTTTGAGAAGTGTCTGTTCATATCCTTCACCCACTTTTTGATGGGGTTGTTTGTTTTTTTCTTGTAAATTTGTTAGAGTTCATTGTAGATTCTGCATATCAGCCCTTTGTCAGATGAGTAGGTTGCGAAAATTTTCTCCCATTTTGTAGGTTGCCTGTTCACTCTGATGGTAGTTTGTTTTGCTGTGCAGAAGCTTTTTAGTTTAATTAGATCCCATTTGTCAATTTTGGCTTTTGTTGCCATTGCTTTTGGTGTTTTAGGAAGAGGGATCTCTTTCTTAGTAGCCTTATCAATACCTGATTAGCCCTTCTTGGGTCATGTCCACCCGTGGGCCTCCTGGACCCATGACTGTATCTAGGAGGAGAGCTTGCTCTCATCGGTTAGCTACAGTTACATGGCCATCTTATTGGTTAAGACAGAAAGGACAGAATGAGGAACTTTGAAAAGAGAGAGAGAGATTTTATAACCAGAAAAATGAGGAGACACCGGACAAGATATCAGACTAGACGTCTATTGCTGACCTATATTCAAGCCATGCAATGTCTACAAAAGGCTCATTCAAATCCTCAAGTTCTGCTCAAATGGCTTATCAAGAACTATGAATCTGACCCACTCAGTGTGACAGGGGTGTTTGCTGAAGCAAAGTCTGCATTGTCCGCCAAATGTCTCTCCTAGAATCCTCTCATTATAGAAAGATTTAATCATTTATCATTTAAAAAAATACTTCCCAACATCTGAAATCCTAGAGGTAAAGAAAGGCAGAAACACGTGTCTTTGAGTTGGCAAAACTTCGTGTAAGGCAGAGCATTGTTTTTGGCTGACCGCAGCATCAAACGAGGTGATTTTTATTGACAGTCTCCTTGAGCAGGATGGATGTCTTCATAAGCCCAAGAAGGAAAGAAAGCAGCAAAAACGAAGACAGAAGGAAGCCGAGGAGACAGTGTGACAAATATTGAAACGAGTAGGAAATTGTTTTAAAAAATCAGAGATCCATGGAGAATACTGAACAACCTTTGCCCACAGATGAACAGACAAGCACAATTGCACACTGCAGGTTCTGAAGGCTCAAATGCGAGCTTGGATTTACTTTCACCACCATTAGAAGAGTAATGGGCCTCTTTGGAAAAGGAGGATGCCATTAGGATCCCAAACTAAGTTTTCTTCATGCTGCAATATGACACTCTGTGATCAATCCTTCTCAGCCACTACGTGAAAAGAACCAGCATTTCCTATTATCCTTTTATTTGTACTCTTGTTTCTTTGCCCCTCCTTTTATTTTTTATTTTTATTTTGGCATCTGAACATGTGACGATGAAGATCCTTAGCTGATATTTAAATTCTCGTCCCAGAATCTGCACATTGGCATTTTATTTTAGATCACTTCTATAGACTATCAGAAATGTTATGAATGAAATGTGATACATCAGCCGGAAAGCCAGAACCTTCTGAAGGGCTTAACAGTTGAAGACATGATTCCTTCATTGTTGACAGAGCTAGGACACCGTGTTCTTGTTCACCAACTCTGGTCATTTCAAATATGATGATAAGAAGTCATGTGGCCAACTTTATGTGGCTACAGTAGGTGCTTCTATTGACAAAATCTAGAAGTGTGGGGCACACTTCCACATGAGCAAATTGTTTTGCCTGAAATAGTATGTGATGTATTGGAATCTCTCTTTTCAAAATTTCTCATCCTGTCCTTTCTTTTTTTTTTTTTTGTGAGACGGAGTCTGGCTCTGTTGTCCAGGCTAGAGTGCAGTGGTGCAATCTTGGCTCACTGCAACTTCTGCCTCCCGGGTTCAAGAGATTCTCCTTCCTTGGCCTCCCAAGTAGCTGGGATTATAGGTGCCTGCCACCACGACCAGCTAATTTTTGTATTTTTAATGGAGATGGGGTTTTGCCATGTTGGCCAGGCTGATCTTAAACTCCTGACCTCAGGTGATCTGCCCCGCTCAGCCTTCCAAAGTGCTGGGATTACAGGCATGAGCCACTGTGCCCAGCCCTTTCTGTCTTCTTAACCAATAAGGTTGCCATGTGACTGCAGCTGAGCCATGAGAGCATGCTCTCCTTTCAGACACAGTCATTGGTCCAGGAGGCCAGGGGGGTAGACACGACCCAAACTTAAATCAAAGAGATCTGGGCGAATTAAAATGATATAATTACAACAACAATAATAACAGGAAAAATATAGAGTGGTACAGTATGCTGGCCCTGTGTTAGGCATCCTAGATACATTGTCTCAATTGATTCTTGTAACAGCCCTATAAAGTTGATATAATGACATGCCCATTTTATAAATGGGGAAATGGAGGCAGAGGGCAAATGAGCAACATGTGCCAGCCTGCAGAACTGACAAGCAACTGAGCTGGGATTTAAATCTAGCTGCCCCTGTCTCAAAGCTTGGACTCATCAACGTTTCTCTATGCTAATCCTGCTTCGGTTACGACCTTACTTTGTGAACTTGAGAAAGTCACTTCCTTTCTAAGTTTGTTTATCTGTAAAATGAGATTGATTTAAATTTGTGGAAATCACATTTTGTTAAAGTGTGTGAGCCTTTTTTAAAAAAGGCCAAAACATTTTTTCAAGCATCCAAATATGTTTGTTTTTTTAATGGTCATTGAGAAAATAAAGAAAATACAACTTCTGTGTATTCAATATTTTAATTATTTATAAATAAGAGAAAACACTTAATAGTGCTTAAAAGCACAGCCTCCAGAGTCATAGCATTTGGGTGCAAATTTCACATCTGCCACTTACTGGCTATGTGAATTTGGACAAATTGTATACCTTTCTCTGTCTCAGTTCTCTCTTCTAAAAAGTAGCTAATAATAGCAACCTCCCTCATGGGGTAATTTCAAAGATCAAGTGAGTTTCTATTTGGAATGCACTTAGAAAGAGCATTGAAGAATAGTAAACGCTACGTAAATCTCACCTATTCTTATTGCATTTCACAAATCACAGTGACTTTTTTTATATTATCACAAAAGTACTAATTTTTCAGAAAAGACTAGATATATGTGTAGAAACTCGGGGAAGACCACAGGGTTCTGAAGCAGAAAGATAGAAAATGAAATATAAAATTATTTCTGAGCTTTCTTCCTATCTGATCATTGTATGAAAAGAAAAATAAGAAAGAAAAACTCTTCTGCCCTCAAACTTCTGACATCACACAACCTACTTCTCAAGACTTCTCAGATGGAAAAAAAAAAGTTTAGGGCAAATGGTTTTTTTTCCACTGGACTGCAAGCTCTTGGAGTCAGGAATTCATAGGTGTTTCACATTTGTGACTATCCTTACCAACCCCCCATCTTCATGCCTACTCTAGCATCGCAAAACACGTGGTCTTGTAAGTAGTAGATTCTCATGCAACTTGTGAAGAAAAAAGGGAGGAGAGAAAGGAAGAAGAGAGGAACTTGACATTTATACATTCCTGTTCTAAAACAGGGTTGCCTTGGAATTTGCTGGTTGGAAAAAGTTCAGAAAACCGTTGACTATGTGGACCAGGAAGTGGGAGAAATGATCAAGACTGAAAGTCACCTGTGTAAGGAATCTGCGAAGCCCCACACACAACTCGGCCCTGGTGCATCAGCCTTTGGTTACATTTGAATGTCATTTTCAATTACTTCCAGCCCTTCTTACTTCCTACCAAACCTCGGCTTTTAGGGGGGTTCCATGGTACACCCGCTACATCCTTCCTCACTTCGATATTTCTTACCTCCTACCCCTAGGCCCCATTTTCTCACCCTCTGACTTTTCCTTCCTGACACTGTTAAACAGAAAATCCTACTAAATCCTGAGTTGGAATACGGGCCACTGGCTGCATCTGTGCTAAACTGCTTGTAATGACAGCAAGTGTTGATTTAGCACAGTGACTGAGAGGAGAGTCCCTGAGCCTCACTGTTAGGGCTTAATTCCTGGCTGTGTTGCTTACTAGTTATGTGACCTTGAGTGGGTACTTTAAATTCTCTATGCCTCACTTGAATCCTCCAGAAAACTGAGGTAATAGTAATAATACTACCCATTGTATGGGGTTATTATAAAAATGAGATAAACTTAGAACTGTGCCTAGCACATGGTAATCATCACATGATTCAAACACTTACTGTGTCCTGGCCATATTGTCCTGCAAATTGTTTGTTTTACCTAAAATGTGATTAAATCTATTCTTTTTTCTTTTTCTGGCTACCTGCTACTTCTCCATCAGTCTCAGGTGAAATGACAGCATGTCTTGAAAACATCTTTTTACTTTCATCGTCTAGATTAGTTCTTCATTCTTTGTGTCCGTTTAATGCTGGAATTGGATACATCAGCAGAGAATATGGTTTTGCTTTATGTTGCAAAGTCAGTTTGCTTATCTCTCCCACTGGACTAAGGACTTCTTAAGAGCAGATGCTGTGAACTACATACTATTTTATACCAAACATCTGGTGTCCCCACAAAATGACCCTTTGTCTGTCCTGACAGCATGTGGTTTGGTTGGTGGGCAAGCAGAGGCTTTGGGGAAAGACAGATGTGAACTCATCTCCTACTCTGCTATCTCAGTCTCATTCATGTTGGTACCACATTCATATTTTCTTCACTTATTCACTACCACTGCTTTAATTTTGCATGATCTCACTTGAATTCTGCAGATCATTAGAGACCAGACCTATTTGGTTCCCTTGTCTCCAACTGCTCCTTCTTCCCATATGTCCTACATATTGCTAGATTAATCTTCTCAAAATGCAAATGTGATTATTGTTTACTTCCCTGTCTCTCTCATTAGACTCTAAATGCATTATATCTTTCTCTGTGTCTATAGTCCCAGAATAATATCTGAGGCAAAACAGGTGCTCAAATTATCTAACCCTACTTTTTTCCTTTCTTCTATGTTTATATACTTGGCCCCTAATAAAGAACAATTTATATGTCCATAAGGAGGATAACAAATTAATTAAGTATATAGTAGCTTATTCATAGAGTGGAACCCTATACAGAAGATGAAATCCAAGAACTATATCTGTTAGCATTTACATGGATATTGAAAAAACAGAATCCTTGAATGAACAAATTCAGTTTCAGCATGATATGCATAGTAGGATACAATTTATCTAGATTACTAACATATTCTGTATATTTTTATGATTAGTCAATTTATACAAAAGATGGGCCATAGGAAAAAAAATATATTATTTCCTCTGGGGAAGAGGTAACAAAATGTCTTTGAGGAGGGCAGGATGTGAAATTTAGCTTTATTTACAGAGAGGGAGAGAATAAGAGAGAGAAAAAATATCTAAGAATAGAAAAATAAAACCCTAAATAAACTAAACTGCACAAAGGGCTAAGATATTTATGAAAAAGAAGAAACCCAGAAACCCATGAGTTCTCTCATCCCTGGGAAAGGCAGAGAGGCAGCAAACCCACCATAGATTGAAAGGAGAAATCAGCCAAACCTTTAATAGGCCTTGTGGTCTGGCATGGTAGATTCAAATCTATGAAGCCCCAGTGAAAGACGCAGTCTGCATTAACCTGGCAGCTCTTCACCTTGGGTGGGATGGCTTCACTGAGTGC
Organism: Homo sapiens; assembly: GCF_000001405.40. Lineage (NCBI taxonomy): Eukaryota > Metazoa > Chordata > Mammalia > Primates > Hominidae > Homo > Homo sapiens. The sequence goes on along the minus strand of NC_000016.10, from coordinate 8,051,939 downwards.
ACAGTGGGAGATTGCTGAGTCTGGGAGTAGCAAAGAAAGGCTTAAAGGAGTCTCAAGGAGTACACATTTTTCTCTGAGTGCATGGCAATGGCCTGCTGATGGTCAGATTGGTTGAGAGAAAACCTTGAGGCACAGACTGTTTAGTTGTGGTCGGACAAAGGTTGGGGCAGCACAGCAGAACTGAGACACATCCCCCAAGAAACATGGGGTCTTCACCAGGTACAAGACGGTAGCCTGATGAAGCTGGGAGCAGAATAGTGTGGTGAGTAGAAATCACTTGAGGCAGAGAAAGATGGGGTGGGCTGAGGAGTAAAAAGAGCTTTTAAATGACCCCAAAGCTGGTGGCTCATCAGTTAAGTATAGAGAGATCTTAAAAGTGTAGCCAGTGCTCAGATCCCAAACTGTTGAAGGGGAAGTCCTGATCCTACTCCCAAAATATTTTAAGCCAGTTGTGAACTGAATCTAACTAGAACTGTAACAAAACCTAGACAGGTTTAACTTAGATTATATTGACTTAGCCCCAATTGTATCAATCTGACTAAGGAAGAGACATGCATTTTCCCAGGGAAAATGTTATCCTCGTGTTTCTACTGTTTGTTTATACACAAGACATGTATACTTATACTTAAAACACATTTGCAAAATAACGTGATTCATCATCAAGAGTAAAAATGGCCAACACAAGAAGATCTGCAGGTGCCACAGATGTAAGAATTGGCAGAAACAAGTAAAATAACTACAATAAATACTTTACAGCATCTGGTAGAAAACATTCCAAGCACATTAACAGTTAGGAAATTTTAGTAGAGAAGTAGAGCTATTTTTTAAAAAAGCAAATAGATCTGAAAAGCAATATCAGAAAAAATTACTCCATGGGCTTATAAGAACATGGAGCACAGCAGAAAAATCTGTGAATTTGAAAACATGTCAATAAAAATTGTCCACACTGAAGCACAGTGATAAATAAAGAAAAGAAGAAAGAGGAGGAGGAAGAGGAGGAGGAGGAGGAGAAGGAGGAGGAGGAAGGAATATTGAATCTAGGATTTGTATGTGGGACAACATCAAACCATTCAACATACACATACTTGGAGTTCTAAAAGAAGAAGAGAAAGAGAATGGAGCAGAAAAAATAAATATTTGAAGAGAAAATAGCAAGAAAAAAATAATTAGTGAAAAAACAACAGTCTATAGTTAGAAAAACACCATCAAACCACAAGCAAAATAAATGCAAAGAAAACCATATTGGGGCAAACTACTAAAAACTCTTATATTCTGCATGAAATTATATTTGCTGCCATTTTGTTTAGAAAATGAAAATTTAAAAGTACCTCATGTATAACAGATAATAAATACTTGATGGTTGATTAACTGGATTAATTAATCATGTTTCTTATAAGCTAAAATCCTTCGGGAACTCCACATTGCCAAAGTAATAATGTACACTTTCTCAACTCAGAAGAAGAATGTTTTCCAACTCTGGACCTAGTCTACCTCTCAGCTTTATGTGAGTCAATGATTTTTAAAATGCCAGTTTCAAAATTGCAGGAAGTTTGTGACAAAAGACAAATTTGTTAGATAATTAGTAAGTGAAATAATACATAAATGGATTGATTAATTAATACATTACTTGTTCATGACATACTGCAACTTGTTTTAGGGTCCCTCTTCTTACCCATCTTCAACTCCATAAATACACTTAAACCTTATTCCATTCCACTAGGAAAAGAAGATCTGATAATGTTGGAAAAATGAATTTTCCAGTGAGATGAGATAAGTAGTTAAATTACATACTTTACTTTCACATGAAATATTCCTTCTTGGGTTTTGAATTCATTCCTGATTTAGTTTCTGGAAGTCTTCCCTCCTAACTTGCGATCACCACTTACCTTCCCTTCTGAACTTACCTTCCCTTCTGAAAATGGCTTCCTTAGAAGATAAAGTGGGACCAGGAGGGGGCCAGTGGAAGAAAGCAGGAACAGGTGGTCAAAGCTTTCTTTGATCTAGGCAGGAGAAGTTTCTTCCTCCGGAACCCTTTCTTTTACCTTTCAGATGCCATCAAATCCCCTAATAAATAGCCTCATTGAATTCCCATTCATGGCACTTACAAAGTTGTAATTTTATATTTAATGAACATTTGACTTCCACATCTGCCTTTCTCAATGTTGGGTTCCATGAGAGGTGGGACTGGCTATTTTGTGCTCACCATTGTCTTGCAGGCTGTCTGGCACATAGTAGGAGCTCAAGGAATATTGTCGAATGAGTGAATAGGTGAATGCATGCAGCTCATTCCTGCTCCTCCATCCGCTGGGTTGCCTCCCTGGTAGAAAATAAGTTATTGACTTGGGGCCAAAAGCTCTACTTAGTAAGAATGATTTTGCTCACTCTTCACCTCTCTCAGGAACCTACAGTGGTCACAGACATATTTTTAAGTAAAAGGAAGCAAAATGAAGTGAATTCTTTATAACATAAAATTTATTCAATTTAAAGGGCTGACATTAATCTAATGGTATCTCCTGATTTTCTTGGCATTAAAATGTCTTTTGTTTCATAAAATGATAATATTAAATAATTGCTTTAATGGATTACTTAATTAGCAAAATGAACATTTGGCCACTCTTTGAGGGCCGCTAGACAGCCTGGACTTACTGTTATTACTCTGATTACATAAGCCTTGTCCTCTTCCAGGCCTTCTGACTTTGCTGACTCAATTCATTCAACAAGGATTGGATTAAAAACTGCCTTCTCCTAACAATATGTTCTGACTCTGGAGACTTTAATCTCTCTGTAATAGACACCTGTTATGTTTGTCACTTTTCTTCGTAACACTTATTGTATGTGGTTTTTTTTTGTTGTTGTTATTTTGAGACGGAATCTCGCTCTGTCACCCAGGCTGGAGTACAGACAGTGGCGCAATCTCGGCTCAGTGCAACCTCTACCTCCCAGGTTCAAGCAATTCTCCTGCCTCAGCCTCCCGAGTAGATGGTATTACAGGCATACACCACCATGGCTGGCTAATTTTTGTATTTTTAGTAAAAACAGGGTTTCACCAAGTTGGCCAGGTTGGTCTTGAACTTCTGACATCAGGTGATCTGCCCACCTCAGCCTCCCAAAGTGCTAGGATTACAGGTGTAAGCCACCTTGCCCGGCCTCTCTGTATGTGTTTCTGCTAAGTCAGGGGGAGTCTTTTCCATTTCAATAGACTCTAAACTCTATCAGCACAAGGATGGTGCCTATCTTTTCTGCCAATGAATCCTAAGACGATTCCTGGCACACAGTAGCTGCTCAATAAAAATATTTGCTAAGTAAGCAAATAAATGCATGCCACAGCAATTAGCAAAAAGGGCTAATTTCTTTTTTTTGCCTCAGTTATCTTGAATTCTACGCAAAGCACCCTTCTCTAATTCCCTGCCTCATCTTCCTTGGGAATGACAATACACAGGCAAGTCAATGAGGGGGTAAGCTCATGGTTTCTTCCTGCCCGTCCTTCTGTCTCATCACACCAGTATATTAAGAAGGAAAAGGAGGACTACACAGAAGTTTTATGTGCACTGGTTTCACATCATCTCAGCCATTTCTCGTGAAAAGTCTTATGACTTGTTATTTTATTAACCTCATTTTATTTATGAATAAATGGAGGCTTAAAGTGGTTAAATCACCTCATCACTCAAGGTCACATAGCTGTATAGGACAAGGCTGGTATCAGAGCTGAGCTACCTCTGCTTGAAAACTCATGCTAATTTTCACTCTGTTGTATGTGGTCTTCATTGTCCGCATGAGAGAGGCACCTCATCCTCATCTGCTCTTATTTTATGCAGAAGAAGTGGGAAAGCTAATTAACCTTTCCTGGGAGCCACCCTGGAAACTGGCACGCAGGGTTCCTCACCGCTGGTGCAGGCACACATTGGCACCAGTTCCCACTCCCTCAGTAGGAAATCATGACTACATTGCTTGGAAAATGAAACAATGCAAGTTATACAAGATCCATAGTGACGCTGAGAAATGAGGGCCTGCCACAACGGCTGCACAGCCAGATTTGTATGCCTGCAAGCCACAGCACAAATGGCCCCTCTCACATTTGTCTCTGAAAACAGGGAGCTCTAATTGTGGTTCATAATGAACACACAGACATCAAAGAGCAGCGTGTGGAGCTCACCAGGAGCTTCAGCCATGGGACTGGATGGACGCAAGGTCCAGGGACTCGGCAGCAAGCCCAGCTGCCCTGAGCCAGAAGGGCCCTAGAGGCTACCTGGCAGCCAGGTGACATTCTTACCAACATCCCTGCTGACTCTGGTCTCTTTGGAAAACTTTGACTTGAAGCTTCCTGTTTCCTAAATGGCCCATCATTGCACATTCTGGTCAGCGTTACCCAAAATGTGAGATCCACCTCTAAAAAGATCTTACATTGAGCATACGAAACATTAAATGGTGTTAATTCTCATAGAGCGAAAGTTACATCCTCAGTTTGCTCTCATTTCTTCAGATGTCAATGAGGAAACCGCAGTATTCTCTGTCCTGAACACCTAATGCTTTCTTTTCTTCCTTTTTTTTTTTTTTTGAGACGGAGTCTCGCACTGTCACCCAGGCTGGAGTGCAGTGGCACGATCTCGGCTCACTGCAACCTCTGCCTCCCAGGTTCAAGCGATTCTCATGACTCAGCCTCCCAAGTAGATGGGATTGCAGGCACCTGCCACCATGCCCAGCTAATTTTTTGTGTTTTTAGTAGAGACGGGGTTTCACCATGTTGGCCAGGATGGTCTTGAACTCCTAACCAGAAGTGATCTATCTGCCTCGGCCTTCCAAAGTGCAGGGATTACAGGCATGAGCCACCGCGCCTGGCCCTAATGCTTTCTAATATTCTTTTTTAACAAAGAGGTAGTAGCCTTCAGACCCGAAGCCTTAGGCACATGATAGTATACAGCTGGAACGCATAGCATTGTTTTCTTTTCATCTTATTTATTTTATTTTCCCTCTTATCTATGAAGGATGATACTTACTTTCCATTTGCGGTAATGATGTAAGATATCCTTTTATAATACATTTATTTGTATTTAATGAGAAAGTCAATTGAGAAGAAAGATGGACGAAAACACAGCACAGGTTTTCTGCACAGACAGTGAAGCTGGGACCGAAATGCCTGAGATTTGGGAGTCTCAGCTTCTGATTATTTGAGCATCATTCTGATATTGTTCCTAACTTTGCCTCCCTTAAGCTTCTTCCACGTATCCCAGAAGCAATCACAGAGTTTCACTGTTTATCACTCCTTCCAGTAAACTAAGGTTCTGATATTAAAGAAGATAATTATATTCCTAAGAGCTTCGCCTCTCAACACAAAAATAGCTCACTCTCCTTCAACTAGTTTTTTACAATGAGCTTCTAGTGTTCATCGCACTCTGCTTACCTTCTACTGAAAATTGTAGTTTTTTAGTTTCCCTCTTAAAGAATACTGTGTAGAACTGAATATAAAATACCAGGTCTTGCAGAACACTGCAGTCAAATGCCTTCTCTCTCTTATCCTAGTCATTTTCTCATTTAATACAGCTTGCTGTTACATTAAGGGTCTTTTATTTTTCTTTGCTTGTGGTCACAACATGTTCTATTGATACCACTACCCAATTCCTACAAAATTCCTAGATTCCCCCAACTTTGCGCTTCCATAGATATCTAAGAGTTCCTTGTCCAAAAGATTTAACACAGAGTGCACGCTACCCAAGCTTCCATGTCAGACGACAAAAACCTGTGGGTCCTGCCTCTGGTACTGGACAGCTTGAGTCATGTAACGATGGACCCATGGGGCTCAATTGCTGGCAAATTACTTCCACAAAAGGAGTTACACCACCCACTATTTTGGTGCAGTGACACTAAAGTATTTGACCTTGTATCTATATAGGATTTACATGGAGAGCTCTATATAAAAACATCCGTCTATATTATTAAATAGAAGAAAGATACCAATCAAGGTTGTTTCATATACATAGGACGATAGAAGCCCACCCCGAGGGTGGCATAAAGTCATGTGAAAAGAGTGACATAAGATGGTAAGGCACCCAACATTTGTCTACTACAGCAGGATACAAAGAAATACAGGTGATGTTGGTCGAGGTCTTCCTTTTCGTAGGTATTTTCAGGAGAGGAAGTGGAAATATGGTCCTAGAGAAATGTTTTCTTACCAGAAAGGGGTCCTGATCCAGGCCCCAAGAGAGGGTTCGTGGGCCTTGCACAAGAAAGAATCCAGGGAGAGTCCATAGAGTAAAATGAAAGCAAGTTTATTAAGAAAGTAAAGGAATAAAAGAATGGCTATTCCACAAGCAGAGCAGAGGCATGGGCTGCTCAACTGAGTGTACTTACAGTTATTTCTTTTTTTTTTTTTTTTTTTTTTTTTTGTTTCACTCTGTCGCCCAGGCTGGAGTGCAGTGGCGCAATTCCGGCTCACTGCGAGCTCCGCCTCCCAGGTTCACGCCATTCTCCTGCCTCAGCCTCCCGAGTAGCTGGGACTACGGGCGCCCGCCACCACGCCCGGTTAATTTTTTTTTGTATTTTTAGTAGAAACGGGGTTTCACCGTGTTAGCCAGGATGGTCTCGATTTCCTGACCTCGTGATCCGCCCGCCTCGGCCTCCCAAAGTGCTGGGATTACAGGCATGAGCCACTGCGCCCGGCCAGTTATTTCTTGATTATATGCTAAAGAAGAGGTAGATTATGGGTTTTCCAGGAAAGGGGTGGGTAATTCCCAGAGCTGAGGGTCCCTCCCCTTTTTGGACCAAGTAGGATAACTTCCAGACGTTGCCATGGCATTTGTAAACTGTCATGGCCCTGCTGGGAGTGTCGTTTAGCATGCTAATGCATTATAATTAGGAAATAATGAGCAGTGAGGATGACCAGAGGTCACTTTCATTACCATCTTGGTTTTGGTGGGTTTTGGCCGGCTTCTTTACCGCATCCTGTTTTATCAGCAAGATGTTTGTGACCTGTATCCTGTGCCAACCTTCTATCTCATCCTGTGACTAAGAATGAGTCCTGGGAATGCAGCCCAATAGGTCTCAGCATTATTTTATCCAGCCCCTATTCAAGACGGGGTTGCTGTGGTTCAAATGGCTCTGACAGTTTGGTCACACCTGAATATCTCATTTCTACATAGTCATGACCCAGTTTGGCTACACCTGAATATTTCGCTTCTACATAGTCATAACCCAGTTTGGCTACACCTGAATATCTCGTTTCTACATAGTCATGACCCAGCATTAGGAATTTTGTTTCCTGAGATAGTGATTTTTCTTTTCTTTTCTTTTCTTTTTTTTTTTTTTTTTGAGGTGGAGTCTTGCCCTGTTGCCCAGGCTGCAGTGCAATAGTGCGATCTTGGCTCACTGCAACCTCTGCCTCCCAGGTTCAAGCGATTCTCCTGCCTCAGCATCCCAAGTACCTGGGATTATGCGGCGCCTATCATCACGCCTGGCTATTTTTTTTTTTTTTTGTATTTTTAGTAGAGATGGAGTTTCACCATACTGGTCAGGCTGGTCTCGATGGTCTCAAACTCCTGACCTTAGGCGATCCAGAGATGGTGATTTTTATATCCTAACTATAGCCAGTCATACAACTTCCTCTGCACTGAAAACCTCTCCTCACCCAATACTGAGATATTATTTTACCAATCCAAGTATGTCAAGGATTTTATTGCATTTGCATTTCAAACCTGATAAAATCATTTTCTGGGTGACATTTTTTCCTTGAAGGCAACTTCAAATTGAATATTTTTTCCCTTGTTATCTCTCTCCCTTTCCAAGCCAACTTCACTTCCAGCTTGCAAATTGCTCCATACCAAGAGAGAAACGATGATCCGCTGTTGCCATCTTTCCCTCCCTGGTGTGCAGAGAGGTTCAGCTTTGCATTTCCAACTCAGGTCTATCCTCACGGAAAATCTTTTTCAAGCATCTTAAAACATCTGTATTGCCCACATCTCACAAGTTGATCGTTGCTTTTGCCAGGCGCTACCCGTGAATGCCTCGTATCGTGCCCCTGAGGAAGGTGAGGCTGAGAGATATTTGTGTTTGCATTTTGGGCTGCACCTTTCATCTCTGACCATCATTCTTGATTTCCTTTAAACACTTACAGCAAAAAATACAGGCTTCAATTCAGAAGCTTCTGGATGTGAAACCTTTTTTTGTGTGACAGTAGCTGAGCCTTAGTTTCATCATTTACAAATGGGAAGAACAAAAACTAAACTGTACGGTGGTTGGGAAGATTAAAGTAAGTAACTCCTGGTGTAGTGCCTGGTGTGACTGTAAGCTATTATGAATTATTTCTGATTTGTATCACATCCTTTTTCACCGAAATTGTTCTTAGGAAGATCTCTAATACAAAATATGTACATTGGTAAACTCCATAGCTCAGTAAAAAAAACATGAAACTTGGAATCAGAAGGACAGGCTCCAGTGTGAAGACACTTGAAGCCAAGTGAGACGAAGCTCGTTTCTTTTTTTCTTTTCTTCTTTTCTTTTCTTTTTCTTTCTTTCTTTTTTCTTTTCTTTTTTTTTTTTTTTTTTTTTTTTTGGTAAGATGGAGCCTCACTCTGTTGCCCAGGCTGGAGTACAGTGGCGCAATCTCGGCTCACTGCAACCGCCACCTCCTGGGTTCAAGCAGTTCTACCTGCCTCAGTCTCCCATGTAGCTGGGATTACAGGTGCCCACCATCATGCCCAGCTAATTTTTGTATTTTTTAGTAGAGACAGGGTTTTGCCATGTTGGCCAGGCTGGTCTTGAACTCCTGACCTCAGGTGATCCACCTGCCTCGGCTTCCCAAAGTGCTGGGATTATAGGCGTGAGCTACCGCGCCTGGCCCGGAGCTCATTTCTTAACCTGTTGGAGCTTCGGTTTCCACGTCTGTAAACAGGGCTAATAATCTGCAACTTGTAGGGTTGGTGTGAGGATACAATCATATATGGTGCCTAAAATAGCTTTGCACTCTTCAAAATGATGTTCTTGCCATTGGTAATGAGAGGTAGATTGCATAGAACTTCTATGTGTCAGGCACCATGCCAATAATTTCATGTGACTTGTCATATTGAATCCTTACTACAATCCCGTTTAATAGGTATCCTTTCGAATTTGACACATGAAGAAACTGAGGCACCAAGAAGTCAAACTCCTATCTACCTGAGTAGCAGAGCCAAAGTTCATCCCCAAATTGTTGCCTTTACTGTCATTGTCACTGTATTCACTCTGCCAGAGGTACAGATATTTTAGAACCTAAAATTAAAAGGGAAAACAAAGGGAAATTATTATGAAAGAAGGGAAAGAAATTTAACGCTTAGAGAACAATTTTCTTGGCACTTCCTCGAAATACTAATTGAAAACTTATTTAAACACCCAGGACTGTCATCGAGATGGTGAAACATGCAATTAAAATAATTACCCTAAATCTGGCAATCTAGAATTATCATTTGTTATTATTAATATAGTACCTATTCAGACAGAATTAACTTTTTTTTAAATTTCAAATTTCTTCTGTAATGTTTAGTGCAGCCCCATAGGCATGAGGATTATCTGCCTTTTGGATAAAGTCTTTATGTAACACCATTCATTTGTATTCACATTTGCTTGGGAAGAGTGCTTTAATGATTAACCCATCATCCTGCAACAGTGGGTGGTCACATTCCCGTTTCAGAAATGGGCACATTCATGCCTCATATAGCTAATGCCACCTAGCTGCTAAATGAGAGGGCAGGAATTAGGTTTCATAGACCAGTGTCTATGCTTCTGATCAGACAAAAACTTCTTGAGTGATGAAGATCATAGAAATAAAAATGGAAGGAAAACCTTAACGTAAAATTAAGTCTTTCAGTTAAGAACCCACACGCGTATATTCCCCAGCTTTGGGATTTTTAATTGAACCAGGATAATAAGTGATATTAATATAAATTCTAATCAAGGAAATCAGAAACGGTTGCATTTTACATGATTATTAAAGGCAGAGCTGCTATGGATTTGACTCTTTTGAGAAAGAGATCTTTCCTGACTCTATGCAAATCCAGAAATTAGATTTGGTGAGATTTTATTATTGAAAAACCTGTATTGGACAGTTACTTTTTGTCAGATATTAAACTAAACCTTTTACACACATCAACTTGACTAACATCCCAGGGACTTTGTAGAGCAGGGTGAATGCTACTTCTGTGGTGAAGATCCCAGCTGCCTGAGTGAAGGTCTGATTCTAAAATTGTATCCGCCGCTTAACTTATGAGTGCTGCAACTTTGTCCTCTATAAAATGGAAATAATAAAAGTACCTCTCTGTGATGCTTAATTTTTTTTTTTTCTTGAGACGGAGTCTCATTCTTTCACCAGGCTGGAGTGCAGTGGTGCAATCTCGGCTCACTGCAACCTCCACCTTCCAGATTCAAGCAATTCACCTGCCTCAACCTCCCTAGTAGCTGAGACTACAGGCGCTCACCAGCTAATTTCTGTGTTTTTAGTAGAGACGGGCTTTCACCATGTTGGAAGGATGGTCTTGAACTCCTGACCTTGTGACCCGCCCGCCTTGGCCTCCCCAACAGCTAGGATTACAGGCGTGAGTCACCGCGCCCAGCCTTGTGATGCTTAATTTTCTGTACCAACTTGGCTGGACCACAATGCTCAGATATTTGTTCAAACATTGTTCTGGATGTTTCTGTGAGGGTGTTTTTGGATGAGATTAGCATTTAAATCAGTGGATTGGAGTCAAACAGATTGTCCTCTATCATGTAGGCAGGCCCTCATCCAGTCAGATGAAGGCCAGACTAGAACAAAAGATTGACTTTCTCTGAGCAAGAGAAAATTCTGCAGCAGATGGCCTTTGGACTTCAACTGTGGCCTTGGTTCTTCCTGGGTCTCCAATCAGACCTCCCACCCTGCAAATCTTGGACTCTCCAGCCTCCATCATTGCATGAGCCTATTCCTTAAAATAAATGTGCTCTTATATATTTATATATACATCCTATTGGTTCAGTTTTTCTGGAGAACTCTGACTAATACACTCTTCATAAGGTTGTTTGAGGATTACCTAAGCTAATATGTTTAAAACGGTGCTCTAGTGGAATAAGACATGGCAAGTGTAGGCTTTTTAAATTAAGAAACCTAGCATGAATGTGAGATGTCTAGAGACAGGGTCAGTGAGCCCAAATACATATTCTGAATTGACCAGACTTTCTCTAAGCTCCCCTTTCCACAAAAGCTGAAGTGAGCCACACATCCACTGTGTCAGGACTTGATATATATGACCTAGTAGGGTCATATGTCTGGTAGGACATTCCCTACTTCCAAAACTGGCTTGACACTATTGTAATATCATAACCACATTCAATCTCTTCATAATTATCATTTTATTTACTTTGCTGGAGAGAAAAAATAACCTCAGATACTGACTATTATTTAATACATGCAAGGAAATAAAATCAACTAACAAATGACTATTTGTTAAAATACTAATAATTAAAGTGCATGAACAAAACCAGAGGCAAAAAATAAATGGAAAGAAGTGTAACAATATGGGAAAGGATTGTTGTGTTTATTATATAAAAAGTTCCTCCAAATTAATCAAGACATACAAAACAGATAAACCAGAAAAGTATAGACATTAATGTATCACGAAAGTAGAATTACAACTACTCAAGAAACTTACAGAAAAACATCAACCTCACTCATAACCCAAGAAAAAAATGTTAATTACAAAAGCAGTGGAATTACATTTTACTTATTCAATCAATAATGCTTGTTTGAAAGATGATGCTCTAATATGGTGAGAAGGGTGTTGTAAAATAGGCATACATATGCTCCTGTTAGGATGGCAAATTGGTACAGATTTCTGGGAAGACAATATTTCTGTTCTTTTCTTTCTTTCTTTTTTTTTTTTTTTTTTCAGATGGAGTTTTGCTCTTGTGGCCCAGGCTGGAGTGCAATGGCGCAATCTCGGCTTACCACAACCTCTGACTCCCAGGTTCAAGTGATCCTCCTGCCTTAGCCCCCCCAGTAGCTGGGATTACAGGCATGCGCCACCACACCCAGCTAATTTTGTAATTTTTTTGTGTGCATTTTTAGTAGAGATGGGGTTTCTCTATGTTGGTCAGGCTGGACTTGAACTCCCGACCTCAGGTAATCCGCTCTCCTCAGCCTCCCAAAACTCTGGGATTATAGGCATGAGCCACCACATCTGGCCACCTTTGCATTTGAAAAATTCTCATCTGCAGATATAGGAGAGAAAACTAGGATGTCTACCTGATCCCATTATAGCTTATGTAATAATGACTAAAAATTTAAATCATGAGCTTTTGGGCTCTCTCACTTGTTTCCTAAAATGCTTCACAGCCTTCCAAGCAACAAAATTAGGTGGATTTCACTGGTTGGTTTATCAATATGTTAATTTTGTTGCTATCTGCCTGAAACACCAACTGTTGAGGGATTGGATAGAGATATTTACCAACCAGTTCTGATTAGAGAGGAGAGCATCATTTATGCCATTTCAAATAATTAGGGTGAACTTATTGGGGAAGGTAAGCAAGTTGGACATGATGGGGGTAATTTTAGGCATGAGAAACCATTTGGTAGCAAAGCATATAAAGATGAATGATTCCTGCCCACCATTGCCAGGTCAATTTTGCTTAAAAACAAAACGTCAAACAAACAAAACAACAAACCTAAGAACCTTCCATCAGGTACCTTGTTGCCTCAATAACTATCAAATATCTCCCAGCTCAAGTTCAAATTCTTCAGCCTGGGGGACAGGGTGGTGCAAATAGACAGAATGGGAATAGGCTTTGGAAACAGGATGAATACATTCAAACTTCAGGTTGATCAATTGCTAGCTGTTGGAACTCACACCTGATGCTAAGCATTTCTGAACATCAAGCACCCTGTTTGTGAAATGAGAATAATACTGAGTAGAGAGGAAATCTGAGGATAATGGGTCGCAGTTTGTTTATTTATTTATTTGAGATGGAGTTTCACTCTTGTCACCCACACTAGAGTGCAGTGGTGCAGTCTCTGCTCACTGCAACCTTTACATCCTGGGTTCAGGTGATTCTCCTGCCTCAGCCTACTGAGTAGGTGGGATTACAGGCTCTTGCCACCATGCCTGGCTAATTTTTGTATTTTTAGTAGAGACCATTTTTCACCTTGTTGGCCAGGCTGGTCTCGAACTCCTAACCTCAGGTGATCTGCCCGCCTCGGCCTCCCAAAGTGCTGGGATTACTGGCGTGAGCCACCGTACCCGGCCCAGATCTAAGTTTAGACGTAGGATTGTCTCATCCTTCCTGTGTGGTCCTTTCCCCCTTCCATATATGTGCCACCCATGGGGCTTTCTTTTTGTTTTCCAAATACTCCATGTTTTTCTTTTCTTATATAGGATTTTGGAATGTTGTTTGTTTGGTTGGAATTGGCCCCAATTTTTTTCCCACTATTTCATATTTTGTATACTCCTTGTCCTGTTTACTTAGGTAAGACCTTCCTCTTTCATATTAATCTAACTTGTTTCTGAGTCCCAGACCAAGTGAGATCCCCAACCCCAGTCATTTACTCCCATAACTCTGGTACCATTCCATCAGAGAGCCTCATCTCAGTGTAATGTTGTATTTGTGTGATTAGTGTCTCCTCTTCCACCAGAATGCAAGTTAGAAGAAGACTTGGGCTGTTTGCTCCTAATTTATTTTCTAGCATCTAGCACAGTGCCTGACCCAATAGGTTATAAAAATATATTTGTAAAATAAATGAGTGAACAAATGAAGCAAAAGCTACAGCACTTCTTTGTCTTCATAACTCACTTGATCCTAGAAGCAAGGAAAAGATGGTGATCAAAGAAAATGGTAAACATATCAACAATATTGTTGCTATAAAACAATATAAATAATACCCGTTTGTAAGGTTAAAAATGAACAAAATTGACCAAAACTATTTGATAAAGATATACTATAAATTAGGAGGAAAGTTATTCAAGTTCATGCATTCTATGTTTTATATAATATTTAGTAGAAAATCAAAAATAGAGATAATATTTAGATTTTATCAAGTGTGCCTGCAATAAATTCTGGAATAAATACTGATGCAGTTGAAATAGAGGACATAACTTACAAACTAGAAAAGGAGGGAAAAAATTGGGGTAGGGTGAGTAAGAAGTTCAATTAGTCACAGAGACGAAAATAAAAGAAATTTTAAAAATAGAATAAATAGTCAAAGCTCCAAAGGGTAAGTCTAACTAAATACGGGCAAGATCATTTTGAGAAAATTTGAGCTTTATTGAAAAAACTTAAAGAATAATTAAGTAAATGGATAAATATTCCATGTTCCAGGAAGATTTAATAATGTCAGAAAAACACCAGTTTTTCCCCAAACTGATCAAAAGATCCAATTCAATTGCCAGTAAAGCTGAACAGCATCTTTTTGTGGAACTTATAAAATGATTTTAAGTTTTATATCAAGGAACAAAGGACCAAAAATAGCCAAAGACATTCCTAGATGAAATAAAAAGTGGAATTCTTGCCAAACTCAATTAGACCTAATGTAAAAGTATAATAAGGCAGTGTGAGTGTGGTATAGAGATGTACAAACAGAGCAATGGATCAGAATAAATTAGAGAAAAACAAGTGTCTAGATAAAAACACCTACAGGTTATGAAAACTATCTGTGAAAGAGATTAGCAACTGTGTATCAGTGAAGAAAGGAGAGCATCTTTAATAACCAATGTCAGCTCAATAGCACAACAGAGTATAGGGGAGAGAGAGAGAGAGAGAGAGAGAGAGAGAATGGCTGCATCTTTCAATGTTTTCAAGGGAATTAGATGTTTAAATATAAAAAACTAAATTTTTAAAACTTTAAGAGTGAAAAATACAGAAGAATGTCTTTTTTATGACATCTAGATAAGACAGAATTTCTTAATCCAGGCATTAAAATCATAGCCACAGAGACAAAGATTGATAAATTTGACTATGCCCAAATTTGAAGTTTTGTTTATGAGACACAGATCTAACCGACAAAACTGAAAGCATATTGCAAACTACTGAAGTTATTAACAACACATATGACTGATAAAATGTTGGTGACAGTTTACATTAAAAAGTCCCCTAAACTCAGTAAGGAATACCAAACAACCAATAATAAAATAGGCAAAATCCATAAAACAGCCTCCACAGAAGATAAAGGACAAATGGCCAATAAAATAGAAAAAGACGCTTATTTTCATTGGTAATCAGAAAAATGTAAATTAAAACCACAATAAAAAATACTCATATATACCAGTTTTGCCAAATCGCAAAGTCTGAAAATATGGATGTGAAGAATGGGTACGTGCATACGCCTGCTTGCTGTTAGCATTGCAACGGTTTTAGAATGCATTCATGATTATGTAATATTGTTAAAGTAATTTATGTCCTAGAGACCAGCAATTCCATTTCTAGGAATATGCACTAAGGAACCTCTTCAACATTGTTAGTTCCATTGCTTCCAGCAGGACATCTAAAAAGAAAAGAACAACAAAACTGCTAACATCCAACAAATCCAACAATAGCCAAACAGGTAAATAAATTGGGGCATATTCATACCAGGGAATATTATGCAGAAACAAAAATAAACAATATCTGCACACATCATAAATACATCTCACAAAATACTTTGAGCAAGAAATAAAACAAAAACAAATATTAAAATATTATGTACAGTATGATTTCTTTTATATATTATTCCCAAACTTGAAAAATAAATGACATATTGAAAAAGCACTTCAATGATAGACTGGATAAAGAAAATGTGGCACATATACACCATGGAATACTATGCAGCCATAAAAAAGAATAAGTTCATGTCCTTTGTAGGGACATGGATGAAGCTGGAAGCCATCATTCTCAGTAAACTAACACAAGAACAGAAAACCAAACACTGCATGGTCTTACTCATAAGTGAGACTTGAACAGTGAGAACACATGGGCACAGAGAGGGGACCACCAAACACCGGGGCCTGTTGGGGGGTGGGGGAGCAAGGGGTGGAAGAGTGTTAGGACAAATACCTAATGCATGGAGGGCTTAAAACCTAGATGGCGGGTTGACAGGTGCAGCAATCCACCATGGCACATGTACATCTATGTGTACATACTACATGTACACCTACACGTTCTGCACATGTATCACAGAACTTAAAGTAAAATAAAATAGAAAAAAAAAACAAAAAAGAAAAAGCAGCATCTGGTAAAATTTTAAAGAAAAGTGAGGATGTGATCATCACAAAATTCAAAATCTTGAGGCTGAATGTAAGAGGATGCATTAAAGGTAGGCTACACGAGAAAGGTTTCAATATTGAAACCTTCAATGGCATCCTGTCTCTAGTGATTGACTGGTATACTGTTATATATTACTTTATAATTTATAAATCAATAGTACATTTTCATTCATGAAATAGTATGTACATTTTTAATTGTGGAAGGACTCGTTAGGTAATTCTGTTGCTTTCTCCTAGTATTTATTTTCCTACCAACTATGTACTGGTAAATAGAACTTTGAGACCCATTTTTCTATTCTGACTTTCTGAGTCCAGGGGAAGGCCAATGAATGGGCAATGAGTCCATTTCCCTAGATGTTTAGCTGTATTTTATTTATATTTAAATCTGCTTTAATAAAAACATGGTCTCCATGAATGGAAACCCTTTGAAAGCCATGCTGCTTATAAATTAGGCAATGAATAGTTTCTTTTCCTCAATTGCCCTTAGTAAAGACTTTTCCCATTTGACTGATTAAAGATGGGTGATAGAATAATCTTGTAGTCAGTGTCTGTTGCCCTACAAAAATGGATGCTTTTTCTGTCAGAATGGTTAATATGAAAACTGCTCTATTCTGCTGATGAGTCCCGTTAAAATGTGGGAGTAGTTATTTTAGAGAATGAATGTTTAGGTTTCTGGTGGTCTCTGCTTGCTCCAGTGGTAAAAATGCACTCAGGCTTGATGTGGGGCTGGTGTGTTATATTTTATCAGTGACAGAAAATCTCCCTCTTGGTCACTCAGATTGCTCTTTCTGAATGTTGCCTCGAGGACAGTTGGATGGGCCTGAAATATTACAGAGCCACCAAGATGAAAT
This sequence comes from Homo sapiens, assembly GCF_000001405.40. NCBI lineage: Eukaryota > Metazoa > Chordata > Mammalia > Primates > Hominidae > Homo > Homo sapiens. The sequence continues at coordinate 8,034,865 of NC_000016.10, read as the reverse complement.
ATTAACACTTCCTGCATAAGTTGATGTCTAAAAGTCAACCTTATATCTTGGCTGCTAGAAACAATTCAGCAAGTCTTCATCTATAGAGGGATTTGGACCTTTTCTTATAAGAGGGTAGCGTGATGTGTAGAGTATTATGAAGATAAACACCATTATTTGGCTCACGCCTGTAATACCAGCACTTTTGAGAGGCTGAGGCAGGTGGATCAGCTGAGGTCAGGTGTTCGAGACCAGCCTGGCCAACATGGTGAAACCCCATCTCTACTAAAAATATAAAAAATTGTCGGGCGTGGTGGTGGGCACCTGTAATCCCAGCTACTTGCGATGCTGAGACATGAGAATTACTTGAACTTGGGAGGCAGAGGCTGCAGTCAACCAAAATCGCACCACTGCACTGCAGCCTGGGCGACAGAGCGAGACTCCACCTCAAAACAAAAACGAAAACAAAAACAAAAACCCCACCAATATTAAGTGACATCATTGTTTCAGTGAGCTTGCTTGCTGATACGATGTATCCTCATGCCTCAGTCTCCCGAGTAGCTGGGGTTACAGGTGCGCTCCACCATGCCCAGGTAATTTTTGTATCGTTAGCAGAGATGGGGTTTCTTCACATTGGCCAGGCTGGTTTCGAACTCCTGATATCAAGTGATCCATCCGCATCGGCCTCCCAAAGTGCTGGGATTACAGGTGTGAGCCACTGCTCCTGGCACCTAATTTCTCTTGATAAAAGCAAAGCTCCCTCTTTCTGGGTTACTTTATTTCTCCTGTGCTGAGTTCTTGTGCTATAGTTTCTCAGCTACACATCAGAGTCACTGGGGGAGTTTTGAAAATTGTTGCACAGTGCTTATTCCAGATCAATTGTATTGGGTTTCTGAGTAGGGGTTTTAGGTATCAGCAGATTTAACGTTTTCTACAAGTAATTCAAAGATGGGCTGAAAACAACTTTTGAGATCAAACCAGAACTAAATTAAAATATAAATTTTAATACTGAGCTGCTTGGTTTCATGATTAAAGTTCTAAATTTTAGAAATTTAGTCATGGTTTCATGATTAATACTTAATGTTAAATTACATTTAAAAAACTTTTTTTTTCCTTTTGAGACAGAGTCTCGTTCTGTCGCTCAGGCTGGAGTGCATTGGCATGATCTTGGCTCACTGCAACCTCTGCCTCCCAGGTTCAAGTGGTCCTTCTACCTCAGCCTTCTGAGCAGTTGGGATTACAGGCAACTGCCACCCTGCCTGGCTAATTTTTGTATTTTTAGTAGAGATGGGGTTTCATCATGACGGACAGGCTGGTCTCGAACTCCTGCCCTCAGGTGATCCTCCCACCTCAGCCTCCCAAAGTGCTGGGATTACAGGCATGAGTCAATGCACCCAGCTACAAATTTTTAAGTTTAAATTTAAATTTAAAAATTTAAAATTTAATTTTAATGTCGGTTTCATGATTAGTTTTCTAAATTTCTAGTTTTCATATCTGGAAAAAGTGGTTGATAATTGTACCAACCTCATCAGTTGGTTGCAAGGATTGAACGCGATAAGCCATGTAAGGCAGTTGGGACAGTACTTGGCACATAAAAAAAGCCCTAGTGAATGTTGGGTATTCTTGCCAAGTTTTTTTTTTGATTTATGAATATTTATTTCAGTGATGCAGATGAAAGAGAAGACACTGGAGTCAGCCAGTTTAAAAGGCTCCAAGATGAGGTTTGAATCCCTAATTTCTCTCTCTCTTTTTATTTTTATTTTTATTTTGAGACAGAGTCTCACTCTGTCATCCAGGCTTGAGTGCAGTGGTGTGATCTCAGCTCACTGCAACTTCTGCCTCCCGGGTTCAAATGATTCTCATGCTTCAGCCTCCCGAGTAGCAGGGGTTACAGGTGCATGCCATGCCCAGCTAATTTTTGTATTGTTAGTAGAGACAGGGTTTCATCACGTTGGCCAGGCTGGTTTCGAACTCCTGATATCAAGTGATCCATCCACATCGGCCTCCCAAAGTGCTGGGATTACAGGTGTGAGCCACGGCTCCTGGCCCGTAATTTCTCTTGATAGAAGCAAAGCTCCCTCTTTCTGGGTTGCTTTATTTCTCCTGTGCTGGGCCTCTTTGATAAGAAATGTGAAGAACACACATTCTTTAATTCCAAAGATGAATTCTAACAGGAGCAGAGATGTCTACATTCTTTCCACACCAACAGGCTTCCCTAAGAAGACTGAAACTAGAAAGCTTGGACTAACCCAAAAGACTTGAAGGAAAAGTTCAACTGTCCCTGGCATCCTGCCAATGCAGACAGCACTCCTGGAAATATTTTATCTCTCAAAATAAAAATCAATTTAGTGGACCCGAAGACAATGTAGTATTCACAGACATGCCATTTTTCTTCCAACGTAATTCCCCTCGATGCTGCTAAAGGGTTCAGTTGTCAGGGGCACAATACAGGAAGCATTTTTTTACAGAGATAAATTATGAATTGGCTCCCACTCCATCAGCCTGGTGCTAATACATCACCAGCCACCAAGGTCAGGCATGGCTTCAGTTCACTTACCCCCAAGGTGATAGAATGGTTAACAGCACAGGGCTTCAGTGACAGAGGTTCAGCTTCTGGCTATACTCTCATCTTAATAACAGGACATATGGCAAGTTACTTGATGTCTTGGCGCTCCAATTTTCTCATCTGTAAAATGGGAATGATGTTACCCACGTTGCGTGGTCTTTGAAATAATTCAATGAATTAATGCCTTTTTTTTTTTTGAGACGGAGTTTCACTCTTGTTGCCCAGGCTGGAGTACAATGGTGTGATCTCGGCTCACTTCAACCTCCACCTCCCGGGTTTAAGCAATTCTCCTGCTTCAACCTCCTGAGTAGCTGGAATTACAGGTGCCCACCACCACGCCTGGCTCCTTGGTTGTATTTTTAGTAGAGACAGGGTTTAACCATGTTTGCCAGGCTGGTCTCAAACTCCTGACCTCAGGTGATCCACACACCTTGGCATCCGAGAGTGCTGGGATTACTTTTTTAGAGGTGTTTTTCAGTGTCTGGTATTTTAAAAACACTCATTGCATTGTTGCTCTTAGGAGCACGTTAATGATTTTGAGAAACCGACCGGGATGTAACATCGTGCCTGTGCTCTATGCTTGGGAAGCAGACACTTGTTGCAGATCCAACTGGAGCCGGAGGAAACGTACTAGACGTGGTAAAATGCTCTAAAACCAGGCTGCAAGAGACTTCGCTGGGAACCAAAATAAGATGCCTGCATTTCACATTTAAACTTTTATGTTTAAAGTTGTAATGGAAGAAATGCTGGTGAGATTAAGTTCAGAAAATTTGGTTCCAATCCTGGTCCTCACAATAACTAACCATGTAACCCTAGGCAAATTACGTTTATATTTCTCAGCCTGTCTCTTTGGTGATGAAGCATCCCTAGGTTGGAGATGTTAAGGTCACACCCTGCTTGATTGTGCATTTGAAAATGCTCATAATTAGGGAATCAATGTTGGTTTTATAGAATAGTTCAAGCAAGATCACTTCGTGGGGGTGATTTGAGGTGTTGGTGATAAAGACCAAGCCTATGGTTGTCCTGTTATTTAACAACTCGACTACAGATATTGAAAAGATAGGGGCTTTGTCTGCTGTGTTCTCCTTCTCCCCCATTTGTTGAAAGGATCTGCCTTCTAACCATCCCCACTTTGCTTTGTTCACTGAAGCCCTAAGAGGCTGCACCAATTGGGCTTCCTTGCCTTCTAGCCCCTAGTTTAGTTAAGCCCATGGGAGGGACTGGTGGGAGATCAGATGAAGTAGGAGAGGAGAGAGATGCTACAATGTTTATTTCCCAGTTTTCTTCCTCCTAGACTATGGTTTAGTATGTTTACTATGGTTTTATGTTCATTAGTATAGCTGGGTTCCTCTAACCAAGACCACAGCTTCCACCAGACAGGCTCATTGCACAACTACAGCTCTCATCAGGCTTTAGCAGTGACTTTCCTCACTTTCCCCTGGTGGAGTAATCTAGGGGTGATAATGGCATTCCCCTTGTTGCTTGCTTCAGGATACTCTTGCATCCCCTGTTGACTGATTTCCAACACAATATAAGGAATACATTCATTAAACTGCTTTTCATCACCCTTTTTTGAATGTGCCATCTGTTTGTAAGCCAGGGTCCTGCTCAATACCACTATATACTGAACATCTACAAAGTTCCTTGAATTTAGTCGACATACAAGACAGGCTTTTAAAATGACCCTTTGGTTTATTATGAAATCACCATGTCTGAGTTCTACAAATACAATGGTCATCAGAATCAAAGTAACCAGCATCACTCATTTTTCTCTTTGATGCAACTTTCTGTTTACTCTCCCTATTTTTTTCATTCAACTCCAAATTACTAAGCATCTGTTATCTAAAGACCTCAAAACAGATACTATTTGACCCAGCAATCCCATTACTGGGTATGTAACCCATGGAATATAAACTATTCTATTATGAAGACACATGCACGAGTATGTTCATTGCAGCACTATTAATGATACCAAAGACGTGGAATCAACCCAGATGCCCGTCAATGATAGACTGGATAAAGAAAATGTGGTACATATATACCATGGAATACTATGCAGCCATAAAAAAGAATGAGATCATGTCCTTTGCAGGGACATGGATGGAGCTGGAGGCCATAATCCTAAGTGAATTAACAGAGGCACAGAAAACCAAATACTGCATGTTCTTACTTATAAGTGGGAGCTAAATGATAAGAACACATGGACACATAGAGGGGAACAACACACACTGAGGCCTTTTGGAGGGTGGAAGGTGAGAGGGGGAAAGCTCAGGAAAAATAACTAATGGTTACTAGGCTTAATACCTGGGTACAACAAACCTCCATGACACAAGTTTCCCTATGTAACAAACGTGCACATGTACTCCTGAACCTAAAAGTTCTTTTTATTTTTTTTTAAGAAACCGGTATTTTTAAGAAATTAAGTTGAAAATAGTCATTTATGTTTACCTAAATATCATTTCCAGTGTTTTTCTCCCTTTTTCTAAAAACTGAGTTACCAACAGGCATCATTTGTTTTCACCCTGAGAAACTTCCTTTAGGGTTTTTTATACTGGACATCTGCTGTCAATGGGTTATCTTAGTTTTCTTTTATCTGGAAATACATATATTTTATCTTAATTTTTAAAGTATATATTAAAATAATTTTGGATTATTTTTAGTTTTCTTTCAACATTTAAAAATGTTACTACATCATCTTCTGGTCTCCATTGTTTCTAATGAGAAGTCAATAATAATTTCCCTGTATGTCATATTTTTCCTCTGGCGGGTTTTAAGCTTCTTTATTCTTGCTTTTAACAATTTACGGTATTTCTGGACATGAAATTTTTATATTTATTCTGAATGGGCTTCACTATATGTATTTAATCTGTAAATTCATTTCTTCCTCCAAATGTGCAAAACTTATAGACGTTAGATCTTAAAAAAATTACCATGCCCTATTCCTTCTCGTCTTTTCAGTGGGACTTCAATTACACATATGTTAGATCTTTCAATATTGTCCTACAGACCCTTGAGACTCAATTTCTTTTTACTTTTTTCTAGGTTTTACAGATAGGATACTTTTTCACTGATCTATATTTAAGTTTACCAACTCTTTATGATCTTTAATGTAACTTAATTTCATCCAGTAAATTTTAATTTCAAATTTTTTTTACTTCTAAAATATCAATTTTCTTCATTTTAATAGTTTACGTATCTCTGATGATACTTATCTTTTTATTTATTATAAACCTAGGTTTACTTACATCACTGAGCATAAATATAATAGCTGTTTTAAAACAATTTTTTAAAAAATGTCCAATTATTTAGCATCTCCAGGTTTGTCTCCACTGATTGTCTTTCTTTGGTGCAAATCAATCATATTAGCCTTTTTTTAATATGGTAAATAATTTTGGATTGTATTGAGGCTATTTTGATATTATGTTGCCAAGACTTTAAATTTTGTTAAATTCCTCCAAAGCCTATTGATAACTCTTCTGTTTTAGCAGAAAATTAAGTTGGTTGTTGAACTCAAACTGTAACCTTTACCTTTTGGGAAACAACTCCAACCTCAGTTTACTTATCTTCTCTGTAGCTTGCGTGCTAGTAGCCTTTCCTGTGCATGGGTATTTCAACAGTCAGTCAGGGATTCAGGTAAAGTTTATATTCAAAACCTAGAGTCCTCCTCTTATTTCTCTGTTTTTGGAACCCTTTTCACTTTTTGTAGCTATGATTCTCCCAATCTCTATCCTCTGGTTTGTTAGGTAAAACATACTGCGGTTTTTCCATTGGACTTTTAATCACCCAGCATAGCATGCTGGGGTGCTTGCCATCAGCTAGAAGCTGTGAAAATGGGAAACTCACCCAGTGTCATTCCCTTCTTTCAAATAATGATTCTTTTCATGTATCTATGCATGTTTTGTTTGTTTGTTTCCAAGTGCCTTCAAGTGGCTATGTTTTTATTTTGTTTGGAGTTTATAGTTATTATTTATGGCAGGGTCAGTATAGTAAAAGGGTTCTCAGTCATATTGGAAGACAAACTGAAGTATATATATATATATATATATATATTTTTTTTTTTTTTTTTTTTTTTTTTTTTTAATGGAGTCTCACTCTGTTACCCAGGCTGAAGTGCAGTGGTGTGATCTTGGCTCACAACAACCTTTGCTTCCTGAGTTCAAGTGATTCTCCTGCCTCAGCTTTCCGAGTAGCTGGGATTACAGGCATGCGCCATGATGCCTGCCTAATTTTTTTTTCTGTACTTTTAGTAAAGATGGGGTTTCGCCATGGTGGCCAGGCTGGTCTTGAACTCCTGACCTCAAGTGATCTGCCCACCTCAGCCTCCCAAAGTGGTGGGATTACGGGTGTAAGCCACCACGCCTGGGGCTGGAAGTATATATTCTTTAACAAATTAATATGATTCATGTATTTATAAGTGTTTACCAGGTAATGAACTCAACAAAAATGCAAACCAAAAATTAGAGCTGCATCTGATAAAAGCATAGGGCTTATCTCAGGAAGTGTGTGTAAATTATAACTGTAGCATTTAATTTAACCACATATACAATTTGGAAAACTTACAATAATGTTTCTCAATCTCTATCAATAAAAATGCCTCTAAAAGTTACAGGAGATGAATTCGTATCTCAGCATCTCCACTTCTTGGGTGAAAGGCTAAAATATTAATCCAAAGCAGTTTCTTCATTGAAAAATGGTTTCTAAGTTTTATATTTCATTTTAAAAACTCTACAAGTATAAAAATAATACCAAGCATGACATTGATTCTTCTGTACTACTGCTAATAGTAGTATGCCAGGGACTCTGCCATATTACATATTGCTGTAATTCCCACCTTGTAGATAAGGAAATTAAACCACATGGAAATAAGCAATAATCAAATTCACACTGCTTGTCAGTGGTGAATCTAGGATTCAAATACAGGTTTCCATATGGATAATGGGGTCTTACTTTTACTTATGGCCTAGACTGATACCAATTTTCATTAAAATAATACTTGTCTGAATTTTTAATGCTGGAAAAAAACTAATGAACTTCCGTGAAAGCAAGATCAATTGGCATTTGAACCTAGGAGAATTACTGAATGCACCACTACTTTTCAGATCTTTTGACATAGACCAAACTATAAACCTGTATGTCCAGATAGCAGTAAACAGAATTTGATTGGCAGAAGTAAATTTGGTTCCCAGGAAGGAGAAGGAAGTTGCTGTTGAAAGTCTATAAGACTTTTTCATGGACCTCATAAGAAATTCCATTATTCCAGAATTCTAACATAATTGAAAACCCAGGGCGTCAGTCACTCTCAGAAGCTAATCATATTCTTAACAGCCAGAACAGTGTGACTTTGGCTCAAGATAGGTCAAACTTGTTTCTTTCCCTTTTGGCAGGGGTCAGGGTGGGGCGGGGGGCGATTTAACTAGATTGAAAACAGGTATGAATCTGAAACGCACTTGAATAAAACTTCGCTACCAGTCCAACCTATGTCTTCATTAAGAAGGTCATTTTCAAAGCTGCTGCACATTTTGCTTCACCCTGTAGGAAAAGACTTCGGGTTGTGGTTTTTCGGTCACATTGTCTCATGTTTAAATTATCTTAGCATGTACAAAGGTTATTTGTTGAATCTCATTGAACTTGTGGCTTAGAAAGGCCAAACCTGCCTAGCCAAAGGGAGCTGTCCAAACCCACGGTGCTGAAACCAGGAGAGAAGGTGTTACAAAGCTCGCACATGATTTAGCATATATGTTGTAGTGGCATCACACACTGAGCTAATGGCACACATAACAACTTATATTGTTCATTTGTATTTTGAGAAATAAATTACCCTGTGAAATATGCAAGCCATTTATTGAGTCTTGTCACTTCCCGCAACAACCATCACATCAGATGTTTTATTTGTATAGAAAGACAGAGAGAAAAAGAGACATTATACAGAGACCCGATCGCATCTTTTCTACTTTTGGGTCTAAATGCAGAAACAAAAACAATCAACTATTTACCAGTTTAAGTATAAAAAATGCATGAAAATGACGTGTGTGTTTGTCACATAGTCCCCCACCCCTTTCTCTCATGGTAATAGTTTAAGATCTTTCCTTTCTTTATCCCTCCACCAACTTGCTTATTTCTTGCTTTCAATTCAACCTTGCTTTTTCCTGGTTCCGATTTCTGTACCATGGGACACTATCCTAAGACATTGTTTATTGCACTGTGCCAGGTGCCAGGAATACAACAGTAAACTCCCTTCATGGAGTTTATTCTCTAGTGGTAGAGATGGAATATTAAACAAATATTTATGCAAGTAAATGTGTAATTATAGACTTACCTTAGAGAATTATATCTTAGTTATTGACTTAAAGTTATAAATTAGAACTAACACAATTATACACACATGTATTACATATATAATTTAAAAGTTTGAAGTTATAAGCTGTTTTGAAAATGTATACTACTTTTAGCTTAATAAAACCCTTTCTTTCAGTAAAATTTCTCATAAAGCACATTTTAAGCAGTTATATTTGGACATTACAATCCATTTTCTCTTCATAAGAATTTCTAGTAAGAGAATGTCATGTGTAACAAATTTGAATTATGTGCAATGTTTACATGAACCTCAAATATCTTGCATATGCCAAGTGAGAGGGATGATGATATAGCATCTTACTCATATGTTCTTTTTACTTAAGTATTATTTCAGAGCAAAAACTAAAGACTTTTGTGTTTAGTCTTAATTTTGCTATAAAGATATTTTTCTGTGCTATAACTTTGCTTTTAAGTGCAGTTTGAGTGAAAGGTAGCATGAGTTCCCCCAAAATGTTGGGACATTTATACAGGAGAAAGAATTCTTCCAAATAATTTCCTTTTCCTCTCACTGCTTTTCTAGCTGTTATCCACAGTCAGCTCTTCTTTCTACCCTGACTGGTAAAATCTTCATTAGATTACATTCCACATGCAGACTGTTTATTTACTTTCAAGCTATTGCTTATTCCTTACTTTCTTATCATTCAATTCCTATATGCTATTCCTAGCTGTATGAATTATTTAGATATACTGATTTGATACAGAACTACCAATAATTTTCCCATTAATATCAATGTAAATATTTCATTTTTGTATTTCTATTTAGTGGCTGGGTTTCAGTAACTAATTAAAGTTATTAAGCAAGGAATAGGTTGTAGGAAATGCAGTTTTGGAGACCAAAAAACAGGATAGCTGCCTGTGTCTGAGTGATAAGGGGAGGGTCCCTGGGAGACACACCATTTAAACTGACACTTAATAATAATTGAGATGTACACAGAAGACAAGAGAGTTAGTGAGGGGTACATGTCCCAGGTTCTTCAGTGGGGGAGGCCTTCAATAAGGAATTGAGAATATATATGGAGTGAGTATGGTAGGCAAGTGGCAAATTGGTACCTGACAAACCTGGAAGGGCAGTAAAATGGATTTACCCAGACCCTATTGAGCACATCAGGAGAGCCGTGGGAAGACAACGAAGGGCTTTACACAACCAAGTTTCATGATTATGTTTACTTTTCCAGAAGCCACTTAGCTACTCTGTTCATAAGGGGTTGGAAGAGAGAAGAAGTGGATGATGCAACATGACTAATAAAAGAAGCTATGGAGGCCAGGCACTATTGCTCATGTCTGTAATCCCAGCACTTTGGGAGGCTGAGTTGGGTGGATCACCTGAGGTCAGGAGTTTGAGACCAGCCTAGCCAACATGGTGAAACCCTTTCTCTACTAAAAATACAAATAAGAAATTTCTGGGCCTGGTGGCGCATGCCTGTAATCCCAGCTGAGGTAGGAGAATCGCTTATCGCTTGAACCCGGGAGGCGGAGGTTGCAGTGAACCGAGACCATGCCATTGCACTCCAGCCTGGGCAACAGGAGCAAAACTTCATCCAAAAAAAAAAAAAAAAAAAAGAAGCTATGGGGTAGAGATACTGGTGGCTACAACTAGGCTGGTGAAAGAGATGATAACAAAAAGTGAAGGAGATTGAAAGATGCATTTCAATGTTTCATTGACATGAATTTCTGCATAATTAGATATAAAGGTAAAAATAGATATTGATACTCACTTTCCCCAGTGTTTGACCCTCATCTCTAGAATCCAGATGTGTATTGCACTGCCTCCATCTCTCTTTAAGTTAACAATGATAAGATCAAATTTTTGCTATAGGCTAGGGAACTATCCCAACTGCTTTGCATATGTTCTATCATATAATTTTCAGTAGAGTCTCCGTGTCTTATTAAAATTGATATTTCATAAATAAATTAAATACCTTGAAGAGGGCCACATGATTGGTTAGTGGGATAATCTAAATTCAAACCCAGGCAGTTTGCCTACAGAGACCATCTCCGAGTAATACTATGTCCTCCCATCTCTAATCTTACATCCAATTGAACGCCTAACTATAATATTCTACTGCATCTCTTAAGAGTAAAATATGGCTGGGAGTTTTCTATATATTTTAATTATCCATGTGCTGCCTGAATTTCAGAAGCAAAGATAACAATGTGTTGGCTGCACCTGTAAATGCTGCAGTGCTGAGAAATCTCCAGCTCTTTAAATGTCATCTCTCAAAACTCCAGAAAGCTGATTGCAAAGTGGCAATCCTTTGCTTGTGATCAGACTGTTAAATTAATTCTTAAAGGAGTTGCTCGCAACTTCAAAATGATTTTCAGCTTAAGAAAAGTCACAAACACCCTATTTTCTCCTTAACATATTCAGCTGCAGAAAAATAGAGGAACATGCAAACATCTATAGTGACACTTTATGACAGACATCAAGAAACACGTTGATGACAATGATGACAACTGAGTGGAAACATTAGCCCATAAGACATTAATTCTTGGTGCAAACCATGACTTTCATGTACATGGATGTCATCCTGATGTTTCCTATAGAAAGGAAAACTGGGACACTTTTGAGAGTTAACAGAGCCACTAACTGGATGGGACAACAGAAATAAACCAGGACTAATCTAGGCAAACGAAGATGTAAGAATTCCCACCTGAGTACAGTTACCTTATGCCAATGCGCCATTTGCAGCTGGTGCACAGGTCTTACTGTAGCATTTGTCTTGAATTACTGGTGTCAGAATGTTTCTTTCATATGTGAATTCTATTGTGTCATTGCGAAGCTGAGTCAGGGAATAAGTTAGTGGTAGAAGTGGATGAAAAAGTCTTAGGAGAAAGAGTGTGGGTTTTGGAGCTTCATAAACCTGTCTCGAACACATATTCTACCACTAACTTATTAGATGATCTTGGTATGACAGAAGTCAGCTGAACATCAAGTTACTTGTCTAGGCTACATGCATGTCCCCAGTTGCCTGATTGCTTATAAACATGACAGAAATAAGGAATATGACCCTTAGAAGTCTCCCAATAGGCTGGGCATGGTGGCTTATGCCTGTAATCCCAGAATTTTGGGAGGCCGAGGCAGGTGGATCACCTGAGGTCAGGAGTTCGAGACCAGCCTCATCAACATGGTGAAACCCTGTCTCTACCAAAAAATACAAAAATTAGCCAGGGATGCTGGTGGACACCTGTAATCCCAGCTACTCAGGAGGTTGAGGCAGGAGAATCACTTGAACTGGGGAGGCGGAGGTGGCAGTGAGCCGAGATCACGCCATTGCACTCCAACCTGGGGGACACAGCAAGATTCTACCAAAAAAAAAAAAAAGAAGTCTCTCAAGAATGATGGATATTATTATTACCATTATCTTTTATTCTTACATATCACTTCTTGATGACAGTGGTTGGAGGTGCACTTTTTTCTCTATTTATTGACATTATTAAGATGTCTAGTGCTAAGACAATAGGAGGTGTTCAACAAATATTGAGATGTATATCAATTAGCAACATGTTAGACTGTATGCAACAAAGGCCCAACTAACAATAGCTTTGAGAAATATAGAATCATTTGTCTTGTGAAAGCGAATTATAGGGCTGGGAAACCCCATGCTGTTACACTTGCTCAATGATGCTGAGGGCCCAAGACTTTGGCAACTGCACATTACACAATTTTTAGCAGAAAATACATCAAGGAGAAGTCTCCTTAGAAAGAATTTCTATCCTCCTTGTTCCCATCAACATCTGAACTTATCTGCGTGTGTATGAAAGTCGTCAGTCTCATGTGGGTAATTAATTGGGTCTGTAGACAGTTCTCCAGTTCTCCTAGGCACCATTATCCATTTTATTCTTTATCCAGACCTCCCCAACTTATTTGGTATATTAGTAGAATGAGATATTAATCCCTTCAACCCTCAGTATACCCACATGGGATCTGAAATGTCCAAATCTGCTGGGTAAGTCACTTCTAGATGAGAGCAGTCTTACTGTTACTTATGAAAGAACAAGGAACAATGTGATAATTTTAATGTATTCCATAATATGAAAAAAATTAGAAAACAAATAAATGTAAAAGAAGCCCCAGTGAGAATAACATTTGTGCCCAGTAGGTTGGCAAAACTTAAAAAGTCTTAATAATCATAAGGGTAGGAAAGGGTATTGATGAAGAGGATTACTTTATAAACTTTTGGTATGAGTATAATTTTGTCCAAGCACTTTGGCAAACAAGTTTATATTATATTGTGAAATTTGATATTTGCATATACTTCACAACTTAGCAATTCTATGCCTAGCAATTTTACTCCAGAGAAATGTTCCCACATGACTCCCTGGAAACACATATAAGATTGGTCCTAGCAGCATTATCTACTGTGAAAACAAATAGACAAACAGACTTGGAAACAACCTAAATTCCAGAAGAAGAAAATAGGTAAATAAATTTAGATATATTCATACAATAAAGTACCATACAGCCATGAAAATGAATGCTGAACAAATCATTATGGGTTTGATTTAGGAGCATTGTTTGAAAAACAAAGTCCCACAAGCAAGATATAGTTTGATACTATTTTAAAAAAGTATATTAACGAATTAAGCTAAATTATGTGTATGCGTGCAAGCACTATTTCTTTTAAATCAAGTAAAATAATGAACATCATTTGGAATAGTGGTTACTTCTGAGGTGGATGGAGTTTCCACCTGAATTTAAGCTAAGTTAAAATTTTTTTTATTATTTTTAAAAATGTTTGTGGTTACATAGTAGGTGGATATATTTGAGAGGTACATGAGATGTTTTGATACAGACATGCAATGCATAATAATCACATCATATAACATGGGGTTCCCCATCCACTCAAGCATTTATCCTTTGTGTTACAAACAATCCAATTACATTTTTTTTTGAGACGGAGTCTCTCTCTGTCGCCCAGGCTGGGGTGCAGTGGCACGATCCCGGCTCACTGCAGGCTCCGCCTCCTGTGTTCATGCCATTCTCCTTCCTCAGCCTCCTGAGTAGCTGGGACTACAGGCACCCACCACCACACCTGGCTAATTTTTTGTATTTTTAGTACAGACGGGGTTTCACCATGTTAGCCAGGATGGTCTCGATCTCCTGACCTCGTGATCCACCTGCCTCACCCTTCAGTTACATTCTTAAAGTTGTTTTAAAATATACAATTATTATTGACTATAGTCACCCTGTTAATGTTATTGAGAGTCCATTTTTGAAACTTGTCCCTTCATAAGACATAAATTGTTTTGCTCTAGACTTGCAAATTTTAGAAAACGTAACCAAATCCTCCTACTCTGACTATTAGTAAAGTCAACTGATGCTCCTATTTCCAGCACACGGGACCATGTCTGCAACCTTAGACCATTTCTTTTTATGTCACTGCTGGGTGTCTGTTGTGCGGGCCAGGGTGGTTTAAAGAGCTCAGAATTGAGGAGACACAATCTTGTGATCTAACTGATCCTAGGACTATTTTTTCCACTGTCACTATTTAATTTCTTAAATTTACACACAGTGAAATTTAATGTACATCTTGTATAATTCGTTTTTTGATGTACAATTCTGCTAATGTTGACAAATGCAGAGACATGTGACCTCATTCACAGTAGGACACAAAACAGTTCTCTCAACTCCACCATTTCCTGGTGCTGCCCCTTAGCAGTCAAACTTTTCATCAGCCCATAACCCCTGCCAACCACTGATCTGTTTCTCTCTCTCTCTCTCTGGAGTTTTTCCCTTTCTGGAATGTTATATGCATGGTATTTTACAATGAATAATCTTTTGATAGTGACTTCTTTAACTAAACATAATGCATTCACCCATGTAGTGTACACCAACAATAAAATGCTGAGTATGATTCCATTGCATGGATGAATCATTTTGTTTTTAATCCATTCTCTACTGCTGCAGGAGGCTGGAGCTGTTTCCAGTTTTAGAATTGTATGAATAACACTGTTATAAACGTTCATGAGAAAGTTTCCGTGTGAACCTCTGCTTTCATTTCTGTGTGATAAATACTTACTAGTAGTATTGCTTGGTCATAATATAAGGGTATATTTAACCTCATGAGAGACTATGAAAATACTTTTCAGAGTAGCTATATCATTTTGCAGTCCCACCAGCAATGTGTGAGAGTTTCAGCTGCTCTGCTACCTTGTTAACACTTGGTATTGTTATTTTATTCAAAGGCACTCTAAAAGGTGTGCTGTGATAAGTTATTATATCTGTTCGATTTTCATATCGATTTTTATTCGGTTGTCTATCTTATTGTTGATTTGACTATACACGTACAACATATAAATATAAATATACACATAAATCTGTGAGTGTATAGTCTAAATATAAGTTTTCAGATGTGCCATTAGCAAATATTTTCTCCCATTCTGTAATTTAATTATTCATTTATTTTGACATGGAATCTTGCTGTCACCCAGGCTGGAGAGCAGTGGCGCGATCTCAGCTCACTGCAAACCCTGCCTTCCGGGTTCAAGCAATTATCTTGTCTCAGCCTCCTGAGTAGCTGGGACTACCGGCTCGTGCCACCACGCCCGGCTAATTTTTGTACTTTTTAGTAGAGACGGGGTTTCACCATATTGGTCAGGCTGATCTAAAACTCCTGACTTCAGGTGATCCACCCACTTCAGCCTCCCAAAGTGCTGGGATTAGAGGCGTGGGTCACTGCGCCCAGCCTATGCTGTAATTTATGTTCTTATTATCTTAATGACGTCTCTCTCAGAACAACAGTTTTTCATTTTTATTAAGGCTAATTTTTATTTATTTATTTATTCATTTATTTGGGATGGAATCTCACTCTGTCGCCCAGGCTGAAGTGTAGTGGCGTGATCTCGACTCACTGCAACCTCCACCTCCTGGGTTCAAGAGATTCTTGTGCCTCAGCCCCCTGAGTAGCTGGGATTACAGGTTTGTGCCACCACACCTAGCTAATTTTTGTGTTTTTAGTAGAGATGGGGATTCTCCATGTTGGCCAGGCTGGTCATGAACTCCTGACCTCAAGTGATCCACCTGCCTCAGCCTCCCAAAGTGCTGGGATTACAGGTGTGAGCCACTGTGCCCAGCCTAATTTATCAGTTTTATTTTATGTATTTTTTCATGCTATATTAAGAATTTTTTGCATTACCCATCATCATGATGATTTTGATGTTTTTTGTTTCTAAAAGTGTTACAGTTTTACATTTTATATTTAGGACTAAAATCCACTTTCAGTACTTTGTCATAAAGGTGTTTGGTATAAAACAACATTCTTTTTTTTTTTTTTTTTTTTTTGGTGTATAGGTGTCCAGTTGTTCCAGACTAGTTGTTGAAAAGTCTATTCTTTCTCTACTAAATTGCCTTTGTACCTCTGTGAAACATCAATGCACCCCATGTGCTGGGTCTATTTCTGGACTCTCTGTTCTGTTCCATTGATCCTACTACGTATCTACATTTTCTCCAATACCACACTGTCTTCATTATTGTAGTTTTATAGAAAGTCCTAAAATCATACACTGTGAGTCCTCTAATGTTGTTCTTTTTCAAAATTGTTTAGGTTTTTTTAGTTCCTTACCTCTTCATATACATTTCATAATAATTTTGTCAATATCTACCCCCAAAATTGCTAGGACTTCTACTATGACTGTTAAATCTATAGATTCATTTATAAAGAATTGACAACATTGAGTATTCAAATCCGTAAACACAATATATCCCTCTGTTTATTTAGGTCTTTGATTTCTTTCATCCACGTTCTGGACTTTTGCACACACTTTGCTAGATATATACTTAGTTATTTTATTTTCTAAACTATTGTAAATGATATTATATTTTAAATTTTAGTTTCTAATTGTTCATTATTAGGGTAAAGAAATAAGATTGATGTTTGCATATTGACCTTGTATACGGAAGCTAACTTTACTTCTTATATGTAAGAGCTTTGGTGTGGAGTCATTGCAATTTTCTACACAGACAATTACATCTGCTGAGAATAGAAACAATTTAACTTCCTCTTTTCAATCTGTATGAGTTTTATTTATTTTTCTTATGTTATTGCATTTAACTTATTCTAGTACCATGTTGAATAGAAATGGTGAGTGAACATCCTTGCCTATTCCCAATGTAAGAGGGAAAACATTCAGTCTTTCACCACTGATTTAATGCTAGCCATATGTTTTTGTTTTGTTTTAACTTTTTATTTGAAAATGATGATAGATTCACAGAAAGTTGCAAAAAATGCACAGATGGGTCCCATGTATTCTCCCAGTTTTCCCCAAGTTAACACCTTGCATAACTACAGTGCAATCTTTTTGTTTTTGTTGTTGTGGTTGAGCTGAAATCTTCCTCTGTTGCCCAGGCTGGGGTGCAATGGCACAATCTCGGCTCACTGCAGCCTCCGCCTCCCGGGTTCGAGCGATTCTCCTGCCTCAGCCTCTTGAGTAGCTGGGATTACAGGCATGTGCCACTGTGCCAGGCTAATTTTTGTATTTGTAGTAGAGACAGGGTTTCACCATGTTGGCCAGGCTGGTCTCAAACTCCCGACCTCAGGCAATCCGCCCACCTCAGCCTCCCAAAGTGCTGGGATTACAGGCATGAGCCACTGCACCGGGTCTTATAATGCAATCTTGAACCCAGGAAATTGACGTTTGTTTAATTCACAAAATTTATTCAGATTTCCCCAGTTTTATGTACATTTGTGTGTGTGCACGTGTGCATATGTATGTCATTTCATGCAATTTTATCTCATGTGTAGGTTTGCGTTACCACTATCACAATTATAATATAGCACTGTTTTAAGAATTTATATAAGTGGTCTTTATTAGATTAGGAAAGTTTTCTTTTATTTCTAGTTTGCTGAAAGATTTGTTCTTTTGTCATGAATGTATGGTTTTGTGACCCAGAATGCGTTCTATCTTGGTGAATGTTCCATGTAAATTTGAAAATAATATATATTCCACTGTTGTTGGATAAAATGTTCTATAATTGTAGCTTAGGTCAAGTTGAGTGGTAGTGTTTTACATATGTACTTTTTTTCTCTATTTGTTCTTTTTTTTTTTTTTTTTTTTTTTTGAGACGGAGTCTCGCTCTGTCGCCCAGGCCGGACTGCGGACTGCAGTGGCGCAATCTCGGCTCACTGCAAGCTCCGCTTCCCGGGTTCACGCCATTCTCCTGCCTCAGCCTCCCGAGTAGCTGGGACTACAGGCGCCCGCCACCGCGCCCGGCTAATTTTTTGTATTTTTAGTAGAGACGGGGTTTCACCTTGTTAGCCAGGATGGTCTCGATCTCCTGACCTCATGATCCACCCGCCTCGGCCTCCCAAAGTGCTGGGATTACAGGCGTGAGCCACCGCGCCCGGCCTCTCTATTTGTTCTAATGTTTGCTGAGATAGGAGTGTTAATGTCTTCAAACATAATTTAGAATTAGTCTGTTTCTTTTTTCAGTTCTATGATATTTTGCTTTATGTATTTTGAATTGCTGTTTTTAGATGCATATACATATACATTTGTTTTGTTACTTTATATGAGAATATTCCTAAGAAATATTTTTGCTGGATATAACATTTGGGGTTGACAGTTTTCTTTTTCTCCTCCCAGCATGGTAAAAATGCTGTTACATTATCTTCTGTTCTTTATGGTTTGTGATGATAAATCTATAACTCATTTGAATATAATGCATCACTTTTGTTTCTGCTTTGGGAATTTTTCTTTATTTGTAGTTTTCAGTGCTTTGATTATAATTTTTCTGAGCATGGTTTATTTCGAGTTTATTCTGTTTTAAGGGTCACTTGGGTTTTTGAAGTTGTAGATGTACATCTTTCACTTTTTGGGAAAGTTTTCAGCCATTACATTCTCAATCTTTTTCTTCTGAACCAATTCTTTCTCCTCTTCTCCTAGAACCCCAGTGATAAAAATTTTAGATCTTGTATATTGTTCTACTGGTCTTTAAGACTGTTCGACTTATGTTTTTACATTTTTTCTTTCTGTTTTTCAGATTGGATAAGATTTCTTGATCTGTGTTCAAGTTCAAAGAATTTTTCCTTTATCACCTTTATGATCCAATTATTTTTTGTTTTATTTTGTTATTATAATTTTTATTTTTGAAATTTCTACTGAATTCTCTTTAGAGTTTTTATTCTCCATTGAATCTGTCTATCTTACCATTTATTTAATAATTGGTCACTGCTGTTTCATAGGACATGTCTATAATGACTACTTTAAAGTCTGTCTGATCATTTCAAAATGTGGACCATCTCAGAATTAGTGTCTGTAGATTGTCTCCTTCCTTGAGTCATTGATATTGTACTGGTTCCTCTAATGTCTAACTTGAATGATTTCCTGGTGACTTTGAAGATTAGGCTATGAGAATCTGGATCCTGTTAAAATTATGTAGATAGGATGGGTATTCTTTATTTAGCTGGTCCTAACTTTCTTAGGTTCAGATCACAAGTCCTGACCTGACTTCCGTGTCTGTGGTTCTATGTCAGTTAAGTTTTCAAAGGCTTTGATCAGCTGGAGGTGCCTTTTGGTCCTCCCCATAAGGGTACTACCCAGAGACCAATATAGACCCTGGATAGTGTTTCTACTCTCTAGTTCACTTTTCAAAGCATTTTCTGTGTTGTGTCAGGTCAATTCCAGACATATGTTCAGCAGTGAGGCCAGGATGTCACGTAGAGATTTACAGTACCTATTTTTTCTAATTCTTACCTCTCTGTGAATCCATCTATATTCACTGGCATCTGTGGGCTCCTTTTCCTGGTCTTTTAACTAGAAAATTTGGGTTTTAGTCTCCTTTACTGCCACACTTTTCTTGTACCTAGGTTCCAGTAAGGCTGAAAGCAGTGATTTAGAGAGAGAGTGAGAGAGAGAGAGATAACAAAAATCCCCTCACTATCTTCAGAACACAGAGCTTTTTATTGTTTTCAGTTTCTCTTGTCAGAGAGAAATATTTTATCTCGGATAATTTTTAAAGGCCTGCAGGTCTGCTGTTGCCACTGCTGCTACAGGACAATATGTTCCTGACTGGTGTTTGCGTTGGGCGCGGGACCTGGGGAGTAAAAAGAGGGAAAAGGCCACACAAGGATTCCTTCCATATTTCCCCTCTGCAGATGTCCCCCTTTCCATCCTCTGACAAGACAGAGAGGGTTTCTCCTAGAGTTTTTTCTGTCCACATATACTGTGTAGTTCTGGGATTTAGGTTGCTCTCCAGTTTAAACCTTGAATACAGGTGAAAAAAATATCTAGAATACTCTCCAGCTTATGAATTATACTTTGAGTTTTAATTTTCCTGCCCAATTTCCTTGAAATCATTTGCTTTCCAGAATGAGCACATAGTTTCTTTATATATTCTATTTTGAGTCTTGAGTTGCAATCAGTGGGGAAGACGGAATGGAATGTCCTTATTTCATCTTAGCTAGAACCAGAAGCTCTCATTTCTTTTTAAAAACATGGACAGAGAGCCTGTGGTGTCTCTAATGGAGATTGAATGAACAGAGATCAGGAGTTGATAGTTAAGCATATTTTTCCCATTGGACAAGTATGAGTTGCTGATTGCATGCTACTCCAACAGATGAGTAGCTTCCAATAATATTACCAAAGGACTATTCTCTGAAAAGTACTGGGGGTTTACCAAGCACCTTCTCAGGTTTAATATTACTAAACTGGTCTATAGGGAGAGTCACACAGAGCAACTTGAACAGATATTGGCCTCTTGTCCTTGGATAAGGAGAGAGAGACTGACCTTACTCACCTGGCTCCACATACACTGTGGCATCTCCGTGTTTCTTAGTGTTCTCTTCGCTGTGCTGTGGGCTTTGTATGCTGAGTGTATTTCACCCATAAGCAGGGTGAACATGTAATTCATTGTCTAAACCAGGACACTAGTAAAAAAGAATACTAACTAGGTGAAATGCTGGGAAAACAGGTGTCAACTGGAGCTCATTTTGGGAAAAGCAGAGTATGTGGTCATCCTACAATAAGTGTCTTTATCTCACATCATCTGTGCTTAGTTCACACTTTTAACCACCATAAGTCATTTCCATTTGATGGAAAAAGCTGAATCCACCCAGGAAGTTCACCTAACATCACGGCACCTTTAGAGGTGATCAACTGGAGGTCAGATTAAAAAAACACAGGATAGTAATGTTAAAGCAGAGCCTACAACACACTTATTTCTTTCTCAGCGTGTGAGTCTAGAAATGTGTGGCTCCTTCCCTCCTACATTTTGGAGAAGAGGGAGATATTTCCTTTGATCTTTTATGCAGAAATGTTACAAAGAGCTCTCTCTCGCTCTCTCTCTCGCTTGCTCTCTCTCTCTCTTTCTCTCTGTCTCTCTCCCTCCCTCTTTCCTTCCCTCCCTGCCTCTCTCCTTTAATTGCAACTCTCAATACATTCTATTCTTCCAATTCCTACTGGTTTTATGTTTTTCATGCCAAATCATTGAGAGGTGACAGAATTCTATCAATGTTTGAATTTGAAACCAGAAACATGTTTTGCTCTTATTTTCTTTCTTTCTTTTTTTATTTTTTTTATTTTTTAAAAAAAGGTCCTTGGCTTATTGTGAGTGGAGCAAAGATTTCTCTTCTCCCTCTCTCACTATTAATATTGAGATACAATCACAGGGGTGGGCTGGGGGGAGGTCAGGCTTTAGAATATATCTCTTTGCTGAATAAGTGACAAAAGTTAAAAAGCAGTAATTTAGGAAACTTAAATGTGACAGTCGATGATAGATGGAGGCTGGCACGGCTGCAAAATGAGAAACATTAAAATCGTATATTAGAACAGATCATGCTGCATACTCCAGTTTGTGTCAGCAAGTTTCTTTTGGTATGTCAAGTCCCCATAGGCCTAAAACTCTAGTCTACTTTGAAGATGGATTTTAAAAGGAATATGTTTATGTTTAGGAACTTAATAATGCCACATGCACCAAGAAGTCAGGTACAAAATCAAACTGAATGTGCTACTGTTTGTGGGATCTTTCCATGCCCGGTACCCCAGGGGTGTTATGTATGCTCAGAAGCTTCAGAACCAGACCCAATACCACCTTTTCCAGAAAGGCCTTCTGATAACCCCAACTGGGTGCATTTCTGCCTCCCCAGAATCTTCAACTCCCTGTTTGAATCTGTTTCATGACATTCCTTATTTCCTTCCTTGCAATAAGTTTTTCTGCATGGTGTCTTATCTTCCCTGCTAACCTGTGAGCCCCACAAGGACAGGGACCACAACAGTTTGATTTCTGCATAGGGCCAGGAAGAGAGCACTCTGGTTATAAGTGTGTCTGAAGATGTCTTTTCTTCCTATAAGTGCCACCACTTCGTGAGGTTAGGACACTGTGTTTACACTTCCATTTGAATCTATTCATCTTGAACCAGTTTTTATTTTTGCACTTTTTCCTGTCTTCCATACAGTGAGTTCCTTCAAGGTAGGATATATTCATTTTGGGAATCTCAATTACCAGCATAGGGTCTGAGCCACAGCTGGTATTCATTAGATACATGGATTAGCAGATCAATGAATCAATAAGTCAATCAATTAATTCTGAGAGCCTCACTTTCTTATGGCTGAACTTCCATGGACTAGAATTTTTGTCTTTAATTAGCTATATGTCCAAGAACAAGTCCATTTCCTCTATGTAGGCTGAATCATGAGATCACCAAGATTCTTTCTACCACCAATGTTAAATAACTCTGTTTGCTAAATTCTTTGTCTTTGTCAATGAAAATAACAGTGCTGTTTTATTAGTACAGTTTTGCCCTTTTGTATTTTATTTATGTAAATAAATTCATCATTATTAAGTTACATGGAGACTTAGTCTTGGAAAGGAGAAAAGAGACCATGTTATAACTGGAGTCTCTTAGATGTCCGTTCTTGCCTCA
Organism: Homo sapiens; assembly: GCF_000001405.40. Taxonomy (NCBI): domain Eukaryota; kingdom Metazoa; phylum Chordata; class Mammalia; order Primates; family Hominidae; genus Homo; species Homo sapiens. Next base: position 8,012,107 of record NC_000016.10, on the reverse strand, counting down.
TGGTCTCATAGGCAGATTGAGAAGCTGAACTTTCAGGCCATCCAAGAGTAGAACATCTCTGTCTCATCCCTTAGGCCTCCCATAGGCACCTGTGAAACTGAAGAAGCAAGGTGTGAAGGAAATAGGGGTGAGGTCACGGTTTCACTCTTCTCTCTCCATCTGTCTAATTTACTCCATCTCAGGAATGAGTCTGTAAGAAGGCTGCGTTTGTTATAACATCTCAACCTGTCACTTTGTTCTCTAATCAAGCCTAGAATCTGTATCTGGAAAAATTTTACCCAAATTTTAAACATCTCTCTTATTTTCAGAGTGCTGTTTCAGTGCTGGTCAGAGTCTTTGCAATCAGCTCAATAGTTAACATATTAGATGTTTAATGACTTTTTTTTTTTTTTTTTGAGATGGAGTCTCACTCTGTCGTCCAGGCTGGAGTGCAGTGACGCAATCTCGGCTCACTGCTACCTTCGCTTCCCGGGTTCAAGTGATTCTCCTGCCTCAGCCTCCCAAATAGCTAAGATTACAGGCACATGCCACCATGCCATGCTCATTTTGGTATTTTTAGTAGAGATGGAGTTTCACCATGTTGGCCAGGCTGGTCTCGAACTCCTGACCTCAAGTGATCTGCCCGCCTCGGCTTCCCAAAATGTTGGGATTACAGGCATGAGGCACCATGCCCGGCCATTTAATGACTTCTTTAAACGTCATTTCATTATGGTTTGTGTTTTTAGAAATGTAAAACTCTTCTATGTAGGTACTGTACTAGAGTATTAGCAATACAAGTAATGAGAGTACTGACATTTTCAGAGCATTTTATGCATTAACATTTTTTTCGGCTTGTTCATTGGAGGTGATATGTCCATGTTTCAGAGTTCAGGATCTGGAATGCATTAATCCGATTTGAATTCACACCCAAGCTAAAAAAATTTACTCAACTTCTCAGGCCTCGGCTTCCCTATCTCGTTTTTTGTTGTTGTTTTTGTTTTTGTTTTGAGACGGAGTTTCACTCTTGTTGCCCAGGCTGGAGTGCAATGGCGCAATCTTGGCTCACCGCAACCACCACCCCCCCGGGTTCAAGCGATTCTCCTGCCTCAGCTTCCTGAGTAGCTGGGATTATAGGCATGTGCCACCACGCTCAGCTAATTTTGTATTTTTAGTAGAGATGGGGTTGCTCCATGTTGGTCAGGCTGGTCTCGAACTCTTGACCTCAGGCGATCCGCCTGCCTTGGCCTCCCAAAGTGCTAGGATTACAGACGTGAGCCACCCACTCCCAGCCGGTTTCCCTATCTCTTAAATGGAAATAATAGTAACAGATATCACCTAGGGTTGCTTAAGGATTAAATAAAATAAAACAGGTGAAGTTTTCCAATGGTCCCTGGCATATCAGAAGCACGAGGTTCAATTCAATTATTAGTATTACATATTCGATTCCCCCAAAGCAACCATGCTTAGCAAATAGATATTAATCTCTGCATGTAATAGTTCAGGAAACTAACATTAAAAGAAATTAAAAGGGTAGTCTGTTGTGGCACATAAAGTAACTAATTCAAGGTACAGAACTAGGTTTGCTTTTTCCACACCTAGAGCTCTTTCATGGCACCCAGAACAATCTTTCTTTCAAGCTATTACATTCACACCAAACCAACAGTGTGGGATAAATGAGTTGGAGGAAGAAAACCTAGTGGCCTACTGGGGAGAGGGACTAATCACTTGATGAGATCGCTGTCTGCATATATCCTGTATCAGATCAGCATTAGATCTCAGCACAAAGAATGCTCAAATATGACCCCCTCTTAGAAGATAGCCAAAGGTCCTAAATTTCAAGGTGTTAGCCAAATATTCAGAGGAATGTGGTTTTTGGTCAGGCACCAGGGATCCTTAACACTAGTGAACAGAAGGTCACTCAGCTATAAATAAATAGATTTTGTTTTCATTGATACTCTATCACTGCTTCATTTTAAGCAGTGCAAGGTGGCCAATCCAATGGTAGAGGAGGGAGGCATTTGTTTGTCTGCAACTCTATAGTTAACGTGGGAACAAAGCCTGCTTTGTCCAAGTGAGATCCTATAACTACATCACACCCATCATCATCTCAGGACCAGGAAGGAGATTCAGGAAGAGATTGTTCTTGAAAAGCATCAGTAATATCTTTCTGCTTCATTGGCAGTTGACTTTCCTTTTATGTTGGTGAGCAGAGAGGAGGGCGCTTACATTGTCCTCCGAGGGAATGTGGATTGGCATGTACTAGGGTAAAGAGAGATGGCTAGCTTCAGGTTCTTTCCATTGTTTCATTCCAGAATTCCCTCAATATTAATGCTACCTGGTTAATTTCAACCTTGGACCAGTGAAATCTGGCTAATAGCAAGACAGGAAAGTTAAACACATTTTATAAAAGTTTCAATCATCACAGGAGGATAATTGAACAATAACAATGATTAGCTCTTTTCTTTTTTTTTTTTTCTTTTATTATTATACTTTAAGTTTTAGGGTACATGTGCACATTGTGCAGGTTAGTTACATATGTATACATGTGCCACGCTGGTGCGCTGCACCCACTAACTCGTCATCTAGCATTAGGTATATCTCCCAATGCTATCCCTCCCCCCTCCCCCCACCCCACAACAGTCCCCGGAGTGTGATGTTCCCCTTCCTGTGTCCATGTGATCTCATTGTTCAATTCCCACCTATGAGTGAGAATATGCGGTGTTTGGTTTTTTGTTCTTGCCATAGTTTACTGAGAATTATGGTTTCCAATTTCATCCATGTCCCTACAAAGGACGTGAACTCATCATTTTTTATGGCTGCATAGTATTCCATGGTGTATATGTGCCACATTTTCTTAATCCAGTCTATCATTGTTGGACATTTGGGTTGTTTCCAAGTCTTTGCTATGGTGAATAGTGCTGCAATAAACATGCGTGTGCATGTGTCTTTATAGCAGCATGATTTATAGTCCTTTGGGTATATACCCAGTAATGGAACCCTAGAAGAAAACCTAGGCAATACCATTCAGGACATAGGCATGGGCAAGGACTTCATGTCTAAAACACCAAAAGCAATGGCAACAAAAGCCAAAATTGACAAATGGGATCTAATTAAACTAAAGAGCTTCTGCACAGCAAAAGAAACTACCATCAGAGTGAACAGGCAACCTACAGAATGGGAGAAAATTTTTGCAACCTACTCATCTGACAAAGGGCTAATATCCAGAATCTACAATGAACTCAAACAAATTTACAAGAAAAAAACAAACAACCCCATCAAAAAGTGGGCAAAGGATATGAACAGACACTTCTCAAAAGAAGACATTTAGGCAGCCAAAAAATACATGAAAAAACGCTCATCATCACTGGCCATCAGAGAAATGCAAATCAAAACCACAATGAGATACCATCTCACACCAGTTAGAATGGCAATCATTAAAAAGTCGGGAAACAACAGGTGCTGGAGAGGATGTGGAGAAATAGGAACACTTTTACACTGTTGGTGGGACTGTAAACTAGTTCAACCATTGTGGAAGTCAGTGTGGCGATTCCTCAGGGATCTAGAACTAGAAATACCATTTGACCCAGCCATCCCATTACTGATTAGCTCTTTTCGTGTATCAAACATGTAATAAACAAATCATCTCCATAGTCTACAAAGTATAGTAATAAACACGAACTGACATAGATTGCATTTTTTTATGTGTGTTTCAGTACTCATTGATTGATTGATGCATAAATATAATGTGTGGCTCTATTCTATGCACCTCACAAAAATATTAACAGATATTAATAATAATGCTTTTATTATTGTCATTTTACATATGAGAAAGGTAGAATCAGAGGGTCTGAGTCTAAAATTTGTGTTCTTTGATGCCACAGGACGCTTCCTCTTGGTTTCGTACAGTCTAAAGCTGACCTTAATCTGTGGATGGCTCCTGCTTTTCTCTTAGCAGCGGTTGGTCTTTACTTGTGTTCTAGAGGTGACGGTGCTTTCTGTTACTCTGCTGCTGCTTAAGGACTTTGCTTTGTAGGAGCTTAAGGTGGGGAGCAGGGTCTGTTCCTTTCTACGGTGGCATTCAGGTATCTCTTGCACACCTGCATTAATGAGAGAGGGGTCTTTTTCTGATCACCTGCCCTGTCAGCAGTCATAGGTGAGTACTCGTGGAGGCCTGTGGGAAATATCCTAAGAGTGAGACCCTCCCATCCTCTGTGTCTGGGGCCCCCAGCTGTTCCAGACAAATGCACCTTCCCAAATGCCAGGGTTTTTTATGTCAGCACATCATAACGTATCTGAACTGCTATGCAGAACTGAGCTGGCAAGTTGACTGTTTTTTATTTTGTTGTTTTGTTTTATTAATTTTTTGAGTATTAGAAAGTCCTCCTTCACTCTAAAATTTTCCCCAACCTCTTGACATAGTGTTTGCAATGAGACCACATGAAATAGAATCGTTTCAGAGTTTTCCAGATTTCAAGATCAATATTTCTGCAATGGTTAACAGTTCATACTTAAACAGAGAGAATCCATCCAGAAGACCGTTAAGAGGGCAGGGTGCGGTGGCTCACACCTATAATCCCAGCACTTTGGGAGGCCAAGGCGGGTGAATCACCTGAGGTCAGGAGTTTGAGACCAGCCTGGCCAACATGGTGAAACCCTGTCTCTACTAAAAATACAAAAATTAGCCAGGCATAGTGGCGTGTGCCTACAGTCCCAGCTACTCGGGAGGCTGAGAGACAAGAGAATTGCTTAAAACCAAGAGGCGAAGGTGGCAGTGAGCCAAGATTGTGCCACTGTAGTCCAGCATGGATGACAGAATGAGACTCCACTTAAAAAAAATCCATGCACCCATTCATTCATTTATTAATTTGCTCAAAAAATATTTACTGAATTTTTTTTTTTTTTAGGTGCACAACCTTAGTCAGGCTCTGGGGATACAGAAGTAACAAGAAGACCAGACCCTTGTTCCAATGGAGGAGACATCCTGGTGGGTGAGACAGAAGGAAAAAAAAATAAAGCAAATCAACAAAATAACAGCTGTTGGGATAAGTGCTCTGTAGCAAACAAACAAGGCAAGGATAGAAGATCTTCCTGGAGGCAGTGAGGTGGGGGTCCTTAATTAAGTGCTCAGAAACAAAATTTAAGGTCATATTTTGGATGAGACCTAATGGAAGACCGAGCGCTAGGTGTGTGAAGATCTGGGGAAATTCATTCTATGCAGAGGAAGCAGCCTGTGGGGAAAACCTAGGATCTGATAAGAGCCTGCCTTTATGAATTAATTTAAGGCAGATGTGGCTGAAACTTAGGGAGTAGGGAAGCAGGTCAGTGGGGTGCAGTTGGCGGTGCAAGTCAGGGTCAGAACATTCAGGGTCTCACAAACCAAGGAAAGACAGGGGCTTCATCTAAGCACAAGAGATGAGGCTATTCAAGCGTGGAATGGTCTCACCTGATTCACATTTCACCAGGGAAGCTCTTGCTGGGGGAGACAAGAATCCCGAAAAGGAGAATGGTAGCAGGAAGGCAAGTCAGGATGCAGCTGCAAATCATCCAAATGAGAGATCGTTTGTTGCTTGGAGTGGGGTGTTGAGAGTGTGGTTCCGATAAGTTGCTAGATTTGAGATATTTTATACATAGAACATCCAGAGCTTGCTAACCTATTTGGTGCCAAACATTTAAAAACCGGGAAAGAATCAAAGGTGAATTCTAGAATTCTGCCTTGAGAACTAGGTTGATGATGGTGCGTGAAAAACAGTGTTGCCTCCTTCTGAGCAGGGAAAAACACGGAGTGAGAGGAAGTGGGAGCAGAGGCCGAGGTGCTGTGGGGACCTGTTAGCATGGGGTTCCTAGTTCTTTCTCCCTGACCATATTAAAGTAATGGGGTGGGGATAGGTAACCTCACCTTTAGATGTGAGAGCCTTCTCTTTAAAGTCTTTCCTAATTAGAACCAAAGTTGCAGCTAAAATCATCTCATGCATATACTTCTGAAACCCTATTTTTTGTTGTTTTTTGGTTTATTTTGCCTTTGTTTTTGTTTGTTCTCCTTAAAGACTTCACATTTTTAACTAGGGTAGTTTTAAGAGCAATACTCTTTGTAAATACTCAAGAGAACACACATGTCACCGCTGGCATAACATTTCTTTCAGATCAACATATCATTTTCCCCTGACATAGAAGGTATTAAAGTCCTGCTTAGCCCACCAGAGGCTCTAAAATATATTACACACAGGCATAGGAGAGGCACATGAAGAATTCATTTGTCTCATCCCTTTCTTAAAAGGGTGATCAGAGACACATAAAGGCTTCATGAAAAATGAATGCAGGAAAAAGCTTCCAAATGGGGAGAAAACCTTGCAATGACTAGGTCAAAGGGGAGCCAAAGAAAATGGCTCTAGAGAGAGGAAGCAACTCGCAGCTTGTCATTATCCAGAGAAACCAGCTGCGTTTCTGCACACGTGCATGCGAGGGTCAGCCAGAAAGCCAGATGCTGCTTTGGGGAAACAGAGGCCGAGTGCTTGTCATCCGATGATGGTCTTGGCTGGCCAGGTAACAGATGAGCAAGAAAAAATAATTTTTTTTCACTCAATGATATTTCCACTTACCCATATTATTTGCCACTTTCAACTTGCACACACAGACAAACACACACACACACGGCACACCTAAGGCCTTGTGAGGAAGATAAGCCATGGAGAAAAATGAGGGAGAGTAAACAGAAGAGGCCCTGTTACATTTCCTTTGCCATGAAACCTCTTTGTTTGCAGCATGTCCACAAATCACAACATGCATTGAGGATGGAGTCCTTTTTAGAGAAGCTAATTATAAAAACATGGTCTGGCATGAAAATGGGGAGATGGTTCCAAACCATTCCAAAGTAGGATGCCAGGTTCCTCGTAGCTTTCAATGTGTATATTAAAATTGCCAAAGCCCTTCCGCTCACTGTTTCTGTACTCCGGATGTTCCTTGCTGCAGAGAAGAGTGATTTTTGGAGAGCAGAAATAAAAGATGGGGTTGGGAGAGGGGAGAAAGAAAGTTTAAAACTCTTCTAAATTAGAATTTGCTTCAAACTGAGTCAAAAGGTTTCTTTCTTTATCTCATTTTATTTTAATATCCAATAAAATAGCACCTATATATGTAGACAGAAAGGATTCTGGGTGACCAACAGCAATCTCTCTCTTTTATTGATTCTCTCAAAAAATTTTATTTGGTTGCCATAATCTGCAGGGCTTTTTTTTAACCGTGTTTTCACCCTCTTCATGCTGTTATTTACAATTACACCTGGCCTACCAAAATGTGGGTGCCATTTGTGATTTTATTTATTTATTCATGATTTTAAATGGACATGTAAGATTATATATATTTGCGGCATCCAGAAGGATGGTTTGATCTATGTATACATTGTGGAATGGCTGACTCAAGCTACTTAACTCAGTGCATGACTTCACATACTTCTCCATTTTTTTGTGATGAGACCACTTAAAATCTACTTTCTTAGCAATTTTTAAGTATATTATTAACTATAGTCCCCATGATACAATAGCTCTCCTAAACTTGTTCAACTGAAATTTTGTGTTCTCTTACCAACGACTCTGTAAACACACCCCCATCTCTGCTCCCAGCTTCTAGCAGCCACCATTCTATTCTCTGCTTCTAGGAGTTTAACTTTTTAAGGTTCTACATGTAAGTGAGATCACGTAGCGTTTATCTTTCTGTGCCTGGCTTATTTCCCTTAACATAATGTCTTCTACATTTATCTGTGTTGTCACAAATAACAGGATTGCTTTCTTTTTTAAGGCTGAATAATATTCTATGAGTATATATGACACGTTTTATTTATCCATTCATCCATTGATGGACACTTAGGTGGATTCCATACCTTGGCTATTGTGAATAGTGCTGCAATAAACATGGGAGAGCAGATCTCCCTTCGATAGGCTGATTCCATTTCCTTTAGATATATACTGAATCGTAGGATTGCTGGCTTACATGGTAGTTCCATTTTTAATTTTTTGAAGAACCTCCATACTGTTCTCCACTGTGGCAGTACTAATTTAGATTCTCATTAACAGGGTGCAGGGGTTCTTTTTTCTCTGTGCCCTCACCACCCACTTGTTGTCTTTTGTCTTTTTGATAATAGCCATTCTAACAGGTGTGACGTGATATCTCATTGCGGTTTTGATTTGCAGTTCCCTGATAATTAGTGATGTTCAGCATTTTTAAATATATATGTTGGCTATTTGTATGTCTTTTTTTGAGAAATATCTATTTAGGTCCTTTGCCCATTTTTAAATCAGATTGTTTTTTTTACTATTGAGTTGTTTGAATTATTTGTTTATTTTGGATATTTACCCTCTATTAAATGTATGTTTTGCACATATAGTCTCCCATTCTGGAGGTTATCTCTTCTCTCAGTTTTAATAAATCTGTTGTTGTTTTTTTCTTTTTGAGACAGAATCTTGCTTTGTCACCCAAGCTGTAGTGCAGTGGTGTGATCTCAGCTCACTGCAACCTCCACCTCCCATGTTCAAGCAATTCTCCTGCTTCAGCCTCCCGAGTAGCTGGGATTACAAGCATGCACCACCATGCCCAGTTAATTTTTGTATTTTTAGTAGACATGGGGTTTTGCCATGTTGGCCAGGCTGGCCTTGAGCTCCTGGCTTCAAGTGGTCTGCCCACCTCAGCCTCTCAAAGTGCTGGGATTACAGGTGTGAGCCACGTACCCAGTCAATTTTATTTTTTTACTTTAAGTTCCGGGATACATGTGCAGAAGGTGCAGGTTTGTTACATAGATAAACGTGTGCCATGGTGGTTTGCTGCACCTATTAACCCATTGTCTAGGTTCCCTCCCCTCACCCCCCAGCCTGCAACAGGCCCTGGTGTGTGTTGTTCCCCTCCCTGTGTCTATGTGTTCTCATTGTTCTATTCCCACCTATGAGTGAGAACTTGCTGTATTTGGTTTTTCTGTGCCTGTGTTAGTTTGCTGAGGATGATGGCTTCCAGCTTCATCCATGTCCCTGCAAAGGACATGATTTCATTCCTTTTTATGGCTACGTAGTACTCCATAGTGTATATGTGCCACATTTTCTTTATCTAGTCTATAATTGATGGGCATTTTGGTTGGTTCCATGTCCCTGCTACTGTAAATAATGCTGCAATAAACATACGTGTGCATGTGTCTCTATAGTAGAATGATTTATATTCCTTTGGGTGTCTACCCAGTAATGGGATTGCTGGGTCAAATAGTATTTCTGATTCTAGATTTTTGAAGAATCTATAGTGGTCGAACTAATTTACATTCCTACCAACAGTGTAAAAGCATTCCTGTTTCTCCACAGCCTCTCCAGCATCTATTGTTTCTTCACTTTTTAATAATCGCCATTCTGACTGGCATGAGATGGTATCTCATTGTGGTATTGACTTGCATTTCTCTAATGATCAGTGATGTTGAGCTTTTTTCATATGTTGGTTGGAAGCATAAATGCCTTCTTTTGAGAAGTGTATGTTCATATCCTTTGCCCACTTATGATGGGGTTGTTTGTTTCTTTCTTGTAAATTTGTTTAAGTTCCTTGTAGATTCTGGATATTCAACCATTGTCAGATGGGTAGATTGCAAAAATTTTCTTTCACTCTGTAGATTGCTTATTCACTCTGATGATTGTTTCTTTTGCTGTGCAGAAGCTCTTTAGTTTAACTAGATCCACTTGTCAATTTTGCTTTTGTTGGAATTACCTTTGACATTTTTGTCATAAAATCTTTGCCCATGCCTATGTCCTGAATGGTATTGTCTAGGTTTTCTTCTATGGTTTTATTGTTTTGGGTTTTACATTTAAGTTTTTAATCCATCTTGAGTTAATTTTTGTATAATGTGTAAGGAAGGGGTCTAGTTTCAGTTTTCTGCATATGGCTAGCCAGTTTTCCCAGCACCGCTTATTATATAGGGAACCATTTCCCCGTTGCTTGTTTTTGTCAGGTTTGCCAAAGATCAGATGGTCATAGATGTGTGGTGTTATTTCTGAGGTCTCTGTTCTGTTCCATTGGTTTTTATATTTATATGTATGTTTTGGTACCAGTACCATGCTGTTTTGGTTACTGTAGCCTTGTAATATAGTTTGAAGTCAGGTAGTGTGATGCCTCCATGATTATCTCAATTGGTGCAGAAAAGGCCTTCAATAAAATTCAACATCCCTTCTGTTTAAAACTATCAATAAACTAGGTATTGATGGAACATAGATCAAAATAATAAGAGCTATTTATGACAAACCCATAGCCAATACCATACTCAATGGGCAAAAGCTGGAAGCATTTCCTTTGAAAACCGGCACAAGAAGAGGATGCACTCTCTCACCACTCCTATTCAACATAGTATTGGAAGTTCTGGCCAGGGCAATCAGGCAAGAGAAATAAAGCATATTCAAACGGGAAGAGAGGAAGTCAAACTGCCTCTGTTTGCAGACAACATGATTCTATATTTAGAAAACCCATTGTCTCAGCCCCAAAACTCCTTAAGCTGATAAACAACTTCAGCAAAGTCTCAGAATATAAAATCAGTTTGCAAAAATCACGAGCATTCCTATACACCAACAATAGACAAGCAGAGAGCCAAATCATGAGTGAACTCCCATTCACGATTGGTACAAAGAGAATAAAATACCTAGGAATGCAGACAACAAGGGATGTGAAGGGCCTTTTCAGGGAGAACTACAAACCACTGCTTAGGGACACAAACAAATAGAAAAACATTCCATCCTCATGGATGGGAAGAATCAGTATCATGAAAATGGCCATACTGCCCAAAGTAATTTATAGATTCAATGCTATTTTCATCAAACCACCACTGAAATTCTTCACAGAAATAGAAAAAACTACTTTAAATTCCATATGGAAACAAAAAAGAGCCCGTATAGCCAAGAAAATCCTAACCAGTCAGTTTTAATAAATCTTACCACTATTTTAATCTACCTGCATTGTAATCTAACCAGGACAACGAAGGAATGTTGGCCAAGTATTTTAACTCCATCACTTCCTGTCTCAGCTCTGTGAAAAAGTAACCTAATATTAGGCATTTAATGTGTTTGTTGGTTTAGGCCAGTACTGTCAATAAAACTTTCAGTGATGGTGGAAATATTTTTATATCTGCATTGACCAATATGGTATTCCCTAACCACATGTGGCTTTTGAGCCTTTGAAACAAGGCTAGTATGATTGAGACACTGAAGTTTTCATTTTACATTTTAATTAATGTAAATTTAGACAGTCTCTTGTGGCTTGTGTACACTGTATAGGACAGTGCAGATTTAGAACCTTGAAAAATAAATCAAGGACTCCAATGCCCACTTTTCATATTGAAAAGGGCTCTGAACCCTGAAGAACAATTTTGTCAATTGATCTGTATATTCAACTCAGACAAGTCTTTGAAGGCCTCTGGGCCTTGGTTTTCTCTTGTGTAAGGTGGGTACAAGAGACCCTTCTCTCCCTGCCTCATGTCGTTATTGTATGGCTAAAAGCAGTGGAGGAAGATGGAAGAGTTTAACTAAATGTGGTACTTCATACAACTGTAAAGTTTAGAGAGAAAGGTCACCCTCAGTGAAATGAACCTTCCTCATCTTAGTCTTTATTTTAGCTTTTGGAAGGTCTTTAAATGCCACACACAGAATTTACACTTTTAAAATTAGTTTACTAGCTTGTTTTTACATGAATCCCATTTTACAAATGTGGAGAATGAAGCACGGAGACATTAAGTAATTGAGTGATTCCCAAAATCACTCAGGGAGGGATGGGGCTAGTATTTAAATGGAGACAGTTGAAACCTAAATCCTTATCTCTGTAATGACCCCCTAAAGCCCATTCTGACTCATTGGTAGCTGTTTCAGCACCCATTCCTGCATTCTTACCATGCTTCCTTGCTGTAGTTTTTGTCTTTTCCCCCCCAGACAGTTTTGCTCTTGTTCCCCAAGCTGGAGTGTGATGGTGGGAGCTCGACTCACTGCAACCTCGCCTCTTGGGTTCAAGCAATTCTCCTGCCTCAGCCTCCCAAATAGCTGCGGTTACAGGCGCCTGCCACCATGCTCAGCTAATTTTGTATTTTTAGTAGAGATGGAGTTTCACCATGCTGGAGAGGTTGGTCTCGAACTCCTGACCGCAAGTGTTCCACTTGCCTTGGCCTTCCAAAGTGCTGGGATTACAGGCGTGAGCCACTGCGCCCAGCCCCCTACCATCCTTCCTAAAGATCTGGACCTGAGGTTTAGTTTGGTTGGCCTTAAGCCAATCAGCACATCTCCTATCCCTGGTCACATGACAGGTGGGCATATGGTGCATTTCAGGCCAATGAGACTAAGGCGTTTACTGGAGACTTCAGGTGGAGATATTTCCTCTCTTGCTTATTGTAAACTGGGAAACTCATAACCTGGTTATTGATGTCAATCATTCTGGAATCAACAATGTACCCTAGGTAAGAAAGGAACCAAGACCAAGGAAGGTAAAGTGAAGAGATGTAAAAAATCCCTTGATCCTTGGTGATACTAGTGATCTGCTTGATATAGCCTTACTTGTATTCCACTCCATGGTTGGACTTTTCAGTTCTGTGGAATTATGCTTTTAAAACAGTATAATTTTTTTGTTTTGCTATTGCAGTTGCAGTTGCTGTTATAACAACTGCAGCGGTGGAAAGCCGTCTAAAGTAATACAGTCATGTCTTGTGCAAACTCAAAATTTCACAACCCAGAATATAATGTCCATCATTTGAAAGTCAAAGTTTAATACTAACACAAAGTGTTGCTTCTAGTTCAGAGACACGATTCTCTGCTCTGCGTATGGAATGAGGTCTCCATAACAAGGGATAACAGATTAGCTCTGCAGCGAGCAATGGCAGTACATTAAAAGAATATTAAGGTTGTGACAGGAAACGATATCAGTAAAAGCAATTCCTCGGGAAGGGAGAGGCACCATATGTGCAGCCAACATTGCGATGCAAGAACAGGAGGAGGGGGGTAGAATTAGGAAGGTCATTAAAGAGACTCCCCGTGGTGCCCAGGAGTTAGAAGACATATGGCGCCTTTGCCCCGAGTTGGGAGGTTTCATTTCTCTTTGCTTCCATCTTCTTGTTCATCTTTGGAAGGAAACAGGAAGAAGAGCTGAACAAGAGTCAGTGATGTGCGTCCTTATCTTAAGGTGACTCAGTGGGGAAGCAGGAGGTGAGGTTTAGTGGAAGAGCACTAGGTTGTCAGTTCTAAGGCCTGGGTTCTATGCATTATTAACTCCGTGATTTTGGGTAAAGCACTTGAATTTCTGAACTCCAGTTGCTTCATTTGAAAAATAGAAGGACAATATTTCAGCCCTAGTGAAACACTACCCCACCCTCAAAAAGTCATGCATTCTCTTGCCTCTGGGATTTCAATCCTGTACTCTCTCTGTTTGTGTACTCTTCCCCACTACCCCTCTTTAACTGCTATTTTCAGCTCTAGTGTCACCTGCTGTATGAAGCCTTCTGACCTGGATTGAATATCTCCCCTTCTACTTATCACACAATAGTGATTGCCTGTTTCTCCTCAATAGAAGTTAAAAGTATACACAAATATCCACTTTCCACCCTGCATACATCGTAAACATTAAGCTTTTTGAGGTCAGGGACCATGTTTATACATCATTGTGTTTCCGGGGCTAATTAAATGCAGGTATGGCATCAGATGGGGGCTCAAATGAAGGCATCAACATAAACTAGGCCTCCTAAGCTGTTCAGGGCTCTCTTGGTGCCTTTGTCAATTCTCTATCCCATTCCCTGTATGTAACTTAAAAGATCCTCCCCTTCCCAGGATACTTGCTCTTTGACATTGCCCTTGACCTTCAAAAGAGGGCTTTGGATCCTTCGGTGCATTTGAAGGTGAAAATTTATTACTTGTCTTTTCTTTTTTTTTCGTGGAGGTGGGGGCAAGATCTCACTCTGTCACCCAAGTTGGAGTGCAGTGTTGCAATCATGACTCACTACGGCATCAGCCTCCAGGGCTCAAACAGTCCTTCCATCTCAGCCTTCCAAATACCTGGGACTACAGGCATGCACCACTACACTCAGCCACATTTTCAACTGAGAAAAGTAAAACAGATTTGGAGCAAGATATTGGATATATGGCGAGGAAAACTGTAGTGGAAAATGGAAGAGGGGAGTAGAGAGAAGAAGACCACCTATGTGGCAGTGTTAAATATATTTGCTTATCCAATCAAGAAACACGTTCCAGTGGTCACAGGAATTTCACTCATCAGTTAGATGTCTTCTTCCATGCAGTAGAATGAGGACATTATAGAAGTTTCCCCATAGAAACTTTGAGGAAAGGAGTTTACCTTCCAATCCTGGTTCACAGAGGAAATAGAATGTCTGGACTTACGTGAGTCTTTTCTCTCCCTTTCCTTTTTTTCTCTTGTAGAAATGGAAAAGAAAAAACTCTTCTGCCTGGGGCTGCTTCCTTCTTACACAGTCTCCTGGAAATTCTACTCTTTCCACCTTCCACTCTGTACTAGTTTCCATGCATCAGCTTTTTAAAGGCTGCACACAAAAGCTTTCATTTGCCACTCCTAATAACTAGGACAGCCCTTTCACCCTACCTTCGTAATCAAAGACATACACCTGGTTCTCGGTTGAAGAGGCACTGAAGCATAAATTAGAAAGAGAAAGGAATGCATGTTTCCCCAAACATGTACTCTCGGAGGTCATATTAGTCTCTTGCTTCCCTGCTCTTTTGTGACAAGCAATGTTAGGATAGCAGTGGATGATCCCAAACTTCCTTTGCTCCCTAACATCCAACCAACCACCTCTGCTTCTTTCTTTCAATAATTCTATCATGTTCTTGGACTGGCCAAATACAAATGGCCATTTTAAGTGATAGCTTTCCAGGTAAGAAAAAGTTACAAATTGCCCAATCCAAATGAATATTTGCATTGCCAGGATTATGGTTATAGTTATGTGTGTCAACTCATTGTCAGAACATCAGCCTCTAGACTCCCTCTCTCAGCCACATGAAAGGGCTTAGGTGATAAACTCAATCACAGCCATGTGGCAAAAACCAAAGGAGTTCAATTCAGCATATAATAGTCTCAATCCCATATGAGCTAAAATCCATCTGTGTTGGTCAATATATTATGTCTGCCATAACAGATATGCTTTGGGTTAAGAGTAGTAAAATAGTAATAAATCCTTGTTTTGAGGACAAGACACTTTTTGTTTTTAGCCTCTTTTTTTGGCAAACATGTAAGAGAAAAAGAGGACCCAAGGATAGGTAGTTTGTCAAGTAACGAGATTTGAACCTAGTCTAATAACAGGTAGTCTGTGGATGTGGGCAAGATCCTTCTTATTGGTGCAGATGGTAGGTAGGACACTCACAAGATACAATGAAACTGGGTCACCCAAGCCTTCTAGTATTTTTGAAGATTCCGTTGCCATACATGGCTGGGAGTATCTTGAGTGCAAAGCAAGTCTGTCAGTTTTGTGATACACTTGCTATGATTTTCAACTTTGTTGTCTGCACATTTACAGATGAGTTACAAGACAGATAACTATGCCAGCAAATGGTAAAACATCCATAGTGAAGTGCAACACGGCCAAAGGCTGACATAATATATTTCCATTTTGAGTTTATCTTTCCCCAAATTTCTTAAAGTGCATTAACTGCCAAAAGTTCTCCCTTCACAAATGCGAATATGATTAAAATGGTGATTGCATCTAAAAAAAAGTCATGCTACATGGCAAAATAGTTTGATGTTCATCTTGCTGCTTTCAGCGGCAATTTCACGAGGGTGCAGAATGCATCAGAAGCTTTAATCCAGGGAGAGATATCAATGAGTCTGGAGCCCAATCAAGAATTTGAAAAAGGATCTCCAAAGTTATCCATTAGTTGAAGATAGAGCTACTGAGGAAGTGGCTGTATGAGGCACAGAGAAACACAGGTTTAGAGAAATGGGACAGTACTTGTGTATGGACCAAAGATCTCTTTGGATTTCCCTCCAATACCTCCTCCCCCAGCACCCTCAGTCTCATTTAAGATGAGAAAACTGATATCTCAAGAGGTGAAGTGATATGCTTAAGGTTTAACAGCAAGATAAGTTCTCTCTCAGGGGAAAGACAAATATTTGTCTTTTGAGCAGAAGTTGTAGATGTTCTGCCCATATTCCCTCATCTTTAATGCCTCTGCAAAAGCTGGTCAGACTTCCACCCACCAGCACCTGCACTTCATTACCCACGGGAGCTTTCTTTAGCTACCAGTGTCGGTGTTGAGCACTCTGTGGCAGGCTGGAAGACCTGAGAATTAACATCATTCACAAGCATCCCTCAAACAATGGTAGAGCGGAGTTGGTGTATAAATACCCCATTGTCCTCACCCCTCAGATGGGGTAACATGGAGGTGCATGTTCTACTTTGGCTGCCAGAGAGTCTCCAGGGAGGTTAACTAAGCCGCAGTCTTTCACCAGGATAACTGACATGACAACACACCCTTTATTGTGTCACTTATTTTGCCTGTCTTACTTCCCCACCCACTGTCTCATATTTTCTTTAACTCTTAATTAAACTCTACTTGTACTTGAATTGTTTTTCCTGGGTCTGCTTCTGGTAGATGTGAAATGCAGACAGTCCTATCTACTTCACACTCTGTGGAGTCATCTATTATCTGTGCTTACTTAAAAAAAAAAAAAAAAAGTCGGCCAGGCGCGATGGCTCACGCCTGTAATCGCAGAACTTTGACTTTGAGAGGCCGAAGCAGGTGGATTGCCTGAGGTCGGGAGTTCAAGACCATCCTGACCAACATGGGGAAATCCCATCTCTACTAAAAATACAAAATTAGCCAGACATGGTGGTGCATGCCTGTAATCCCAGCTACTTGGAAGGCTGAGGCAGGAGAATCGTTTGAACCCGGGAGGCGGAGGTTGCAGTCAGCTGAGATGGCGCCATTGCACTCCAGCCTGGGCAACAAGAGCAAAACTCCGTCAAAAAAAGTCACAATTGCTACTTCATGTCTCTCTTCCTCGAAACACAGACCTAGAATTGGATCCCCAGATGTATGGGAAATGGGGAACGTCTGGATGTTTCTGCTAAGGTTTCTTCTGAATAGAAGGACAAGAGTCTGGTAGGATAAAATCCTGCATTTCACCACTGATTAGGGGTCTGAACAGTATAAGGGGAACGGGAAGAACACTGGGTTTGGGGCTCTGTCTCCCTACTTCCTTTAGGTGAGTCTCTTTAAACAGGGACTGATTCTATGATAATGCCAAATATGTACTAGAGGAAGACTAATGGAGACATATGTTACATAATTTTTAAGAATTCTACTTGGGGATAGTTTTTTCTTGCATGAGGAGAGGATTTTGAAGGTTCTCAGAGAATAAAGTCCTTCCATGATTTTCTTTTTTTTTTTTTTTTTTTGAGACGGAGTCTCGCTCTGTCACCCCAGCTGGAGTGCAGTGGCATGATCTCTGCTCACTGCGACCTCCACCCACCAGGTTCAAGCCATTCTCCTGCCTCAGCCTCCCGAGTAGCTGGGACTACAGGCGTGTGCCACCATGCCCAGCTAATTTTTTGTATTTTTAATAGAGACGGGATTTCACTGTGTTAGCCAGGATGATCTTGATCTCCTGACCTCGTGATACACCCGCCTTGGCCTCCCACAGTGCTGGGATTACAGGCATGAGCTACCGCCCCTGGCCTATGATATTCTTTAGAAGCCATATGGGCCATAGACAATCTATAAAAGTATGTTTTTATTTTGTCTGTTTTAACTTTTATTTTAGGTTCGGGGTACACGTGCAGGTTTATTACATAGGTAAATCTGGGAATTGGGGGTTTGTTGTATAGATCATTTCTATACAACACCCAGTTACTAAGCTGAGTACTCATTAGTTATTTTTCCTGCTCATCTCCCTCTTTCTACCCTCCACCCTCCGACAGGCCCCAGAGTGTGCTGTTCTCTTCTATGTGTCCATGTGTTCTGATCATTTAGCTCCCACTTTTAAGTGTGACCATGTGGCATTTCTTTTTCTGTTTTGTGTTAGTTTGCTAAGGATAATGGCCTCCAGCTCTATCCATGTCCCGGCAAAGGACAGGATGTTGTTTGTTCTTTTTTGATGGCTTCATAGTGTTCCATGGTGTATATGTACCAATTTTCTTTATTCAGTCTACTGCAAAGGGCATGAACAGACACTTTTCAAAAGAAGGTATATATACAGCCAACAAGCATATGAAAAAAAGAAGCTCATGATAGGTGGATCATGAGAAAAATGTAAATCAAAACCACAGTGAGGTCGGGCATGGTGGCTCACGCCTGTAATCCCAGCAGTTTGGGAGGCCGAGGTGGGTGGACCACCTGAGGTCAGGAGTTTGAGACCAGCCTGGCCAACATGGTGAAACCCCGTCTCTACTAAAAATGCGCAAAGTAGCAGGGCTTGCTGGCGCATGCCTGTAATACCAGCTACTTGGGAGGCTGAGGCAGGAGAAGTGCTTGAACCCGGGAGGCAGAGGTTGCAGTGAGCTGAGATCGCACCACTGCACTGAAGCCTGGGCAACAGAGCAAGACTCCGTCTCAGAACAGAAACACACACACACACACACACACACACACAGAATGAGATACCATCTCACACCAGTCAGAATGGCTATTACTAAAAAGTCAAGAAATAACAGATGGCTGGCAAGATTGCAGAGAAAAAGGAACGCTTAGACACTGTTGGTGGGGGTGTAAATTAGTTCAATAATTGTGGAAAGAAGTGTGGCAATTCCTCAAAGAGCTGTAAAAGTATTTTTAATCTACTTTGTCTTAAAACAGAATCCAGGGGTTAACCCCAGAATGGAACATATTTATCTTTGTGAAACCATTCTATAATCAAGCTAACTGAGTAGTCTTTTATGTTTGGTTGTTTTTCTTCAGAAGGAATATGGGCAATCATTATTAGTTTCATAGAATTTAGAGTTCAAGGAATTATCCTAGATTTCTTGTTAGATTTGCACTCTTAAGTGATACTCCTGATGGGTCACGTAGATTTGGGCCTTCTATGAAGTGAGATTAAAGTTTGGGGATGCAAGCACTGGAAATTGAGATTACAGAATAAAAACATTCTGTTTCGTGTGAAGACACAATTTAATGCAATGCCTAATTCATCTTACCTGCTCAAGACTTGTTCACTATTTTTCTTATTTTCACCCAAGCACTTAAAAGAAACAGCATTAACCGCAAATCCAGTGACATTGTCAATAAACACTGGAATCCACACTGCCTTCAGGAAGTGCTTACTGGAAGGGTGATACATTCTGAAAACCAGGGAGGGCGGTTTGTGCACAGAGGCTGCACATATGCTTTCTTGCTCATGTTTTGAGTGGTGTTCCAGAAAGTCACCCTTGAGAGGGCTTTAATTCAAGGCTATCACTCTATCCTTGTTTGGTTTTGTATCTTGGAATTCAACAATGGCACTCAGCTAACATGAAAAAAACCTGATACCGATTTTATGTAAATATTTTTAGAGGCTAAAGAAATCCACCCCTGAAAAAAGGAGGACAGGGGGAAGTTTAAACAAAAATACTAAATTCAACGTCATACAAATCATATCCAGTGACTCAGGCCAATATATGAGTTAATGAAGGGTTTTTTCCCTTTCTGTCTCCCTCTCTTTCTTTCTCTTTATCTCTGTCTTCCCGTCTCTGCTCCTCCTGCCTTCTCTCCCTTCCTTCCTCCTTCTCTTTCTCTCCATGTTTCTCTCCTTCTTTCCATTTCCATTCTCTCTATATCTGACTCTGCCTTTCTGTGTTCTTTATTTCTCTCTCTCATCTCCTAAATTAAATGATCTTCATTATCACTGAAATTACAGTAAACTTTTATATGAAAGAGCTTGATTCTTACAATCTTGTTAGTTTGAAAACCAGGCAAAGGCCGGGCACGGTGGCTCACGCCTGTAATCCCAGCACTTTGGGAAGCCGAGGCGGGCAGATCACTTGAGGTCAGGAGTTCGAGACCAGCCTGGCCAACATGGTGAAACTCTGTCTCTGTTAAAAATACAAAAATTAGCCAGGTGTAGTGACACGCGCCTGTAATCCCAGCTACTTGGGAGGCTGAGGCAGGAGAAGAGAATTGCTTGAGCCCAGCAGGCAGAGGTTATGGTGAGCCGAGCTAACGCCACTGCACTCAAGCTTGAGTGACAGAGTGAGACTTGGAAAAGAAAAACACAAAAAAGAAAGAAAGATAAACAAGAAAACCAGGCAAGATTTCAACCAGCTAGTATAAAAAGCTATCTTTGCAGGATACAAGTTGTTCTATAATTTTCAGAGTTTTGAGGAATTGGATACCTGTTTTTTAAACAGCCATCTTTCCTTAACAGGAAGATCTCAAGATACCAAGAAATTTTAAAACTCCCTGGTTTATTTTCACATTTAGTTTGGAATCTCTCCAGTGACAGCTTCTCCAAAGCATTAAAACTTCTTCTTGAATACTTGTTCTTGCAGAGAACTCATTTCTCTAAAAACCTCAACGATATCTACAAAGGGCCCTGGCCCCTCTTAGCATATCCTTCTATAGCTTGACCATGTTGGTTTTATTTTCTAAGCGGAATATTGAGAATCAAAGTAACACCCAAATTGGTAAGTCTAAGAATAAACTTCTAGAAGGGGGAAAATGGACAAATAAAAAGAAGAAATCCAAATGGCTAATAAGCATATATCAAAGAGGTCAGTCTCATTAAGGAAGGAATATACACTAAACAAAAACAATTAAAAATGAGCAAAAGATCTGAATAGACATTTCTCAAAAGAAGACATACAAAGGGCCAACAGGTATAGGATAAAACTCTTAACACCACGAATCATCAGAGAAATGCTAATCAAAACCACAGTGAGATATGCTCTCATCCCCGTCAAAATGCTGTTTATGAAGTACATAGGCAATAACAGATGCTGACGAGGCTGCAGAGAAAAAGGAACCCTTGTACACTATTGGTGGGAATGCGAATCATTAGCGCCTCGATAAAAACCAGCACAGAGTTTCTCAAAAAACTAAAAATAGAACTGCCGCATGAATCAGCAATTCCACCACTGGGCACACACTCAAAAGAAAGGAAATCAGTATATCGAAGAGATATCCGCATGCCCATGTGTTTTGCAGCATTGTTCACAATAGCCAAGATTTGGAAGCCACCTAAGTGTCCATCAACAGATGAATGGATAAAGAAAACCTGGTACAGACACAATAGACTATTAATCAGCCATATAAGAGAATTAAATCCTGTCGTTTATAACACCATGGATGGAACTGGAATCTGGGAAGTGAAAGTGAAATAAGCCAGACACAGAAAGACAAATATTGCATGTTCTCACTCATATGTGGGAGCTTAAAAAAAAAAAAAATTGAACTCACAGAGATAAGAGAGTAGAAGGATGGTTACCAGAGTTGGGAACGGCAGTGAGGAAGGGGAAATAAACAGAGGATGGTTAACGGATACAAAAATACAGCTAGATAGAAGGAATATGATCTAGTATTTGGTAACGATAGGGTGACTATAGTTAACAATGATTTATTGTATATTTCAAAGTAACAAAAAGAGTGGAATTGGAATGTTGCTAATACAAAGAAATGATAAATGCTTGAGGTGACGAATATCCCAATTACCCTGATTTGATCATTACACATTGTATGCTTGTGTCAAAATTTCACATGTGCCCATAATTATTTACAACTATCATATGTCCATAATAATTAAAAATTACTTTTTTTAAAAGAAAAATTAGATGTAGTTTCCTATGATTCATGTAGATATTAAAAAAACTGATAAACCAATAGTAGTGCTAGCTAGGTCTGAGAAAAAGGCACTTACATATATAGCAACTCTAGGAGAAAATGTATTTTAAAAATTTTAGGAGAGAAAAATACTCCTTGTGTATCATTTACACTTGCAGAAATAGGACTTAAGAATGTAAACATGCAAACATGTTTAGCTACTGAACAGCTTAGTTGGGTTTCCTTTGAAGTAACAAAAACGGCAAATATTGACATCACTTACAGTTTATCCGTATGCTAAATACTATTCCTTCATTAGGATGGTGATTACTGAATAATTATTATCATAGAAATGCATTAATGATATTAAAAGTTAATGATTATTAAACCTGAAAAGCAGATTAAAACAGCTATGCTAGAAAAAGTGTGTTAAAACACATTCATGGGACAATTGAGTAAGTTTCAACACCGACTCGATACTGGATTATATTAAGAAATTATTGTTACTTTTTAGGTGGAATTATAATATGGTAGTGATTTTATTTAAAATGCTATGCTGAGGGCTGCTGATTAAACAGGTGTATGGGCCACCTGTGTAAGAGGTTAAATAGTATAGAAGTAGTCTGATCCTTTAACTTTTGGTAAAACTCCCCTTCAAAATCATCTGAGTCCAGTAATTTTCTGAAGAGGTTTTTTTCAATTATTATTGAACAACATTCATTAGTAGTTAATATACTTACATTTTGTTTCACTCCCAGAATGACTTTTGGTAATTTATTATTTTTTTTAAGGCCAGACAACCAAGATCAGCACCTAAAGTATTACTTCTGCTTCAGGGCTCTCTTCACCTTGCCTTGTTGATAAATAGCTTCCTACAAATATGGCATGCATGCATGTGCATAGGTGTATGTGGGTTTATGCGTGTGTGTTTTATTTTGTTTCCACCGACCACTTATCTATTGGGCTAAGCAGAAAGAAGAGGCACTAGTTATTCTCTACACATCACTTCTGATACTGAAAAAGATGAATAGACGATTATTTTCTTCAGATTGTAACTCTGATTTTGGAAAACTTTCTGCATATAGTAACCCTTGTTCTCTTCCTTTTTCTGATGAACTTCGCCACATTTGGAAGCCGTGTGTGTGTGTGTGTGTATGTGTGTATTTTGAACTACAAATTTTTTTTAGCATCTTCAAAAATGAAGTAGGCATTTAAATTTCTCTTTTTGTTGTTTTGAAATGATATCTAAAGGAAGAATGAAGTAAAATATGTTTACTGTTGTAAAACTGAAAGTCTGGAGTTTTTTAAAAAAACATGTCTTCCTTGCTAATTTCTCCATGAGCTCAACGGTAATATCTGTTTTGTTCAAGCCTGTATCCTAGGCATATGACTCACCATAGGGGTTGAATAAATACTTGTTGATTGAATGCAAGGATGAGTTAATAAAACATAATCTAATTTTGAGGAAGAAGTAATGTAGAATGGATTGAGGAGGCTATGCACACATAGGTTGATTCTGGTGAGCTCTGGATGGGATAGTCTGTTTTTCCCATTAGTTTCTGCTTTAGGCTACAATAAACATGTTTCCTTTGTAATAAGAGGAAAATACTTTAATGAAACATAACTTGAAAAGACATTTTAACAAATGTTCATTTTAAAATACAAGGACCGTTTGTACTAGATCTGCTCAGACAGTCTATATTCCAGTACCCTGTTGCTTCAAGTGAGTAAGCTTGCACTTGCTGAATCAAGCCTGCTAGTTTGGACTCACAAAATGATGTTTATGATCATTTCAGAGGAAGGGTAGCACCCTCTCAGACCTCCCGTGCAGTATTACCCGTCTCATGTCTGTTTCATAAGGGTGAATCAAATGTCATCTCATAGTTGGAGAAAATGTTTGGGACAAAGCCACCTGAAGAAAATAGCCAGTGCCTTAATTATTTTCTTCTTTTCAAAGATGATTTGTTGGTTTCAGAGAATTTCAGGGAGGGCCATCGCTGTGCTCAGCTTCAATACTTTGCTTAAATATCATTTTCAAAACATGAGAGCACGAACGTCCTTGGTATGCCAACATCCTTCCTCACTTCCCTCTCTCCAGATAGTCCGGCCTTTTTCTGTTTTGTAAATGCATCATGTTCATCCCAACCATTGTTTCTGTGCCTACCATTGCTTAAATGTGGTTCTTGCTGGGTTATCTTTTTTCTAAGGTCTCAGCTCAAGGGATAGCTTCTTGGAGAGGCTCTCCTTTGCCTCTCAGACTCATGTGGACAGTTGGCCATGCTCTGTCACATGGTTCTATTTAAATTTCTCCTTTCTGTCAGACAGTCTCTTGCCTTTTTAGCTTATGAATTTACTTTTCTTCACCCATTAGAAATGTAGACTTTCAAAGGTTCCTTGTCTGCCTGGTTTCCTGTGTTATTCCCAACTTATCTAAAAACTTTTTTTTTTTTTTGACAGAATCTTGCTCTGTTGTCTGGGCTTAAGTGCTGTGGTGCTATCTCAGCTGAACCACAACCTCCTCCTTCCAGGTTCAAGCAATTATTGTGCCTCAGCCTTCCAAGTAGCTGGGACTACAGGCAAGAGCCACCACGCCCAGCTAATTTTTGTATTTTTATTAGAGACAGGGTTTTGTCATTTTGGCTAGGCTGGTCTCAAACTCCTGACCTCAGGTGAATCTCCTGCCCCTGCCTCCCCAGTTGCTGGGATTGCAGGTGTGAGCCACTGCGCCTGGCAAGAACTCATATTTTAACATGCTTAAAGCTCCATATGTATTTATGCATAAAAGAGAAGGAAGAAAGAAAGGAAAAGAAAATAGAGAGGCAGGGAGGGAGGGAGGAGGAGTGGAGAAATGACAGAAGGAGGAGATAAATTCAACATATCATCTCTTACCTTCAAACCTTAATTCCAAAATGAATCAAAATACCCTGAAAAATACAGAGCCATTTTCCAACATCTTCTCTCTTTAGAACACAGTTGAAACTCTAAATAACAATTTTCTTCTTATATACATATTGTCAATTAACATAAATATGTAGTATTAAACTAAATGTGAATATGATGACTCACACTTAGCATTTCTTTGTTCACACATCACTGATACGAAACTCCATTAGAAGATCAAAGAAGAAACGCACAGAGCTACTAAGATCTTGACGTTTGTTGAATCCTTGGCTTGTGAAAGTTACAAATTTTTTCCTTTGAACTTGAAACATGAGAGAAAGGGAAAGTACTACCAATATTTTTAGTCTTTAAGAATCACATGGATAGACGTACAGCAATGTGAATATACTTAACACTACTGAACTGTACACTTAAAAATGGCTAAGATAGCAAAAAAAAAAAAAAAAAAAGAGGAGCTAGCTATTCTCATACCTCCTTATCCCTGCCTCACCAGAGTAATTCCTGAAGAATTTGTCAAGATAGAGACTCCATTAGCTTAGGGCTCTTCCCAACTGGGAAGAGCAATGCATTAGTCTGTTTTCATGCTGCTGATAAAGACATACCTGAGACTGGGTAATTTATAAAGAAAAAAAGGTTTAATAAACTTACAGTTCCACATGCGTGGGAAGGCCTCACAATCATGGCAGAAGGCAAAAGGCACATCTTACATGGTGGCAGGCAAGAAAGAATGAGGACCAAGAGAAAGGGGAAACCCCTTATAAAATCATCAGCTCTCGTGAGACTTATTCACTATCACGAGAACAGTATGGGGGAAACTGTGATTCAATTATCTCCTGAGTCCGTCCCACAACATGTGGAAATTATGGGAGCTACAATTCAAGATGAAATTTGGGTGGGGACATGGCCAAACCATATCAAGCAGAGTCCCGGGTGACCCTAATGGACGTTTGACATGGGCAAGAAATAATCTTTGTTATTTGAAGCCACAAAGATTGCTTTATTGTTTCTACAGCAAAGCCTAACCCATCCTTACCAACATAAGGCTGTCACTTGGAGGTGAGGGAGTGGGGACAAAAAGGGAGAGAAAGTAATCAGACAAACTTGAGCATGTTTGTAGGATTAAAGGAAAATGCCAGGAAAAGAGAGGAACTGGGGAGGTAAGGAAGAGTGTAGTTAGTTAGTTGTTCTTGGCCCTGGGAGAAGCCAAGGGCTGTGTTACCCCTGTACACACTGGCATGACACAGGCCAGACACACTGGGTATGTGGCCTGCATGCCTAATAATGAGACATTATGACAGCCATCGTCATTTCTGCCCTGTGGAATCAGTTCTGGGGAAAACTAAATAGCTGGCAGTCAAATATTGGTCTTAGATGATTTAGCATAGGCCTTCCTCAGCAAGTAGAGGGTTGGAAGAAACATCTTAGCCCCTCAGTTTCCTCATGTATAAAATGGTGATAAGAATAGAATTTACCTTATAAAGTTGTTGCAGAAATTAAATGAGTTACCATATGTAAAGCACTGAGAACAGTGCCTGGCATAGAATGAGTTCTACTTAAGTGTGATCTCACAACCCCTTCAGGTTTTAGGAAGGAGCTTTAAATATGGTGATGGAGTCTGCCAATGCCTTCTTTATGCAATCATTTAAACAACAAGGAAGAGTTGCAAGGAACTGCAAAGTCCTGCTGTACGGGGAAGCAAACAGGCAGGATGAGCAATGGATATATTTAAAATCTCTAGCAGCTTCGAAGCTAGTGTTCTTCAATACAAATCAACCTCAATTTATTTTTTAAAAAAGAACTTTGTGGATAAATTATCATGAATCTGATATTAGCTAAGTTTAAATAAATGAGAAGTTATTGTACCTGCTTGCTGACACTGTAAAGAAAGCAGGAAAGAAATAAAAGGAAAAGGGGAAAAGAAAGAGAGAGAGAAAGTGAAAGAGAAACAAGGATAAGAGAAGAAGATAGGTGAGAGGCAGGGAGCTAGAAAAAATATCCTGGAAAAAGCAAGGTTTATTGACTAGTTGACAAAACAGACTAAAAAATCAATAGTGTTTTCTCTGACACTTTAGATAACTTCCCAATAATGCTGGGCAGCTTGCTAAAGGAGAGGGGTCCCTATGGCTGACAGCTTTGCTCCAGAACAAGTTGAGTTTTCTTTTTTCTACGTCTCCCCAGGTGGGAAGCAGTGCAGCCTGTCACTTTCCAAAAGGATGAAAGTGAACCTTCGTCACCATAAAGGGGACTTTGGAGCTGGGAGCAGGAGGTGGTGGAGCTACGGGTACTTTTTTTTTTTTTTCTTTTCTGTTTCTGGGGTCTCTGACAGTGACTGGTCCTGTCTTCCCAGCAGCAGGAACCTGATAACACAGTAATACTTTTGAAGATCATTGCCAAAACCAGTCCCAAAGAGAAAGAATTATCTGACAGCAGTTTCTCAAACTTCACTGTTGCTCGGATAACTTTTGGTGAAGAAGAGGAATGAAGACCTTTGGTGTTGACTCATTAGTTTTCTAACATCTTCAGTGAAAGATGTATGACCAATGAGGTAGACATAAACCCTCATGCTTGTAGCTCTTATGCAACTATAAAAATCAAAATGATTTTACAAATTGAATGCACACAAGCTCTGATATACCAACAAAATCCAAATTAACTGCCTTAATTTAAAGTGAAAGATTTAAAAAAATAAATGGACACTATTGTGTTCACTAGTAGAAAACTAGTCTCAGGTATAGGCTTACACTTAATCCCTTTTAGTGTTTTGTCTCAGGGATGGTAATATAGAAATGTCCACTCCCCAATAATTATATTGCATTGAGTGGCATTAATGTGTCAGTTTTTACTTGCTATTTTAGAATAATCAGGTCATAAGGCCCCCATACATAACCAAAATTCTTCTATTGAGTGAGGTCAGCTTATGTGGGGGCCACTTGATTTTCTATGAAGCTAACTTGTTCACTGAAAGATGAGGTTAGCCTTGTCACTTTTTAGAGTCTGAATTAAATGGACATATAATCCTAGTTTGACTGGATCAGAAAAAAAAAAACTTACTCTAAACATACTGCTCATGAACCATTACAAAGTTAACACATGCAAACAAAGATGATATCCATGAAACACATCCACTCACAAGAGATTGTGATCTTAAAAATTCTGGTGCAAGACATTTGCAGGTTGGCCTTCCTATACTATTTTTTTGCTTTGAGCACACATACTTCTTTCTATTCACCACAAAACCTTCATCTCTACAATATACGGTAATGCAATTTTGGGCCAAACTCAAGTAGAAACACACACACAAAAGAACAGGCTCAGGAATTGTGTGGCAGTATTTGGTAATAAGGTGAATCCCAAAATGTTTTAATTTTATTTGGTTATCACCTAGATAGAAATAAAACATTTGTTGGAGAATCCTGAGATCTCAACAATGTATCTGCAGACCCTAGAGGCATGGTGAACTTCAGTTTGAGAACAAATAATAAAAAAGACAGCCCTTCTCATGAGCCCAAGCTTCAGACTCCAGTATGACCTGATCTTGGTAATGGTTCATCTCATGGGAGGCACCAGCTGACCTAGAGGGAAGGAAGAAAATGCAGGGGGAGCTCCTGATCTCCCAGGTTCCTCCCTTCAGGTCAGCAAGGCTGGATGCAATTACTTGGCCATAAATCTTAGCAGGCATCCCCTTCCTTTCCACTATTACTAGTCCCCTACCTCAGGGATACTGCACTACGCGTTGTAATTTTCCCTAACCCTACGTTGACTTTTTAAACTAGCCCCTTTTATAAACTCACCTCAAATCATTCAATCTGAGTATGCATCCCTCCCCTACCAGGACTTTGATTAATAGAGGTGCTTACCTGGGCAACAAGACTAGAAGCACCTGCAGCCTCCAATATAATAAGGTAATGGAATGCGGACATGTGTGCATGCCTGCACACACACACACACACACACACACTATACATATGTTTATTGGGGGAGTGGATGAGAAGAGAACTCACCTTTGCAATTAACTTGTGTTTTGCTGCTCACTGAACCAGAGGCTGGGTGTGCATTTTTGTTTGGAAGCTTCTTCATCACATTTTTATTTAATTTCATTTTACTTTTTTAAAAAATATGGAGATGAGGTCTCACTATGTTGCCCTGGCTGCTCTCAAACTCCTGGGCTCAAGTAATCCTCACTCCTCAGCCTCCCAAACTGCTGGGATTACAGGCGTGAGCCACCACGCCCAGCATCTTCATCACATTTGGAGGGAAAATGTATTCTTCCCATTTCACAGATAAAGAAACGAAGGCTTAGAGAACGGAAGCATCTTGCCCAATGCAACAAAACAGGCATTTTCTTCACTGTGCCACTCAGTCAGTCAAGCTGCTATGAAAGTTTAAAGAGGACCCAGTGCCCTACTTTAACCTGATTTCAATTTTAGACCAATGCACAAGGGGAGAAGACTAGAGCCCTAGGGACCCTCCTGTCTTCAGTGAATTGCATCAACCAATTAGATGTTTCAGAATGTATGTGCAAGGCTACAGGATTCTAAAAAGTAAGATACAAATTATATAATTTGGTGAAGTTTCAAATGGTGTGGTTGTTGACTGCTATATGGATGACCCAAAGATAGAAATGAACATGGCGAATCTTTGCTGAGGAAGAGAGAGTGGATACTCACAAAGATTTATCTATAGAAGAGAAGCAAGTAAGCAAATAATTTAAAAATAGAGAGTTCTTTAAATGAACTATAGTACAGCCACTTAAGGGGCATAGATGACCTACCTCCTGAGTATTTTTTTTCATTCATTTGTGATCTACAGAACACAAAATAGCCTGTAAGAATGATTTTCTTTTTCTTCTTACTATACTGAGCTGGTATTTGGTCCCATGGGGATAAACGCTTAGAAAAATTCCTAAAATAAGGACTCTTATCTACCAGCAATGCTCATACACAAAACAGACACATTCTCTATTCCAAACTCTAGCTTATAGAAAAAACATGTGCTTTGAGTTAGCAAAATTAATTTCCATCATAAAAAAAAAGGAAGTAACCAACAACCAGAGCTAAGTAGACAAGCTAGTGTAGTAAAAGTGCTTTTCAATGGGGAATTCTAGTATAGTAAAAGCGCTTTGCAATGGCAAATTCATGCAATACATTAATAAGTCTTACCTGAAAGTCCATTGACTTCTAAGTACTGCCAAACCTCACTCATTTAAATATCATGTAAATGGCAACCTTGATAGGGAAATAATTGGAAGATAAGTGGTGGAAGAAAAAAGTGTTTGAGAAGTCAAAATAAAATACATAATTCTATGCATTGAAATCCAGCAATTTTTTTTCCAGAAGATCTTGATGACCCCCTATGCAATGTTCTCAACCTAATTTCAACAACTGATATGGGTGCCAGTCTCCAAAGACGGTTCCCCAATGAGGCACACCTCCTGGTATTTCATCCTTGGGTTGTCTTCTTCCATATTTTGACCAACAGAATGGGATGAAAGTGATGCAGTGTAGTCCACATGAAGGCTTATTCCTACCAGCTGGATCTTTTGAAATGCATGCTATTGAATTACTCTTTCTCAGAACCCAGCCGTGAGAAGCTCAAGACACAAGAAATCCATGCATAGGTGCCTTCATCATAACCCCAGCTAAGCCTGCTGCTGACAGCCAGCGTCACTGTTAGCCGTGTGATGAGCAGCCCTGGATGTCTAGTCCAGCTGAGCCTTCTGGTAACTCCAGCCCCAGCTGCCATCTGATTGGAACCATGGGAGGCAGTTTAAGGGAATGCCTTCTAACCTAGACAACATACAGAACCATGAGCTACATTAAAAAACTGTTTCAAACCAATGCATTTGAATTTTGTTATGCAGTAATAGATACCTGAAAAACTTGGCTACCAAATTTCCAGCTCTGCAAGAGCAATTAGGAAGACTAATTGAGGTAAGACCTGAAAGCAGTAGGAACTGGAAGTTAAATTTGAGGGAAGGAACAGAGACCATTAAAATCAAAAGAAGAAATCAAAACACAGCAGTTGGAGACCATTTAGCAGGAAGAGAGGGGAGAAAACTGCCAAACCCAGCACTAGGCTCCTCACAGTAAACATTACTAAATTACATCACTTAAGAATCATGTATTCATGACAGCTTGAAGTTAGAAGAAAGATTACATTCTCATCAGCACATTATTGGAGAACCCAAGGAGGTAAGGAATAGTTATTTTAAAAAAGGTTTTGATTGTCAAAAATTAAACTGTGACATTGTCCCAGAGTTTAAGGAAGCAAGATTTGATTTTCTATAAATTTATTAATGAAGACCACTTCAATTCCCCAACAGTCTTACGTTTGCAACATATTCTTGCCTCATAACTCTTTCTGATGTCTGGATTTCCCAGTGCTGTTAGAGCCATGGAAACACATTCATTGATTCATTGATTCATTCAGGGAAGATGCACTGATATTTGCTCACCCTGAATTCCTTTTCTAGATGTCATCCACAGAAAGATGAATAAGACATGGTTCATGTCTCTGACACCATACCTTCCACTGGGGGAGGGATAAAGGAGAGACCACGACTAACATTTACTGAGCTCCAACTACTTCTGCCAGGCACTAGACTAGTTGCTTTGACATCCTTTAGTTAATCCTAGTAATGCCATCTACTGGACTGTACTCATCGTATTTTCAGATGGCAAAGCAGAGTTTCCGACTGGTATACAACTTCTGTGTGGACTCAAAATGTAAGTGAACTGGCTTGCAGTCCTTATCAGTAGCATCTCCCCAACCTCCAAAAACCTTATATACACTTTATGGGAAACTGTAAGGTAGAATGCCATCAGCAACTGATTTTATGGGTTTTGATCATTTGTAAGCTCTTTAATAATTTGAGTTCACAGCAGAGTCAGAAAAAAGCCTCCCCAGCATCATTTCTTCCATATTCGAACCGGTTCTCTTTTTCTCTTTCATGCTACTCTTTAATTTGATGACTCCTGAGGTTTCCCCAGAGTGTTTGTCATTTTTACAACAGCCATTTTTCTTTGACTTGAGAAAAAAAAATATTAAATCAATGTTTGCATTTGTGCACATTTCTTAAAGTGCTCCCAAATACGTTGATTCCCAATGAACTTAAGATTTTAATTCATTTTATCCCATTGCTGCTGCAGAAGGAGTCACATTTTTAAATGTGTGATGACATATGGCTGTTCATTATTTATACATTCTGTAGCAGACTATAAATTTTCCTTTGGACATATATCGAGGCACTGAAACCATTTTGGTTGCAAACACATAAATCATGGTTACAGATATTAGTCTAAATGTAACACCACCCAGGTTCTAGATCAAAACCTTTAAAATCCATTGTAATTGATGTCTGCTGTATAACTTATGTCTGATTTTATTAAAGGTTCTCATTATTATTTATATATTTGGAGATTATACTCCCAGCTGTGCTACTATATCCAGAGTAAATTATTTTGAGGTGTAGGATTGAGAGAGGATATAGAAGTGTGTCAGGGTGCCAGAGTGGGGAGGGGAAGGCTCTTTGTGAAATGTTAAAAAAAAAAAAGTGGAAGAAGGAATGGGTGTTGTATTTCAACGCGGTCTAATTCATGTAATGATTTCGTTAATTTACCTCCCAAACGCCTTGTCCTCTGTACCAATTGACATTCATTTGAGACAAATAAAACAGCCGTGGAGTTGTGTCAGCTAAATTATAAATTAGCGAAAGGGTAACCGAGTGAGCCGGATTCCCAGGGCTGCCACTGGACTAGGCTTTTCAAAGACCAGAAACGCTTAGATTGATCCATACATCACAGCGCCGAGATGCCTCAGTGAAATGGGGACCGAGGATTGATGGCACTTCACAGGCTCATTAGGAAGCCTCAGGTTGGTGAGCCACTCGCCCAGCGTGACTGCAGAGTGCTGGCAGGCTGACACAAGGGGACGGGCCATGTCAAAGCAGCATGGAGAGTGAAGAGCAAAGGCAGCTCGCCACGGAGAAGAGAGCACCGCACCAGGAGGCAGGAGGCCAGTGAAGAAGGAAGTGAGGAGACTGAATGGCAGGGACCTGAGCTTCAGAGCCTCATAAACCAGGGTCCCCATCTCTGCTGGGCCGTTACCAGACTTGTGGCCCCTACAAGAACTTCTCTAGCCAGTCAGAGCCTCATCTGTAGCAAGGATACAATTATAAGGATTTGCTATAAAGTTTTTTTTTTCTTAATGCACTTTATTTTTAGAGCAATTTAAGTTTATAAAAAATGGAGCAGAAAGTACAAGTTCCCCTATATTCCTCTCCCCCCAACACTGTTTTTCCTAACATCCTGTGTTTGTGTGGTGTATTTGATATAATTGATGAAACAATATCGATATCTTATTATTAATAAAGTCCTCAGTTTGCATTAGGGTTTACTTTTGTGTTGTACAGTTATACGGATTTTTACAAATCTATATTATCATGGATTGGCCATTACCATATTATACAGAATAGGTGCACTGTCCTAAAAATCCCCTATGCTCCATCTATTCATCCTTTCCTACTTCCAGAGCCCCGGCAACCACTGATCTTTTTACTGTCTCTGTAGTTTGCCTTTGTTATAAACTTTTGAGATAATACAGGCGAAGAGACTGAGTGTTTGGTAAACGGCTGAACAACGTAGCATCAGTGCATTATAGTTACATATGAATTTCAAATGCCACGTATTTAAAATGCAAATTTCAGGTAGTTGACCAACAACCTGAGAAGTTCTAAGAGGAGGAATGGCTGTATTATAAGATATCCAATTGTGATTCCCCTAGATGCAAGCAAACAAAAGATCTAGAAAGTCCAGCCGGCTCTCCTCCTGAGTGTTTGGCTACTGGGGAGGTACATCCAGGCTCCTGTCATTCTCTAAGGCCCTCCTTGAAGCATTCCATAGGGGAGAAATCAGAAGGTCCCATTGCAAACCCCAATCCTGGAACAGGATAAGTCTCTGCAGCAGGGATGGAGAGGAATCTTCCTTGCCTCACCACTAAGGCAAGAACTGACTTCCCCACCCTGTTGCATCTGGTGGTCCTGGCATGGCTGCTATGCTCATACTCTTTAGGCTTTCTGCTTCTGTGAAAGGTGTGGGAACACAGAGAGTATGTTCAGCAGTGGTGTGAGAAGAGATTGGGCAGGATACTCATTTATCTGCTTTCAATGGTGGGTATAGGCAATAATTTTGTGTTCCTGTCATATCGGTTAGGCCTGTCTTTGGGGATCCAATGCATCTATTGTTATGAACAGTTCCCAAACATACCAACAGCAGTCCTCCCCAAGCACCTAACTTTGTCTCAAGGTTCATTTCTGTGCCACCAGAGTTTGCTCAGGCCTCAATCTGCGTAGCCAGGAATTGAGGAAGAATTGATGTCCCTGGATAATATCTTCTGCCAATGAGCGGTGGATGTTGACAGCTAATGTCTGGGCCTCCTGTCTTTAGAAGAGACAGTTCTGAGGCAAATCCTACAGTTTTTTGGAGAGTCTCCAGCAAGACTGAGCCCCAGCTTCTACAGTGGTACCCATGTGGAGGAAAAAAACATCCTTTTCCTCTTTTCTTCCCTCTAGTTCTCACTTTTGCTGCTTTTTCATTCTTGCCTCCAGGGACATTGTCTAAAAACCAACCTGCTCCAAATCTTATCTCAGGCTCTGCTTTCAAAAGAACTCAAACCAGGTCAGTGGCATTGCATACAGGCAACTGGCAGAAGGTAAGATGATGTGGATGCAGAAAATCTCATTCAGTTAATGAATGAGAATGCAATTTCCAATGACAGTTACAGCCGTAGTTAACATTGCCAGGTTGTTTACTGAATGTTAGATAATTGTGCATGGATTATGTTATTTAATCCTCATACCACCATATGAGGTAGGAATTATTCTGATAACCGTGTTACAGAGGAGAAAATTGAGCTTTAGAGATGTTAAGTGATTTGCTCGACTTCAAACACCTAATTAATAGTGTGGTCAGGAGACAAACTGAAGTCCTCTAACTCAAGGATTCCCTTTTAACCCTAACTCTGTGCTTTCTGTTCAGCACAGGGCTTTAGGTGTGCATATGTATAACATAGAAGTTAATAAAAGACATTTTTTATATTGGTAAAATCATGATTCACATACAAATAGAAAATGAATATCTGCCAAAGATTTTTATTTTTTTGTCAGTTCATAAGGGAGCCAGTAAGATGTTACAATTAGTTCAAAGGAAAGCTTAAAAATCCCATATTTTTATAGGCAATCAAGGATATTGAAATGAATTTGAAATACACCCAAATATCGCAGTGAAACCGGTCAATATCCAAAGGGTATAAATCAATTGCATTTCACAGGACACAATTCATTTGCTTTTCTTTGGATAAGGATCATCTGCATTCATCTCAGTTTTCTACCACTTATAGAATTATAAAAGAGGTTAAAGAGGGGAAAGGCACACATAACCCAGGAGGGTACACGACACAGTATACCCAGTAATCTTCTTTGTTCAAATCAGAGTCTTCCACAATTTTTCTTGACAAAATATATGGTTGAATGAATCCAGGACTTTTGCAATAACAATGGTAATGAAATATGACAGTGGTTGGCAAGCTTTTTTCCTAAATGGTCAAATAGTAAATATTTTGGGCACAGTGGGGGACACAGTCTGCCCTGCCACTATTCAGCTCTGCCCTTGAAGCACTAAAGTGGCCATAGACAATCTATAAGCCAACAGGCATGGCTGGGTTCCAATATAACTCTATTTACAAAAACAGGTGGCTAGCCTGCAGGCTGTTGTCTGCCACCCCTGGAATGGAAGATCATGAGATATAAGGAAACATTTGCCAAGAATTTTTCCCAGGCAGGACACTTTGAATTAATTCATTTCATAGTTGCTGACTGGCTGCTGAATGGTCCATGTGTGAAATAATTTATAAAACCAAAATCCAGTTATAAACTATGCCAGTAAGTTTCTTTACTATTTTAAAAAATGTATTGGTTAGCTAATTAATTAATTGACAAATAATAATTTATATTATTATATTATAATTCTTAGCATATACTATATGTACTATATTATTATAACTATTACTATAATTATATGTAATTATATTATAATTACATTATTTGTGAGGTATCATGTGATGTTTTGACATAGAAAGATTAAATCAAGCTACGTAACGTATCCATGACGTCACCTCCCTATGGGTTTTTTTGTGTGTGCTGAGAATGTTTAAAATCTGTTTTTAAAACAATTTTGAAATATACGATGCAGTATTTTAAACTATGCTGTGCACTAGATCACTAAAACTCATTCCTCCTGTCTAAGTGAAACTTTGTACACTTTGACCAACATTTCCTCTTTCCCCATCCCTCCTCGCACCACCCCTGGTAACCACCATACTACTCTATTTCGATGAGATGGGTTTTTTTCAATTCCACATATAAATCAGATCATGAAGCATTTGTCTTTCTATACCTAGCTTCTTTTACTAAGCACACTGTCCTTCAGGTTCATCTATGTTGTCATAAATGAGAGAATTTTCTTCTTTGTAAAGGGTGTATACTATTCCATTGTGTATGTACCACATTTTCTTATCCATTAATCCACTGATGGACACAGTTTGCTTCCATACATTGGCTATTGTGAATAATGCTGCAATGAACATGAGAGTGCAGATATCCCTTCAACAGAATAATTTTATTTCCTTTGGATATATAATCAGAAGTGGGATTGCTGGATCACAGGATAGTTCTATTTTTAGTTTTCTGAGGACCCTCCATACTGTTTTTCATAGTGGCTGTACCAATTTACATTCCCACTAACCATGTATCAGTGTTCATTGAGTTTCTTTACTATCGAAAAACCACAAGAAGCTTAGATCTCGTCCCATCCATGTATAGATGAAGGATCTGAGACCTAAGATGGGGGAAGATACTTGTTAAGGATTACAGAGAACATGTCACTGGTTACCTTAGAAACCAAATAATGTGCTACAAATTAGTATTATAAATTATATAGATGGTTCTAATTCATATATATGTTATCTCTCTATATAAATATATAGAGATACATGTAATTTATATAACTGTATATATATATGAAAATTACAATCATCTATAATTTCATTCGAGAAGACCCATTAGAATTTTGCAGCAACTTAATCCTTTTTTTATTTTTATTTTTTATTTTTGGAGACAGGGTCTTGCTCTGTCACCCAGGCTGAAGTGCAGTGGTACGATCTCAGCTCACTGCAACCTCTGCTTCCTGGGTTCAAGCAATTCTTGTGCCTCAGCCTCCCGAGTAGCTGGGATTACAGGCATGTGCCACCCCGCCTGGCTAATCTTTTGTATTTTTAGTACAGACGGAGTTTCACCATGTTATCCAGGCTGGTCTCGAACTTCTGAGCTCAGGCAATCTGTCTGCCTCAGCCTCCCAAAGTGCCAGGATTACAGGCGTGAGGCACTGTGCCTGGCTAGCAACTTAATCCTTTGCCAGGAACACGTGACACGTACACACACATCAATTTATCAGTTCGGTGCCATGAACATCTGTTGACCAATGCTAGACACTGCACCAGAGGGGACACCACAGAGATATTCAGGACAGACCCGCCCTTAGGGAGCCCAGTCTCCAGTGGGAAGGGGAGACTCCCAAATGTACAGTAAAGCACAGCGTCTTCAGTGTCAGACACAGGTAAACTGGAGTACTACAGGAACATGGAGAAGAGGAATTTTAAAAGAGGCCAAAACGGATATTAAGGGTGTTTTTCTGGAGGAAGTAGCATACCAGTTGATATTAAAAACCTGAATAAGGAAATGGATGTGAAAATACATGACAGTCTCCCTTTGATTAAACACGCGTTCTTCTAAAACAAGTTTTACCACAAAACAAATATCACGGTGTCCTTAACTGTTGATTAACGTTGCTGGAGATGACACTGAAGAATGTATCTTTAAGAACAAAATTT
Source organism: Homo sapiens (assembly GCF_000001405.40). Lineage (NCBI taxonomy): Eukaryota > Metazoa > Chordata > Mammalia > Primates > Hominidae > Homo > Homo sapiens. The sequence goes on along the minus strand of NC_000016.10, from coordinate 7,974,560 downwards.
ATAAACAAGCCAGGCATGGTAGCTCATGCCTGTAATCGCAGCTCTTTGGGAGGCCGAGGCGAGCGGATCACTTGAGGTCAGGAGTTCAAGACCAGCCTGAACAACATGGCAAAACCCCGTCTCTACTAAAAACACAAAAATTAGCCAGGTGTGGTGGTGGACGCCTGTGAATCCAGCTACTCAGGAGGCTGAGGCAGGAGAATTGCCTGAAACAGTGAGGTGGAAGTTGCAGTGAGCTGAGATGGCACCACTGCACTCAAGCCTGGGTGACAGAGTAAGACTCAGTCGCAAAAATATATGTATAAAAACAGGAGTCATTGGTGGTCATTTAGGGCATGCATTTGGCGTTTCAGTACCCCCTGCATTGCTCCAAAGTATCACCAGAAAGTTGGGATTCATCCTCTGGGCTTCTAGAAAGACAGAAGCGTGGAGGAATCTGAGTGCCCCAGATTGGGAGACCAGGATGCTTTGACAAAAAGTCCCTATCTGGCCTTTGGTGAGAGAGGGAAACCTCCTTATTGCCCACATTCAGCAGATACTCTCGGCACACCCAGAAATCACTCTTTGCTGCAGGGACAATAGGCCTCAGCCATGTGTGCAAAAGCTTATTAAGTGAACCTGGTGTTCTGACTGAGGATAACAAGACCATGAGTCAAATGGCATTCAGGACTTCAAATTATAAACCAAAATATTTTTTCTCGTGACACAGTGGCTCCTTGTAGACAATTACTTCTCCTGTACTAACCTCATCTGCTAAGGTTTTGCTCGTGTTTTTTCTTGTTCTCCTTTTAGTAGAATTCTACATCTTCAAGGACCAGTTCATGTGATTTCCACTGCTGAAATCTTTCAGCCCCCTTCCTGTAAGCATCAAAGGATCTCTGGGGCCATAGAGCAGTTTATTTTATTTACTTTATTATCTTTTGAGACAGCGTCTCACTCTGTTGCCCAGGCTGGAGTGCAGTGGCACAATCTTGGCTCACTGCAACCTCTGCCTCCTGGATTCAAGTGATTCTTGTGCCTGAACCTCCTGAGTAGCTGCGATTACAGGGGCGCACCACCACAACCAGCTAAATTTTGTATTTTTAGTAGAGACGGGGTTTCACCATGTTGGCCAGGCTGGTCTCGAACTCTTGACCTCAAGTGATCTGGCTGCCTTGGCCTCACAGAGCAGTTTAAACTGTGGGCATCCACTTTTATTCTCAGTCTCACCTTCTTTGTCCCTCACGCCATTATACACTCATCATGGCACAACTCAACTTTCCATTAGGACCACCTGTCCTTGCCTGCCTCTGGTTTTTTGCTGACCTGTCTTTTACAGCCCAACTCATTGAATACTTGAGTGAATCATGTTTTGGCTAACTTGGTGGAGGATCTCACTCCTTTCCTGAAAATAATACCTATGAAGACTTGCATAACAACATAGACACACACTACTTGAAAGAAGTAAGATTTTGTATCACAAGTGCAGGGAAGGCTCTGCAGCTGTGTGGGATAAACATGTTGAGGAAAATTTTTAAAAAGGGAAGAATGTACCTTTGTAGCACATGTGGTTCTCGGGAAATTGAGCCTTTGGGTTGCTCACTGCTCTTTATTTTTCCCAAAATTAATTTATATTATGATATGATATCAATTTTATAATCAAAGAACTAAAGTTGTTTCATCATTTTTTTTTCCTGGCTTCACTATCAACCTTGTGCATGATATTTATATTTATTTACTTCTACATTTTTAGAAAGTTAAAAATGTTGTGGATACATAGTAGGTTTATTAGTCAATTTTCATACTGCTGTGAAGAAATACTCGAGACTGGGTACTTTATAAAGAAAAAGAGATTTAATGGACTCACAGTCCCACATGGCTGGGGAGGCCTCACAATCGTGGTAGAAGGTGAAGGAGGAGCAAAGTCATGTCTTACACGGCAGCCGCCAAGAGGGCCTGTGCAGGGGAACTGCCCTTTATAAAACCATCAGATCTTGTGAGACTTACTATCACCAGAACAGCATGGGAAAGACTTGCCCCCATGATTTAGTTACCTCCCATCAGGTTTCTCCCACAACACGTGGGGATTAAGGGAGCTGCAGTTCAAGGGGAGATTTGGGTGGGGACACAGCCAAACCATATCAGTAGGTATATACATTTATGGGGTACATGAGATGTTTTGATAAAGGGATGCAATGTAAACATTGCATGTTCTGACTTATTTGTGGGATCTAAAAATCACAACAGTTGAACTTATGAACATAGAGTAGGCGGATGGCTACCAGAGGCTGGGAAGGATATCGTGTCTTATTCAAATCCATGCTCAAACACAATTTCTTCTAGAGCAAACCTATTGGAACAATTCTGATTCTCTGGAACTTCTGTGTTGCCCTTTATACCTACTTTTCTAATTCCTTGATTTTGTAATTATTTATTGGGTGCTTACTATTTTCTAGTGAATGGAACAAAATAGTTAACAAACTAAACCCTTCTCTCCCAAATCCCTGCCCTCAAGGAATTTCCATTCTGATGGGAGAGATAGCCAAATACAATACAAAAGTAAAATACAAAGTTTGACCTTTACTTATAAGTACTTGTGTGTATATCTGCCTCTCCCTCTACATCACTAATTTACATAAGGGCAAGAACAGGCTTATTTAATTTTCTCCCAGGGCACCTGGAACAGTGATTAATATACATCAAATGCTCAATCTATTTTTGCTGCATTAGAAAGAAGCCTCAAAAATTTTATCTGCATACCTCTGCTTCAAGATACTACTCTGATTGGAAAAAACTGAAACAGAAATTACAACAGCAGTCATCATTTTGGCTACAAGTGCTCCTAGCAGGAGAGTTGACTGACCCTGTCCTATTTACCTATTTGAATCATGGTGGGTACTAGGCTTGGAAACATGAAAGGAAATTCAGGCCAGGTGTGGTGGCTCACGCCTGTAATCCCAGCACTTTGGGAGGTTGAGGTGGGTGGATCACCTGAGGTCAGAAGTTCGAGACCAGCCTGGCCAACATGGTGAAACCCCGTCTCTACTAAAAATACAAAAATTAGCTGGGCGTGGTGGTGCGTGCCTGTAATCCCAGCTACTTGGAAAGCTGAGGCGGGAGAGTCACCTGAACCCGGGAGGTGGAGGTGGCAGTGAGCCGAGATTGCGCCACTGCACTCCAGCCTGGGTAACAGACCAAGACTCCATCTCTCAAAAAAAAAAAGAAAGAAAGAAAGAAAGGAAATTCAGTGCTCCTTTCCCCAGTTCTCAGCTTCCAAACACACCCAGGGCAAAAGGAAAACGCAAAGCCCCTGTTTCCATATGTTTTTATTTTTTTCATTACTTTACACCCTGCTAATCTCTTTGCAAACTCCACGGATACAAAACAAACCTCTTTGGCCTTTATGTCACAGAGCTGAGGATTCATTACCAAGCACCATAAGGGAGACAATTGCAGTTTTGGAGCCAGAGGGAAAACGTGTCCACATAGAGGCAGGACTGGAATAAGTTCTTCTTTGCCTTCTCAAGAATACCCATAAAAGCATACCTGCGATCATAATGCCCAATTGGATTCTCTCCCTGGGTGCAAGTGCCCCTCCATTTGTGGAGTAGGGGTCAATCACTATCCTGCTTGCTTTCTCATTTATTCGTCATTTGTTTTACTCTCCTCGTGTTTTGCAATGTGGGCTGATCTGTCAGCCAGAGAGTGTTATACCACACAGGCTTTTTCCTCCTTTCCTGCTGGAACTACATTTATTTGCTGAGGTTATCATGGTGCACTATACATACCTTGAGAAAAGGAGATAGCAATTTTGCAAGAACAATTTTAAATCAGGAAAAAAATAATTTTATTCTCCAAGGTAAACTCCTTTGTAAAAATACAGTATCTTGTATAATTGGGGGCACAGTGATCACTTCATCTTTATCTCAGAAGCCCATCTGACAAGGGTGATTTTTGTATGGAGAAAGTGAGGATTTCCTTTTAAAAATTGCCTTTAAAAAGGTGAGCTTTTGGAAAATCACCTTCCCATTGAGGAATGTGAGCTTGCATTCATTTGAGACTGTGGTTTTACTGCTTCAGAAAGCCATTTTTGTAAGAAAGAAAGGGGATGAAGAAAGAGACAATTAAAAAAAGGAGAAGAAAAGGAGAAAGGAAAGGAGAAAAGAAAATGGAGGAGGAGAAGGATGTACAGAGGGAAGAAAGGAGGGAGGGAAGGAAATCTTGGAGAAGCAAGTATCTTTAATTCTATAACATCACTTTTTCTACAGAAATAATAGTGACCAAACCATTTGCTTTTGCAGTTCGTAATCAAGAAAACAGAAGTTTTTCCTATGCCATTAGTTCTAAGTGTGAATTAATAACTTTAAAAGAAGTCTCTAGTTATTGCCATAATTTTTACTAAACCCCCAGAAATTTCCCATCTGAAAATTATTAAGGATTAAATTTATTTGTATTTGAAAATCAAAATTTACCAATGTTGCAGCTATGTGGTGGAGTCGACAGTCGTAGTATCAACCAAGACTGGGCTGCCAACTCCTGAAAAGTTGAAGATGATTGAGGAGTCCAAAATCTAGCTCTAACAAGGGAAACTCCCTAATATAATAATAGACAAAATGTCAATATGTGTATAGGCATCGCTGTAGATATATAGGTATTTGAATTTATGGAAATACAGCAAAAAGCAGCACTACCATTGAAAATGTAGATATCAGGCTCAAGGTGGATCCTGATTTCAAGAAAAAGAAATCACAAGCAAATAAACGTGCATCTCATGTATCAATTCATTGAGCATATATTACTTAAGCATTTCCTATTTGAAAGGCATTGTCGGAGCTACCAGGGATACAGTGATGAACAAAGTACTCACTGAGATTGCCGTCCAGAGCAAGAGCAACAAAAGTGAAAATCAATTAAACACACATGTCAAAAGATAATTTCAGAGGTTGACATTAAGAGAACAAGAAAGTGAAGTAATGTGATGAAGAGGGTGGACAATTTTGAATATCGCCCCACAGCAATGCCTCTCAGAGAAAGTGACTTCTGAGCCCTGGTCTGAAGAATGGGAAGATAAAATCTGCAGATGCATCACAGGGAGAGAACTGCAGACCAAGAGCAGTCAGGAAAAGGCTCTGAGGCTGATATATTGCATTCAATAAACAAAACGAGGTTACTATGGCTCAAGGAAGTGAACAAAGAGAAGGAGATTAGAAGATGTAGGGAATGAGGCCCAGGGACACAGGATGGAGCTTCTTCAAAGCTGTGAAAACCTAGAAAAGAAGTTGGAATTGTATTCCAAGTATCCAGACATAGACTCATAAACATTGAGGTGACAGATGTACACTTGGCCTAGGACAAAAGAATTACAGGTGACCAGAAGACAGGAGAAACACCTTCTCTTTCCTCCCTCTATGATTTTATTTTGTTGAATTTTTTTGTTTGTTTTCCTGAGACAGAGTCTCACTGTGTTGCCCAGGCTGGAGTGCAGTGGCGTGATCTCAGCTCACTGCAACCTCCACCTGCCAGGTTCAAGCAATCCTTCTGCCTCAGCGTCCTGAGTAGCTGGGATTACAGGTGGATGCCACCATGCCCGGCTAATTTTTATATTTTCAATAGAGACAGGGTTTCATCATGTTGCTCGGGGGGGTCTTGAACTTCTGACCTCAGGTGATCCACCCGCCTCTGCCTCCCAAAGTGCTGAGATTACAGGTGTGAGCCACTGTGCCTGGCCCCTCTCTGTATGATTTTAGAAAGTCACAGTCCCTTTCAGGTTTCAAGTACTCATATTTGCCAAGTGAAAAAGTCGAAGATGGTCATGAGATGCATTTCACATGGATGCTTCACTCTTGCTTCCCTGAGATAATGCAACCAGCACGTCCTCAGCTTGGACCTAGGCTCCAGACACCTAAGTTTTGCTTTATTTAACTAACTATGAAACCAGCATAGCCTGACCTATTCACTGGAGAGCAGAGGACTTTGGGCTTGCCATGAAATATGAGCAGAAGCTGCTTAAACTCAAATCCTAACCCACAGAGTTGGCCCCCTGAGCATGAACCTTGCCCTAAGGTCAATAGCACAGGTTCTGTAAGGCAAAGTCAGAGAGTTATCTGTGTAACCTATTAGCTTGCTGTTTGCTATAGAATACTCCACCTGCTCATCTGACAACTTTCCTCTGAGGGGGCACAGGAAAATCACCACCATAGGATACATCCTTCTCATCGCGCTATGGCTTAGGCAGAATTTCCTAATGACTCCTTCACAAGCCAACCCTCAGTCACATCAGAATTTGCTGTCACTGAGGTTGGGATGAAAGGGAAGGGATGGAGTCATTTCCTTTGGATCCCTGACACTGCAGTCAAACAGCATAATTGAAAGTGTTCTCCTTTCTTGAACAGTGAGTCAGCTAGCTTTCAAAAAACGAAAAGGGCTTCTGGTTCTCAATCTTTTCTGTAGATAGATTTGAAACACAAATACAGCGGGGGCAGTTCTCACTGTTGCTCATGATAGGCATTTCCTGGAGTCCTGTGGTCAGGACTGAATTTCTGCACAGAAGCATCATTTTAGATGAAGCCTAGAATGTCAAAAAGGACACATTTGCCAGATATATGTGAGAATCTGATATTCTTTGAGAAAGTGGCAGTGAGAGGTAAAGCAGAAAGAGGACCAAAATATGAGGCCTCAGACCAGCATCCTCTCCTTGACTGTGCCATCCCATCATCCTGTGATTTTGCATTTAATATGCCTGAACTTCAATGTCCTTATCTATTAAATGGTTCCACTATTGACTTTCTTCAGCCACACAGGGAATGTTTCAAGGGCCAGAAGAGACAATGTGTGTGCAAATATTTTCTGAATAGTAAAATATCCATTAAAAAATGAACACTACGGACATCAAGCTTCATTGTGGTTCAAGTCCACACAAAACACAGTCACATTTACAAAGTCATGAGATTATGAAGCATTTCTAAGTGAGGATGTGTTATGAAAGTCAAGGCTCTACTATTGATTACAACAATAAGCAGCCAGGTTTGAGTGTTTAATTTTCTTACTAGAGAACTCTTTGGTTAGGTTGAGGAATCACTCAAAGGTGATGCAAACAGTTGAAGAATGAAGATTTCACATTTACAGTCAAGTTGAAATTGGGGAAATTAGCTTTTGAAGAGCTGAGGAAATGTAAACAACACTTCTGATATGGTTTGGCTCTATGTCTCCACCCAAATCCCACCTAGAATTGTAATCCCTGTAAGTCCCACCTGGGACCAGGTGGAGGTAAGTGGATCATGGGGGTGGTTTCCTCCATGCTGTTCTTGTGATAGTGAGGGAATCTCACATGATCTGATGGGTTTCGAAGCGTCTGGCATTTCCCCTTCTTGCACTCACTCTGTCCTGCTGCCCTGTGAAGAAGGTGCCTGCTTCTCCTTTGCCTTTTGCCAAGATTGTAAGTTTAAGTTTCCTGAGGCTTCCCCAGCCATGTGGAACTGTGAGTCAATTAAACCTCTTTCCTTTATAAATTACCCAGTCCCAGGTATTTCTTCATAGTAGTGTGAGAACAGACAACTTCCACATGTCATCTTCAGTGGCTCCTGTATGTACCATTTGCTATGGAACCCCAGTCATAGGCATCATCTTCTCTTGAAAGGTCTGTTTTGTCTTCTACAAATGTCTTTGGAGCAGGGATCTTGTTTCGTGATTTTACAAGTACCTAAGGATAGTAAACGGGGCTGAGAAAAAGTAAGGAACACGGGAAGGAAACACTTGGGGTAAAAGGTGGATAATCCAACATGTCTGCAGATTTTCCACAGTATAAGTAAAGCCACACAGTGCAGGGAAGGTGGAACAATTGTGTGTGTGAGGGGCGGGAGGGCGAGGCGGGGAATAAAATACTGCAATCAGAGTGCAGTTAAGAAGTCACTTCATTTTGCAGTTTCTCATTTCTTTACCCCCAAACATGAAAGATTGTGAGGCAAACGTCTTTGTATTAGGGTTCTCTAGAGGAACAGGATTAATAGGATAGTTGTATATCTGAAAGAGACTGTATTAACGAGTATTGACTCACACAATCACCAGGCAAAGTCCCACACAGGCTGTCTGCAAACTGAGGAGCAAGGAAGCCAGTCCAAGTCCCAAAATCTCAAAAGTAGGGGAGCCGACAGTGCAGCCTTCAGTCTGTGGCGGAAGGCCTGAGAGCTCCTGGCAAACCACTGGTGCAACACCCCAAGAGTCCAAAAGCTGGAGAACTTGGAGTCCGATGTTTGACGGCAGGAAGCACCCAGCACAAGAGAGAAATGAAGGCTGGAAGACTCAGCCCAGTCTAATCCTTTCCCGTTCCTTTATCTGCTTTTATCCTAGCCATGCTGGCAGCTGATTAAATGGTGCCCACCCAGATTCAAGGTGAGCCTGCCTCTCCCAGTCCACTGACTCCAATGTTAATCTCCTTTGGCAACATCCTCACAGATACACCCAGGAACAATACTTTGCATCCGTCAATCCAATCAAGTTGACACTCAGTATTAACCATCACAGCAATACATGGGGGTTACAGAGTAGGGTGATGGGGTTGTGTGTTTCCTCTCAAAGCTCAGTGGGCTGCTTCTATAATGAATTCTTTTTAATTGAAAAGGTGACTTGTTAGACAGATACCTCCAAACTGATTCAGAATCTCTTGTGGTAAGGCCTGGGAATCTACCTTTTCAAAAGCATTATCGTGATTCGTATGCACAAACAAGTCCTGGGAACTCCAATTTGCCCTTCTCCCTTTCTCATACAGAGTGCTTCCGATGGCTGAATGGAGAGTGAAGGAAAAAGACTTGGGGGGTCTCCCTTTGTCCCAAGTTCAAACTATCCAGTGTAGAGGATCTCATTGGTGCAGTCCTCATTGTGACCTCGAACACAGCTATTGTGCTGAGAAGTTGTCAAGGTTGACCCCATCACAGGCCTCTTCATTTACGGTTTTGCAGATCTTAGGTCATAGATGTCTAATCTATTTTACTAGGCTGGTGGCAGCCAAACAGAAGTTTCTGTACAGCATAGCACATCTTTCTTCGATGAAAGTTTACAGGTAGAAATGACCTGGAATGGAACTGGGGACACAGTCTACTCCTGGGCTGTCCAGTATGAAAACCAGCAGCCCCAAGTGAACTTGAAATGTGGCTAGTTCAAGTTGGGATAAGCAGGAATTGTAAAATGCAGACTGGATTTCAGGCAGTGCAAAAAAAAAAAAAAAATAGAATGTAAAATATCTCATTAATAATTTTTATATTAGAATAATATTGCGAATATATTGGGTTCCATAAAATATATTACTGGGATTAATTTTAGCTATATCTTTTTTTAAATGTGGCTACTGGCAAACTTAAAATTACACACGTTTCACATTGTATGTCCACTGTGAGTGCTGGGTTAGCTTCTCCTACAGATACAGAATATTTAAAACCATAATGCTAAGTGATAAAAATGGGATCTAAATTCATATATTCTATAAAATCTCAATTTCTCTTACACACACACACACACACATGCACACCGGAGTGATACATACAGTATTGAAAATCAGCATTCAAAATTAACACCTTTTGAGTTCCTTAAGCCTTCCATTTAACCAGGACCACGTGTTAAGTTTAGGATACTGTGGCTTCATGCACTAATCAAGGACACCTCAGTTGTGTGCCTCAGGGAAATGACACGTGACTAGCATGACACTTGATGCCTGTGAATTACAGAACAGAGACTATTAATTCCAAAGGCACGAAAACACTACTCTGAATTCGAGTGTTATCTGTGGTCAACACTGGAGGGTGTGCTATTTCTTTGCATCATAAAAATATCAATCATTCTAATTCAAACCTTGTGTGCAAAATTTGGCCTGGTACCACAGCCTTCATATACTCCAGAAGAAGATACAAAGGGTCTGAGAAACGGGGCTGCTTATGTAAACCAAATTCCCCGGCCCATCGCAGAAGTCAGAAGGAGAGATTCAGTTTTAAGTAAATACAAGCATTGAAACAGTAGCTGTGCTACTGCCCCGAGCCCCAGGCATTGGTGAGATTCTGAATATTCCTTCCTTCTCTGCCCCCTGGTTGTGCTTGCTCTCTTTGAAGAATAATTAAGATTTAATGGCATATTCTCACAGTTTTTTGTCTGCCTGCTTTCTGACTGCCTACTGTGCAGAATGCTCGCGTTTGATCCCGGTCATTGCAAGAACTGTACAGTAATTGCCTATCTGGTGACTCGTTAATGGAGGTCCCCAGAGAGCCAGAACGCTGCTCTTTTGAAGTTCATCTTGTTTACTGTTGGCCCTTCTGGTTTAATCTGTATCATCAGAGAGACTTGCTCAATTATTGGCAGCTCAATCTCTTCTCACTGGGACACAGGCACTGGGTAAACACTTTTTTTTTTTTTTGCTTCTTTTTCTTCTCTTTCACTTTTTTCTTTTTTCTTTTTAAAAATATTTCTTCTTGTCTTACCCAGATGGGTCCACCTTGGTAAAGCATGATGTTATCTTGTGCCAGGGGATCTGTAGTCCACCTGTGAAGCAGCTCTTCAGGCCTTCCCAAAAGACAGCAGGTTGGAGGGCAACCAATCATATGGAGTGGTTCTACTCTCCATTTCAGGGCAAAATGACTTCTGCCCATCCTGTAGGATCCAAATGAGGGAGTGTCTTCTCCAGGAGACCTATTAGACACTGAAAACCCAGCTCTGGCTGGTTTACTGGCCTGTTCACTCAGTGTTATTATTCTTATTATAATACTTCTCAATATTAACTTCGGTCATTTGTGAAATGTTTGTCCCTCTAAACATGGGAGCTCCAAACAACCCAATGTTACATCTTCATTTCTCAAACCCTCGTGTTAAGGAGCCTTCCAACAGTATGGTTAAGGTGTGTTTGCAGAATAAGTGGATGTTCTCTAGGTCATGCTAACATTGCTCTGTCCTTTCTAAGAAAGGAAAAATTCCTCACTAGCTACCAGAGTTCCTTGCCATTCCCTGCTTAACTCTTTTTGTCAGGAAACGTGGAATTAGAGAAATTTCTAAAATAGGAATTTGGATGTCATTACAGTAGGGGACCCTGTTGCTGCTAAGATTAGCACAGACAGAGGTTAGGGGTCAGAAGCTATGTAAGGACTTTGAGATCTCTGGCCAGGATGCCTCTGAAGGCTTTGAAATGGGGATAGCAACTCCAGTTGAACCAATAGCACTTTTTAAAATTAGACCTAAGCAGAGTGTCTCAGAGCTTTTCCCATGATTAATATCTGAGCATTGGAAGAGAGAACCACACTTCCCACGTGGAGGGCTAGTATCCACATGGAGATACGTGATTAAAGATGAAGAGACGCAAGAGATGAACAAAAAGACACACTGTTGTTAATGAGGTTCAAGATCTTGAATTCAACTTAAACTCTAGACTTAATTAACCATTATATGAAAAAGTATTTTTTTCTTTAGTTGATTTGATCTAATTATTTCCAAAATCATCTTAATGCATAGGATTACAGATAACATGAATAGCATCACAATCCTGATGTAAATATGTTTTGTACATTTGGACATCCTTGAATTGGAAAACTTGTACCAGCAATATATTTCAAGTTCAATTGAAAATAATTATCTCAATCACACTTCCGTTCAGTCAGTAACGGGAAATTCCTTTCCTAAGTCAGGCAGTGTGGTAAAGGCACTTTTCATGTATTCGTTGATTTAACCTCATAACGATGTCACATGACCTACGATTTTTGTTACTGTTTTTATTCTTTATTTAAGGACAGAGATAAACCAAGGTTAAGCATGACAAAACAGTATTTGCCAGTGTTGTGGATGAGATTCAAATGCAAGTTTCCCTGTCTGCAAAACTCTTCAAGATTATGCGACATTTGTAATGATAATAATATGATTACCTGTATTTTATTGTTTACTATGTAGAATGATTAAGTAACCATGCTTAAAGTTAAGCTTTATAAGATAATTCACGTAAAATATCACAGGTCGTGCTGCTTTTTTAGCTCATTATCCTCTTAATCTTTTCAGGTGTGTGGGAATTAGTTTTGCCATTTTACTGATAGGGCGGGAGACTGATTCTCCATGTGTAAATTGAAATGCTTGCCTGAGGTCCCATAGCGGATGAGTGGCAGAAGTCGATTGTGAACCCACTTCTCACTCCAGTTCACCCAAGGTGAACATTTATCCTTAGGTAAACTCATTTTCAATACTTGAGCAACTTCTCTCAGGAATACTCACATCACCAAGAACCCCAAGTCCAATTTAGAAAACCTTATTAGTCTAATAAGACTTCAGTTCCATCAGCATAATTGGCAGGCACCCCAATCACAGTCTAATTATTCTATACTGGATTCCTCATTACTGGGCTTGGAGGGGAGGCAAAATGTGGAGAGAGAAGGAAATGCTTGTCAGAAACTGCAATTGTAGCCTGAGAACTCCCTGCAAGGCCAAAAGCTGTTGCCCAAGGTCTTCAGGATATTGGAAATCTGGAAGAGGACGTTGGTGTACCGTTAGCCTCCTACATTCAAATTGGTTTGGGGGCAAAACAGCCAAAAGTTAATATCCAAACTGCATTACAGGAATTAAGACTTTTAGAGAACCTCTGCAGCAAGGAAAACCTCAGAACTCAGTTGCATGCTTAGCCTTAAATTACTTTGTTTCTTCCAGAAATGAAGAGTGTAATACTAGCTTTTCTTTAGAACTAAAATCAACAGTAACAAATGCACAGTTGACACCCTATGCTTTTTAGACATCAAACAGTCTTCTTTTGGGGGAGGTGAAATATCACCCTTGCTTTCTTTTCTTTTCTTTTTTGAGGCAGAGTCTTTCTCTGTCTCCCAGGCTGGAGTGCAGTGGCATGATCTCGGCTCACTGCAACCTTCGCCTCCCTGGTTCAAGCGATTCTCCTGCCTCAACCTCCCAAGTAGCTGGGACTACAGGCGTCTGCCACCATGCCCAGCTCATTTTTGTATTTTTAGTAGAGGCAGGGTTTCACCATGTTGGCCAGGCTGGTCTTGAACTCCTGACCTCAGGTAACCCACCTGCCTCGGCCTCCCAAAGTGCTGGGATTACAGGCATGAGCCACTGCACCCAGCCTCTTGCTTTCTTTTCTACCTTCAAAACTAATGTGGCATTTTCAGTGGCATCTGTAGAATAAATCCCTAGAAATAAAAAGGATAACTCACAGGTTATGCACATCTTTGAAGCATTTGACACGTGTTGCTAAATTATCTACTGTGTGCCAATCTTCAGTCCTCTGAATTTTCTCTTATTTCCATAATCGTACATTGTTATTAGTTGGGTAGAAAAAAAAAAAAAAAAAACTAGGTTTAAACTCTGCCTTTTATATTTACTCACTGTTAGACCCTGAACAAGCCATTGAAAGACTAAACTTTTGCAAAATAACGATAATAAAAAACAGTAGGAACAATACTAATATTACCTAAGATGGTCATGGTGAAGGTTAGATAGATGATGCTAAGGGCTGGATAAGTATTGCTATAGGTGTACATGTAACAAGTTCCAGTAACACATTGCCATATGTGCTCTAACAGTCAAACCCCCAGGGTGCTTGAGAGCCAGTGGGAGGATCCGACAAACAAGACTTGAATATCAAGGTAGGCTTTCTGAAGGAGGTGACATCTTCATGGAATGGGTTTCAATTTACTTTTACCACTTTCAACATTTCAGGGATTTTTAAAGACTCAAATTGTGGTTTTCCAGCCCACATTCCAAGTCAGTCAGACTCCTGCCTCCTCAGAACGACTGTTCAAACAGTGCCCTGACTCTAAAAAAGCACCAGCTGGCCGAGCGTGGTGGCTCATGCCTGTAATCCCAGCACTTTGGGAAGCCGAGGCAGGCTGATCACGAGGTCAGGAGATCGAGACCATCCTGGCCAACATGATGAAACCCCGTCTCTATTAAAAATACAAAAAATTAGCCAAGTGTGGTGGCAGGAGTCTGTAATCCCAGTTACTCAGGAGGCTGAGGCAGGGGAATTGCTTGAACCCATGAGTTGGAGATTGCAGTGAGCTGAGATCGTGCCACTGAACTCCAGCCTGGCAACAGAGCAAGACTCTGTCAAAAAGAAACAAACAAACAAACAAACAAAAAAACAGCACTAGCTATCAGAAGACAATAAATTTTATTGTTTCACATTACACCAGTAAACACTAAGTCAAATATTTTCATGTATTGATCTTTACCATATCACACTGTTCCCATTTTACAAGCTGTTTCATGATTTTTAAAAGTAGTTCACTTTTAATTGACAAATAATAATTGTGTATATTTATGGGATACAATGTGATGTCTTGATCTGTGGGTACACTGCAGAAAGAGTCAATCAAGCTAAATAACATACCTGTTACCTCACCACCTTATCACATTTTGTTGGTAAGAATTTTAAAAATCTGTTAGCAAATATGAATTGTACAATACATCATAATTAACTATGGTCACTACGCAGTACAATAGTTTTGTAAAACATCCCACCTATCCAATTGAAACTTTGTGCCCCTTGAGAAATATCTTTCTTTTCCCAATCCCTCCTCCTCTCCACCCAGCCTCTGATAACCACCTTTCTCTTCTCTGTGTCTGTGGAATCTACTTTTTTAGATTCCACATATAAACCATTTCATACTTTAAAAACAAAAGCTTTAAACAAGAAGATGCCACCACAGCAGGAAAAGAAGCCCGATTCAGCAGTAAAAGCCACTTAAATATGTGTACACATCCGAGAGGACTATTATGTCCCTGTTTTCTCTAAACAAGGCTTCTAAAGGAATTTTCTCTAAAAGCACCATTATGAACTCAACTCAACTTTACAAACACATGCACCCCCACCCCCGGGACTCTACCAAGACCAAGTAATTCCACTTCATTTCAACTCACAATTTGTTATATCAACTAGTCAGTAGGTGTAATTGTTCCATGCCAACCATTTTCAAGGAAATCAATATTGGCGGATGGACTAATCTCTCAATTTGTCTTACTTCATTCTTTAAAAAAAAAAAAAAAAGAGAAAGAAATCTATGCATTTTTGGACATCCACATGTTCCAGAATATCCATGATATACTAGAAGCATGCCTTTGGTGTTCCTTCATCTCATTCGCTGGTGATTCTCTAGCAATTTTAATGATATATATCTGACTTGTCCAGTATTTCCTGTTTTTACACCGGACCCAAAATTAACAAGAGGCAGTTTGAGATTATTGGAAGAGATTTGTACTTCAAGTCGGGAAAGCTGGATTCTAATCACAGTCCTGCCACTGGAATCCAAGGTAAGTCATATACCCTCTCTGGGTTGTTTCTTCTTGTTTAAAATAAAAGCATATTGAGGGGTTCAGCTGTCTATAACAAAAGAGAAGGAAGGAAAGAGGAAGGAAGGAAGGAAGGAAGGAAGGAAGGAAGGAAGGAAGGAAGGAAAATAAGTTTGTTTTTTTCTCATATAAAAATAGCCCAGTGTAGATAACTCAAGACTGGTACAGCAGCTCTATGGTTTCAGAGACCTGGGCTTTTTAATCTTATTGCTCCACTAACCTCAGCATGTTGACTTCATGGTACCAGAGAGCTGACCTAGCTCCTGCCATCACAACCAAGTTCCAGCTAAGAAGAAGGAGAAAGAACACACTATTCTTTTTTAAGGAGACTCTCCAGAAGACTCTTGAGACACTTCTACCTACAGCCCTTTGGCCAGAATTTAGTTACACATCACATCTAGCTTTGAAAGAGGTTAAAAAAAGAGTAAACTTCTGGTTGGGAAGTCATGTATCTAGCTGAGAATCAGAATTCTGTGACTAAGAAAGAAGAACGAAGGGAAGAATGAATATCAGGCAGCATCCAGCATCCTGTCTCAAAGCGTTAGACCATGAGTGGCCCAGAGGCTGAAACACAGGAAAAGTCCAAGCTACGTGAGATTAATGTACAATATTTTAGTATTTTCATTTCATGAAAGAATTACAAACAGGACAGTTAATGCAACTCCTCTTGTCTGTTTCAGCGTATACATTTTTGACCAAGACTGACACAGGTCACAAGAATGACTGCAGAGCTTTCAAAACTTTTCCTAATTCTGTGCCTCTCCTAACTCTACAGAAACACCCAAATTCTATGAAAAGGGAGCCAGATGGGAACAGTATCAGGAGAAAGAAAATACAATAGTTTGCCTCAGAAATGTTTCTCTTTTCCCTCTGATGTCTCCTACTTTTCTTTTAGGAAAATTTATAGCACCTTATGACCAATTTTCTATGCATAGAAACCTAAAAAATGGAGAATTTTCTAGCCTCCTTGGAGCATGAATCTGCAAGGTCCAGTTGACTGCCCATATGGCACAGAGCTCATGCATCAACCAAGAGCAAAAGTGAGAAGCAATTTAAAAGCCTCGTTTGGGGGTTCAGTGGAAGAGAAAAGAAAATGCTGGCCAGGCACGGTGACTCGTGCCTGTATTTCCAGCACTTTGGGAGGCTGAGGTGAGAGAATTGTTTTGAGCCCAAGAATTTAAGACCAGCCTGGGCAACACAATGAGATCCCATCCCTACAGAAAGAAAAAAAAAATCAGCTGGGAGTGGTGGCACATGTCTGTAGTCCCAGCTACTTGAGAGGGCTGAGATGGGAGGATCGCCTGAGCCCAGGAGTTCAAGGCTGCAGTGGGCTACGATTGCACCACTGCACTCCAGCCTGTATAACAGAGCAAGACCCTGTCTCAAAAAAAGTAATAATCTGAAAAAAAAAAAGCTGTAAATAGAAAATGGTGACCACCTTGACCCATACGGCTTAAGCAAGAAACTCTTGCTATGCCCCCAATTATGTTTGACATCACCCTAATAGGGTTGACAGAGCTGCATAGATCAAAAAGTAGGGTCAAGGAACTTAAATAATGACCAAAATGAAAACCCCCACCATGTAGTAAAAGTAGCGCTAGCAAACTCTTTGAATTCAGATCCTGTCACTCTTGTCAGGTATTGTATCCCCAGCACCTAGTTGAGTGTCCAGCATCTGTGATCAATAAGTATTATTTGATTGAATGAATGAGCAAGTAAATGGCTAACTCCAAAGTTCATGTTCTTTTCCTGTATCCATCTCCCACGATGATTAGCTCTGTGCTCTCCCTGCTAGAAATACTTGGCAAATCGGAAGGTGATAAAACCTACAATGGAGCAGATTCCCACAGTGCTGCAGAATTGGAAACCACATCTTATCTCTGCCTAATAGCCCTGGTTCTATTTCCCACATCACAGAGAATGCAGCCTACAAGAGATTGAGTTATTCCACACAAAGACTTCACAGGAGGAAGAAAAAAAATGTTGTTTTGATTCACTCTTTCTTTTATCGTTTCAAATACAATAATGCACATTTTCATCAGAAGCTAAATGATAGTGCTTACAGTATTTAATATCTGAATTCAATTATGTTTCTGAAGGCTTATTACCATAGTAAAAGGAAAAGTAGTTCAGAGAATTTCCAAAAGCATCAGGGTACAGTTGTTAGAGGAAAAGTACACACTGTTAAGGAAACTATGTATTCACATAAAAGAGAGACTGTGAGACCAGCACAGACAGAGAAACACACACACACACACATGCATGCACGCACACACACGGCAGAAACACATAGATAGGAAGCATAAAGAGACAGCTTCCAGTATGTTCCTCCCATGTTCTTCACAGCTCTTGCACCATCCTTTCTTTGTATCCATGTGCAAAAGAATGAATTTGGACCCATAGCTTATGCACACATACACAGACACACACATGCATGCACACACACACGGCAGAAACACACACACAGGAAGCATAAAGAGACAGAGAGCTTCCAGTATGTTCCTCCCATGTTCTTCACAGCTCTTGCACCATCCTCTCTTTGTATCCACATGCAAAAAAATGAATTTGGACCCATAGCTTATGCCATACGCAGCACTCAACTCAAAATGCATTAAAGGCTTAAACAGAAGAACTGAAACTGTAAAACTCGTAGGAGAAAACATGGAGGAAAACTTCATGACATTGTGACATTGGTCTTGGCAATTAATTCATGGATAATATATCAAAGCACAGGTAATGAAGGCAAAATCAGCAAGTAGGACAACTTCCAAACTAAAAAGCTTCTGCACAGCAAAAGAAACAATCAAAAGAGTGATAGGAAACCTATGCAATGGAAGAAGATATTTGCAAGCCACATACCAGATAAGAGATTAATTACTGGCCAGGCGCGGTGGCTCATGCCTGTAATCCCAGCACTTTGGGAGGCTGAGGCGGGTGGATCACGAGGTCAGGAGATTGAGACCATCCTGGCTAACGTGATGAAACCCCGTCTCTACTGAAAATACAAAAAAAAAAAATTAGCCGGGCGTGGTGGTGCCTGTGGTCCCAGCTACTCAGGAGGCTGAGGCAGGAGAATGGTGTGAACCCAGGAGGCGGAGTTTGCAGTGAGCCGAGATTGCGCCACTGCACTCCAGCCTGGGCGTCAGAGCAAGACTCCATCTCAAAAAAAAAAAAAAAGATTAATTACTAAAACATTTAAGAAACTCCTACAACTCAATAACAAAAAACAAAAAACCTAACAACCCAATTTAAAAATGGGTAAAGGACTTGAATAGACATTTCTGCATATGGCCAACATGTATAAGAGGAGATATTCAGCACCACTCATCAGGGAAATGCAAGTCAAATCCACAGGGAGATATCGCTTCACACCTATTAGAATTATTTTTTTAAAAGAAAACGTGTTGGTGAGGACATGAAAAAAATGGAACCCTTATACATTGTTGGTGGGAATGAAAATGGTGCATCTGCTGTAGGAAACAGTATGAGGATTCCTCAAAAAATTAGAAATAGTGCTGTCATCTTATCCAGACATCAGACTTCCGGATCCTTAGCCAAGAGACTTGAAAGCAGAATCTTGAGATATTTGTATACCCCTGTTTATAGCAGCGTTCTTTACAATAGCTAAAATATGAAAGCAATTCAAGTGTCCATCTGTGGCTGAATGGATAAGCAAAATGTGGTGTATACATACAATGGAATATTTTCCAGCTTTCATTTAATTTATTCTTGTTTTGGAGATGGAGTCGCCCAGGCTGGAGTGCAGTGGCACAATCTTGGCTCACTGCAACCTCCACCTCCAGGGTTCAAGGGATTCTTTTGCCTCAGTCTCCGAAGTAGCTGGGATTACAGCTGAGCGCCACTAAGCCAAGCTAACTTTTGTATTTTTAGTAGAGACAGGGTTTCACCATGTTGTCCAGGCTGGTTTCGAACTCCTAAACCTCAAGTGATTCACCCGCCTCGGGCTCTCAAAATGCTGAGATTACAGGCTTGAGCCACCGTGCCTGGCCAATGTTTTCCAGCTTTTAAAAGGAAATTCTGACATATGCTACAACATAGATGAACCTTGAGGAAATAACAGTCAGTGAAATAAGACAGGACAAATACTACATAATTCCTCTTGTATGAGGTATCCAAAATAGTCAAATTCAGAGAATCAGAAAGTAGAATGGTGGTTGCCAGGGGTAGAGCTGAGGGAGAAACAGGGAGTTGTTATTCAATGGGCATAAAGTTCCATTTATGCAAGATAACAAAGCTCTAGAGATCTGCTGTACAACATTATGCCTATAGGTAACAATACTGTATTGAATATTTAAAAATATGCTGGCTGGGCAACCGTGGCTCATGCCTGTAATCCCAGCACTTTGGGAGGCCAAGGCAGGCAGGTCGCCTGAGGTCAGGAGTTTGAGACCAGTCTGGCCAACATGGTGAAACCCTGTCTCTACTAAAAATACAAAAATTAGCCTGGCATGGTGGTGCATGCCTCTAATCCCAGCTATTAGGGAGGCTGAGGCAAGAGAATCACTTGAACCCGGGAGGCGGAGGTTGCAGTGAGTTGAGATTGTGCCACTGCACCCCAGCCTGGGTGACAGAGCAAGACGCTTTCTCAAAAAAAAAAAAAAAAAAAAATATATATATACATATATATATATACATATATATATGTATATATATATGTGGATAGATCTGCTAAGTGTTCTTACCACAATAAAATAATAACAATAATCTCCTCCAATCATTTTTTATGATTTAGCTGGAGTAATGTGTCAAAGAGCAAATCTGATATTTTCACCCATCTGCCTAAAATCCTGCAATATGTTTCCCATTGCTTATGGGATAAAGGCCAAAACTCTTTAAACTGGCTCCCACTGGCCAAATCTGGGACAACGTAAGCATCTAAATAAACAATGACAGAAATGCATTATTACCTATTAAATAAAATAAGAGTCTATGAATTCTGATATTTATAGATTAATTAATAGGAGGGGAAGCTTTTTCTTATTTTCTATTGCAAAATAACAAATATTGAATAAATGACAGACTTAGAAAACCCCTGGTGGATGCTAAAATTGGAGAGTGAAAGATTGATGGATAACAGGATATTCACATAGTCAAATAATTTTTCCTCTAATCACTTATTATTTAGAAAAGGTACAATGTAACTTTACAAAGAAGTAACCTGGCAGATGCCAACTTAACAAAGTGGCCACACTTATTTATTTATTTTCACATTTTTTTAATTTTTAATTTTTAAAAATTTTTGTAGGTACATAGTAGGTGTACATACGGGGTACATGAGATATTTTTGTACAGACATGCAATGGGAAATAAGTGTATCATGGAGAATGGGGTATCCATCCCCTCAAGCATTTATCCTTCAAGTTACAAATAATCCATTTACATTATTTATTTAAAAATATATGATTAACTTATTAGTGACTAGGATCACCCTGTTGTGCTATCAAATAGTAGGTCTTATTCATTCTTTCTATTATCTTGTACCCATTAACCATCCCCACCTTCCCCTCAGCCCCCTCTACCCATCCCAGTCTCTGGGAACCATCCTTCTACTCTCTATGTCCATGAGTTTAACTGATTTGATTTTTACATCCCACAAATAAGTGAGAACATGTGATGTTTGTCTTTCTGTGCCTGGCTTATTTCATTTAACAGTGTTCCCAAGTTCCATCCATGTTGTTGCAAATGACAAGATCTTAGACTTTTTCATGGCTGAATAGTACTCCATAGTGTACATGTACCACATTTTATTTATCCAGTCATCTGTTGATGGTCACGGGTTGCTTCCAAATCTTGGCTATTGTGGATAGTGCTGCAACAAACACAGGAGTGCAGATATCTCTTGGATACACTGATTTCCTTTCTTTTTGTATATATACCCAGCAGTTGGATTCCTAAGTGGCCAAATTTAATATCACTACTATCAGGACAAACTGCTACTACCTGAGATGGTCCTGATATGGTGCACTAAGTAGGATCCAGCATCACTTCTGTGTTATTCCTTAAAAAAAAAAAAAGACTCATGACCTCTGTTATGGGGAAACGTCACACCAACTAAATTGAGGAGCATGCTATAAACCAACTGACCAGTATTTTTCAAAAATATCAAGCTCAAGAAAAACAAAAAAAGCCTGAGAAAATGTTCCCATTTATGCCTGAGGTTACAATTTTTTGAATTTTTGTATGAGTGAAAAAATGAGACATTGGCGACAACCTTGAGCAGTAGGATATAACTCCCACATGCTTAGTGTTCCAATAATGGCATAAGTGGGCTAAAGGAATCTAAAGCATGATTCTGGATTGCACACAGAGGAAAACAGTAGCTATAGTGGGCAGTATTTGGATAATTGTCACATTTGAGTATGGGCTCTGGATTAAATTATAGCATTGTGTCAAAGTGGAAGTTTCTGTTTTTGATTATTGCATTGTGTTTATGTAAGAGACTATCCTTGCTTTGCAAAAATAGACATTGAAGAATTTAGGAATAAAGGGATATGACAATTCAATTTACCCCAAATGAGGGAAATTAGATCTTTACTTAAATATATATATATATATATCTCTAATATCTACTATCTATAATCTATATTATATGTATATCTATATCTATCTATAATCTTTGTATGTGTACATCATATATTTGTGTATATGTATATGTGTGTTACCCAAAAAGGCACTGGCACATAGTTACAGATATAAGGTATATAGAAGGAAATGTCAGTGATTCACAAAGGAGATACTTTTGTAAACAATTGAGTAAAGAGTATTCTTGTACTTTCTTACAACTCATCCTTAGGTTTGGCAAATATTAAACTACCAAGTTGCATCCTATCCTGAATACCCCACTTGAGGTCTTATAAAAGTTGGTGCACACCTCCCTCCTCACCTCCACCTTATGCTATCCCTTGCTCTAAAATCCAGACATGCCTTTTTTTTTTTTTTTTTTTTTTTTTTGATGGAGTCTTGCTCTTTTGCCCAGGCTGGAGTGCAGTGGTGTGATCTCGGCTCACTGCAATCTCTGCCTGCTGGGTTCAAGCAATTCTCTTGCCTCAGCCCCCTGCCCAGTAGCTTGGATTACAGGCGCGTGCTGCCATGCCCAGCTAATTTTTGTATTTTTAGTAGGGACAGGGTTTCGCTATGCTGGCCAGGCTGGTCTCGAACTCCTGACCTCAGATGATCCACCCACCTTGGCCTCTCAAAGTGCTGGGATTACAGGTGTGAGCCACCACACCCAGCTAAGATGTTCTGCCTTTAATCTCCGGAGTTCACTATGCTGAGTTTTACCACCAGCCCCTTCACAGATCACTCTCTTCCTGCAACTCCCTTATGCTCACCTTCACCTCTGCTAGGTAAGATCTCATGGAATTAGAGAGCTTGGCTTAATGTTTTTCCAACAGAGATGGAGAGTGTCATTTGCATAAAACCATTTTTGTTATCTAATATAATCTTGTTTCTTAATACATTTATGCCAATGATAATTCACTGCTTAAAAGAGTATCAAAGCCTTAAAAAATATGTATTTTGCTATAATGTTTTTTGCATGAAAAATGGAAAATTATGGAAAAAAATAAACCCCAATTTCATCATTTTAACACTGAATACTGTTAACACATTCTCTTTTGTCTTTCTGCTGAGAGAGAGAGAGATTGGAGAAAAGGAGGACTGTAGGCTCCAGCACCATGCTTCTGAATTATCGAATTTTGCAGCCTTCTTTGTTGGTTATATAATTATATAACATTCACAGGCTACCCACTGACCAACTGCATTGGATCAAAACATTATCTTTTAATTTTTTGTTTAAATGTTGCTGGGGAATACTTGGTTCTGTGTTTTCTTCTCTGCACATCGGGCAGACCATGGCTAGTTCACTTTAAACCAAGGGAGAGCCTTGTATCCTGGAAGCCTTCGCCTGAATACATTCCAGCATCAGCACAATCTAACGGGCCACATCAATCGCTTTGCAGTCACAGACAGAGGCCAATGTCTCTGGAGAAGTGAGCTGAAGCTCAATGATTAAGAAATTTGGGGACTCAAGGCTCCTCTCTCTGTCTTTCTTTGGCTCTCTAGATGTGGTACATTATTCAAAGTCCACATCTCTTTGCTTCACCATGTTTAAAATGGAAAGGAGAAACCTAATTTTATGCTCACTTTTATTCTTACATTTATTCAATCAAAGCAACACTCATTGGGCACCATTTCTAAGCGAGGCACTCTGTTACTGGGTAAGGATACTGAGCAGAAGTGATCATCTTTCCGCCAAATGCTCTCCCGCCAGCGGGAGAGACAGGTATTGAACAGAAAATTATAATACAATGCAATCAGTTTTGCAGTAAGAGGATAGTCTCTGTGCTAGAGGAGTTTAGAAGATAATTTTTCTAAAATAATCTTTAGCCTGGCTTCAACAACGACGGTGAGGAGCCAAGAGAGGAATTGCATGTTATTGCGGAATACTGAGGCATGTGCACCGGTCCAGTGCTGGTAAAGGCAGCAGAGTGGCTGCCGATCGCCTGCCTGCGTCCTTGGCAGACATTATTAATCAACGCTTATTACCCTTTGAATCCGATTTCGAAAGCTCTTCTTAAAAGTGTGCCTCAAAATCTGTATCCAGATGTTTTGGATACAGTCAAACCTTCGTTAGAACTCAGCCTCTGTAAATGTGGGATATATAATCTTGGGCAAGACAATCAACCTATCTTGTTTCCTCAAATTCTCCTCCTTACAGAGCTCATGTGATAATTAAGTGAAATAATAGAGTTAAAGCTCTACCTTAGACACCACTGATGGAATTGTGAAGTGAGGAGGCCACATTGGAAGACAGTTTCCTTAAAGTTAGGCATAAGTTTGCCATGTGTGATAGCAATTCTTTTTTTTTCTTTTTTATTTTGACAGTCTCGCGCTCTTGCCCTTGCTGGAGTGCAATGGTGTGATCTCAGCTCGCTGCAACCTCCGCCTCCCGAGTTCAAGCGATTCTTCTGCCTCAGCTTCCCAAGTAGCTGGGATTACAGGCATGTGCCACCATGCTCGGCTAATTTTTGTATTTTTACTAGAAATGCCGTTTCACCACGTTGGCCAGTCTGGTCTCAAACTCCTGACCTCAGATGATCCGCCCACCTCGGCCTCCCAAAATGTTGGGATTACAGGCATGAGCCACCACTCCCGGCCAACAATTCTATTCCTAAGTATTTAAGGAAATGAAAACCTATATCCATTCCAAAATTTGCTATGTGCATATTAATAGTGGCATTATTTATAATAGTCAGAAAATGGAAGCAACCCAGATGCCTGTCAACTGATGACTGGATAAATAAGATGTGAGTTATCCATATAATGAAATACTATTTAGAAATAAAAAAAACACAAAGTACTCATACATACTACAACATAGATGAACCTTAAAATCATTACACAAAGTGAAAAAAGATAGACAGAAAACACTACATATTATGTGATCCTGATTACCCATTAAGTCGAGAAAAGGCAAAGTATAGCAAGTTACTGGCTCCCTGGGACTGAAGATAGGAATAATGATTGACTGAAAATGGGCTTGAGAGAGTTTTTTAGGGTGATGGAAATGTTATAAAATTGTATCGTGGTGGTGGTTACACAACTCTGTAAATTCACTTAAAAATCATTGTCCTGTACACTTAAAATAATTGAATTTTAAGTTACATAAATAACACCTCACTGAAGCTGTTAAAAAGATATATAAAGTTTTAGGATGGAATATAGACATATTCGACACTGTTATTCCAACTCTCTTTTTTCAAAAAGTCTTCTCATACTAGTCCTGTCACCCAGCATGGACGACTTTCTCTACATAACTGTATTTGTAGTTATTTCTTGGCATCGAAACTCACCTTGCCTCATGACATGGTTTGTTGTTTGATATTGTGTAATTTAACTTTCGGTATACATATTTTAATACCTCCCCAAAAGAATGTAAACTCCCCAAGGATAGGGATAATCTCTTATTTATTTTTATATGCTCATCCGTGGCTTGTAGCCTTTAGCTTGGCCGCTGGCACAAAATTCAAATTCCAGTATTTATTAATGTATTATTAACTTCAACACTAAAAAAAAAAAAAGAACTTTTGTGCCAACTGTGATTTCTGAGTGAGAAAGAGAAGTAATCACAAGAATGGCTACTTTCAAGGGTGAACACATTTTAGAAAACAGAGCAGCATAAAAGCAAGATCAATTCAGAGATGCTGCTGATTCAGGCTCAGCGTGGCTAATTAATTTACACTGCCACGATCACTGCAGACACATCTAAATTTTAGATTATTTTTATCTTGGGCAAAGAAGCCCTAACCCAAGCCAGCCTTTTGTTGCTAAGCATTTAGCAAAACAGACATTAAAGGAATTGGAAGAAAAAAATAAAGTTTCCATTAGGTATTTTTTTTAACGACAAATTGATGTCTTTTAAAACAATTCAAAGAGTAGCATTTTATGTAAGAACAACCCTTAAGTCAATTAAATTAGTTGATGTCTGTGTTCAGATCAGCCAATGAGTTCACCGTCTTTCATCTAAACAGGAAAAAGAAGCTGGAATGGCTTTGTGGAATCTCAGATGTGAAGGTTGCTTTGAGCTCATTAAGTGCTGCTCAAACTTTTAATGGTAGTTTAGGGCAAATATTGAAGATAATGCTTCAGAATTCTGCAGTTTTGTCTTACAGTGAAAGGGAGATAAGAGTGAACTAGACAATTCTTGCTTTATCTATCAGCATCCACTTCCCCTTATTTGGAGATAGGACCTCAATTCTCCTTTAGGAGCTCCCCCTACCCCCGTTCTTTGTTTAGGTGGCACTGAACCAACACCCATATGACCTGGCCTCCCCTATCCATGAGGACTCACAACCCTTGTCCATCTATAGTTTGTGATATTAATATAGCCAAACCAAAATCATCTCATACTTTCTGTGAACACCATGAAAGAGAAACTGTTTTGCTTTTGTTTCTTTCTATTTAAAAACATCTTTAAAACTTTTCTAAAAAGTTGAAAGTCACAAAGATGCAGCGATTATCTTGATATCCTTCAAATAGATTTACAGTTTTTAAATATGTTAACACTTCAATATGTTCTGATTCTTTCTCATTCTCACTCTCTCAGTGTGTGGGGGGGTGCATATATATATGAATCTGTGAGTATAAAGTCTATATTTTTTTTCTGCATCACTTGAGAACAAGTCACAGCTATAATGATACTTTATTACAAAATACTTCAGCAGGTAAATTCTAAGAACAAGAACAATCTCCTTTGTAACCATAATAGAATTATCAAATTCAAGGCTGGGGCATGGTGGCTCATGCTTGTAATCCAAGCACTTTGGGTGGCCAAGACAGGTGGATCGCTTGAGCTTGGGAGTTCGAGACCAGCCTGGCCAACACGGCGAAACCTTGTCTGTAATAAAAATACAAAAATTAAGTGGGTGTGGTGGAACACACCTGTAGTCCCAGCTACTTGGGGGCTGAGGTGGGAGGATCGCTTGAGTCTGGGAGTGGAGGCTGCAGAGTCAAGATCGCACCACTGCGATCCAGCCTGGGTGACAGAGTAACACCCTGTCTCAAAAAAAAAAAAAAAAAAAAAAATCAAGAACTTTAATGTGGATACAATATCATTATCTAATATTTTTAAATTTAGTAAATTGTGTTAACAATGTCCCTTACAGCATTTTAAATTCCAGGGTCCAAGCCAAGGTCACACATTGCCTACCTGCCATGTTTCATGATTGGAAACAGTTTCCCAGCCTTTCTTTGTCTCTCATGGCAGTGAAATTGTGTGAAAACTGGAGGCAAGTTGTTCTCTGGAATGTCCCTTAATGTTGGTTTGCCTGATTTCCCCTCGTTTTTTAAATTGTTTTATTTCCATGGGTTTTTGGGGAACAGGTGATATTTGGTTGCATGAGTAAGTTCCTTAGTGGTGATTTGTGAGCTTTTGGTGCACCCATCACACAAGCAGTATACGCTGAATCCAATTTGTAGTGTTTTATTCCTCAACCCTTTCCCACCCTTTCCCCTTGAGTCATCAAAGTCCACTGTATCATCCTTATGCCTTTGCATCCTCATAACTTAGCTCCCACTTATAAGTGGGAACATACAATGTTTGGTTTTCCATTCCTGAGTTACTTCACTTAGAATAATAGTCCCCATTCCGCCTGTTTTTAAATTTAGGCTTTGTATCTTTTAGCAAGAATACCAAAAACTATCTTTTTCCTCATTGCATCATTAGGAAAAATGCACTCTCTTTGCAATGGAAGAATATAAATTTGTAGCTGCTGGTCATCATTGTTGCTCTTACTGGAGAAGTCCTGCCTTATGATCAGGCAGCAGAGAGGAAAGCAGGCAACCACATGGAGAGGAATGGAATCCTGATGATATCATTGCAAGGAATGGCAGCTCTCACTGCCTCAATAGAGCCCTCCAGGCATTAGTTTTATTAGCCAATCAAATGTTGGGTTAAACTGGATTTTTTTTTCACAAGCCAATACATTATTAGGTTATTAGATGTTTTCATTTGCAATGGAAAGAGGGCTAATATGATCAGGTCACAAAAGAAAAGGAAGAAATGTTGAAAGAAGGTAGATAGAAAACAAGGAAGGAAAGACAACCCTAACCCCTAACAAAGAAAAAAAATGGAAGGAAACAAAAAAAAAAAAAAAAAGGGGAAGGAGAAAGAGAGAAGGAAAGAAATGAAGTGAGAGATAATAAGATGAAGACAAGAAGGAAAAGTAATCCACAGGGGCTGTTGGGATTTGGCCCTGATGCATGCTCCACCACTGCCTAAGGGTTTTGCAGAATGCAAGCTCAAGTGTGCTGAGAAACAGGTGCTTTCATTTCCTCTCTACTGGCCTCCTTGCTCTGCAGCCACACTGCTGCCAACGCTGCTGCTGACCTGAGATTGTCACTGCACGTGGCTCTGCTCTCAGAGTTCATTGTTGCTACCACACTAGGCCACCTTCCAAGTGAGGACAGGGCCCTTGCCAAATTCCTCAAGCACACCTGAGTCTGGGCTGCAGCTTTGAAAATATAAGGAAGGCTGGGGATTGAGACGGCAAATATATTGCAAATAAATCTTACAATGACGGAAAGCCTCCTTTGGTGCTGTACAAAGCTGTGCCTCTGAGATTCCTTTATTCGGCAGCTTACCACTTACTACACTGAAACATACTGGGTGCCTCTTTACCATTGATTCTGTCCCAAATAGAGGGGAAAGATTTTACTTACGCCAAACTGTCATCTACACTTAATCCTTCTCATTCCCTGTCCCAGGATTAATTGCTTTCCAAGATAATCAATGGTAAGAGTATTCCTTCACTTTAGTGGGAACCATAGCCATCTTACATATCATCACTAAAGAACTTATGTAACCAAAAACCACCTGTCCCCAAAAAAACCTATGAAATTAAAAAAAGAAAGAAAGAAAAGAAATGGAGAAACAAATGAAACAAAAAATGAAAAAAAAAAAGGCAAAGATGATGTGTTAGGAACCCTGAGGTTGGGCAGAAGTTGGATATAATAAAAATTTCATGAAGACAAGATCTGCAGACTCGAAAGTCAGGTGAATCAGGAGTTTTGGACAACAATTTCGGAAAACAGCAGGAGATCTTTAGCAAAATATTCAGAAAACAATGAAGACCAGGTTTCTTTCTTGGAGGAGGTTTTGGGGAATAGATCTACAAGGATAAGTGATAGGGTAATACTACTTATTGACTAGGAAAAGATAGTGATTATGGGAGGCAGTAGCTTTTTCTACATCAATTTCTAGAGTTTCATTCAAGAGGCAACTTAGACAAGCCATGGGTAAATCCTTTTTTTGATTTACATAGGATTTGACACAGTAACTTTCCCTCTATGGGATCCTAAATCTGGCCAGTACTCTAGGAAATGACAAAGAAGATGTCTGTAAAACCACTTTCGTGAGTCTACTTTTGTCCAAAATTGCAAAACATAGCACAATTGTTTTTCATTCTCTCTAGCTTATTTTTTCTAGACCTTTCCCACTTCTTCTGATATTAGCCTAACCAGTAACTATTGCTTCTTGTGGTTAAAAAGTAGTTGTGACCACCATTGACTCCTCCATGTGAATTAGTAGTACTCACTTCAATAAAGATTGATGGAAGATCTTATGATGATTCTGATGACTCTGGATCCTTACGAAATAGAAGAAAAGGTAAAGCAAGAGTCCCAATGTG
Organism: Homo sapiens; assembly: GCF_000001405.40. NCBI lineage: Eukaryota > Metazoa > Chordata > Mammalia > Primates > Hominidae > Homo > Homo sapiens. The sequence goes on along the minus strand of NC_000016.10, from coordinate 7,945,059 downwards.
AGTTTGAAGAGCTTACCCTCCTTGTAAGGGCCCTTGGGAGAAGATGCATCTTTAATGGGATTTCAGATCCATTTTTACCTGGGTATCAGGGAGATTATTGGCAGGAAGGCCATTCCAATGCCTTTCAAAACAGTGTGAAGATGGCTTTTGCACTATCTACAAAATTCTACCCTAACTAATTTATTCTTCCAGTAGATAACACAGTCTCTGTATCATATGCCTTCATGTATATTTCTCCACTGAGATAGAGTTTCCTCTCCCACCTCTCTACCCTTTATGAGTCAGAGTCTTGATATCAGAATAAATATAAATAAACAAAACATGGCAAACAAATGCTACACATATCAAAATGCTGGTGATGCTTTTTTATCTGCCCATTTTTGTCCACTCTCAACAATGAATCACCAGTTATCAGTCTTCACAACTGGCCTGTTCTGTGTGTGCTGCCATAACAAAATATCTTGGACTGGGTAATTTATAAAGAGCAAAAATTAATTTCTTACAGTGCTGGGAAATGGGAAGTCCAAGATCAAGGCAGTGGCATTGGTGTCTGTGGAAAGCTGCTCTCTGCTTCCAAAATGGTGCCTTGCTTCTGTGTTCTCACATGGTGAAAGGCGGAAGGGCAAGATTCTGCTCCTCTCAGTCTTGAGCCCTTTTATAAGAGTGCTCATCTTATTCATGAAGGCAGAACCGGCATGACTCAATCACCTCCCACAGGCAACATCTCATAATACTACTGCATTAGTGAATATGTTTCAACATGAATTTGAAAGAGGAGACCATCACTGAAACCAGAGCAACAATGAACAAGATGCAGTCAGGTTTCTGAGTGGCCAGAGAATATTTCACAAAAGAGAGCCTCTGGAATTCAAGCACTTTGACCTAGGGGATTGTCCCCAATACTTTTTCTCCAAGCCTGTTTTATTTTGCCTGGGTAACCATTGTAATAAGCTTTCATAATCTAGCTTCACACAGGGAAGCAGATTAAAAGCCACAAATTGGGAGAAGAAAAGGAGTTTTCTGGAAGTTGATGATAATTAGAAGTAAAATCGGATGCCAGACTTACAGTGAGGAAAAAGAGCAAGTCTTAAAAGTCACACAAAAAGCGGACAGGGTAGTTTCAAAAGCTGAGGGTATGTGAGGGTGTTTAGTGCTAGGACAAACCTGCCTTCCCACCTGAGTCAACCCCAGAGTATCCTCTTTTTCTATTACCCTCCCACAAGGAACGTGCTTGACATTTGACCTTGAATCCTTAGAGAAAAGGTATATTGTGTTGGATGAATTTTTCTTTAGAGAGCAGAAGGGAAAGTGAGATATTTATTTAAAATGCTTCCATGAAAAATAAAAGGTAAAGTAAGAACAAATCGCTTGAGTATATAAAGAGCTAAAACTTAAGTTATTTGGAAGTTAAATTGTCACAGAGTGATTCACATCCTTATGTTGCCTGATAAGTGACTTATCAGAACAGAATAGATGATATATGGCTAGGTGCTATCATGGAGGGAAGGGACAGAAACCTATCCCAAGAGAAACCAAAGATTTTAAGACAGTGTTGCAAGCCCCTTCCTGCTATTGAGACCTCCTCACCTTTAAATCTAAAGCTTATGGAATCGAAATTGAAAAAAAAAAAAATTACCAACATTGGCACCAACTGCCCACTACAGCACATTTACCAGTGCTAGTGTGACGGTTGAAATTATTCTGGTCCAGAATGGTGAAGAACACCAGAGGAAAAAGGAGTCAGTCTTGCCCATCCTAGAGAAATGGGTGCAAAGAGTCAGCACCCATGGACTGATCCTGAGAAACACATTTCAGCTCTGAGGCTAGAAGTGTTTGTCAAGACTCTTTTTAGCCATCCCTGGCTAATAAGATTTTAAAGCAAGTTGCCTTGAAGGCTGGTTTAAATTTGATTATTGCCATTTGGAATTCTCTAGATGCCTCTCAGATTTACTGGTCAAAGTCTTAAGGTCACACAAGCCATAGAAATACTAGAAAAAAAAAAGGCAGAAAAAAGATAAATCTACATCTTTCAACTCCCCCTTCCACAGAAAACATATGAGGATACTACCAGCGTGAAACAAATGCTATGAGGTAGATAATACTATCCTGATTTTGACAGATGAGACAAACAAGGAGAAACCAGAAAGCTTTTTCTGGTTTCTTCTTACCCACTTTCCAAATTAAACAGTAAGCCAAAAAATAAAAATAAAAATAAAAATAAAAAAAATGAGGTGAGGAATGACTTAATGAGTACAATGTACACTATTTGGGTGATGGTTACACTAAAAGGCCAGAGTTGGCTGGGCGTGGTAGCTCACGCCTGTAATCCCAGAACTTTGGGAAGCCGAGGTGGGAGGATCACCTGAGGTCAGGAGTTCAAGACCAGCCTGGGCAACATGGTAAAACCCCAACTCTACTAAAAATATAAAAATTACCCAAGCATGGTGGTGCATGCCTGTAGTCCCAGCTACTCGGGAGGCTGAGGCAGAAGAATCACTTGAACCCAGAAGACGGAGGTTGCAGTGAGCTGAGATTGCACCACTGCACTCCAGCCTGGGCAATAGAGTAAGACTGCCTAAATAATAATAATAATAATAATAATAATAAAATAAATAAATACCCAGGGTTTATCACTACACAACACATCTATGTAACAAAACTGCACTGTACCCCCTAAATTTGTACCAATAAAAAAAATGAAGTACTAGAAATAATATGCAAGTCCACTGCTGCTTAACCTTTAGTCAGAGTTCCTTTCACTACACTGTGTACATGAAGGATAAGTCCAAGTAAAGGCAAAATCAACAACCTGGAAAGAAAGCACACAAGGGGCAAAGCAGATGATCAGTTTCATAATCAGAGATTTTTCATGAATGGACGCCAGCATCTCTATCAGGTGGGGGAGCCCTGGGAAGCACCCAATAGCCCTTGTTTCTAGTAGTATCTCACCCCAGAGACAAGAGGCTGTCTCTGAGGGTTTTCTAGTATCTCATTCTTTTCTCTTGTGCTAAGGTTTATCAAGGCTTCTCTCTGGGCTGGACCTCTTCAAATGGATAAAATCCACTTTTCTTAGCAAAAGAACATTGTCAGCAACGAGGATCTTGATTATGGCCAACAATAACCTCAACTATGACCGTCACTTACTAAGTACTCAGTAGCATACACAGCCAGGACTAAGCACATCATACACATCCTCGATTTTAATCTTCGATGTATGCATTGGGTTATTGGGAAGGTTGAAGGAGATAAACACTTTGTAAACTGAAAAGCATGATAAACGTGTTAATCAATATTATCATCATTGTTGTTTTTATTGACCTAAAGCTAGCTTTTGCGTATAAAAGTCTCAACTTCTCTTTCTGCAAAATCTCTGTCAATTTTTCCTCTTACCTGCCTCTCAAATAAATGCCTTGCCCATCACCATGGCTGCTGACCTTATTAAATGTCTTGTCCTCTTGCACCAGACCTCCTTCTAATTGATCTCTCTGCCTTCGGTCTCTTTCTACCTTAATTCATTCCCCCACAGCAGCCGGATTTATTTTTTGATATGAAAATGTGATCTCACTTCCTCCCATAAATCTATATGATGGATCACTGAAATCTACAAGATGCTTCCAGACATCCACCGTGGTTGCGAGACACCAGGACCCTGGTTTTACGCAACCCTACAGACTCATTACTTGCAGTTCCCCAATTCCCCAAACAAACCTGACTCCTTCAAATCACAGTGCTTTAGCCAAGCACATGCTCTACCTGAATCACCCTCTGTCGCCTTGTTGAGTAATTGACACTAGTAGACAATGAAGCTCAAATATCATCCCTTCTATGAATTAGGTTTCAATATTTCCTTCTATGTCTGCCTCAATCACAGCAGAGTTAATCTCTCAATGATCCTTGTAGCAACCTGTGCATCCTTTGGTTACAAAATAATGATAATAATGACAACACTATTAATAATAATAACTGCTCGTATTTTCTCCACCCTGTTTTAAGCTCTATTAAGAGACTTGCATAGAATAGCTCACACTCATAACAATCTTGAAATAATTTTACAATTGTCCCCATTTTACAGATGCATGGTCTACACTCAGATAAAATATTTAACTTTCCAGAGTTTACACCACTAGCAGTAGGGGATGCTGCAGACTCCAGCACCTCCTGTAAGTCCTAAAGTTATAGCCTTCTTCACTGTCACTGGTTTACCTCATCCCACATGTCATCCTCTAGATCTGCACTGCCCAACATGGTAGCCACTATCCATAACTGTCCAGTTAAATTTATAATTTAAGGAATTAAGTGAAATCAAACATTCAGTGCATCAGTTACAGTAGGCACATGTCAGAAACTCAATAGCTGTAATGTTTAGCAGAAATATAGAACATGTTCTTCATCACAGAAAGTTCTATCGCACAGTGCTACCCCAGAGGACAGGAATCTCGTTTCCATACTGGTATCCCTAGCACTTAGGACAGTGCAGTTCAATGAAGCTATTGATGGAGGATCACACTCTTACTATATTGGCTTGATTTTCTTACATCAACAATGAAAATCTACAATGTAAATGGGATTGTTATAAAACAATCTTCATCTATAAAGTAAATGGAATTTCTTTTGAACAAATAATCAACTCTGGCACTAGTTCTGTCAGCTCCCACCATTGCCAATCTCTCTTTGGAGCAGAGAGCTCATGCATGGATGGCTCGTCTTAATCTTTGCCCCAGTGCCGGGGAGAAGAGAGAGTTTCAGCTCCTGAATCCCAGAAAGCCCATTCCCAATCCCACCATGGGTGCACCGAGACAAAGTTAGATCTGTTGGTTCCCATCATTGCCAATCTCACTTTGGAGCAGAGAGCTCATGCATGGATGGCTCTTCTTAACCTTTGCCCCTATGCCAGGGAGAGAGATAGTTTCAGCTCCTGAATCCCAGAAAACCCATCCCAATCTCACTGTTGGTACACCATGATAAGAGCTAGCCACACCAATGTATTTAACCATTTGATGTGTTTAGTTCTAAATTCTAATATAAAATTTCCAAACTGGAAATCTACTTTTTTTTCACTGTTTGGATTGTAAATGGAATCATTTCCCTGGTAAACATTCCATCAGTATGGAATCTCCCAGGAGTTCAGTTGTTTTTAATGCTCCAATCCCATCCTTCCTCCCCCCTCAAAAATTGCAGGGGTAAATTTTCCAATTGTCTCCATTTTTCTTATTAACAACAGTGCTTAGCATTTATTTACTTGTGTAGAAAATGCCCATAGTTTAGTCAGCCCTCGGTTTGAACCCTGCAACAACTGGCTTTGTAAACTTTAGACTACGTGTTTACTTCTCTAAGCCTCTAGTCTTCTTTCAGCTGTAAAACGAAAATATTACTATTATTATTATTATCGTGACTCACTTTAAAGCATTATAGTGAGGCTACAAAAATAAAATACATATTAATTGCTCAATACAGCACAAAGTCATCAACTTATCTGTTAATCGTTACTATTAGTATTTTTAAAAATTTTCTTATTGGCTATGTTTTGGAAACTTTATATAGCTTCATACCGTTTAATGTTTTTAAAGTTCTAGTGGAGAAGGGATTAGTCCCTCAGCTTTTGAGATGAGGAAAAGGCTCAAAAGAATGAAGAGAATTACTCAAGGTCATGATGAATGAATGGCAGAGCCAGTATTCCACCCCAGCTCTGAAGAGCTACAGAACCAAAGATCTCCCAGCTCCACTGGGCATCGGTTTCAATTTACAAGAACAGCTCAAACTCAGACCAGTCAGTGTGGCCTAGGGCATCTGTAGCTAGCGGCCGCGCTTGCGTAGAAAGTGCCAGGCTATCTGGAGTTTCTGCAATGCACGTCCTTCCTCTAACTCTGTAGAACCCACCAGGGAGCGTTAAACTGCAGGCCTTCCTGAAACAGGCAGAAAACCATTAACAGAGGAGAGCCTTCCATCCTCTGCTACTGAAGACAGTTAGATTAACACTTTGGAAAAGAACCAAGAAAGTAAATATCAAGGGGAGTCATTTGGTCCTGGCCACACAGAGCAGGTAATGAAAAAAAAAAAAATCAGAGTCATCTCTTTACTGTTAGATCCTTTATGTGAATGTTACTCAAATGGCGCCAAAGCAACACAGCATTTACAACTGGATAAAGGTTTTCCCGTCCAGGGCTCCTGGAATTCATGATGCCAGTGATGCTGAAAATCAGCCATTATCTAAAATCTGTACTTTAAGAGAAAACACACGCAAACCCCAGGCTTCATGCTCCCCTCAATGTGTCTCTGCCTCTGAGCTTGGACTCGAGACATACATGTTTGTCTATCATCTAGGAATTTCAGTTGATTCCACAGCATAAAGAAAAACAAAGAGATAGAATTTCTGGGGGAAAAAATAAAAGAAAGTTAAACTATAACACAACACTTTGAGGAAGATAAAATCATACACATATATATATACACACATACTCTGTCTTACCTGAAAGCATGCTGGTTCATGTCAATAAGAAACAAATTTGAGACTGATGCTGATGAAGGCAGCTGTACATTTTATCACTAATAAGTGACACAAGGGGCCTTATTACAAAATATTTCTAAACATACAAAATTCTGTAATGGGACCCCCAAGGGCCAGCCCACAAACTGTGTACTCTGTGTCTGTATATGCACAGCCAAGTGTTGCCACGGTAACTAAGACGGTGTATGTAAGCAGTTCAGAATTGCTGGCATGCAGAAATCCTAAAGCCTGCCGACTTTATTTTTAGTCTGAACGGTTCGATTTCACATTTCATCAGCATTTAACTTGCTTCTGTTTTCTAACAAACACCACGTGCACATGCACACTCCACCAGATGTCTATAGTTTATCATGCAAATATTACATAGAAGCGATAATCATTATTAACGAACATAATCACCCAAAGTCGGGAGGGATATCATTCACTGCCAGTTTGTGCTCAATCCCTTCTGTCCCAGAGTCAAAAGGGAAAAGAAGAAGAAGAAAAAAAAGGCTGTCAGCGATCAAATGTGTGCTTTAACGAAAAATAGAGCTCATGTCCAACCAAGGGCTGCTGGTATAAAATTTCTTTCTGTTTTGACAGCACTTTTTCTCCCCCAAGAACAGAGGGTATGAAGTCAACAGTTGCCAGAATGGGCCACTGGTTATTCTTCACCCACAAGCTTCCAAAGATCTCCCAGCCCCACCCAAGTCCATCTTCTGGTGGTGATACCAGCAAGCTTTTGGGTTGTAAGTTACAAGATGGGAGGAAAATCAAGCAACAATCTTCTTGATTTCTCCTTCTCTTTGTTCTTCTCTCTCGTAGCAGTTGGACATTCTCAGTCTGGCCACATCCTGCCCTTTTGTTTCTCTACAGCAGAGACCACAGTATTACAGCCTGCGGGTCACTACAAGCTTGCAGGCTTATTTTGCTTGGCCCACCTAGTGTTTTAAAAAATAAAATAAAAACAATTAGCTGTTGACTCTTAAAGAAAGGGAGATTTCACATAGAAATCCAGATTTTCAGTAAGTAAGGAAGGAAGTGGGGAGGAAGGGAGGGAAGAAGGAAGGAAGGAAGAAAGGAAGGAAAGAAGGAAGAGAGGGAGGGAGGGAAGAAGGAAGGAAGGAAGAAAAGAAGGAACTATCTGCAACATTGAGCTAGCATATCTGTTGTCTAATGGGCTAAGTGGAAAAGATCGGCCTTCTTTAAATTGGACAAGTGTGTTTCATACTGCTAACTCACCACTTCCCTCTAATGCATTTCCAGGCCCATGTCACATGTTTCCCTACTCAGATGCTGTTTTAAATGCTGATCTATAATTCTCCTCCATCCCTGAAGAGATCCTGGAGCAACCAGATCTCTTCATTGCCCCCTCACTCCAGGTTTGGACTTGAGGGGAATCTTATAATTCTTTCTAACTTTTCCTTTCTCCCTTTGTCCTTCCTGACCTCCCTTCTCTTCCTCCCTTAAGTAATTCCTAAACAATTCCTATGTGTCTAGCCTGTTTCCAGTCACTGTGAATGATATACAGAAAGGTCATGTGGCTTACCTTCTCAAGGATGTGGCAAATTTTATTGCATGATGCTTTTCCCCCAAACAATAAGTAGGAATATGCAACTTGAAGGCTGGATGCAGTGACTCATGTCTGTAATCTCAGCAATTTTGGAGACTGAGGTGGGTGGAACACCTGAGGTCAGGTGTTGGAGACCAGCCTGGCCAACATGATGAAACCCCATCTCTATGAAAAATACAAAACTTAGCCAGGCGTGTTGTTGGGCTTTAGTCCCAGCTACTGGGGAAGCTGAGACACCAGAATCGCTTGGACCTGGGAGGCAGAGGTTGCAGTGAGCCAAGATCATGCCACTGCACTCCAGCCTGGGTGACAGAGCGAGATTCTGTCTCAAAAAACAACAACAATATAAACAAAACAATAATGGACAAACAAAAAAACTGGACCCTGAATTCCAATGCCATGGTTTTCTCATCTTTAAAATGACTTCACAGTGGTGAAGTTCAAATTGGATAATGTATGCTACATGTTAGAGACTTAGCCCAGAACTTTGTAATTAATTGTCAACAATTTAGCAGTAAGACAATCTGGCACCATGGTTAAGAACATGAGCCATGGATTTCGCCAGAACCAGATCCACATTCTGGCTCTCCCTACTTACTGGTTTTACAGTCTTCAGCAATATATTCTCTCTGAGCCTCAGTTTTCTTATCTGAAAAGTGATTTAATAGTAGATAACTTCATAGTAATGCACTGACGATTAATGAGAGTGCCTAAAAGTGTGTAACACAGAGGCACTTAGTAAGTAAACTAATGACACTTTTAAAGACTTTTTAAAAAATTGGCTGGGCATAGTAGTGCACACCTGTAGTCCCAGGTACTCAGGAGACTGAGGCAGGAGGATCATTTGACCCAAAAGGTCGAGGTTACCGTGAGCTATGATGGCGCCACTGCAGTCCAACCTAGGTGACATAGTAAGACACTGTCTCTAAAACAAATACATAAATAATTTTTTTTCAGCACTATTAAGAACACATGATTTGACAGTTGGGCAGAAAATGAGAAATTGAAGCTCTGCCTTCAAAAATCAGAACACATTGTACCAGTGATCTATTGCTGAATAACAAAATATTTCCAACACTTAGTGATTCGTAACCAACAAAAGTTTATTATCTCTCACGTGTTCTGTGGTTCAGGATTTTTGGAGCAGATTCTCACTTGAGGTCCCTCCTGAGGTTTCAGCCAAGGTGTCAGCAGGGGCTGCAGTCATCTGAAGGCTTGACTGGGGGTGGAGGAGCCACTCCCAAGATGCTTTGCTCATATTACTGGCAGCTGGTACTGACTGTTGGTGAAAGTCCTCAGTGTGTGGTCCTCTCCAGAGGGCAGCTTCAGTGTCCTTAAGATAGCAGGTGGCTTCACCCAGAGCCAATTATACAAGAAACAAAGAGGCTGGGTGTGGCGGCTCATGCCTGTAATCCTAACACTTTGGGAGGCTGTGGCACGTGGATCACTTGAGGCCAGGAGTTCGAGACCAGCCTGGCCAACATGGAGAAACCCCATCTGTATTGAAAATACAAAAATTAGCCAGGCATGATGGTGCATGCTGGTAATCCCAGCTACTTGGAAGGCTGAGGCAGGAGAACTGCTTGAACCCGGGAGGCAGAGGTTGTGGTGAGTCAAGATCATGCCACTGTACTCCAGCCTGGGCAACACAGCAAGACTCAGTTTCCAAAAAAAAACCAAACAAACAAATGAGAGAAAAGAAACAAAGAAGGAAACCATAATGCTTTTTATAACTTTGCCTTAAATATTACATGCCACCCCCTACTCTATACTCTAGGATTCACAGTACTCAGACCTGACTAAGCATGGGAGGGGACTACGCAAAGGCACAAATCTGTGAGCAAGCATCAGTGGGGCCGCCTTGAAGGCTGGGGTCCACACTGTGAGCTTCATACACATATGTGTAAACAGTCCAGTGCTATGAAAGAGGATGCACTATCTACTTAATTATTTGATGATTGGTAGAAATTAGAAGTAGTAGGCACACATACTTGAAGCCCTGAGGAAAAGTTGAAAGCAGGGGTGAGACCATTTCAGAGAGTCTCTGACACTTCTCGTGAGTTTCAAAAGGGATGAAGGGTAAACAATCTACACCTATTATTAGCATATGTGCAGGCTTTTACTTATGTATTATCTCATTTGATCTCAAAAATCTCATTCATGCATTCATGCATTCATTTTAATCAAATACTGACTGCATATCAGATACCATACTAGGTGCTGATAATACAACAAAGCAGGTCAGACATAAATGTTGCCTTCATAGCCCTTACCAGCCATCCAGGGGGAAAGAAAGGCTTTGATGAAGTCTGAAGTGTGCACCTCATGCAGGCTTGATGTGGAGATTGCATAAAAGCAACTTATCGAGTGCTTTCCATAGGCTAGGTATGGCGATGAATGCTTGGGAGGCCTTATTTCATTTAGTTCTACCACCTCCCTTTAAGATAGGTACTCTAAGTGTCTCTAATTTTTATATATGAGGAAAGTGAGCCTTAGAGAATTAAGTCAATGACTCAAGGCTGTGCCATTACACAGCTAATAAGCAGGACCAGGCTCCTGAGTTCAGTTGCGCAGTGAGGAGTAAATTTCCACTCCAGTTATGGCTCCTAAGTCCTGCACCCTACCATGGGGCTGTGTCTTCCTGGAGGAAACAGTGCCTGCTTCTAAGTCACACAAAGGGGCTACCCAGGCCATCAAAGATCCTTAGAAAGGGTGAGCACCCTCTAGTCCTATTTTATTCATTGCCACATTACCCCCTTAGCTGTTGTGCAGTGAAAGTCAAGGTGACAATAGAAAGAATCTGGGAGAGAGTAAAGAGGAGCAAAAGCTATTGCAGTGCCCAGGCTGACCTGGACTGAACTCATCTTTATTGGCAAGAGGGTAGGGCCAGCTTAGTTTGATGTTGAATGTTGGGCAGACACACACCTGCATATTTTTAGAGGAGTTTTTCAAACAGAAAAAGGAAGACAAAAGCAAAGAACAGTATTCCTACTTCCTCGTCCCTTGCCTTCAGTCCAAAAATCATTAGATAGGTCTGAGCATGGTGCCTCATGACTGTAATCCTAGCACTTTGGGAGGCCAAGGTGGGTAGATCACTTGAGGTTAGGAGTTTGAGATCAGCCTGGCCAATATGGTGAAACCCCGTCTCTAATAAAAAAATAAAAAATTAGCTGGGCATGACGGTGCATGCCTATAGTCCCAGCTACTTGGAGGCTGAGGCAAGAGAATTGCTTGAGCCTGGGAAGTGGAGATTGCAGTGAGCCAAGATTGCACCATTGCACTCCAGCCTGGGCGTCTCAGCAAGATGCAAAAAAAAAAAAAAAAAGCAAACTTTAGATGGGATTGAGTAATATAGACATCCTGGTTGGAGGCTGAGGGCAAATGGCTTGGGACAGGGTAAGGAAGACAGCAGAGTAAGGTTTTGTAGGCTGAGTGGGTAAGTGCGGTGTCCCCGAGGAAGGGCGGCCACAGCTCTATTGGGGAGAAGTGGACATTCCTATTGAGGGGTGCCTTTATAAGGGGTGATGGAGCCCTAGTGGAAATAAGTGCCATTTCTATTTAGCAGTAGCCTGATACAGGATACTGGACTCTAATGGAAAGAGCAGGCATCCCCATTTAGGCAAAGGGTAACAGGTGGTGAAGGTTAGCAGGAAAACGAAGCCACCTATTCCTGAGGTTGGCCAGCACTGAGTGTCGGAGTCCAAGCAGGGAGGAGGGGAGGGCTTCACTGTGGACTGGCTGATCGTGCTTAGGTTGCAGGAGGATGAGTGGGATGAGCAGAGCCTCCTTTAGTGGGGGAGCAACTAAGGTGACAGGAGGTTGGATACAAGGAGAGTGATGGTTAGTAGATGTGGTGGTTAATATTGTGTCAACGTGATTGGATTCAGGGATGCAAAGCACTGTTCCTGGGTGTATCTGTGAAGGTGTTCCCAAATGAGATTAAAAATTGAGTCAGTGGACTGTGAGAGGTAGACCCACCCCCAACCTTGGTGGGCACCATCTGATCAGCTGCCAGTGTGGCCAGAATAAAAGCGGGCAGAAGAACGTGGAAAGACTAGACTGGTCTCATCTTCTGGTCTCCATCTTTCTCCCGTGCTGGATACTTCCTGCCCTCAAACATCAGACTCTAAGTTCTTCAGCTTTGGGACTCAGACTAGCTTCGTTGCTCCTCAGCTTGCAGTCGGCCTATTGTGGGACCTCACCTGGTGACTGTGTGAGTCAATACTCTTTAATAAATTCTCTCTCTATATATATATAATATATATCTTTCTCTATATATATGTGATATATATGATATATGATATATATGATATATATGATATATGATATATATGATATATATGATATATGATATATATGATATATATGATATATATGATATATATGATATATGATATATATGATATATATGATATATGTTATATATGATATATATGATATATGTTATATATGATATATATGATATATGTTATATATGTTATATATGATATATGTTATATATGATATATATGATATAGATATGATATATATGATATGATATATATGATATAGATATGATATATATGATATATATGACATAGATATGATATATATGATATAGATATGATATATATGATATAGATATGATATATATGATATAGATATGATATATATATATGTGATATAGATATATATGTATGTCCTATTAGTTCTGTCCCTCTAGAGAAGCCTAACTAAGAACAAATTTCTCTTGGCTGATTCCATAGTTTGCTGGTTACCAACCAGTAGGGCTCTGTCTCCACAAGAACTTCTGAAAATAATCAGAACTTTTTTTTTTATAACTGATTATTGGGTGCCTGATGTACCTGTTTGCTTCTCCCTCTGCACAAGGCAGTTTTGTATCACTGATGATGATATCAGGCTGAGAATGCCCTTCTGGGTTCACTCAGCCTCCATTTCTTTATTCTCTAAGCTGCTGGTTCTTCTCTGCATCTTCTCCTCTAGGAGTGACAAGATAATTTATAGTGCTTTCTGGCAGAATCTGGCAAGTGTTTTAGTGATTTTTAAAAAGTGCTTTTGTGTGAGAGAGAGAAGAAGGGAGAGGAGGAGAAAAAGAGCAGGAGGAGGAGAAAGAGAAAATACATCAGTTTACAAAATAACTCATCAGTACTCTTCAAAAGTGTCTAAGTCATGAAAGACAAAGAAAGATTCAGAAATTTTTAGGTTAAAAAGTAATCTGGACCCAAAGATCTTTTTTATTTGTATTTATTATTTTTAGTTTTAGAGACAGAGTCTTGCTCCATCACTCAGGCTGGAGTGCAATAGTGCCATCATAGCTCACGGTAACCTCTACCTCCTGGGCTCAAGTGGTGCTCCCACCTTGGCCCCTCAAAGTACTGGGATTACAGGTGTGAGCCACTGCACCAGAAAAGTTAAAAAAAAAAAATGACAAGAGAGAAAGTTCAGGAGAAAAGGACAAGAAACGCTTGTAGAGACATTCAGCACTTGAGAAAAAAAACATTAAAATCAATTTTACTTATACATTTGATAAATCTGCTGGGCAGCATCTTTAAAACATATTTTTTAACATTGAAATAATTTTAGACTCACTGAAAAATTGCAAAACAGTACAAAGATTTTCCACGCATGCTTCAACCACCTCCCTCTAATGTTAACATGTTACATAACCATAGCACAATTGACACCATGAAATTATTATGGATATGATATTATTAACTAATCTGCAGATCTTGCTACAACTTCAATAGGTTTTTTTCAACTGATTTCTCTTTTCTGTTCCAGGAACCCATCCAGGCTCTCAAACTTCATTCGTTATTTTTCCTTAGACCTCTCCAATCTGTGACAACTCCTGAGTCTTTCTTTGTTTTTCGTGACTTGGACACTTTTGAAGAGTACTGTTGAGTTATTTTGTAAAATGCCCCCCTCGATTGGGTTTATCTGATGTTTCCTCATTAGATGCTTCCAATTAGAAGGAAGATTTGCATTTCAGGCAAGAATACCACAGAAATGATGTGCACTCCCCAGTGCATTATGTCTGGGTATCAGGATGTTGATATGTCTTATTACTGGTGATGTTAGCCCTCGTCTCTTGGCTAAGGCAATAGATGTCAGACCTCTCCACTGCAAAGTGAACATTTTTCCCTCTTTAATTAATAAGTATATTGTGAGGAGATACTTTGAGACTGCACACATATCCTGTTGTCATTGCACTTTTCTCCCCTAATTCTGGCATCTAGTGATGGTTCCTACCTGCAACGATTATTATCATGGTGTTTGCAGAATGTCTACAATCTTCTGAAAACAGCAACAACCAGATCCAGTTTATTAACTTCCCATAAGAAAGCCCTCTGTCACCTAAAACAACCCAATCTATGTCTAATAGATTTGTCCAAGAACTCTTTACGTTTGGGACAATAATTTTCCTGAAGCTTCTGCTCGGTCACACTTAGGTCAAGAGAAAACATCCATCATTCAGTCTTGTATATTCTCTGCCTCTTCTTGGTCCTTCTTGACTACAGTGAAACACCACACTCTAGGAGTAGCCCAACAAGCAGAAAGCAGATAATTTTATCACTTCTCTTACAGCAGATATTCCTGTGGGATCTATAAGGCCCCAGCAAAGAAAGTGCATGAGTAAAATGCACGTTGGCTGAAGAAAAGAAAGGAAGTGCCAAGGCCCTTTGTCAACCAAAGATCACGGACGGTCCATAAACTGCAGCTGCTACTCAGTTCCAACTTTTTTCAATACCTTTAGTGAAGTATTTTCCTCAGAGTTTTTTAAAGTCGGTTTTCTGAATCTGCCATTTTATCAACAGGATATAAATGATTCCAAATTTTAAGTGTTTTCAAATAATACAATTAGAACAAAACCTATGCTGGTCAAACCAAAAAGTCTCAGTGAGCTGTTTCCAGTCTTCCGGCCATGCATTTGTGCCTGTAGTAGAACTCTCTGGGCAATCTAAGAACCTAGACACTTTTGGGGATGTCTGATGTTCCATGGGGGATATTTTGTGCTTAAAATGTATTCAGTTTTTATTTTTCTTTCATATTCTCCAAGTGACT
Source organism: Homo sapiens (assembly GCF_000001405.40). Classification (NCBI taxonomy): domain Eukaryota; kingdom Metazoa; phylum Chordata; class Mammalia; order Primates; family Hominidae; genus Homo; species Homo sapiens. Next base: position 7,929,940 of record NC_000016.10, on the reverse strand, counting down.
TTTGGCTTCTGCATTCCATACACATTATAAGTGGAGTTTTGGATGTGAGTGTCAGAGCTTGTTTATGCAAAGAAAATTTCATCATACTAGATGCAACTCCTTAATATTCTCTCACCCCCAAATTTTAGCAGGAGCTATAGAAAGTGATTTAAGTTAGCCAAGTTCCCTTCTCTTATGACAGTGTTTCTTGTAGCTACGGTTTGAATATGGTTGGTCCACACCAAAACTCATGTTGAGGCTTGGTGCTTGATGCAGTCATGTTGAGAAGTGGTGCCTTTAAGAGATGATTACGTTGTTAAGAAGGATTCATATCTTTCGAGTGAGACTGGGTTAGTGCTTGAGGGAATGGATTAGTTCCCATGAAAGTGGGTTGTTACAAAGTGAGTGTGTTAGGCTATTCTTGCATTGCTATGAAGAAATACCTGAAACTGAGTAATTTATAAAGAAAAGGGGTTTAATTGGCTCACACTTCTCTAGGCTATACAGGAAGCATGGCACTGGCACCTGCTTGGTTTCTGGTGAGGCCTCAGGAAGCTTTTGATCATGGGGAAGGTGAAGGGGGAGCAGGTGTCTGACATGGCAAGAACAGGAATAGGAGAGAACAGGAGCAAGAGAGAGAGAGTGGGGAGGTACTCAACACATTTAAACAACAAGATGTCATGAGAACTCACTCACTGTGGTGAGCAAAGCACCAAGCTATGGGGGATCTGCCACCACGACCCAAACACTTCCCACTGGACCCCACCTGCAACACTGGGGATTAAAATTCCACGTGAGATTTGGTGAGAACATATATTCAAACTGCGTCAGTGAAGCTGCCTCCCATGGTTAGCCCTTTGCTTAATCGCTTCTGCTTCTGTTTCTCCAACATATTATGATGCACATGAGGCCCTCACCAGGACCCAACCAGTTGTGGTCATAGGATCTTTCATTTCTCAGCCTTCAGCACCATGAGCCAAAATAAATCTCCTTTCTTTGTAAATTCTCCAGTCTCAGGCATTTTTTGTTATAGCAACAAAAAATGGACTAAGACACGATCCTATGGTATTCATTCCTTACCCTGTTTTTATCCTTCTCCTATTGGCTGAAGTATAGAAGGTTGAAGAATCTTGCATATTTTCTTTGTCCATTTTCTAGATTAAAATATTAAACTAGGCACACCTAGGAGACCTCCCACAAAGTTGATATCAGTCCTTGAGGTTACATATTTTCATTTCATTTAACCCATCATTCTTTGTCCATGCATTCAGGTGATTAAAAAAATGCTTCAGGTCAGGTGCAGTGGCTCACGCCTGTAATCCCAGCATTTTGGGAGGCCAAGGCGGGTGGATCACCTGATGTCAGGAGTTTGAGACCAGCCTGGCCAACATATTAAAATCCCATCTTTACTAAAAATACAAAAAAATTAGCCAGGCACGGTGGCAGGCGCCTATAATCCCAGCTACTTGGGAGGCTGAGGCAGGAGAAGTCCTTGAATCCAGGAGGCAGAGGTGGCAGTGAGCTGAGATCATGCCATTGCACTGCAGCCTAGGAAACAAGAGTGAAACTCCGTTTCAAAAAAAAAAAAAGTTTCAGTGATGAAGTACTGGATTAGTAGATTTCCTTGCTGTAAGTCAACATACAGTGTATCACCCCAAAAGTGAAACGTCAGGGACACAGCGTAGCATGTTGGAAAAAAGCAGGGACTCTGGAGAGCCAGATTGCCTGATATTAAATCTCAGCTTCATCACTTAACAGCTGCATTACCAGGGATGAATTACTTAAGCACTTCCTGACTCAGTTTCCACATCTGTAAAATGGGGTTAATAATGGTACCCACTTCATCAGATAGTGGTTAAGATTAAATAAGTCATATAAGTAGAAGGCCTAGAATATACATAAAGTGATCAGAGGAACCTCGGTAAAGATAGGATGGCTTTTATTACTTCTGAAATAAGTAAAAATTCCCTTGGGAAATGGAACAAGATGGGTAGAAAAGGAAACAAGGCACTGAATGAACAGAGAGAGAAACCTTTTATTTTACTTTTTTCTGAGTTGAAGGAAGAACAGAAAGATCTAGCACAAACTTCCATCTTAAACCAAGCTGGCATCTCTTGTTTTTATCTTTCATGTCAGGAGCCTGAGTCTCCAAAGACAATTGTGAAGGGGATTGTGTTTGACTGATCAATCAAAAGCAACCCCCTTGCTTGTCTTCTGAGACTCTGAATTAAAACCTCCAGGCAGGATTCTAGGGAGGACAGGACCGGCGAGGGGGCGGGCAGCTACTCAAAGTTGAGTGGGCTTTGATGGTAGAGAAGCAGCTGAGATAAAAGAGCTCCTCCCAGCAGAGCTGAAATTGAAACGGGAAACATTTCATGAGGCCCAGTCCCAGGAAGGGAGCCCTGGGTGGTGAGGAAAAGCAGAGGGGACAGACGCCCCAAGCCAGCTCCGTCAGCATTGGGCAAGTGAGCAGGCCACCAGCAAGGACAGCTCTTCCAAGGACACTCTGTCGAGGCTGCTTCAAGCAGCATGAGTCCCCACAGCTACAGGAACACCAGGAAGCCAGCAACCTCCAGAGTTCAGCATTGAAAGTACATGGAGAACTGATTTCCACTTACCTGGCTTCAGTCTGTTCCACGGTCTCTCCTGGTCCCTGCTTCAGGCCCAAAGTCTCTAAATGCTCCCACTAGTCTGGGCATTCACTGTCATCAAACAGACCTTCCTTTCGTCAGCCTCTAGCAGTGTTATTTCTTCTGCCTGGACTGCCTTTCCCTCATCTCTGCCTGCCAAGCTCCTACACATTCTTCAAAATCCAGCTGAAATCTCACTTTTTACAAGATGTCCTACAGCCTCTATCAGCAATGTATTTCTCTGATCTATCCAGAGGGTTCACATTCCCTTGTACTTGGATTTTAGAACATGCCATGGACCTGGTAGGTTATGCTTGGTCAATGACCCACCCTGTTCTCCCACCACATTGTATTTGTAGGTAGGAGGAGGAGCATATCATTATCTAATTTTCCACAGCAATCACAGAAATTACAGTTGAAAATGACCTCAGTCTTCCCTTAGTTCAGTCATGACAAATTTACAGCACATGGCATACCACTTCTGCCACCTGTGGTCAAGGCAGACCCTATGCACCACTCAGAGAACTCTTCATTTCTGTTGAATCTGGACTCAGATTCTTTGTCAACACACTGTTCCGGGCAGTCACACTCAACATATTTAAGTTGGAATTTATTTTTTTTTTTTTGTCTTTTTGTCAGGGTCACAAACAGGTAGCCCATAACACAAGGCGAGTACAATTACCAGAATAACCCACAGAGATGAAGTAGTAGTCGGAGTGCAGGACCTCTAGGGATATGTGACAATGCATAACTGTTCACAAGATCTTAGGAATTAAGTACAAGGGCGGCCCCCACCACAGGGCTTCCTGACATATTCAGGCAATGACTCCAAGCTGGTGGGCAGGAACCCAACCTAAGTCATTGGGGTGGGGATTTACAGCCTCCTATCCAGTTTATAGAGCTAAACCTACTCACATCCTTGGGGCCCCAAAGGACCCTGCCATGTGAACACATGTGTGTTTTGTGAATCTTCAGTAAAACTTTCCCGAGACGCAAGTAGGGCCATTTACTAGTGTGACTGTAAATTGGTGAAAGGTAAAACTCTTTTGGGGATGAATTGATATTGGCTCTGAACTGAAGCTAATCCCCAGAGACACTAAATAAACAAAATAAAACCAGATAACGTAAAACAAAACAAAATCATATTTTATTTGGAATAGAAGATAAGACCTACATGCCACCCCTTAACTAATTCAGCACCAACCCCCATCATATATGATGAACCCCCAAATCTAGGAAAGTAAATATTTTAACCAAATAAAGTATAAAATCTAGGGAAAAACCATTGTGCTAATTAATAATAATAAAATTAAAAATAATAAGAACCAAACCTCTATTTCCGGATTGCCCAGTTACTACCATTATAGGTACACTACACTGCTCTCTAAAAACAGTGATTTAGATATAATAGTACCTATTATATGCATTGGTGTGGGCATAAAATTAAATTCCAAATTGCAAATAGAACTGCTGCAAGAAAATAATATTTCCCAAGACTTATTTTACTTAATTGCATGGAATATTAATATGTATAATGAAAATAAAGGAGTCTTTCATCTACTTGGTCTAATTGGTCTCTTTAAAATAAGCCGTATATGCTTTACGTAACCTAATAGGCATTGTGATGTTACAAGAAAAATAAGACAAAACAGTATTCAGAGTTTTTCAAATGCCTTAGCTCCTGAGACTGTTTTGGCAAGGATCATGTCATAGGAATAGTGCATGACAAAGGCGGTGAAAGATGCTGATGAAAAGAAAAGAACAGGGGTTTTGGAATGTGTCTTTGATTTGCATACTGACACTGTAACTTATTTGCTGTGTGCACTCATGCTGGAATCTTGAACTCTCTGATTTTCAATTACCTAATCTATGAAACGTGTGATAGCTATATCACAGAGGTATTTAATGAACTAACACAATCCAAGTGCGTGACAGTAGTGGGTACTTAAAAAATATTAAGTCTGTTGCTTAAATCTTGATGCATGGGCCTAAGAACTATTTTCTGAGCAACAATGCTAGTCTCTTAAATTAAAATTATGTTTTGCCACTGTTTAATTGCTGTATAAACATTTTGGCTCTTGTGCCTTATTTATTCAGCATTTATTCAAAACGAACTTTCTGTGCATGCCAGGGACGATATGATGTGTTCATCAAAACATTTCATTTTCCATCTGAAAATGCAGGAAGGCTATTTCCCAGCACTGCCCCCCCACCCCTTGAGTCTTAATATGCCTACCTTACTGTTCTGGCCATAAGAACGTAGGTGGAAAGGTTGTACCTCATTTCTGGGCTTGAGCCCTGAAAGATCTGCACAATCATCCATGTATTCTTTTTTTTTGTTTTGTTTGTTTGTTTGTTTTTGTTTTTGAGACGTAGTCATGCTCTGTCACCAGGCTGGAGTGCAGTGTCGCGATCTCGGCTCACTGCAACCTCCACCTCCCGGGTTCAAGCGATTCCCCTGCCTCAGCCTCCTGAGTAGCTGGGACTACAGGCATGCACCACCATGCCTGTCTAATTTTTTGTATTTTGATACAGCCCGGGTTTCACCATGTTGGCCAGGATGATCTCGATCTCCTGACCTGGTGACCTGCCTGCCTTGGCCTCCCAAAATGCTGCGATTGCCCGCGCCCAGTCATCCGTGTATTCTTTCACCTGTATTTCTAGTTGGAAATTAAGGCTTCTAAGTCAGCAGTTCACATGATGGAAGAAGCTTGGAAGTGTGTATCCTTTAGATACTATTTGGAGAATCATCTCTCAGAAGAGTGACAAGCTGCAAACATTCCCATTAGATCTTGCATACGTGAGAAAACAAAAACAAAACATAGCACTTTAAGCCCCTGAAATGAAGAGTTTATGTGTTATCCCCACATATTCTAGCCCAGTAGTTCTGAGTCAACCTCAGTACTACTGACATTTTGGTCTGAACATTTGCTTGTTGCTTGAGACTGTTGTGTGTACTGTAAAATATTTAGCTTTACCCACCAGATGCCAGTACTGCCCCCCTTCAGTTGCGACAACCACCACTATCTCCAGACATGGCCCAATGCCCCCTGGCAGTGGGAGGAGCTTAAAAATTACTCCCATTGAGTTGAACAATGAGAACACATGGACACAAGGAGGGGAACATCACACACCTGAGCTGGGGTCGGGGGTGGCGGGCCAGGGGAGGTATAGCATTAGGAGAAATACCTAATGTAGATGACGGGTTGATGGGTGCAGCAAACCACCATGGCACGTGTATACCTATGTAACAAATCTGCATGTTCTGCACATGTATCCCAAAACTTAAAGTATAATAATAATAAAAAAAGAAAGTACTGCTAATTTTTCTCCACCTTGTAGTGACATTTTCCTGGTGCGTTTTCTCCTTCCATTGAGAAATTTTGATTTTTCTTTATCTTCCTTATATTATGGATACAATAGTTATATTTTTTTCTTAAAATTGAACTTTTCTAAATCAACTATTAACAGGACAAATCCCTGGAAGGGGAAAATGGTTAGGGTAGCTTAAAAAAAAAAAATCACTCCCATTGAGAATCGCTGGTCCAGGCTGACTAGAAAAAGAAAATTAGTGTGATATAACAACAACTACAAAAATGAAACAAATAAAAGAGAAACGTATGTAGAGGCTGCAAAATGAATTCAGAACCCCTTCATGTTTTTTTTTAATCCATGGTCTTTAATACTGGAAATCTCACCTGCATTTTGTAGAGTAGATGAGGAGACTGAAACACAAAGGAGTTATGTATCCAAATGTACCTGCTATTATGTGCCTGTATGTAAACCCAGAAAGTTGGCCTCCTAATGCACTCTTAAATACACAAGCTTTCTGCAGAGAGCATCTATGCACCATTTTCTTGTGTATTTCCTGAAGTTTCAGAGGTAGGTTAGGCAAAAGTTGGGTGAAGCAGGGGAGAAAATTCCTGGGGACATATTTGTTTCATTCTACATCCACTGGACCCTGCCCATCAAGAATCCTAATGACTTGCAAACTGACTGAAATACTGAAAAGTAGAGCTACAGACTTTATAAAATTGTTCCAAAACAAGATGAAGATGAACTACTTGTCGGTCCTCTGTAGATTCTAGTAGAATCAGCAGTAAGAATATATGCCACCTATCCCTTAGGATGTTATTTCCATGGAGAGAAGAAAAATGAGCCAGTCAATCTAATGACTGTCATTTACTTAGCAAAGAAACTTAAAACCTGCCATCACACATGGGGTTCCTTATGTCTACATTGAGCCCACCCTCTCACCATAGTGTTGCCTGAGGAGTGTTAAGAGATGACACTGAAGGCCTGATTTTTTTTTAATATACTCAAGTAAGTAAACTGTTGTTATAAGGAGGAAACCAACAAACACAACCAACAAACCCAAAAGTTCCAGAACCTGATACTTCCAAACACATTTGTAAAATAAGCTTAAAACAGGATTCTTCTCCATAGATTGTCTCAGAACCTTTCACTGGGGCATATGTTTGTGAATCCCAAAGAGAGGACAGAGAATAAACAATGCTTCCCTGTTGTATTTGAACCTGAAATTTGTTTTTCATGGCAACATTAACCTAAAGGTATACACACTGAGAATCAGGGTGTATCAGGTAACAGAGAAGCATAACTGTCTCCTGCACTAGCTAGGGATCTCAGCTATTGGGGATCAAACTAGTCTCTACCAGTACTATATGCATGTCTGAATATTTCTTACCCCCTTGGTACAATGGGTTGATAGAAAGACCACTCACCTCATGATAACATTATGCGGACTAAGTGAATGTGAAAAGAGCATGTATTAAAAACATTGGCTTTGAAGTTCAACAAACCCTGACCTTGACTCATGAACTCCATAAACCTCAGTTCTTCATCTGTAAAATGGAGATAATATCTTCTTCAAACGGGGTAAAAACTAAACGACATTTGTATGTGTGAACTGCTTAGCATCGTTGTTGACACAAGAAGCGCTATGCTATCATCATTATCACCACCACGGCTATGGATGCTGCACGAGAATCTCTTACAGAAAGAGTTTTCTTATCTAATTTGCCTAGTAATCAATCAAAAATCCAAAGGGACTGTCGAGTAAAATGTTAAATAAATCCTGAGGAATAATGATGAAACATTCATAATATATGCTCTGCACTAAAACATCTTTACAACTCTCTAAGGAATTAGTCTTTTTAATGTAATATGTGAGGAAATGCTACAGGCAGATAATATTGATCTGAAAGTCCTTTGGCGGTGACTTTTAAATATGGGCATTCTATGCCAGAGATCATGTTAGAGCTCCTGGCTGCAGAGTTTGAAGCTGAGGGACTTGTGACTGAGCCCCGGGCAACAATCCCAGGTTGGTATTGCTTGTCGCAATTTCATTACCCTAAAAGCATCCTGGAAAAAAAAAAAAGCATTCTAAAAACCTTCCTGGACATACAAACCTTAATCCCCACAGAGTTGGAGAGCTATAAAGTGTTTGAGAAGCACAAATGTCCTCCGTGCGAGTGCAAGAGGCTCATTTTCCCCCAAAGACTTTAACTGTCTCAACTCGGTAGCCTTGACAAATGGAAATTCATCATTTCATGTCCTAAGACCTGGCTCCTTGCATTCATGCAATTCAACTCCAATACAATACGTGATTATTGACGTCTCCTGTGCCAGATGCTGGCAACAGAAATCAAAGAACAATCATCACGATTAATTCTTCAAACATTTATTGTGGTTTTACTGTTGGTACCTTTGTGGTGAGGGCTCCCTGTGCACTAGGTGGCAATGTAATTCAGCTACCCTGTGTTGCAAGAGACAGAAACCCAGCTCCAACTGCCTTAAGCAAGAAGGGGAATGCACTGGGGAATGCAACGCTAGTACTTGCTTAAGGTACAGCTGGATCCAGGGCTTTAAATGCAGATATCAAAACTGTATTTCACTCTCTTCTCTCTGCTGCACTTTTCTCTTTATCCCCCCATTCTCAAGCTGATCCTTCCTCACAATAGCAAGAAGGTTGCCAGAAGCACCACGCTTGTATTTATAACCCCCAGAAACTGAACTGGAAACAGTAAACATTTCTTGCTGCTTGCTTCAGCCAGCATTCAAAAACTGACTGATTAGACAAGTTTGAGTCATAATTTCACGTGAAACTGATCGCTGTGGTTTAGGATATAGAAAATGCTGATTGGTAGGCTTCAGTCAATTTCCTACACATAGACGATTCACCTAAGGAAAAAGAAAATTGGCATGATATAACAACAACAACAGCAAAACCCAAAAAACAAACAAACAAACAAAAAAGATAAATGTATGCAGAGCAGGCAAAATCAATTGAGAACCCCTTCATGGTTTTTGCTGGTTTTGTTTTTTTTTTTTTTTGTTTTGTTTCTTTTTTGAGACAAAGTCTCACTCTGTCACTCAGGCCGGACTGCATTGGTGCGATCTTGGCTCATTGCAGCCTCCTCTTCCCAGGTTCAACTGATTCTCCTGCCTTGGCCTCCTGAGTAGCTAGGACTACAGGAACACACCGTCATGCCCGGCTAATAATCTTTATATTTTTAGTAGAGATGGGGTTTCCCCATGTTGGCCAGGCTGGTCTTGATCTCCTGGCCTCAAGTGATCTGCCCACTTTGGCCTCTGAAAATTCTGGGATTACAGGCATGAGCCACGGCACCCAGCCAACCTTCATGGTTTTTTTTTTTAAATCCATTGTCTTTAATACTGGAAATTTCACTTGCATTTTGTAGAGTAGATGAGGAGACTGAATTACAAGGCAGTTAAGTATCCAGACTTACCCACTATTACATGCCTGTATGTAAACCCAGAGAGTTGGCCTCCTAATGCATTCTTAAATACATAAGCTTTCTGCAGAGAGTATCTATGCACCATTTTCTTGTGTATTTCATGAAGTTTCAGAGGTAGATTAGGCAAAAGTTGAGTGGAGCAGGGGAGAAAATTCCTCGGGGCATATATATTTCATTCTACATCCATTGGACTTTAGATCTGAATACAGCTAGGTGTATCTTGTTTCAAGAACTCTGAATTGAGTTCCCTTGCTATCCTAGGATCTGGCTATTTTCCCAGTTAAATATAAGGGATGGTCTATTTGTTATGGCTCTTAGTTTAAGTAACCAAAATGGACCATAGCTCATTTAAGCAGATAAGGGATTTAATGAAATACTATTATGGTTGTTCACCAGAAAAGTTGGAGAGCTAGGTTCTCTTTTATTTCTTTTCTTTTTTTTTCTTTCTTTTCTTTCTCTTTCTTTCTTCTTTCTTCTCCTTCCTTCCTTCCTGCCTTCCTGCCTTCCTTCCTGACTTCCTTTCTCTCTTTTTTCTTTCTTTCTCTCTTTCTTTCTCTTTCTTTCCTTTCTCTCCTTCCTTCCTTCCCTTCTTCCTTTTTTCTTTCTTTCCTTCCTTCTTTCTTTCTTTCTTTCTTTCTTTCTTTCCTTCCTTCCTTCCTTCCTTCCTTCCTTCCTTCCTTCTTTCCTTCCTTCCTTCCTTCCTTCCTTCTGCCAGGATATAGGCAGAATGTGCCTCAGCCAATATCGCAGTCCAGAACTAGTTTGGCGACATCACTGACATTAAATGCTTGCTAATTTGGCTGGCCCTGGACACTGCTGGATCTCCTATCAAAGACACCTGCAGTTTGCTATAATTTCAGAACTGACTACCATTGGTGCTGCTGGTGGTGCAGCCCTCATTGCTGATGAGGGTGATAAACTTCCTGGAGGCTTCTTCATGGACTCTCAAGCTCCCAGTTCTGGAGGAAAATGCATTTGATTGGCTGAATCTAGATCATGAGCCACCGTCTAGACCAGTGGTTCTCAACTGGACTGTTTGTCTTCCAGGGGACATTTAACAATGTCTGGAGACAGTTTTAGCTGTTACAACTAGGGGTAGGGGGTTCTCCTGAGATCTCACCCATAGAAGACAGGGAAGCTGCTAAAAATCCTACAATACACAGGACTGCTTCCCACAACATAAGATTATCTTGTTTAAAATGTCAAGAGTGCTGAGATTGAGAAACCCTGCCCTAGCTTCAGGGATTTTTGGAAAAATTAGTATGCTAAAACTTTATGTTCTATTGTGAGAAGCGAGCTCTGCTTCTCCAAAAACTTCTGCAATGGAAAATTCCTTACGCAGAGGAAGGGAGTTCTGATGTTAAAAAAAATAATAAAAGTTCCACTATAAATAGATACCACAAAGACATCTTTGTTGGTATCCTAGAATCCTCCTCGTTTATTTCTGGCATCTGCTTGCTTCAATACTTTCTCAACCCTTTTCCAAATTCTTCACCCTGAGATTTACCTCCTGTATATCTGGCTTTGGATCTAGGGCAGCTTGGTTTCTTAATGCTTCCTAGGTACCTTGGCTTGACCATGTGAATTCCCCATTCTACTGCTCCACCAGAGCCCCGTGGTTCTTGGAATCCTACCCTGGGACACCTTCAAGAAAAATAAAGCTCCAATATTCCTTTATCTTTCTTCATGTTTTCTCAACAAGGCTGCCAATTCCACATGGAGAGAACGCAGCCGGATCATGCCATGCCAGGATGTCTGATGCAGTATTTCCAGTTATCAAAGCTCCATTCAGGAGCATTCAGCATTCCAACAAAGGCACCAATATTCAGAAATCAGTAGCCATTTTTATGCACAAGACTTTAAGTTTCAAGGGATTGAATGATCTGAGCAAGGAACCTTGATGGCCTCATGTGAAAAGAAGTACTTAAGATACTGGCTTTTTGGCCTCTGGGAATCCCATGAAGAAGGAATGACCAGTTGGCCATAATAAACAGTGCAGTTGGAGGCTTTAGGATGGAATTGCAATTCCAACTAGAATGAGTGATTTCAGTCTCCTGGGCACCTAACAGTACACTCCCAGAAGAGGCCAGGAGGTCAGAGAGGAATTAGAAGAAACAAAAATCATCAAATGTTTGGTGTTCTTGCCTCTTAACCTGTAAGAGACCATACAACTCAGACACCTCTAACCAGAAAATCATCCTTACACAAAATTGCAGTTCAGACAGCATAGAAACCCAACAAATGAAGCACTTTTTCAGCTCAGCAAGCTTCTTTGTGTCATTTCAAAATTGCAGCTGACACTTTAATATTTAAACAGAACAGAAGAGATACGGATTATTTATTTTCTTTTACTTTAATTTTACTATTGTACCAGTTCCCAACTTTATTTTTAACTTTAAAACAACAAAGCCCTACATTTTAACAACAGCTTCTGCTCAATTCATCAGGTTGTGAATGTTAACCTGACACTTACAATCCATAAAAGCCTTTTTCAATGCCATTGTCCCATTATCTACTTCTATATTGCTAGGAAATTACATGGAAAATATTTTTTGCTCTGGGCAAAACTAGTCATATAGAATTTGACAATGATCTATATATTTATGGAGGAAAATTAATCTTCAATGCTTCTAAGTTTTTATGCCTCATAATTTTATCAAAAATGTCCAAATGCATCATAGTGGAACTTCCAGAGACATGAAAAATGTCCCACTTTTTCTCTAAGATTGAAATAAAGAAAAACACTACACTCTCAGGATGCCTTTTGAACACACTGTCTGGTTATACTGTTTAATGGACCACTCAACAACTGTAGCAGAATCTCATGGAAACCTAAAACATGGCAGGAACTATGTAATAGCCCGTTTGAGACCAGTCACGGCTAGGCCTATAAAATGGTTGTATTAACCTAAGCAATTGTAGAACACCACTCATCCAATCCAGGAAATGTTTATATTCACTTTAACATAAATTAAACTAGACGTGTTTTAATAGTCGCAAGTCACAGAACCGCAACTCAAGCAAAACAAAAAACTCATTGATTGGCTCAAATAACTAACAACTCCCACCAGGCTCATCTACTTCAGCCAAGGTCCCAGAGGATGCAATCAGGCATCCTTGTCTTTTCATTCCTCAGGTGGGTCCACCCATGCAGCAGGTGTAATGCTCACAGCCTCCCCAAACCCATATATTAGAGCTCACCCCACCCATCACAATGAGAGTAACTTCCTTCTTATCTTCGGCAGAAAAGTCCCAGAGAAGACTCTTGAGTGGCTCAGCTCTGATCACATGTTCATCTCAGTACAAATGACAGTGACCCATGAGATGAAGCCCTCTGACTTGGGTCATATATCCTGGTAGGTGGGAAGGCTGAGCCAGTACCAACTTTATGAAACTGGTTCTTCAAAAGAGCCATTGCTTCTTCAGCAGAAGACATGCTGGGCGGGCAAATATGCGAATACTCACCACCATTGGCATTGAGCTTTGGTGGCTGTATTTCCATTTGTGGTTTCATAACCTATTTGATCTGGTCTCCACTAAAAGGGCCAACCAGCAAGAGTTATTTCTTGGGAGGATTTTATATTGATCTGACTTAAGATTTCTGTTTCTGCATGTGGCAAAACCTAAATTTTTATTCTTCTAAATTAGACGATAGTATTGAAGTTCTCCGTCAATCAAGACTTTTTTTTTGTTTTGTTTTTTGAGATGGAGTCTCACTCTGTCGCCCAGACTGGAGTACAGTAGCGTGATCTCGGCTCATTGCAACCTCCGCCTCTTGGGTTCAAGCAATTCTCCTGCCTCAGCCTACTGAGTAGCTAGGACTACAGACGCACACCACCACGACCAGCTAATTTTTATATTTTTAGTAGACACGGGGTTTCACCAGATTGCCAGGCTGGTCTTGAACTTCTGACCTTGTGATCTGCCTGCCTCAGCCTCCCAAAGTGCTGGGATTGCAAGCATGAGCCACCACACCCGGCCAATCAAGCCTATTTGCACTATCTTTTCCCACTCTCTCCTAAAGTCCTCTCCCTTGATCTCTGATGGTTTACCATGCTTTCTTCTGAATGCCTTTACAAGACCAACAGAAATTTCCTATGAACTGGAAAGATGTAGTTACATAGTAAAATCTTTTACCATCTGTGTCCCAGTGATCACAAGAAATTGGGCACTTTGTCTTGCAAATTTTATGTATTGTAAGAAGAATATTGGATTTGATTCTGTGATTACCCTTTGGTGTTTATGCACTTATGGACTCATACATCTATTCAGCAAATATTTGGTGAGCATCTATTATGTCCCAAACATTGAACTAGGGTCCCAGGGATACAGCCAGGCTCAACCCTGCTCTCCTGGAATTTGGAATCTAGTAAAAAAGACAGAGTGTTCAAATGGTCACATAGACAACTATGATATATGTTAGTGCACCTCTTGAAGGCAGGGGTTGATGGTGGTACATAGAATTATAAGAGATACAACAAAAGGGAAATAGGCCTAGTTAGAGAACTCAGAAGGAGGCTTTCTCAAAGAAGTAATGTTTGTATTGTGATCTGAAGGATATGTAGTGATTAACCAGACAAAAGGAGAATGAAGGGGCATAAACACAGTTGGGATTTTCTTTGAGATTCATTTTCCTAGTTTCAGGGCAACAAAATTTTGGGTAATAATTCAAAATTTTCACCTACATTGTAAAACTTTCATTGAAAAAAATCTCATGGAGTGAAAGGCCCCAGTTGGTAGTAAAACATTACATACTTCAATGCTTTGTAGGTATTTTATGAGAAGCTTTTTAGAAGAAATACATATTATAGTATGCTACAGGTAGTAGCTACATATTTAGTAGCCATTGACTGAGAAAATACATAAAGACAAAATATTGCTGTAAGTTTGATGTTTTAAATGACTGCATTGTTTTCTTTATGCTTATTGGAAAAGTGAACATATTAACAGATATTAATCATATCTCTGTTCTAAAGATGGTGCCTGGTTCACCCAAGGATTGAAGAACTTGCTGGGACAAATTCGTGTAGCTCATGCTCACCCCTCGGGAGACTGTAGCTCACAGGTTGTGAACAAGAGTAGACATCTGTTACTTGTTTGTTCTGCTCTGCATCCGTTCATTTTGTGAAGTACACCCACCCCCTGTGATAATGATGTAGCCGTCAATCAAGGTGTCTGCCTCTACCATCTCAGTTGTGGGCACATAAACCAAGCTAGCCAGCGTTCCTTTGGGGAACTGACATGGATCCTGGAAGCAAAGCATTGCTCTATTGAATTTCCTGGGACCAGATAGGTACTCTAAGTGTCACAGAAGCCCGAGTTGCTAGGGTCATTTCCCACCGCACAGAGGATGGACCCATCTGGGAACAAAGTCAAGAGCCCAGAGAGGGAAAGAGGTGCACAATCCCAAAGACCTCATGTGAACACTTGGATTCATGTGGGCTTATGGCCAATTCACCTCTGGGTGTCCCAGGTGGTTGAGCTAATGATTTCCTCCTCCTGTCACTATCCTAAGTTGATTTGAACTGGTTTTCTCCCACTTGCAACCAGAAGTGCCCTATTGCTGTAATCTCCTCTAATCCAAGCATTTGCATGTTTGTGCTGATGAGCAGAGTCCAGTATTACACAGAGAGTCAGTTATTGTTCAGAGAGTTAATTATTATACAGAGTCAATTATTGCACAGGATCAACTATCACACAGGGAGTCAATTATCACACAGGGAATCAGTTATCATACAGTCAATTATTACTGAGTCCATGATTACACTGATAGTCAGCAATTGCACAGAATTAATTATTA
The DNA here is from genome assembly GCF_000001405.40 of Homo sapiens. Taxonomy (NCBI): domain Eukaryota; kingdom Metazoa; phylum Chordata; class Mammalia; order Primates; family Hominidae; genus Homo; species Homo sapiens. Next base: position 7,914,752 of record NC_000016.10, on the reverse strand, counting down.
TGCTGAAATTCAGTTGTTATAGAATGTCATATATTACACAGAATCATTTATTATACAAAGTCAGTTATTACTCGGGGAATCAATTACTACACAGCAAGTCAATTATTACACGGAGAATCCTGATGATTTATTATCATGCATCTTCACAATATGTTTGAAAACCCTATTTCTTTGTCAGATTGACTACCATGTCACGTTCCCCTAATTTGGGATTCTAGCCTTTCTGATAGCCAGCTACTGTCACCTCTAAGAAAGGAATTTCACAGTGTCTGGAAAGCGGTACAGTTCCAGGGACAAGTTGGGGAGACTGTTTCAAAGAATTGAAATGTCCACCAGAAGGTCTTACAATATATTATTTATTGTGTGGAAAACAGAAAATGGAATTCCATGTATGCACAGTATGTTATTAACCACAAAAAACATAGATTTGTGAATATAATTACCCCACCTCCCATAAACACACATGCATAGGAGAGTATAGACACTCAGACACATACACACACAACACAAAACTAGAAAGATGTAATAACTATGGTACACACAGATCTTATAATGTAGAAAGATACAATGATGATATATACAGATTAACTTATGACAGTCACTGAGTGAAACACTTCATAAATATTGCTCAGGTATTATAGGGGTAAGTTTTCACAGACTAAATTGAAGCATTGTTCAGAAGGACTTTCAGCAATGGTGGAAATATTCTGTAATCATCGCTGACCAAGACAGTAACCAAGAGTTGCAGGTGGACTGTGGGACCTTGAAATGTTGCTATTGGGACTGAGGAATTGAACTTTTCACTGTATTTAATCTTGACTAATTTAAATAATTTAAATAGCTACATGTGACTAGTGACTACTAGTTGAAAAACACAGCCCTAGAACTTGCATGCCTGGGTCCAAATGCCAGTGTGATCATTTATTACCTATTTCACTCTGACAAATTGTTTAATTTCTCTGTCCCTTAGTTTTCTTCTCAATTAAGTAGGGCTCTTGATAGCACCTAACTCATATATCACCTCTCTCTTACATGCAGAGGGCAATGATGATTTTCTCTCTGTTTGACAGAAATATTGATTGTATCGGCTTCCTAAGACTCCCATAAAAAATAACCACAAACTGTGTGGCTTAAAACAAGAGAAATTTATCTCACAAATCTGGAGGCCAGAAGAAAGAAATTAAGGTTGATCCTTTTTGGAGGTTCTGGGGGAGAATGTGTTTTATTCCTAGTTTCTGGTAGCTGCTGGCAATGCGTGGTGTCCTTTGGCTTGTCAATACATTTGCAATCTCTCCCTCAGTCTTGATATCACCTTCTTCCCTTTGTGTCTGTCCAAAATCTGTATCCTGTAAGATAGTGCTTCTGCAGGATCTATGAGCCTAAGCATTAGTCTATACTCTGTGTCTCAAACTGTCAAACTTTCTTTTTCTTCTCTTTTTATTTATTTTTGTTTTTTTTTTGTTTGTTTGTTTTTTGTGGATTTTTCTTGAGAGAAGGTCTGGCTCTGTCTCACAGGCTGGAGTGCAGTGATGCAATCATAGCTCACTGCAGCCTTGACTTGACTTTCTAGGCTCAAGTGATCCTCCCACCTCGGCTTCCCAAGTAGCTGGGACTACAGGCACGAGGCGCCACACTCAGCTATTTTTTTTTTAAGGCGGGGTTCTCACTATATGGACTAGGCTAGTCTCAAACTCCTGGGCTCAAGAGATCCTCCCACCTTGGCCCCCCACAGTGCTGGGATTATAGGTGTGAGCCCCCACGCCTGGCTTCAAACCTTTCTTTATAAGAATATATGTCATTGAATGTAGGGCCCAATCCTTGAGATCCTTAACTTAATCGTATCTTCGAAGATCCCATCTCCAAAAAAAGTCAAATTCAAAGGTCCAGAAACAAGGACTTGGATATTTTGTGTGTATGTCACTATTCAACTGGCTACATGGTTTTTATGGTTGTAAGTTTATCTTTACCTATTTTACAATCATTTCAATAAGAAAAAAGTACTATTTTAAAAAGGAACATATATATGTGTGTATATATATATACTCACATATATGTATATATGCATGTGCGTATATATACACACATATATGTATATAGGTATGTGTGTATATACATATGTATGTGTATATATGTATATATATTCATATACATATATATATACACACTTCTTTCATATAACTACTTCCCATTCTGTACAGCCCTGAAGGACCCATGTTTCTGCTTGTGGCAGGATATGTAAATCTATAGTAATTATTACCTTGATGAAAAGAGTACATGATAAGTCTTAATGCAATTGCAAGCTCTGAAACAAAGGACTAATTTAAAGCAGTAGATGACATTAACCTGTGTTCCCATGAGTACATTAGGATTTTCAAAATACAGCACTTTCTCCTTGTACTGCATGCATACAAATGGGACTCAATTTATTGCAAATGGTGTTTCTGAGCTCAGCGCTCGTGACATAATTAAGAAATGTATTCAGCCTATTACTAATTTAACACTGTTCAAGGTTCTTATCAAAAAGCTGTGTGTCGCCCCACAGTGTCACCATCAGATTTATGCATTGTAAATACAAATATATTTTATTCATAGTGGATTCTTGCAACTTCAATTATGCAATAAGTATTTATTTGGAATTCATTCTCCTCTCCCAACCCCCCGATTTGATAGCCATCATTAATTCATGTGAAACTGATTAAGCCTCTTGTAAAGCTCTAGCAAACACCTTAGAAGACAAACTCAATTTGTAAGGATGAAGCTGTTGTCACAATTATTTCAAATGAAGAAAAAGTAGCCTCTGGACTGAATAACTTCAAGGCCGGTGCTTAACAAAATGCTAAGGTAGAATACTTTGATTTTTGTGGCACCAAATTATTTTCTTTACTATCCTTCCCTTCTCCTAGGGGAGCTTCCAAAGATGGGGTCCAATCGACTGCTTTAGCTTCCTGCTAATGTGCTTTTAATTCAGGCTCCTTCAGTTTTTTAAATGGAATTACCTTTCATTCCATTTCTGGCCAAAATCTAGGTGTCAATTAGATCTCCCACCTCTTACCACAAACAAATCAGCAAATTCTGTTGGCTCTATCTCCTATAGATACACACTTGACCCTTTGAACTATGCAGATGCACTTATACTAGGATTTTCATCCACCTCTACCACCCCTGAGAACACAAGAACAATCCCTCCATTTCCTGCTCCTTCTCTTCCTCCTCAGAATACTCAACATGAAGACAAGAGGGATGAAGCCTTTCTGATGATCCACATTCACTTCTTGAATAGTAAATACATTTTTTCTTGTGATTTTCTTAATAACGTTTTCTTTTCTCTATGTTACTTTACTGTAAGAAGACAGTATATAATACATACACCATGCAAAATGTGTTTTAACCAATTGTTTATTACTGAGGTTTCAGGTCAATGGCAGGCTATTAGCAGTTCAGTTTTTGTGGAGTCAAAGTGATACATAGATTTTCAACCTACATGGAGTGAGGGGGTTACCCCTAACCTCCACGTTGTTTAAGAGTAAACTGTAACTCAAAGTCACTTCTCACTAGGATGATCAGCTTGTCCAGGGTTGCCTGAGACTTTCTCGGTATTATTATGTTGGTGCAAAGGTAATTGAGGTTTTCGCCATTACTTTTAATACCTTTGCACCAACCTAATAGCAATGAAAGTCCCACATCTCAGGACCCTCCTCAGTCCCAGATAAGCCACGGTGGTTTGCAAGGACTATCTCCATTTTACAATAGAAACTCCTCCCTTTGATCCTCAGTAAATGGAAATGGTTAGTCATCCTATTTGGTGGATATCGGATATTGGATATTGAAAGGTTTGGTAACTATCCAATGGGTTGATATGGATATTGGATGGTTTGGTAACCATCCAACGGTTAGTCACACCTTCCCTTTTGCCTTCACATCCACAATCCCCTCTCTTCTTCACAACTTCAATCGTGTCTGGTTATACTCTTCCTCTGCTGCAGTTATATCTTCATACCTGTTATGTTACCCCCTTGCATAAAACCCTTCATTTGATTACACTTCTTACCATGGCGTGCAATGCTCATTGTATTAGTTTCCTGTGGCTGCTCTTGCCATCCACAAACTTAGCAACTTAAAACAATACAAATGTACTACCCTGCTGTTCTGAAGATCAGAAGTGTAAAATCAGATTTACTGACCCAAGGTTATTGCATTGGCAGGACTCATTCCTTTTGGAAGCTCTAGAGGACAACTTGTTTCTTAGCCTTTTCCAAACAGCCTCAACAGACCCACATTACATAGTCTTTTTTCCCTCAGCTTTATCACATTGCCTTCTTTCTCCCTATCTGACTCTCCCACCTCTTACAAGGACCTTTACAGCAGGGATCCCCAAGCCCCAGCTGTGGCCTGTTAGGAACTGAGCTGCACAGCAGGAGGAGAGCAGTGGGTGAGGGAGTGAAGCTTCATCTGTGTGTACAGCTGCTCCCCATCGCTCATATTACCGCCTGAGCTCTGTCTCGTATCAGATCAGCAGCGGCATTCAATTATCACAGGATTGCGAACTCTATTGTGAACTGTGCGTGCAAGGGAACTAGGTTGTATGCTCCTTATGAGAATCCAGTGCCTGCTGATCTATTATTGGGGCCGTCTAGTTGCAGAAAAACAAGCTCAGGGTCACCCTGATTCTACATGATGGTGAGTTGTATAATTATTTCATTATATATTACAATGTAATAATAGAAATAAAGTACACAATAAATGTAATGAACTTGAATCATCCAAAACCACCCTCCACTCTGGGTTCATGGAAAAATTGTCTTCCATGAAACTGGTCCCTGGTGCCAAAAAGGTTGGGGACTGCTGCTGTAGAGGACAACTTGTTTCTTTGCCTTTTTTCAACATCCTCATTCCTTGGCTCCTGGCCTCGCATCACATAGCCTTTTCTCCCTCTGCTCTCTCATCACTTTGTCTTCTCTCTTCCTATTTGACCCTCCCATCTCTTACAAGGAACTTTACAGAGACCCTTATGACTTTATTGGGTTCATGGGATAATCCAAGATGGTCTTACCACCTCCAGTTTCTAAAGGTAATCAGATAGGCAAAACCCTTTTTACCAGGTAAGGTAACATACTCATGAGGTTCTTGGAATTAGGATGTGGCCATCTTTGGAAGGGAGACGCTAATGAGCCTACCACATCTGCTTCATCTGGTCTCTGTCTTTATCTCTGGGGTCTTAAATGGTGCCACTGTTGGATCCACACAGCCTGGTCCATTCCTCACCTAAGCTGGCCTTCTTTCGAGTCCTTGAACACATCATGTTTATTACCAATATAGGATGTTTGCACTTGGTGTCCTGTTTGCCTGAGTTCATTGCTCTCAGGTATTCAGAGAGGATTGAGTCTTTACTTTTTTTTTTTTTTTTTTGAGACGGAGTTTTACTCCTAATGCCCAGGCTGGAGTGCAATGGCACAATCTCAGCTCACTGCAGCCTCCGCTTCCTGTGTTCAAGTGATTCTCCTGCCTCAGCCTCCCAAGTAGCTGACAGGCATGTGCCACCACACCCAGCTAATTTTTTTCTATCTTTAGTAGAGACGGGGGTTTCTCCATGTTGGTCAGGCTGGTCTCGAACTCCTAACCTCAGGTGACCTGCCCGCCTCGGCCTCCCAAAGTGCTGGGATTACAGGCGTGAGCCACCGCACCCAGCTGTGTCTTTCCCATTTTTAAGTATCCAACTCAAATATCACGACATCAGAGAGTTCATCTTTGGACACCTCCACTCACTGCCAACCCAACTTCCTCTATTTCATTGCATTATTTAGGGTGCTTTTGATACAAGCAGAGACAACTCAAACCAGTTTCGAAAATAAAGAAGATGTACCATGTCATGTAGTGTAGGTAGATGGATCCACAGTTGGTAAATTCAGCTTTTCAGTGATGTTATCAGGAACCTAGTTATGTGACATTGTCTTGCCGTCCCAGTTAATGGCCACAAATGATGTGAGACTCTGGGTATCATATGCAAGCACAATAAAGTCCACGAGAAGAAAAGGCCATTGCATCTATGTGCATTGTATGCAAAGAGCAAAGGAACTTTTTGCAGATAGGCCCGGCTTTAGCAACACACTTTGCCCCACCTTTCAATGGCCACAGCTGGATTACCTGCCCACCTCTAAAGCAACCACTGCCAAGGAATAAGGGATTACCACAGTTGGTTCCTAATCAGAGTTTATGCACCTGGTGGTTGGATATTCAAACACCAAAATATGAAAGTAGATGTTAGAGAAGTGACCCATCTGCCTTTTACACCAATTCTCCATTTTGTTTTCTTTATTAGGCCTATTACTTTTAGGAATAAACTTCTTTTATTGCCTATATTTTTCCAATAAAACATAGATTTAATATGAGTAGGTACTTGCCTGTGTTGCTCACAACAGTATTCTCATTCCCGAACAGTGTCTGGCACATAGTAAATGCAAAATAAATCTTATTTGTTGAAATAATCTTGTTTGCTAAAATAATTCTCATGCCAATTCAACTTGCATTCTTTCATGTTTTTTTCTTTGTGTCCATTCAGCAAATGTCTACTGAGCACTATGATATACTGATCACTATGCTAGTAAGTAGGAATAGAGCCCTGAACAATATAAACATGATCTTTAGAAGCTCTCAGTTTAAAGGGGGATAAAATAAACAGAGGTGACATTGAAATAAGTCTTGATATTTTCTACCTCCACACAGTTGAGAATTAAGCCCAACAGTTCCATACCAAAGTGATTTTCTTTGCCATAGATTCTCAAACTTCCTCGTTCCTTACAGTTGTCTGGGTTACTAGTTCTACTCTATTTTTTTATTATTTTGTTTTTATTTTTAATTTGTGAGGGTACATAGCAGGTGTATATATTTATGGGTTACATTAGATGTTTGATACAGGCATGCAATGCATCATAATCACCACTTGGAGCATGGGGGTCTCTATCCCCTCAAGCATTTATCTTTTGTGTTACAAACAATCCAATTACATTCTTTTCATTATTTTAAAGTGTAGAATTGAGTTATTATTGACTATAGCCACCCTGTTGTGCTATCAAATATTAGGTCATATTCATTCTTTCTAACTACTTTTTTTTAAATACCCATTAACCTTCCACACCTCTCCTCCAATACCCCACACCCCACCCTTCCCAGCCTCTGGTAACCATCCTTCTACTCTCTATGTCAATGAGTTCAATCATTTTGATTTTTAGATTCCACAAATAAGTGAGAACATGCGATGTTGGTCTTTCTGTGCCTGGCGTATTTCACTTAACATCATGACCTCCAGTTCCACCCATCTTGTTGCATGGGTTGCTAGTTCTAAATGCAGATGACTGTCTGTATTAGACAGGGTTATCTAAAGAAGCATAATCAACAGGACATATAGAGAAAGATGTAAAAGGAGGCTTATTATAGGAATTGGCAAAGAAGTTTCATGATCTGTCATCTGCAAGCTAGCAAACCAGGAAAGCAGGTGGTGTGACTTAATCTCAGTCTGAAGGCCTGGGAGTGGAAGGTAGGGCCAATGGTGTTCGTCCTGGCCTGAGTCCAAAATTCCAAGAGCAAGAAGTGCCAATGTCTGAGGACAGGAGAAGATGGATGTCCCAGCTCAAGTGGAGACAGTAAATTCGCCCTTCCTCCACCTTTTTGTTCTATTCTACCCCTCAGCAGATTATTGGATGGTACCCACTCACATTGGTACGAATATCTTCTTTTTTCAGTCTACTGATTCAAATGCCAATGTCTTCCAGAGTCACTCACACAGACACACCTAGAAATAATGTTTTATCAGCTATCTGGGGGTGTCCCTTAGCCCAGTCGAGTCAACATATAAAATTAACCAGTACACTGTCTGACTCTCCTGCCTGAGATTCTGAGGATCTGATTGATTAAGCCTAAATGGATTACAAGAATCTTTGCTTTCACAGTTTTCTGAATAGTTATGATCAGGTGGCTCATGGTTCACCCTTTGAGTAGCAGGGTTCTATGAGGTCTTATCCTTTCAGGATAAGCTTACTGCAGTCTTAAGGTTGGGAGAACATTAAGAGCTTTCAAAAGAACTTTCCCCCACATTCTGAAAACCTTCCTTATAGGGTTTCCCGGCAAAATACTGTTAAATTTGAATTTTGTATAGATAACAAAAAAATTTAAAGGCTTAGTATGTCCCATGCAATACTTGGAACAAACTTTTACTAAAAGAAAATTGTTGTTTACTTGCAGTTCAAAGTTAACTGGGTATCCTCTATTTTTATTTGCTGAACCTGGCAGTCCTACTTCTTAGAGAGGTATAAACAAATGTAGGATAACTTTGAGAATCACTGAAGTCTAGTATAATAAGCACTATGATAGCAAGAAGTGTAGAAATTTGCACAAGCTTAAGGTTAGGCAGGGTGGGGACAGGGGGCAAATTCAGGTTGGAAAGTCAAGGGAGCCTTCCTATAAGAGCTGACGTTTAAGTTAAAACTTAATGGATGGGCAGGAACCATCTGTCAAATGGCAGAAGAATGTATTTTACAAACCATGGGTGGACTATCAGCCTGGAGACCAGAGGGATGATGTCCTCTTGGCAGTTACTACAAGTATGTCCCTATGAATAGGATTCTGAGGGCCAAGAGGACTATGGCGTCAGGTGACAATAGAGGGAAATTCCCAGGCCATGCTATCAAGAGATATGTGCTAAGTATCTGAAACTACCATAGGGCAACACAACAAACTTCATTGGGACTTTGAAACCCTCTCCTCTGGATGGTGCCCAAGGATTTTGACTAAAGAATTTTGAGTCAAAAATCTCATGTTTGTTCAGCAAGCTTAGTCCAGTGGTTCTCAACTCTGACTACATGGGACTACTTGACTACTTTAAATATATGTATCAGTGACTGAGCTCTACCTAGAGCAAGTAAATCAGAATCTCTTAGTGAAGGATAGGCCTAGGCATGGATTTGCTTTAATGCTCAGGATAATTCTACTGTGCAGATGTGTCTGAAAACCACAGCCTTAGGTAAATCACTTCACTCGTTCGGCATCAGCTTTTATAGTTTACAAAAAATATATATGAGAGAAGTCATCCTTTGCAGCATTGGTTGTGTGAGTTAACTGAGAGGATAAATAGGAAAAGCACAGTATGGGTTCTAAGATAGGGGACACTGGAGTCAGACTGTCCTGGTTTGAATCCTGGCTCCCAATCTTGGTGTGACTGGGCACAAGCCATTCACTTCTCTGGGTTCACTTCCTCCTATAAATGGGGACAATAAAACCTATTTTACAGGGTGTTTGGGTGGAATAAATGAGCTAATCCATGTGTTTGATGTAGTAATTGACATATGTCACTCATAAACATAGGGTATTCTTATTGCAACAACAAACTATGTAACCAAGTACTCTCTGATTGACGAGGGTCTTTCAGGTTGTAAATAATCTGATGATCTCATTCACATCTAGATGTTAATATCTGGTAAAACCAAACAATGAATTTACAAGAGGCAGATGTTGAGTTAATGCAAACTAACATTTGAATACGTATATGCCCATGCTTTCCAGAGCAATTCTATTTGACAAAGGCCAATGAAACCTAAAAGTAGGACTTGTGGCTTCATTAATGATCTGTAAGGGAGATTCTTTGCGGCTGGAAGACCCCTCCCCTGACCTATGAAGACAACGTCTTACAAATATATATGCAATCCTGAGAGTTATCAAAATCCTTTCAATTGAATTTCCTCCTTGCAGTGCTGTTCCTTTTGAGTAAGTCCCATCAACGAATGCGCGGGTTCCTCGGATAAGAAGTGCTTTACAACAGGCCTGGCGCGGTGGCTCACGCCTGTAATCCCAGCACTTTGGGAGGCCGAGGCCAGCGGATCACAAGTTCAGGATTTCGAGACCATCATGGCTAACATGGTGAAACCCCGTCTCTCCTAAAAATACAAAAAATTAGCTGGGCGTGGTGGCGGGCACCTGTAGTCCCAGCTACCTGGGAGGCTGAGGCAGGAGAATGGCGTGAATCCGGGAGACAGAGCTTGCAGTGAGCCGAGATCGTGCCACTGCACTCTAGCCTGGGTGACAGAGGAAGACTCCGTATGAAAAAAAAAGAAAAAAAAAAGGGCTTTACACTAAAGCACCAAAGATAGAAGTCCATTGAAAATTGTTTTTCTTTTTCTTTATTTTTCTTTTAAATCGGATATAAAGAGGCATTTTAATTGGTGTTTCACTTTCCCCCATCATCCCCTTGGTCTAAGCTAAAATTTTCTGTGGAAGAGGGGAGAATGGCTAGTGGAGGAGAGCCGCCAGCTTATTATCAAAAGACAAAATTACAGGCAATTTAATTATAGATTTAACTGACTGTATTAGTCTGTTCTCATGCCGCTAATAAAGACATACCCAAGACTGCATAATTTATAAAGGAAAGAGGTTTAATTCACTCACAGTTCCACATGGCTGGGGAGGCCTCACAATCATGGCAGAAGGCAAGGAGGAGCAAAGCCATGCCCTACATGGTGGCAGGCAAGAGGGAATTTCTGCAGGGGAACTCCCCATTATAAAATCACCTGATCTTGTGAGACTTATTCACTATCAAGAGAACAGCACAGGAAAAACTTGCCCCCATGATTCAATTACATCTCACCAGGTCCCCCCCAGGATACATGGAGATTATTACCATTCAAGGTGAGATCTGCGTGGGGACAGAGAGCCAAACCATATCACTGACCTTTATTAATTATTTATGAATCAGGCAGCCTCCATTCTACAAAAGAGAATGAATGGCCCCACTGGGCAATAGCAGAAGTAGCAGAAGAGTGTTTTTTTTTTGTTTTTTTTTTGTTTTTTTTTTTGTTTTTTTTACGTGGAAGCAAGGAAACAGAGCAATAGGGGGAAAGAAAACCTGATTGTTTAACATCGAGTTACTTCAAGTTAACTTTTCTGTAAGAGTGAAAGCAGAGCAGACTTTCTTATTATGCTGACTCAAGTAGACTGGAACCTCCTGTTTTCAGGAAAAACTGGCCTGTTTGGGGATCTATCTGCTTCCTTTAAGTTTTAGTTTGACGATATAGCATTTAGCATGCGCGACTCCACTTGGTTTGGTCCCGTCTACTGGGGCCTAGTGCAGGAGCTCAGTCCAAAAGATCTCCCGTAATTTCTGTTTCACGCTATGCTGCAGCAGGATATAATGGTAGAGATTGAGGGAAAGATGCATTTTAGATGGGGCAATCTGGAAAGGCCATTCAGAGGAAATGAACCTGGGGTAGAAAAGTAAATGAAGTACAGGGAAGAGAGATGCTCTGAGAAAGAGCATCCCAGGTAGAGAGGTCTGCTCACAAAAAAATCTCCTGTAGCCAGCTTCCAGAATAAAAGTGGTCAGAAAACTATGACATGATCCTTATTAAATAACAATGAAATTTGGGGCGCCTCTGCCCGGCCGCCCCTACTGGGAAGTGAGGAGCCCCTCTGCCCGGCCACCACCCCGTCTGGGAGGTGTACCCAACAGCTCATTGAGAACGGGCCGGGATGACAATGGCGGTTTTGTGGAATAGAAAGGGGGGAAAGGTGAGGAAAAGATTGAGAAATCGGATGGTTGCCGTGTCTGTGTAGAAAGAAGTAGACATGGGAGACTTTTCATTTTGTTCTGTACTAAGATAAATTCTTCTGCCTTGGGATCCTGTTGATCGGTGACCTTACCCCCAACCCTGTGCTCTCTGAAACATGTGCTGTGTCCACTCAGGGTTAAATGGATTAAGGGCGGTGCAAGATGTGCTTTGTTAAACAGATGCTTGAAGGCAGCATGCTCGTTAAGAATCATCACCACTCCCTAATCTCAAGTACCCAGGGACACAAACACTGCGGAAGGCCGCAGGGTCCTCTGCCTAGGAAAACCAGAGACCTTTGTTCACTTGTTTATCTGCCGACCTTCCCTCCACTATTGTCCTATGACCCTGTCAAATCCCCCTCTGCGAGAAACACCCAAGAATGATCAATAAAAAAAATAAAAATTAAAAAAAAAAAAAAACACAATGAAATTTGGTGGAAATAGGTGTCATGTCCTATGCTGGTCACAAAGCCAGGATCCTTCTTTCCTAATGATGCCACCACTTTTTGAAATGCAGTGTTGTCGTCAAAGCCTAGAGTGAATGTGTTTCAAAAAGGAGACTGTTTGATCATCAAAGCAAGTGCTTGGAACACTCATCCCAGGAAAGGGAGGTGAGCGACAGCCAACCCCCAGGTTCTCAGCTCTCATCTCCCCAAACCTCTGGCCTCAGCCCATCTGAAGATCACTCACTGGCAGACTCTCTTATCACAAAGCACAGACAATGGCAGCTGCCAAATCTTCCAGCTTCTCTGAAGTATTGTCCAAAGCCCACCCTTCGCAGGACCACAAATCTCCTCCTGGAAGAAATGATTTCGGGCAGCTTCTGTGACAAGCTGACTTGCTCCTAAATTCCTCTCTCCTCCTACACATGCTACATACCTTATAAACCCCATGCTTGGTCAACTCAGATGTCACTTTCACAGGGGAGTCTGCAGTGATCAAATAGACAATATCAGTTCCCCCTGGTATAGATTCTCGGGACTCCCAAAGAGCCTGCCCATGTGTAGTTGCATGAGATAATGTGGTTAATGTGTGTATTCAAGCTGTAACCTCCATGAAGCCCATTTTGTTTGTGTTGCTGAGTTTTGAGGTTGCAATGTTTAAAAATAGTAAAATTTTGAGTTTTGAGGTTGCAATGTTTAAAAACAGTAAAATCATGATTCTCTTACAAATATAACATGAATGTTTGTCAAAAGATTCCATTTAACCCTTTAGTTAATGCAGAAACCCATAAGATGTTACAAATAATTCAAAGAAGAATCCAAAAAACAGATACACATATAGACATCAGGAATATTGAAAATAATTTACAAGTAGAAGCAAAACTGGTCGATGTCCACAGGGCAAGAATCAATTGCATTCCATGGGACAGAATTTGCATTTCTATGCACAAGAATCATTTGCATTGCTATCTGTTTTCTACAATTTGCAGAGCTGAGAAATAGCTCAAAGATGGACAGGGACTGAGATGACGAAGAGACTTTTAGACAGAACACCCATAATCTTTTTGCTTCTCATCAAAGTGTTTCCCAGTTTTGCTCATTGTTTTCTTCAACTACTCTGCAGAGTGCTCACGGCATAGTAGATATTGAATGAATATTTATTATTAAATGAAGGGCAGTGTTGTGGGTATATTTATTAAAAGATGGTATGTTTTGAAGCTGGTGGGGTGATTCTCAGTTTTAACCTATCTTAGGATCCATATCCGCTCCTGTCTAGTAGACAGATAGAGAAGTTCAACTAGGATCTTTGGAGAACACTCATCCTAAAAGATATGTGTGGCTCAATAATAAATTCTCTTTGGTCAGAAGAAGGCACACATGTGCACATACAAAAACACAGACCACTGACATTACATGAGGACCTTAAAATAGGCTAGATGCTATGGGAAAACTTAAGAAAATAGCATTCTAATGAGATCACGAATGTAAAAAGGTTTTGAAAATGGTAAAATACCAAATGGGTGGAGGTTGAGAGAGTAAAATATCCATTTCAAATCTGTGTCGTATGGATTTAGAGGCAGGAATACTTCGACTCAGCCAATAAAATAAATACCAACCCCCAAAACTTTCAGTTTATCCCATAATTTATGCAATAAAAACCTCACCTCCTTCCCTCTCTTTTATCACATCTATGAACCTTCTACAATTTCTCAATCTCATCTCATGCTTCAAGGATGTTTACTTACACTGGTTTTCTTCAAGACCCTGGGAGGAAGCCTAGCAATGCATGTATATGGTCATAAGTTTTCTAAAAATGTCAAAGACAAAGTATTTTACCTGCTATCAGTTAAGACTATTAATGATATCCCATCAACCTTCTTAATTACACTTCCTCTTGTGTTATGGTTGTCCAAATGGCACAGGCATTTTGGTGATCCATCCAAGAGATTTGAGTGGGAGATACATTTAGTGTGATTGAGCGTGACATATTAATGTAGTTTTCAGTCACTTTTATGGAGAATTAAACTATTGCTACAACCCAGTGTAGGAATGCCTTCAAGAAACATGTGTTCCACCCACTATGTATACCCATCAGGAGTCATGATACGAAAATGCTGGGAAAAGGTTATTTCATGATGTGCCTGGGCTCTGTAGCCCCAAGCCCTGGAAATAAGTGAGCAGTGAGGGAGGAATAAGACTTGAAATGAAAGATGGTAGAAACAAGTCTGTAAAAAATTCTTCCAATCATAAGATATATAAAATGTGTGTAACTGACTTGGCTCTCACTGATAACTACTCAAAATAAAATTTATTACCAAAAGGAGTATACTAGAAAAATACAGCTAATACAATTTTAAATATCACATAGTTTATATATGTATATGGGAATCATATTAAATAAAATTCATTAGATCTTTTGAATATTTAGGGTGAAATCCTTCAGTTCTACTACAATCAGTTCTCACTGTATAGACACGTTTTATAAAACACAATCATCAATAATAACAGAAATACATCCCAATCAACAAAACCATAATCTTTCTTTTCTATGAAAAGTATTACAAAATTGTTGTCATATGAAAAAGCAATAAAAGAATTTGCAGCTAAAAGGAATAAGAAAATGTATCCTGGAATTATATCAAGGAGATAATAAATACAGAATATTACATTATTTCTTCGAATTTTGTGATGTTTGTGCTTTTTGGTAAGATTGGAGAAATTTGGGCAATTTGTTGTGATTTATATTCTAATTCTAAATAAATATTTACTTTTGTAACATGTTTTTGCTTGTACTTTTGCAATCTTTTTCTTACAGAGGGCCTTGAAATTCTATAACCATCAGGTTCCATATAGCCTGGCCCTGACCCTACTCATGGCGGATCATTTTATGGTCCATCCCATTACTCACCCTCACCCTATTACTGGTTTTCTTACCTTCTCCCTAAAAAAACCCTAAAGGCTCCTCCAAAAGAGTCCGAGATTTGATAAATGACTTCAGAGTTTCAGAATACAAAATTAATGTACAAAACTCAGCAGCACTTCTATACAACAATAATGATCACGCTGATAATCAAATCAAGAAGTCATCCCGTTTACTATACCTACAAAACGAACAAATAAACAAACAAAAGATTACCTGGGAATACATTTAACCAAGGAGGTGAAAGGTCTGTACAAGAAAAGCTACAAAACACAAATAAAATAAGTTGTAGATGACACAAACACATGGAAAAACATCCCATGCTCATGGATCAGAAGAGTCAATATCATTCAAATGACCATATTGTCCAAAGGAATCTATTTGGTTCATGCAAAAGTAATTGCGGTTTTTGCCATTACCTTCAAGGGCAAAAACCTCAATTACTTTTGCAACTACCTAATATAAGTGTAATGAAATTCCTATCAAAATACCAATATAATTTTTCACAGAATTAGAAAAACAATCCTAAAGTTCACATGGAACCAAAAATGAGCCCAAATAGCGAAAACTGTCCTAAGCAAAATCCAGAAGCATCACCTTATCTGACTTTAAATTATACTACAAGGCTATAGTAACCAAAACAGCATGATACTGGTATCAAAATAGACATGATAAATTGGAGAGAATAGAGAACTCAGAAAGTCACATACATACAGTCAGCTGATGTTTGACAAAGTAGACAAAAACATATATTGGGGAAAGGACCTCCTTATTCAATAAATGGTGCTGGGAGAATTAGATTTCCATAAGTGAAAATCAAAAGACTTAATGGACAACCTGCAGGATGGGAGAAAATATTTGCAAACTCTGCATTTGACGAAGGACCAATATCCAGAATCTACAAGGAACTTAAACAATCGAACAAAAACAACAAAAACCATGAACAGACATTTTTCAATAGAAGACATACAAATGGCCAACAAACATATTTAAACATATTTAAAAATTTAAACATCACTAATCATCAGAAAAATGCAAATTAAGACCACAGTGAGATACCAGAGTGGCTATTATAAAAAAGTCAAAAAATAACAGATGTTGACCAGGATGCAGAAAAAAGAGAATACTCATCCACTGTTGGTGGGAATGTAAACTAGTACAACTTCTATGAAAAACAGTATGGAGATTTCTCAAAGAACTAAAAATGGAACTACCATTTAATCCAGCAATTCCACAGGTGGGTATCTACCCAAAGGAAAGTACCTCATTATAACAAAAAGATACCTACACTTGTATGTTGATTACAGCACTATTCACAATAGCAAAGATAGGAAATCAATCTAACTGTCCATCAATGGATGACTGGATAAAGAAAATATACAATATTTCAATACTGTGCATATATACACAGTATTTATATATACAGTATTAATATATACAGTATATAGATATATATGTATATATAGATATATATACAGTATATAGATATATATGTATATATAGATATATATACAGTATATAGATATATATGTATATATAGATATATATACAGTATATAGAGCATATATAGAGATATATATAGATATATATGCTATATATATATAAAAAATAGAATACTACTCAGCCATAAAAAAGAATGAAATCATGTATTTTGTAGCAACATGTATGGAACTGGAGGCTGTTATCAACAACTCAAACAGAAAGTCAAATACCACATGTTCTTGCTTATAAGTAGGATCTAAATAATGTGTACACACAGAGAGTGTGGAATAATAGACATCAAAGACTCAGAAAAGTGAGAGGGTTGGAGAGAAGTGAGGAATGAGAAATTACTGAATCAGTTCAATGTACACTATTTCGGTGATAGTTACTCTAAAAGCCCAGAGTTCACCACTATGCAATATGTTTGTGTAACAAATTGCACTTGTACCCTCTAAATATATACAAAAAGCCTGATTTTTAAAATAACGTTTACATAGGCACTTCAATATAGACATGTGACAGTGGCAATGTCAAAATAACAGACTTCATAATTACCAGATCTAACATCAACTCCATTTGACTCCAAATCTCCACTTTAGTAAACATGGAAAAGTTTCGTGAAAGAAATTCCCAAATAATTAAACATTGTAAACAGAATGGTGTCCCGAAATTGCCCATGTACATTCCTTGGAACTATGGATGCATTGCCTTATAAAGAGAAATGGAATTAAGTTTGTAGATAGCATTAAGGTTGCTAATCAGCTGGCCTTGAGATGGGGAGATTATTCTGGATTACCTAGTTGGGCCCAATTTAATTACAAGATTCTTAAAAATGAAAGAAGGAGGGCCCGGCATGGTGGCTCATGCCTGTAACTCTAGCACTTTGGGAGGCCAAGGCGAGCAGATCACCTGAGGTAGGGAGTTCGAGACCAGCCTGACCAACATGGAGAAACCCCATCTCTACTAAAAATACAAAATTAGCCAGGCGTGGTGGCACATGCCTGTAATCCCAGCTACTCAGGAGGCTGAGGCAGGATAATTGCTTGAAACCAGGAGGCGACGGTTGCAATGAGCCAAGATTGCGCCATTGCACTCTAGCCTGGGCGACAAGAGTGAAACTCCATCTCAAAAAACAAAACAAAACAAACAATCAAACAAAACAAAGAAAGAAGGAGACAGACAGAAGAAATGAGTCAGAGAAAGAGATGTGAGGAGCAAATCAGAGTCAGAGAGATACTGCATTGCTCACTCTGGAGACAGAGGAAAAGACCAAAAACGTGGGCAGCCTCCAGAAGATGAAATGCCAAGGAAATAGATTCTACCCTTCAGCAAGCCTTCAGCAAGAAGTGCCGCCCTGCCAACACCTTGATTTTTAGTTCAGTGAGAACTATGTCAGACTTCTTACCTTCAGACTGTAAGATAATATATTCATGCTGTTTTAAGCCACAAAGTTTGTGGTAATTTGTCACAGCAGTAGAAAACTAACGCATGGAGTATCAACTTGAGCAACTGAGACACTGGGATAGGGGACCACCCATGCCAGTCAAGATGTTTTGGGTTATTGATAAAAGAATGCTAATACACTGTTGGTGGGAGTCTAAAGTAGTTCAGCCATTGTGGAAGACAGTGTGGCGATTCCTCAAAGACCTAAAGGCAGAAATGCCATTCAACCCAGCAATTCCATTACTGGGTATGTACCCAAAGGGAAAAGAAATCATTCTATTATAAAGAAACATGCATGTGTATGTTCATTGCAGGACTATTCATAACAGCAAAGACATAAAATCAACCTAAATGCTCATCGATGGTAGACTGGATACAGAAAATGTGGTACATATTTACTGTGGAATACTATGTAACCTTAAAAAAGAATGAGATCATGTCCTTTGCAGGGACATGGATAGGGCTTGAGGCTCTTATACTTAGCAAACTAACATAGGAATAGAAAACCAAATACCGCATGTCCTCACTTATAAGTGGGAGCTAAATGATGAGAACACATGGACGCATAGAGGGAAACAACACACACTGGGGCCTTTCAGAGGGTGGAGAATGGGAGGAGGGAGAGGATCAGGAAAAGCAACTAATGGGTACTAGGCTCAATACCTGGGTGATGAAATAATCTGTACAACAAACCCTCATGACACAATTTTACCTATGTAACAAACCTGCACTTTTACCACTGAATTTAAAATAATAGTGTTTTTAAACGACAAAAAATAGAAAACTCATCTGAACTGACTTAATTATGAGGAGAATATATTGGCTGGTATGACAAAGGAGACCAGATTAGAGCCCATGCAATGGATGAAACAATCGTGGTGGCCTGAGGGACCGTAATGACTTAATGGATTTAACCTAAGCTATGAGCTCCAGCCCACACCCTTCCAAAGAAGGGGTACATCAGCATCACCTGGGTCCCCAAATGCAAATCAGATATGGTCAGGAAGGGAGAAGGCAAAGAAACTCTGAAAAGGCTGCCACAAATGTCCACGACAAAGAACATTGCTTTTTCATTTTCCTTTTAACTGGTCTGTGAAAGGCGGACCTAGAATCTGACCACCGCAGAGACATGAAAATAAGGCAAGGAAAAAAAAAAAAGTTTAATTGTTGATGTTGGAACACACATCTCCTGCTTGGTCAATCAACAATTTTTTTATTACTTGATTTCACCTTCTTTCTAGTTAAAATAATCTGGTAGTCTGTCCAAGAGGTTGATTAATAAACCTTCAAAAGCTAGTCGTCTTTAAAGGATTCATTCGAGTCCATTTCAATGCTCTTGTGTTTGTTTTTGTAGCTTAAAGGCCACCAAGTCAGAGTTCCTCTTGGTTGATTCTCTCTTCCACCAAATGTTCCGTCACTATTGTTTTATTGCAATCTATTTACAAGAAATGGGCGATTATTTTTTTCCACGATGCCTGGAGCCCTGAGCTGTGTTTGTTTATTGCTCTCCTGTGCACCAGAACACATCCTTGGGATTCAGCTGCCAATGTAAGGGATTAAGGGGCTAAGTGACTCTGACTAGAGTAGGAATCTTTCAAATGTGCACCTCTCCCCAGCTCTTTTGCAGGCAATTTTTATTTAACACACACACACACACACACACACACACACACACACACACCCTCCACACACAGTCCTTGCTACAGGCTGACAACAAATCAATCTCCTAAGATCTATTCAATCTCTTTTTATCCATCTTGGAAAATAGAAAAATGTGCAGGTATAACACATGCAATTATTCAAATATATATATCCATTATATATATATTCAAATATGTATCCATTAGTTATATATACATGACTGTATAATATCTATTCTATATATAGTAAATATTTATATTCAATATATATCCATTAGTAATATATATGACTATATATGTTATATATATGACTATATATACATATAACTAATGGATATATATTGAATATATGTATTATATACATATGGAATTGTATGAAATTCCATACATATGTATTCCATACATACATAACAGATCCATTAGTTACATATAATATATAGTCAATATATCAACCCATTATTTATATATAATATATAAATATAATATGTATCATATATTTTATATTTATATTAATATAAATTATAAATATAATATACTAAATGTGTTTCTATATATATAAAACTAATGACTATATATAATTCTGAATCTTCATATATATAAAACATTTCTCTCTTCAACCCACTGTTCAGGGTAAGTACTATCTTGTCTATTTCCATATATATATATATATATATATATACACACACACACACACACACACACATATATATATATAAAACAGATATATATATCCATTATATGTATACATATACATACACACATAGACGCACACACACACACACACACACACATACATATATATATATATATTCATTAGTTAATCTGCTTTTCTCCTTCAGTTGGAAGTACCCCAAAGGAATATCTATCTACCCATCTGTCCTGCCACAAAACAGATCATTCTCAACAGCAGTGGAAATAGAATCAGCTCCATTGCCTGGGAATCATTCTTGTCAGGAGTGCTTTCGTTCTAACCTAGGTAAAGGTAAGCAGCCCTTCTCCTTGTTTGATTATAGTTTCAGCTTGAAATTAGAATGATTTAAATAATGAAATGGGCAAAAACATTTTTTAAGTTAGCAATGAAGTTGATGGCATAATGAAAATAGCAAACATTTAAAAATTGACATGAACTCTTGGATTTGAATATTTATGCTCATTGTTTCAAACTTTTGACATAGATTTAAATCTTTTGTATGTCAGAGAAGACTTTTACTTGCCAAATTATCTTTCTTATCTTATCTGTAAAGAGAACAAGGTACTCTTTACAAATACATTTATACACTTTTCCAGGTCTGAGATCAAGACTTGATTAGTCTTACTGAGAGTAAACAAAATGATCAAACAAACAAAAGCCCCACTGCACGAAGCATTTCTATATCTGAAAACGGGACACCCAGGGGTTTTCCAGAGTTGAAGGAAAAAATAAACCTATTTCTAAAGGTCATCTCCTCTCTCTTCAGCCCCAACTGCTCCCCACAAAGGAGAAGTAGGAAATCAAAGACCCTGACAAGTAACCCCTAAAGCCATCCTCTTTCTCATTAGCATTAAGCCCTACCCTTGAATCCTATCTCAGTGAATATGTTGGTCCATCACACACAATGATAAAAACAACAATGATGATGGTGTGTGTGAGGATTTACCAGCACCATGCTCTCTGCACCTATTAGCTCATTAAATCCCCATATGCCTAAAAAGCAGGTATTGTTGTTGTTACTCTGCAGTCAAGGGAACCTAGTTCTAAAGAGCTTAAGAAATGTTGTTATGGTGACATCTTTGAGCTGAATCTTAATCTCAGCACGCTTATTTTTGGGCTGAATCATTGCCTTGTAGAATGTTTAGCATCTTACCAGTCTTCTACCAACTAGATGGCAGTAGCAACCCCTTCTGCCAGTTGTGATAAAAAATGTCTCCAGACGCTGACAGATGTTCCTTAGTGGACACAATAGCCCTGGGTGAGACCCTCTGCTCTGTGGCATAGATAAATAACCCACTTATTTAACTCTGGAACCCACATCCCATATCACCATGGTATCGATTACTAATTCTGGATTGTATATATAAAACATTTCTCTCTTCAACCCACTGTCCAAGAGGAAGTACTGTCTTCTCTATTTTTATAGAGCCACTTTCATAACCTTCCTTTTCTATTCCTTTGCTGTCATTTTTGATCCTTTATAATCTGACTTCTCTTGTTAAATAGCTTCCCTCATCCACATCACACAACCTGGTATTTTTCTCCTCTTTCTCCTTCTCTCTCTCTCTCTCTCCAATCATGCTATTCCATAGCTCTGCTGATCAGCATTGCACCCCATTGCTTAGACCTAATAGTAGTCATCCTTGGGTAACCACCCACCCCTGTTTGTAATTTTAATTGTTGTGTTCTCTCGCTCTGTCGTCACCACTCTATACTTCCTCCCATCCTCATCATGCAAATATAGTCACACCATACAAATGCCATGAATTTTTTTATTTTCATAGACATTATATTGTTCTATAGATAAAGTTTATTTATTTGGGCCAGGCATGGTGGCTCACGCCTATAATCCCAGCACTTTGGGAGGCCGAGGCGGGTGGATCACCTGAGGTCAGGAGTTCGAGGCCAGTCTGACCAACATGGCAAAACCCCGTCTCTACTTAAAATACAAAAATTAGCTGGGCGTGATGGTGCACACTTGTAATCTCAGCCACTCCAGAGGCTGAGGCAAGAGAATCACTTAAACCTGGGAGGCAGAGGTTGCAGTGAGCGAAGATCACACCATGTCACCCCAGCTTGGGCAACAGAGTGAGACTCTTTCTCAAAAAAAAAAAAGTTTATTTATTTGGATAAAGTTAATTTTCACTTGGAGTTTCTTGTTTACATTTAGGACCTCAGGGCATATTTGACAATCTACAGACCACATTCGAAGATCTCTAAGCTAATATGGACATTGTGCCTATTCCCAAGATAAATGCCAATCACTCGAGACCACCTATTTTAGAATTTTGAGTAGTCTTCAGCTTGTCCTCAATATGGGTGGATGAGAGATGGGAGAAAAGGCTGACAAGACGGCTGATTGTCTTATCAGAATGGCAAATTCTGATTCTAACTTCTATTTCAGAATTTAATCCTCCCACATATCAGTGGCAAAATTTGATGGTGTTAGTGTGGTTATAATTACCAGAGACTCTGTGTTTGAATTTGAAATTTTAAAGTAGATGGCATCGTCCCAGACCGCATTATTTCAAGATCATTTATATGACATTTACTGAAATATTGGAAAAGTCCAAGTTCTCTTTCATTTTTCTTTTACTCTCTAATTGGTTAGAAAAAAAAATAAGAAAAAAAATTACTCTGCTTCAAAATTCTTCATTACTCACTAAAAAACATAATTTCACCTGTCAGAGGCAGATATTTAGATTTAATTAATGGAAAAACAGCTATCAAATCTTGAGACCTGTACTTCTGTGTGACAGTGTATCCATACAGGCTTTTGGTTGCAAATGGCAGAAACCCAACTCAAGCCAAGTAAAGGAGTAAATTGATTAACTCCTATACTAGGAATTCTTAAATTCCCAGGGGAATGGATTGGGAGATTTGGGTACAGCTAGACATAGGGATTTGAACTATACCTTCAGGACTTTCTTTGTTCCCATTTTAACCTCTTCTTGGCTCCTTGCATAATAACCAAGAAGACAAACTGCAAGATTATCAGTGGAAACTCCAAATCTATGGTATTTTTAGCTTTCTGTTTCAGAGAAAAATCTACCAGCTAGGAAGGGTCTCAGGGAAGTTTCTAATTGGCTCATTTGGTTTATCCCCGAGCCAGTTATTGAGTTCAGGCTGGTAAAGCATTTTTACCAATCCTGGGCCATCAAGCTCAGGGTTTCAGATTTAAAGCTCTATTAGGACCACACAGAATGTAGAAATGGAAAGTCCCCAAAGTAAAAGCATGGTGCTATCAGAAAAGTGGGAAATGGATACCAGTAAGTAAAAACAAGATACG
The DNA here is from genome assembly GCF_000001405.40 of Homo sapiens. Taxonomy (NCBI): domain Eukaryota; kingdom Metazoa; phylum Chordata; class Mammalia; order Primates; family Hominidae; genus Homo; species Homo sapiens. Next base: position 7,891,254 of record NC_000016.10, on the reverse strand, counting down.
TTTATCTCAGGCACAAGTTTTTATTCCTTAAATACCCTGAGCTGTGTAATATTTCCATAAGAACATTCTGTTAATGATCAAGACGCTTGTATTGAGGCAGGAGAATAGGGTCTGGAGCAGGAAACCTAAGGACTTCCTACAGCTAAATCAAATGGAAACACTTAAGCTATGACAGGAAATATCCTCTTCATTTACCTAGGGTGTACGCTGAGTAAAGGACTTTGTAACTTTACCTCATCCCCTTCATTTACATACGGTGTACACCAAGCAACCAGTGGAAACCTCTAGAGGATATTTAAACCCCAGAAAATTCTGTAACTGGGCTCTTAAGCCCCTGTGCTCAGACCTGCTTCCGCCTCATGGAGTGTACTTTCATTTTCAATAAATCTCTGCTTTTGTTGCTTCATTCTTTCCTTGCTTTGTGCGTTTTGACCAATTCTTTGGTCAAGATGTCAAGAAACTAGGCATGCTTTACTGGTAACAATATTAAGGCTGGGGGTTAAACTTTGTCTTAAAATTTGTTGTTTCATTTCTACTATTTTCAAACCCCTCTCTGTTCAATCTATCTCTTTCAACAATTCTAACTAGAAGCTAATTCTAGGGAGAGATAACTCCCAGGCTCTCTTTTTCTCTCTTTTCATCTACTTGATTTCAGAACTTCCAGAAAGAAAGAGTGAATGGCATTCCTACCTGACAATAGTTCCTTCCAATAAGTTGTCTTACTTGTTTATTCTTGCAATGGGGCTCTAAGTAATATATTTCTATCAAATTTTATATTTCAGGTTTTATATACTTTCTTCATTTACATCTGTACTATCCAATATGATAAACACTAGGCACATGTAGATATTTAATTTTAAAATTAAATTAAGTAGCCTTAAGTCCAAGAAAACATTCAGTTCTTCAGTTGTATTACCATCTTTCAAGTTCGCAATAACCACAGGCACCTGGAGGCTGCCATGTTGTGTAGCACAGTATAGAACATTTATATCACCAAAGTAAGTTTTATTCAACAGTACCGATCTAGATCAAAATGTTTTCTGCATTAAAGACAAAATTCCATTTTTCTAAACATATCTTCCATCCATACAGCCACTCAATACAAGTAGAAACTTAAAATAAGAAGTAGTATATGTACAGTGATGATTGTACACTACAAATCATGGACCATTTATAATGGGTACTTTATTTATTTATTTTATTTTTGAGATGGAGTCTCACTCTGTTGCCCAGGCTGTAATGCAGTGTTGCGATTTCGGCTCACTGCAACCTCTGCCTCCTGGGCTCAAGCAACATTCCTTGCCTCATCCTCCCAAGTAGCTGGGATTACAGGTCCCCACAACATGCCCAGATAATTTTCGTATTTTTCAGTAGAGACGAGGTTTCACCATGTTGGCCAGGCTGGTCTTGAACTCCTGACCTCAGGTGATCCACCCACCTCGGCCTCCCAAAGTGCTGGGATTACAGGCCTGAGCCACTGCTCCTGGCCTATAATGGGCACTTTAAATTAGTATTATAAAATACTCAATTGCATTTTTAAAATTTACAATTCAGTTTCTAATAAGTTAAGCATTCCTTATTTTCCTCATTCATTCAGACTAAGCCACAAGCTTATCGGCCTTAACTTCCATCACTTGTTCCCCATTTAGTCTACATTTTGGCCATATACTAAATGTATCTCAATTTTCCAAAAGTTTTAAAATCTATCATAATTTAAGTCTTATTTTCTAGACCCAGTGCCTGGAATAATCTTTCTCCCTGTCTCCCATTTATTCATCAATGCTTTTTCTCTACTCTTCATTAGATATTGGCTATTTGCTACAATACCCCTTTATATACCTGCATTAGGGAATTTATCACACATTGAGTTGTGATTAGCACTTTGTATATGCACCTCCTTTATTCCTGTCTCTTAGGAGCAGGGACTCTGTGTAGCATCCTCCCAGCTCAGCCTAGAGCACTATGCCTATTACATATTGGGCTTCAATATATGTTTTATACATTAAAGTAGGTTAGAATGCTATTTAAAGCCCTCAAAATTGTGACTCTGATGTAAACCTCCACCTCATCCCTGCTGCTGTTACACAGAGACGGCATCCCAGCCACCTCGAACCATTCATTCATTGTTCTCTGGACACACCATGCACTCCCTATCCTCACATTTTTGCATAAGTTTCTTACTTTCACTGGAAAACATTCATCTTTCCCCCCTAGTATTCCTCCTTCACTGCCAAGCTCAAATAGCCTCTCTGGAAACGTACCCAATGCCTACTCACCCAGAACATGTTTTTCTCTGTTCCCTTTTCCCATAGTGTTCTGTCTTTGAACAAAGTATTAAGGTATTTATCACAGCCAGAATTTCATCACCATTAGTCGTGTCCAAGTCTGTCTCCCTCACTAACTTGTGACCCCTTCTAGGACATAGACTATGTCTTATTCATCTTTATTTTTCTCTTGCACTTAGCACAACATTTACCCACAATTGACACTAGAAAGTGTTTGTTGAATTGAATTGCTGTGCAAAGAAGTACTTCCTTTAAAAGACGTAAAAGAAAAAGAACAGTGACAGCTTTGCTGAAGAGAACACAATGAACTGAAAAGCCACCAGCTTTGATCAAAACCCTGCCCCAGGAACTCTCCAGCTGCTCAGACATGGTTTTCTGGCATCTGTGGGAGCTGTGGAATCTCAGAAAGGGACAATGTGATCAGGTCTGAGGGAGGAAGAAAAACACAAGCAGACCAGAGGCAGTGATTCTGCACACTGTAGTTTATTCATGTTTGGCAGAGTTCACTGAGCAGAACTCACAGTTGAGGGAAGCTGAAACCCTTGGCAAATGGAATGCTTAGAGGCTCCAGGTTTTATATCTGTGTTTAGTTCTCATACCAATAAAGAGAGAAGATTTTTGTAGATAATATTTAAAACGATTGTGAGAGGTGAAAAATAATTATCTAGTCTCAAACATCAAGGAAAATATTCAAGTGTTTAGAATAATGGAAATTTCCATCCAGCAGGGATTATAAATATCATCTTCTCCAGGAATAGCAAACAAAAGAGATGGGCTACTGATCGCCCTTTCCAATGGCTATGACAAGTGATTGTAAAACAGCTGCATAATTATTTCTTGAAGAGTGAGGATACGACCTCGGATTATTTCTCAACACAATGCCAACACCACAAGAGTTCATCTGTGAGATGACGTTATTTGCTAACCCATCTCACTTGTGAGATGAAGAAAGTAAAGCCTGAGGGGAAGGCAATCCTCCCCGGTGACTCAGTGAATTGGTGTAAATTCTATCTACATCCCAGTTCGATTACCTTTCCATACACCATGCTGCTGACCTATTTGTTCCTTTCCTGGTCATAGCTCTTATAATGATGTGTGCATTCCAAACAAAGCATGCCTGCCTAAAGCTCGGACCACTTTATGGTGGCATATATAACTTCTCATCCACCAAGAAGTCTTACGATAATGCATGTTCTCCCAAGTCAAATGTTTTCTGACAAGCCAATCCTAAAATAAACCACAATCTTTTTCTTGGATATCAGCTTTATTCTCAAATCCCTGATATGGCTGCACAGGGCAATCCCTGGCAGGCATTCTCAGAAATGAGCTTTGCTGAAAATCTTCAGGCCTCCAACCTCCCCTGAATGCTACTGCTCTTCATCAAGGTTGCCGGGATAAAGCCTGGGGCTGCCAGAGGGTGCACAACCTGGGTTCCAAAAGCTTTAGTGCTTCCTCCCTCTTCCTTTTAGTGCAGCTGTTTGTAGAGCTTCTCAGAGGGAGGACTTGAAAGGGACTGTTAATAACCCTGCTCAGAGCTCCGGAGGAGAAATTAAGCCTTTCTGCAAATTCAGCATGGAGCTGTTTTTGGCAAGACAAAGATCTCAGATGGCCTCTCTGGCAATGGGGCTATTTAGGGCTTAACCCTCTAAGTCTTTGTGCTTTGGATGAGTGTAACTTTAATGACCCTATTTCAGTTCCAGAGGTGGACATCTGACCTAAGTTGGGCATTTAGCATTATTACATCGTTCTAGTCACAGTGTTAGTGTCCAATCTGGGCTACTGAGAGGCTACCCTGACACTTCTCCTAAAATTGATTTTTATGAAACAAAAACAGCAACAACAGAAACTTCGTCTCCTCCCTTCTGGGCATTTATATTGTCACAGAAAGTTTAGAACTGGTATTATCAATGTTTTAAACATTTAAGGAGAGTATTCCTGAGAATAAAGTGGATACAGAGAAAACAGTTTAGAGGTTGACAAATGACATTACTTGGTCCCTTGATGCAAGCAGGCCTGAGCTTCATCCTTGTTCAATGCAATTCCTTGGTGCAATAAATCTGTTTCTTTGCTTAGTGTGGTAGAGTTAGGTTTCTGTTACTTGCAATTTCAAGTGTCCTGATTAATAAATCTGCACATGAAAAATAAGGATTATGGGGCCAAAAGAAATTGGGTAATCTAGGTTCAACAAAATTAAACACTGGAATATTCTTCTGACTGAAATTTCTCAGATAATTTATTATGCAAATGCATTCTTGAATTCTCCGAGAGAGAGTGTAAGCTGGTATATAACAATGTCTTGGGAGATTATGTAATTTATGATTCAGTGGACATAATTGTAAATGGGAAATAAAAATCATTGGTAATGTTGAATCTTATGTATGACATTAGAAATACGTATATTTTACTATTGTTTCATTTAGGTATATCTTAGGCACAAATTTTAAATAATATACAGTATTATACATGTGTTTGGTAGAAAGAAAAGTCTGATATTAATTTCAAACCACTCCTCACTAAGAAGTTGCAGAAAACTCATAGTCTAGTCAGAACACTGAGCTAAAATGTATTGAGTGAATATTATTTGCTAAACACAACACCCTATAAATGCATTAATTCATTTAATCACCACGACAATGTAATGCAGTGATTGCAATTCAATTTCCATTTGACAAATCAGGAAACCAGGGCTTAGGGAAGTTAAGTGACTTAATAGTCATGTGTTAGTTGCAGAATCAGGACTTGATCCCAAATCACTATGATGTCATTGCCCAAGTTTTTAAACACTGCAATTAGAAAGCTTTTTCGGTTTGATCTAAATCCTTCCATTACTCTCCATTGTACCCTACATTTCTTGTCTTATGCTGATCTGTTTGGGAATGTTATTTCTTCATATAAATGTCCTTATTACAATGAATAGAAATTTATTAGGAGTTACACATGAAATTTTCCAAATTTAGCTTATAGCATCCTCTCTGTTTCTCCTGGATTCCTATCACATATTTGCCACTGGTTGATTACAACCCTGGGAATGTTTCTTGCATTTTCTGTCCCTTGACCTGCTCTCACTAATCTGAGTATCCCATTGGGGTGAACAAGGGATATATCTCCCAGATCCGTCCTCACAGCAGGGTGTGCTGCCCAGCTATGAGAAGTGTGGCACTGGGGAGCTCCAGCTGTCATTTCTTGCAGGATCTGTTTTGGCTTCAGAGAGCACCCTCGAGAGAGACCACAGTCTTCCTGGGGCAGCCTGAAGCCAATTTTTAAGCAAGGGCAAGGTATAAATGCCTAGTCATTTAGGCCCAAACTGAGTCAACTGATGGGCGACATCCTCTTAGAGCTCCCTGCCTCATTGGCCAAAACCCTACAGTGGCCTGCATTGCATTTGACTTCTCTCTCTTCAGTGCACATTTCTCCTCTTTTTTCACAAATGTTGATCTCTAATAAATTGCTTCTCATTCTGCATCTCAGAGCACCTGCTCTGAAGAACACAACCGGCAAGACTCATGGGCTTGCCTGTGTGTTCAGAGCCCAGATCCTTTGCACCATTTCTATATACCCATTCTTTGTGACGTATAAAGTCATTTCACGTTGGGTCGCTAGATTTATTCACCCAGTCAACAAAAATGTATTAAGCGTCTCTAATTTAATTAATTGAGCATGTACTATATATTAGGTGCTATGCTAAGAAACTGAAACACAATGGTTAATTCAATCCCCTTAATTTGATAAGGAAGCAGGCTTGTAGAGGGTATGTTATTTGGCAAAGGCACCCAGTAAGTAACGGCAGAGTGCGCATTCAATTTCCATTTGCTCCAACTCCAAAGTTTACACTCTTTCTACCTCCACTTTTTACATGGCCAAGACTGTGGTCAGATATATCAGGGTTTGAGTGGCTTATGCTCTGTTTATAATCTCTGCACACATGGTGGCTTACAGCTGTGCTAAGCGGATACCTTAGAAGTATAAAGAAATAACTTCTAAGACTCCTGACTTAGAACTTAGTTCATACCCTGCCAGGATGGAGGGGATCTTTCCCACAAAATTGTATGCCTCCACCTCAGGGAAGCACTTCAGGAAATTCAGTGGGAATCTTTGGTTTCTGAATTTCATGATTTCCTGTGATTCCCTATCCAGAGAAGAGCTTGTCATTGATTTAGGTTTTCCTCCTCCAAGAACACCCAGTCTGCTGTTCTCATTCCGTGCCTTTTCTTTGTGATCCAGCCCACTTCCTCCTCTATGAACACATGAAAACATTGTCTAATTGGCAGGAAATCATTAATGCAAAGGGTACAAATAAAAATAATGATACTTATTATTAGTAGTAAATAATAATCGTCTTAAATAGCCATAAGAAATAAAATAATAATAGCAGTGATGACAATGGTAGTAATAAATATAACTTCCATGAGCAGTTACCATAAACCAGGTGCCATGCTAAGCACTTTACATAAATTATCTCATTTAATCCTGAAAACAACCCTTAACAATGGATATTATTAATTCCAAATTTTGCAGCTTGTCATTTATTTAGAAATGCCTAGGGTTGTTCTGTATAATGTGGCAGCCACTAGTCACATGTGGCTATTTAAATTTGAATTCAGATTCGCTAAAACTAAATAAAATTGGCAATTTAGTTTCTCTAACTGCTCATGTTTTAAGACCTCAAGAGCCACATGCAGCCAGTAGTTACAGATGGGACAGCACAGATGTGGACATGCCCATCATCACAGAAAGTTCTATTGGATAGTGCAGGTCCAGAGAGTGTCAATTGCTTGTCCATGTTCAGCTAGCTGCAAGGAGGCAGGCTGAGCTCTGAAGCTGTGGCTGTCCTTAAGATAGACATGAAAGTGTTTTTATTTCTGGTTCAAGAAAAGACAAAAAAAAGAACATGACCTCACTTTTTCTTCTCAAAGCCAAGTAACTGTCCCAAGGAATCCAACCCAGTGAACTTCTCCATAGGAATAAAATTTTTTTCACATATGCACTGAGTACGTGTGGTCAGTAAAATAATGCTGCTTCAAAGATGTCTGTGTCCTAATCCCTAGAACTTGGCAAAGAGGAATTAAAATTGCAAACATAATTAAGGTTGCTAATCAGTCGATCTTGAGAGAAGGAGATTCTCTTGCATTATCTCTTGGATTCTCTTGGTTCATCGTAATCAAAACGATTTTTACAGGTGAATAGAAGAGCTGGGGTGGAGGGTCAGAGTGAGGCAATGTGAGACAGACTTGACTGGCCAGGACACTGCTGGCTTTGAAGATAGAAGGGTTATAAGCTAGGGAACGTGAGTAGCCTCTAGAAGATAGAAAAGGCAAGAAAACAATTCCTCCATTAGAGCCTGTAGAAAGGAAGACAGCCTTAGTGACACCTTGATGTTAGTCCAGTGAGACCCATTTTGGATTCTGACCTCCAATGCTGTGAGATAATCAATTCATGTTGTTTTTAGTTGCTAAGGTTTTTCTTCTTTATTAAAAAGTATTAAAAATAGAGCCGGGGTCTCCCTTTGTTGCCCAGGCCATTCTCAAACTCCTGAGCTCAAACCATCCTCCCACTTTGACCTCCAAAAATTTTGGGATTAGAGGTATGAGCCACCGTGCCCAGCCTAAGTTACTAAGTTTATGGTAAATTGTTACAGTCACAACAGAAAACTAATGCAACACCACTCATAGCCCAACACTATTAGAGGTGTTAGGAACAGAAAGACCTTTTGGCATCATTTCTGTGTATTTTAGCAGTTAGTCTAGTAGAAATTCTTTTCTTGTGCCCAAAGTCGGAGCATGGAGGCTGGAAAAAAATGTCCATGGTAGGCAGAAGGTTTGCAGAGAAAATCAAATGTAAAGGCAGAGAATAGGTCATCACTGACAGCCTTCAGAGAGAACCAGATGGCAGTTAACTTTGCCCCTAGTTCCTGAGTACTTTTAGGTCAGTCTTTGGACATGAGCATTTCAAATATTCTTACAGGCTGCCAAGGGTGAAATAGACAGGGACCCAATGATGGCACTTTTCTTCCCAGGGCTATGCAGTGAATAATAGAAGAAAGGAAAAATAAATATGTGTAAATGCGATTCTTGGTGATTAAAGTTCATATTACTAGTCTGGTTGACTGATCAGTTAGTAACTGTGTATCATGAAGCCTCACCTCCGTAGATTCTAAATTTATGTTTGGAACCTAAACAGTGATTAGAAATAAAAAGATAGAGGGAAAGAAAAATGGAACAACCAAGAACTTTCTCAATGCCCATTTTGTCAGGGTTGTTGCTGACCTAGAGTTGCATAAATAAATAAACCACAAATAAATAAACTGGGTTATTGCCCCAAATAGAGAGTATAAAAACAAAGCTCTTTGAAATGTACATAACTGTGAAGTACTCCAAGAAATTAGACCCTTCCCACCTCACTTTCCACCCTCTGGCCCCCAAAAGAAGATAAAACAAGAAAACGACTATTACAGGTGCTATCTGCTTTGTTCTTTAGCCTCACTCTGACACTATCTAATTTCACTTTAACACAAGTTATAAAAGTTTGCAATTGGGTTTTCTTGCTTAGGCCAACCAGGAATTAATGAGATAGGTGGGAGATGGGTGGAGACAGAATTGAATGACACAGGTACACCACTTTATTATAAAAAAAGGCGGCAAGCTATTGAATGTATATATAACGAAGTGTCTCAGTTTGAGGGTACTTGGAGAAGACATGCAAAATGCTACATATGGAGAATATCTGACAGCATCTTAGAAATTTGTGTCCAAAATGAGGGGCTGCAGTCATTGAGATGGGTCATTTAAGGATCCTCCATTTCATAATAAATGGATGGAGGTATATAATGATTAAAATATGTATATGCAGATTTGGCATGTAAATCGGTGAGCTTTTCCAAGAAGACTTTCCTTAACCATCAGGTTGTGCTGAGCTCCCCTCTCTCTGCTGATGGAGCTCCAGCCATATACTTCTCCCAAGGCCATTAGCAATACTTGCTTCACTCCTTGAGGTCAGGAATTATGGCTTATTAATATGTGTGCTCAGGGGTGCCTCCTGAAGCTTGTAAATGATGTATTTAAGGGTACCTGTCTTAAAGGAAGAATTGCTGGGGGGAATTATCTTAAAACTGTGTTTTCACAACAAGTACTTTATTCTCTTTTAAAATTTTAGAGCGTGCAGTAAATCCTCACTTAATATTGTTGATAGGTTTTTGGAAACTGCAACCTTAAGTGCAGTGAACTAGAATAAAACCATTTTTTTCCATCAATATTATACAAAAGGACACTGAAGCAATCAATGGTATTCGAGGACCTGCTGTATGTCATTTCACTTGAAGCTGGAATTTCTGAGAACCTGTCAATGATGTTAAGTGCACACTTACTGTATGTTCATGTGGAATGATTTTGCATACAGAGCTAATCCAGTTTTGGAGAAGGTGAGGTCAGTTAAACCCATGCCCCTACAGATTCATTCTTCTGCATTTTAAGCCTGTGGATCTTGCCTAGCCCAGTGTCTCGTAGGCGGCAAAATTTCAGCAAATGTTGGCTAAACTGAATGAAAAGACATAAAAATATATCAAAATCACTTATGTGGACTACTGTTTTCCTGGATGGTGCCAAATTGGATTGTTTGTAATGCAAAGGATAAATGCTTGAGGAGATGGATACCCATTTTCCATGATGTAACTATTGCACATTGCATGACTGCGTCGAAGTATCTCATATACCCCATAAACATACATACTTACTATGTACTCACAAAAATTAAAATTAAAAAATGCTATTTGATACCACCTATGTGTCTGATTCTGAAGCTATAGAAATGCAGACTCATGGCCGGGCACAGTGGCTCACGCCTGTAATCCCAGGACTTTGGGAGGCTGAGGCGGGCAGATCACGAGGTCAAGAGATGGAGACCATCCTGGCCAACATGGTGAAACCCCGTCTCTATTAAAAATACAAAAATTAGCTGGGTGTGGTGGCACGCGCCTGTAGTCCTACCTACTCAGGAGGCTGAGGCAGGAGAATCGCTTGAACCCACCAGGAGGTGGAGGTTGCAGTGAGCCGAGATTGAGCCACTGCACTCCAGCCTGGTGACAAGAGCAAGACTCCGTCAAAAAAAAAAAAAAAAAAAAAAACAAGAACAAAAAAAAGGAAAGAAAGAAAGAAGGAAATACAGATAACAGATACAGACTCAACCCAAAATAAATAGAGCCCATGGATGTTGATGGCGATCAGAGGAGATATTACAATGCATTTGAATATACCCCACTCAAGTAAATTCAAGGAACAGTGGAAATATTCTCTGAAGAATTTTATTTCAACATTACTTTTCTTCAAGCACATACAAATAAATACAATCCTATGTGGAGTTCCAAACTGGGTCCTCCAAAATATGTGATACTTCAGAAAATCTGATGAAGAACCAACACATTGGTGATGTTTAAAAACTCATAGCGTAGAATGGGGGAAGGGGGGAAGAGAGAGACAAAGAGAGACTGAGGTACTCAGAGTTAAATTTAAGGTATTGTTATATTTCAGTTGTTTTAACAGAATGAAACGACTATATTCAAAAGCAAAACAGAATTGCATGAGAAGAGGGCCGGGCACAGTGGCTCATGCCTGTAATCCCAGCACGTTGGGAGGCCAAGACGGGCGGATCACTTGAGATCAGGAGTTTGGGACCAGCCTGGCCAACATGATGAAACTGTGTCTCTACTAAAAACACAAAAATTAGCTGGGCATGATGGCGGGCACCTGTAATCCCAGCTACTCAGGAGGCTGAGGCAGGAGAATTGTTTGAACCAGGGTGGCAGAGGTTGCAGTGAGCCGAGATTGTGCCACTGCACTCCAGCCTGGCCCACAAAGCAAGACTCTGTCTCAAAAATAAATAAATAAATAAATAATTTTTTAAAAAGAATTGTGTGAGAAGGGGGAAATACTAAGTAAATCTACACATTAATAGAGAAATTAATCTCTTTCTAGGATTTGTCATTCTGCCATGCGATGTCAGCTTGCCATGTGATGTGTAATGATTTTTGTTTCCTATCATTAAGATTCTTTTCCCCTTTAAAGTTTCTCTTTGAATCCTTTCCCATTATATTAAAAATGGTGTTCAATGAGATTTGTCATGGGATGCAATTTTCTCTTTCTTTTCCTCTTTCCTCTCTCATTACTTGCCTACTTGCCTCTTGGAGGCTTTTCTTTTTCACTCTCTCAGGATCCAAACAAGCAGACTACACACAGAAAGATGACTTCATTTCTTCACCGAGTGTTTCGTGAGTGTCTGCTGCATGCTGGACACTAGCAAAGGCAGAAGGAATTCAACCACAACTGAAATGAACACCGGGTATCCAAGGGCAGGAGGAAAATGCTGGAGAAAGGACCTCAAGTCAAGTGATGGATGGCTTCAAGGAAGGCACAACAGAGAGCTGTTGGGGTCCAGGAGAAGAAGTATGTAATTCTGTCTGGGTGGAGTGGGCAGAAGCAAACAAACAAACAAAAATGTTTCTTTTCGGGCATGGTAGCTCACATCTGTAATCCCAGCACTCTGAGAGGCTGAGAGAGGAGGGTCACTTGAGCTCAGGAGCTCAAGATCAGCCTGTGCAATGTAGCGAGACCTCATCTCTATGAAAAATATAAAAATTAGCCAGGCATGATGGCATGTACCTGTAGTCCCAGTTATTCTGGAGACTGAAGTCAAGGCTGCAGAGAGCTATAATTGTGCAGCTGTACTCCAACCTAGGCAACAGATCAAGGCCCTGTCTCGCAACTACAACAACAAAAACAAAAAAATGGTTCCATAGTAGAAGTAATGCCCAAGCTGAGCTTTGCAATGCGAGTCAAGAATACCTGGGATGATGTTGGGAAAAGGAAATTCAAATTCTATATCAGACTTCTTCATAATTCCTGTCATTAAAGAACTCTCAGCCCACTTCCCTCAAAGCCTACCATCAGCCCAAACTTTCAGTGGAATTCATAATTATTGTTCAGCTCCACTTGTAATTTTCTTTTTGGAAACACTTGATTGGAAGATGATTATGAGAGGGTTAATGAAAAAAAGAGCCCCCAAAAATGCTAAACGCCAGGACGTCAGATGATGGAGAGAGAGGATCCCTTGAATCTAATTTAAACTAAAAAGATGTTTTTGAAACCAAAAATAAATCTTGCTCCAGAGTGATTACCAGATAAAACATTTTAGTTAGTGGATGGTGGACTGGCCCATATTTCATGTTTCCCGTCAATGTTCACTCTCTGTGCTACCTGAAGGGTCTGAGTGTTCAGCTGATGAATGTTTTGTGACTTTAAAAGACTATTTATCACCACCACAGCTAATGCAATTTTCCAAAGCATAATCCAAAGGCGTTTTGTGAAAAGAATTTCCTGCCTGAAAGTGTCCCCATCGTTACCTTTCTAGACTGTAGGTGGGGGCCACCCAACTTCTTGAGGCCTGACAATTATGTGATAGGATATGGTTTCCTGCTCCTTCACCTCTTTTTTTTTTAATGTTTATTTTAGATTCAGGGAGTACCTGTGCAGGTTTGTTACATGGTACATTGTGTGTTGCTGAGATTTGGTGTACAAATGATCCCATCACCCAGGTAGTGAGCATAGTACCAGACAGGTAGTTTTTTAACCCCAGCTCTCTTCACATCCTCCTCCCTCAAGTAGATCCTGGTGTCTGTTGTTTCCATCTTTGTGTCTTTATGTACTCAGTGTTTAGCTCCTGCTTATAAGTGGGAGCATGCAATATTTGGTTTTCAGTTTCTATGTTCGTTTGCTTAGAATAATGGCCTCCAACTGCATCCATGTTGCTGCAAAGAACATGCTTTTGTTCCTTTTTTATGCCTGTGTAGTATTGCACGGTGTATATGCACATTTTCATTATCCGATCCACTGTCAATGAGCATCTAGGTTGATTCCATATCTTTGCTATTGTCCTCCACCTTTTTGTTCTGGCTTAGCCCCAACAGGCTCCCTGTTTCCTCCCTCTTTTCTTGTAATCCTCCTCCCCTGCCCTGGTAGAAATGGTGGTCTGGGATATTGTTATGTGTATATTCACATGAGAGTTTGATGCTTTGGAAATTCTCCTCTCAGTGACTAAAAAGTTCTTTTTGGAAGACCAAGTATAAAGGAAGAGCAATAACTGGGTGAAGATGGCACCTGGGTAAAGTGGAGGCAGCAGGGAGATAGATAATGAAAGCAGAAAGAAGGTGGACCAGTAAGAGACTCATGGGCATCTATGTAAAGTGACTCCAGTAGTACCTGGAAGGTGGAACCACACAGAGAGATTCGCATCATCCCAAGGGGCTGCCTTGTCAGCTATAGATAAGATTAATCCATTTCTACTCAGAATCATTAGAAGGTTTCAGTGATATGTCTAAGAATTATTCTATTGATAGGTAGAAAAGAATTTTATTACAGTTAAAGGGCCATGTGTATACCTTGACAAAATCAACAGTTCCTATTTCATCTGGATTGTTTGCTTGACTTACATTGCACAGGTTGTGAGGTTTGTTTTTAACAATTTTTTTTTCTTGAGATGGAGTCTCGCTCTGTCACCCAGGCTGGAGTGCAATGGCGCGATCTCGGCTCACTGCAACCTCCGCCTCCCGAGTTCAAGCAATTCTCCTGCCCCAGCCTCCTAAGTAGCTGGGACTACAGGCAAGCGCCACTATGCCCAGCCAATTTTTTGTATTTTTAGTAGAGATGGGGTTTCACTCTGTTAGCCAGGATGATCTCGATCTCTTGACCTCATGATCCACCTGCCTTGGCCTCTCGAAGTGCTGGGATTACAGGCATGAGCCACTGCTCCCGGCTAATAAAATGTTTTAAGCATACGAAAAATATGCAGAATAATATGAAGACCACCTGCGCTCACTCAATCCACATTGTCAAACCTACATTTTATTACATCTGCCTCAGATAATTCTTCTACTTTAAAAAAAAAATAAAATTCTGCAGATAGGCCCAGAAATTCTAATCTTGGACTTTTCCTCCAAGTAAAATGAACAGTTATAGTCTCACAAAAATCTGTACATGAATGGTCAGAGTGGCTTTATTTATAATCACCCAAATCTGATAGCAATCCACACAGCTTCTGAGGGGTGAAAGGATAACAAATCATGGTATATCAATTCAATAGAATACTACTCAGCAATTAAAATCAGGAAACTACCAATACACACAACAACATGGATGAATTTCAAGTGTGTTTTTAGTGACGAAACCCATACTCAAAGGCTGCATGACTGCATTTTTATATTTCAGAAAAAGCTAACTTTATAGATAAAAAACAGATTAGTACATGCCAAAGGCTGGACGTGGAGAGGACTGACTACAAAAGGGGATGAGGAAATTTAGGGGGTGATAAGCCTGTTCTGTATCTTGATTTTGGTGGTGGCTACATTATAGTGTTTGGCAAAACTCACAGAACTGTACCCCATGATGAATGACTTTTATTGCATTTATTTTTTATTTTAATAAAGAAGAGAAAAAATAGTAACGAACATTTGTTTAAAGTCAGGGTGGTGTGTGTGTGTGTGTGTGTTTGTGTGATTGTAAACTACTGAGAAATAGGAAGAAAGGTGCTTGGTTTTCTGAGTACATGGGATGTAGAACCCACAAATATGGAATGGAGGCTCATGTGTATGTGGGGTTGAGAAACAGTGCTTTGTAAGATTTTTTTTTTTTTGAGCAGTGATGTCCTAGCCAATATCTGTAAGCTGAGTAGACATTCTTAAGCAAAAGGTCTTGTAGAAATTAAGTAACAAGTGTAATAATAACAGCATATTTGCATGGGATGCTTCTTCTGTGTCAGGTATTAAATTAGGTGCTAAACATATTTTGTTCTACAGATCTGCAGTACAAGTATTATCATGTCATTTCACTAATGGACAAGTACAAGTTTGGGTAAGTAAAGTCACTTGCCCAAGGTCAAAGAGAAAAATAAAATGATGAAAATGAGGTTCAAAGTTTGTGCAACTCCAACTTCCACCTGTGATATGGTTTGGCTGTGTCCCCACCCAAATCTCATCTTGTATTATAGCTCCCATATTCCCCGCATATTGTGAAAGGGGCCCGGTGGGAGGTAATTGAATCATGAGGGCAGGTCTTTCCCATGCTGTTCTCATGATAGTGAATACGTTTCATGAGATCTGATGGTTTTATAAAGGGGAGTTCCTGCACACAATCTCTTGCCTGCTGCCATGTAAGATGTGTCTTGCTTTCCCTTTGCCTTCCACCATAACTGTAAGGCTACCCCAGCCATGTGGAACTGGGAGTCCATTCAGCCTCTCTCCTTTATAAATTACACAGTCTCCGGTATGTCTTTATTAGCAGCGTGAGAACAGACTAATACAACCTGCTTTCCATTCTGCTGCACTGTTCCATCTTCCTTCTCAGAGCCCCAATCCCTCAGATGAATAATCCTCGAGAAGAGATCATCTTAAGGTTTTTCCAGTTCTGATATGCTAAAATAAAAGTAAGCTTTATCTGCTGGCCTAAACATACCCAGAGAGATCAAGACTTCCCTTCTCCATGTCTTCCTGCAGCCTGTTTTTATTTTTTTTATTTTTTTTTTATTTTTATTTTTTTATTATACTCTAAGTTTTAGGGTACATGTGCACATTGTGCAGGTTAGTTACATATGTATACATGTGCCATGCTGGTGCGCTGCACCCACTAATGTGTCATCTAGCATTAGGTATATCTCCCAATGCTATCCCTCCCCCCTCCCCCGACCCCACCACCGTCCCCAGAGTGTGATATTCCCCTTCCTGTGTCCATGTGATCTCATTGTTCAATTCCCACCTATGAGTGAGTTCCATTAGAAGATGAGTCTTTGTAGTACAGAATTAATTTAATAACTACTGTATGGAATGTACTACAATCATAACAATTTGCCCATATTTAGCCCTATCTCCAAATCTCAACTACCTAGAGTTACAAAGTTGGAGCTTCATCTTTTATGAAGGTAGAAAACAAAAAGATTATGGTCTTTTAAAGATCATATGAAAATTATATTTATATACATATACACACATATATGTATATATGACTGTATACCCATATATATGTGTATCTGCTTTCTTGTGTTCATATAAAAAACATATCTGCTCTATATACTTCTTGTACTAAATAGGGGAGTTGGAAATAATCTATAAAGCAAATTCAGAGAATGCTTGACAAGGATGCCTAGACTATTCATTAGAGAAGAAATAGTCTTTGTAACAGTGGTGCTGGGGCAATTGAATATCTACATGCAAAAGAATGAATTTAGGGTCCTATCTTACATGATATACAAAACATATTTCAAAATGCATCAAAGATCTAAATGTAAAAGCGGAAACTGTAAAACTCTTAGAAGAAAACACAGGTGTATATCTTAATAAAAAATAGATACATTGGATTTCATCAAAATTAATAACTTTTATGCATCAAAAGACACTAATAAGAATGTGGAAAGAAAAGCCAAAGAATGGGAGAAAACATTTGCTAGTCATACAGATGATATTCATATATAAAGAATCCTTAAAACTCACCACTAAAAAGTTAAATGCCCCAATTTAAAAATTGGCAAAGAACTTCAATAGGCATTTGTCCAAAGAAGATATTCAAATGACTAATAAGCATATGCAAAGATGTTCAACATCATTAGTCATTAGGGAAATACAAATCAAAATCACAATAATATACCACTTCACACCCACCAAGATCACTATAATCAAGAAGACACACAATTACAAATCTTGGCAGGAATGCAGAGAAATTGGAACTTTCATGCATTGCTGGTGTCAATGTAGAACAGTGTAACTGCTATGAAAGTCAGTCTGGCAGTTTCTCAAAAAGTTAAATATGTAGTTACCACTTGACCAGCCATCCCATTGCTACATACATACCCACAAGAATTGGAAATATCTATGCACATAAAAGCTTGTGCATGAATGCTCACTGCAGCATGATTCATAATAGCAAAATAGCAGGTACAATGCTAATGCCCATCAAATGATGAATAGATAATCAAAATGCAGTATATTCCTTTGATGGAATATTATTCGCTAGTGAAAAAGAATGAAGTGGTAATACATGGTACAACACGAACACCATTGAAAATATTGTGCTAACCATATACACCATGGAATACTACGCAGCCATAAAAAAGGATGAGTTCATGTCCTTTGCAGGGACATGGATGAAGCTGGAAACCATCATTCTCAGCAAACTAACACAAGAACAGAAAACCAAACACTGCATGTTCTCAGTCTTAAGTGGGAGTTGAACAATGAGAACACATGGACAGAGGGAGGGGAACATTACACACCGGGGCCTGTCATGGGGTGGAGGGCTAGGAGAGAAATAGCATTAGGATAAATACCTAATGTAGATGACGGGTTGATGGGTGCAGCAAACCACCATTGCACATGTATACCTACGTAAGAAACCTGGACGTTCTTCACATGTATCCCAGAACTTAATGTATAATAATTTTAAAAATGCAAAAAAAAAAAAAAAAAGAAAAAGAAAATATTGTGCTAACCAAAAAAAAAGCCAGACACAAAAGGCCACATATTATATAATGCGATTTTTATGGAATGCTCAGAATAGGCAAATCTATAGAGACAGAAAGTAGATTCATAGATGCCAGGCCCTCAGGGGAGGCAGGAATACAGAGTGACTATTCATATGTTTAGGGTTTCTTCTGGGGGTGATGAAAATATTTTAGAATTAGATAGTGTTGATGGTAGTGAAATCTTGTAAATCTGTTAAAAACACAAATATTACACTATAAAATGGCTAATTTTATGATATGTGCATTATCTGTTAATTTTTTAAAGTAGATTTAAAGAAAACAGGTCCTCATTGTAAAAGTGAGCTAAAGAGAAATATCTAATATAGAGAGAAAGAGAAGTAGATGTTACGAAAAAACTGGCTTTACATTACACACTTTTATCCTAAACTATAGACCTCTCCATGCAGATGTCTAATGGATGTCTCAAAATCAAAAAGTCCAAAGCTAAGCATTTTCCAGACTATCGAAATGAGCTACAATAGCTTCCCCATCTCCGTTGATGGCATTGCATTCTTCCTAATGCATAGGCCCCATCCACAGAGCTGAGCTCTACTGCTCAGTTATTCTCACACTCCACTTGCCATCCACTGGGAAGTTATTTTGTCCCTACCTTCAGAACATAACCTGAATCTGGCACTTCTCCTTGCCTTAACTGCCTCCATCCTAACATGAGTGACAAACATCTCTCTGGTCTGGATTTCCTCACTGGCTTTCTAACTGGTCTTTTTGGTTCTGCCATTACTCTAAAACACAACAGCCAGAGTGTCCCTTTGAAAATGGAAGTCAGTCTCGTCACTGTGTCCCAAATCCCTTGCAATGGATTTTTCTCATAGCAAAATCCCTACAAGAGCTTGCCACGAGTAACCTCTTTAGCCTCTCCTCCTCCTATCTCCCCTTTGCTCCCTCTGTGCTAGGCCCAATGGTCTCCTTGCTGTTATTCAAACATGCCAGGGACCCAGTAGCTGCAGCCACAGGGCCTTTGCACCGGTTTCTATCTAGACCCCCTATTTAAACTTGCAGCTCCACACACCAAACATGCCTGACTCTGCTTAATCTGTCGTTTTTCACTTATGAGCACCAAGGATGTGAGCTGCATGAGAGCAAGGACTTTTATTTCATTTATTCATGGATGTATCTTTGAAGACTATAATACTACAACATCATCTTACAGGCTAAAAGGAAGGGAGAAAGAAGAGAGGGAGGGAAGAAAGGAGACAGGGGAGGAAGGAAAGAAGGAAAGAGAGGAGGAAAGGAGGGAGGGAGGGAAGGAATGAGGGAGGAGAGGAAGGAAGAAAGGAAGATAATGGAAAGGAAAAAGGGAAGGAGGGAGGAAGAAAGAAAGGAAGGGAGGGAAGGAAGGGAGGGAAGAAGGACAGGGAAGGAAGGAGGAAGGAAAAGAAAGGAAGAAAAGAAAAGGAAGGAAGGCAGGCAGGCGAAGATTTAGACTATATGATATCTAAGGTTCCTATTTATGACAAAGAGCTCAGGCTCTGGGATCTAAATGACTAATGTGAAGAACGAACTGTGTGTCATGGCTGTGTGTCATTGCTAAGTAAATTATTTAAATCTCTGAGCCTCAGTTTCTGTACCTTCAACTTGGGGATAATTCCATTAACCTCATGGCGTTGTTATGAGGATTACTGAATCAGCAAGAAATTTATCGGAACTTCCTCTGGCCAAGGTCTTCCTCCATGATAAGGCTTCACTAACTCTATGGGACCCAATGCCATCGACATCAACCTCAAAAAGGTTTCCGCGGAGCTGCTCAGCTAAGAAGCTCTTCTGAGGAGAAAGTTGCTAACACTGTGATCGGCTCCGTTCTGTTTCTCTCGGCAGGATCACCGTCCTCCTGCCTGTTAAAGTGTGTCCTCTCAGCAGAGTCAACAACAAGGTGCCTTTCTGGTCGACTGATTCTGAAGCAACTTGACTCACACACTGTGATGTTTCCCATGCAGTGTCATTTCTTTAAACATCTTCCAACAGTCCTTTTGATTTCTTTCTTTTTTTTCTTTTTTTTTAAAAAAACCCTCAGTAATCAGGTTTTCTCAAATTTTCCACTTCATGATCCTGATTGGGTCAAACACTTGAAAATTATGTTAAGAGGCTCGGATCAAAGTGAGTCAAATTGAGTTGGATCTAATTCCCTGTAACTTCCAGGACACCATCACTAAATGCAAAGTTGTCTTGTGGCATCCTAGCAGGGGGAAGGTTACAGACGTTCTCATCCTAATAAGAAATGGAGCATTGGCTGGACTTAATCTCAGAAGGTAGTGGTGGTTTTGATTTATTAAATAAGACATCAGTAAAAAGAAGCAGCCCAAGCAAGCCTTCTCTGGTTAAATGTAAAATTACATTAAAAGCAGAAAGAAAACCCACGTCCTAAGGAGAAGAGAGTTGGACAAAATCATTATAAGGGAATGGAAGAATAAAATACACAACACTGCTGGTGGTAAAAGGAGGCCTAAGTGAAAAGCTTCCATATATTTAAATGGTTAGTCAATATCATAGAAGAAAAGAATGGAAGAGCCCAAATTCACCTTTGGACATATAAAATAGAATTAAGGCCGGGCGTGGTGTCTCACGCCTGTAATCCCAGCTATTTGGGAGGCCAAGGCAGGCGGATCACCTGAGGTCAGGCATTGAAGATCAGCCTGGCCAACATGGCGAAACCCTGTCTCTACTAAAAAATATAAAAATTAGCCGGGCATGGTGGTGGCTGCCTGTAATCCTAGCTACTAGGGAGGACGAGGCAGGGAGAATTGCTTGAACCCGGGATGCGGAGGTTGCAGGGAGCTGAGATCGCACCACTGCACTCCAGCCTGGGTGACAGAGCAAGACTCCCTCTCAATAATAAAATAGAATTAAAGCACAGGTAGAATTTCTCTCCAACATTTTACTAGGAAGATTTTCAAACATAGACAAATGTTGAAAGACCAGTACAATGAACATTCATATACATGCCACACGGAGCCAACAATAGCTCAAATTTGGCCAAATTTGTTTTATGTGTACCTATCTTTCTATATATATATATATATAAAATATAATATATATTATATATTTTAAATATATTATATATTTATATGATTTATAATATATTTATATGTGTGTGTGTGTGTGTGTGTGTGTGTATGTGTTTGTGTGTTTATCTGCTGACCTAGTTGAAAGTAAGTTGCAGACATCATGGCACTTGATTTCTAAATACTTCAGCACACATCTAAAAATCAGGACATTCTTCCACATAACTCAAATAGGCTTTTAAGATCATGGTCCATAAATCTTTCAGATCATAAAACTCAAGGAAAAATATTCATTTTACTGTCTGTAAATTGTCTTTGGTTTAGAATGACTTTGGGAGAAACACATTTTGGTTTTGACTTTGTATCTCACCAGGTCTATTCGGTTTGTGTGATTTATTCTATAGAAAGGACAGAATGGCAAAGCTGGGTTGCCCCTTCCCTCAAAAGACTGGACATAACATCACTCTCTGGGGTTTCAAATATGACATTGACACCTGGAAAATTAGTGAATGGATATATAATATCAGCCTGATGAAACAGGATGGTGGTGAAGCCTGTAAGTCTGGCCTTGAATCAGTATGTTGGAAAAAAGTCTAAGTTCTTCGAAAGGGGTTGGTAATGGTTAAGAAAGGGCGAATAGAGACTCCCATGTTAGTGTCCAGCCAGGCACCATACCAAGGAGATAGGACACTAGCAAACCCACACTCCACCCTTGCAGTGTTGGTTTAGATTTTGTTGGGCACATTTAACCTGAGTGTGATTATAGGTGTATCTGGAGATCACCGATTGGTACCATAAAACAGGCAATTCCTCCATTTAAAAAAACAAAAGTCTCTCCTTGCCTTTGCTTAGAATCTCATGCTTATCAAGCAACCTTTGGAAATGACCTGGCATCTCCTCTAGCTTCCTTGGTCAGCCAAAATAATTATCCAAAGTACTTGGCTGGTGTGATTTTTATGTTTATTTCATGAATTGGCCTCCATCGCCAAGCTTCCTCATTCATTCATTCATTCATTCATTCACTCACTCAGTGTCAAAACCCTATTATGTGTGCAATTTGTTGATGACTCCTTCTTCTCCTCCTCCTAACTGATCTACAAGGAATCACCTCATTGAATCATCTCATTTTTTTTTTTCTTTGGAATGCTCAATGTTCATCTTTAAACTGGAACATATTCTCCTTTCTTCATTAGGATCTTTTTTTAATTTTTATTTTTTAATTTTATTTTTCCATAAGTTACGGGGGTACAGGTGGTAATCATCCCATTTCAAAAGTGTTCTAAGGTAGACACATTTTCAGCACTTTAAAAATGGACATTGAAGTTTAGAGAGTTAGAATCAGAATCTGAATTCAACCTGAATTGAATTCAGGTTAACCCTGGGCAGATCAGACCTACCTGCAACGCTAACAAGGAGTTTCTGAACTTTCAGAACAAAGACTCCCTTTCTGGACCACAGCCGCAGCAAATTTTAGGAAAGCAAATTTCACATGTTTGGAACCCAGAGAGCTGGTCAGTCAGCTTTTTCCAGTCAGTACCTCCTCTTCTGTATCAAGGCATAGCTTTATCCGAGACTGAGATGTGGAGTGAAATCTTACTGGATTTCAATGAGACATAATTCTGAATAGAGTCTTGTTCAACCAGGCTTAATAATTACTGTAATATCTGAAATACTATACTGGAGGGTCATTGGAGGAGGGCAGGTGGAAAAGGGAAGGAGAAGATTAACAATCTAAACATCAATATAAACACTTGACTAGCGCTATGGAACAAAGATATTGTATAAAAAGGTAATAAACGTATTATATATATTCAATAAAGTAAACTCAAAAGACCCTCAGCTTGGAAACACTTGGTCAACCAACTGTTCACTTGATTCACCATATATATTTGAAATATAATTGCATTTTTAAAGTAAGATTTTATAATTTTAGATTGAGTCTTTTAGGCTGATTACCTCCTAGTGGGTAGGAACTGGCATGAGTTTTTTATTGCTGCCTTAAAAATCACCACAAGCTTACCAGGTAAAAACAACACTCATTTATTATCTCACAGGTCAGGAGGATGAAAGTCCAGGCATGACACAGCTGGGTTCTCCACTCAAGGTCTTGTAAAGCTGAAGTCAAGGTTGAAATCAGCCTGGGTTGAAATCTCATCAGAATCTGGGTTCCTCTTCCAAGATCATTGGTTGTTGGGAGAATTCAGTTCCTTGTGGTTGTAAGACTGAGGTGTTCAACTCCTAGAGGCCACCCCTCTCTATTGGCAGTCCAGGACAGAGCGGCTTGCTTTCTTCCTTGAGGCCTACAGTGGGAATCTCAATGATGTCACACTTTTTGAAGGTTTGCCTGATTAGGTCAGGCTTGCCTGGTGTAATCTCCTTTGCTGTCACCTCAAAGCCAGCTAAGTGACCTATGGGATTGACATCCTATTATATTCACAGGTCTTGCCAACACTCAAGGAAAGGGGATTATTCAAGAGTATGAGTCACTGAGGGTGGGGATTTGAGGTCATTTTGGAATTCTGCCTACCACAATTTAATACTGCTTATACCTACTCCTTTCTCTTCATTTTAGCCAGTATTTCTCCAGGTGAAACCTTTAGCACATCACCCTTACATCTCCAGAAGTGCTTCCTGATGGGTGTTCCAAGACTTCCCTCTCCACACGAGCTAGCACACGGCTACTAGGTTCATTTTCCCTGCTCAGACATCTCCAGTAAATCTCCAGTCACTCAACGAATAAAGTCAAAACCTTTCTCAGGACAGGTTCATCACTTCACTCCACCCTCCCTGCCAAATTTATTTTCTCTGCTTCCCAATTAACAATCTTTACGGGACATATAGGTTTTAAATTAATTTTGGACAATGAGATCTTTAACAGGTGTAAACCCACACTCCACCTCTCAGTGTTGGCTTAGATTTTGCACTTAATTCATGGTGTAGCTGATGTTCAGGAGGGAGGGGTTGCCAGAATCAATTCAAATAATACTTAGGTGATGGCGCAGGTTACCTGCTTCCATGAATATCCAAGCTTCCTTGGATATGCTAAATAACCTCACAACAGGAAAAACAAACAAACGGACTCACATCTTAAGTCATATAAAAGGAGCCAAGCTCATTAGCAATTTTGAGAATCTGGCTTCATTAGCAGGTGCTCAGAGAGCCCAGGTAGCTATTAGTGATATTCCTGCCACGAAAGGGTGTGCCCAGGACTCCCAGAGGCAGTTTAACTTCCCCAGCCTACTTCAAAATGAGATTTACTCAGTTACAAATTGTACATGCTAAATGAGCAAAACTATTAAACAAGGAGGGCTGCTGGGCTAAATAGCTGAGCATTTAACGGTGCACCATGGCATTACCATTTTTATGGTCTATTAAGGCAATTGGAAGAATACCAGCTGAATGAAGAATCAGGTAATTTGCATATGTGTTTTATAAATTACCACATGCTTGCATAAAAAGTAGAGTCCCCTTCTCATCTAATAAAATGTGAGACAGAGACACTTGAAAGAAGTCAGTCTGTATCAGACAGAGTACTTTCGCTGATGACCATGAGCACAGAATTTCCTTCTCTTCCCTTTCCAAATTGATGCTTTGGAGAATTAAAATATACTGGGTCCTGGCCTTCCGTGAGTTTCCCCCTCTGATCTATTTTCAGTCATGGTGGGGAAGGCAGAGAGCTATTATTAAGAATCAGAAGAACAATTTTCTAAGTTGCTGCCTTGACTTTTGCAATTTAAAATTGAAGCAAGGCAGCTCCTCAGTCACTCCATCTCCTGCTAGCCCTAATGAAGCTTGCAGCATCAGCTTCAGCTTCGGCTGATGCTCCCCCTGGATTGAAAAATTCAGGGAAAGAAAAGACATGTAACTCTGTTTAGCCAGAAGCTGTGCATTTCTGGGAGTTTAAAAGAAAAGTAAAGGGAGAAGTTAATTAAACAACTCCTCCCATTAACATTAAAGTCGTTTAGAAACACCTGTCTTTGTTAGCTGTACTAGAAGTGAAATCCCACTCCAGGTAGAACAGCTTTTTACGAATGGTTGCTTCATCACAACAGGGGATATGTAAAAGATATCACATGCCGAGTCACAATGCTGAATCCCAGAGTCCCCAAGAAACCATACTTTGCATGGTGGCTTCAGGGAGTTAGCATAGAGGGGGTAAATGGAATTGGCGGCATCCAAAAAGTCAGTGCTGTATTTCCACTTGGAGAGTTCTACTCTGAGAATGGAGCCATCAGGATTTGTATGAAAATAATGAAGTGAGAGGAGCAACAAGATCCCCAAACAAAAAGAAAGGCAGCCCTACAGAAAAAGAAAAACCACGGTTTCTACAGATTTGCAAATCTGGAAAAAACATTTTTGTGATGCATTTGGTTTAAACAGATGCTAAAAACACAAAAATAATAGATGTCAGCTACAAAAAGACTTTTTCTTTTTCTTGTTTAAGTTCTGCGATACATGTGCAGAATGTGCAGGTTTGTTACATAGGCGTACTTGCGCCATGGTGGTTTGCTGCACCCATCAACCCATCATCTAGGTTTTAAGCCTCTCATGCATTATGTATTTGTCCTAATTATTCCCCCCTCCCCTAGCCGCCCACCCCCTGACAGACCTGGTGTGTGATGTTTCCCTCCCTGTGTCCATGCGTTCTCATTGTTCAACTCCCACTTATGGGTGAGAACATGTGGTGTTTGATTTTCTGTTCCTGTGTTAGTTTGCTGAGAATGACAGTTTCCAGCTTCACCCATGTCCCTGCAAAGGACATGAATTCATCCTTTTTTATGGCTGCATAGTACTCCATGGTGTCTTTGTGCCACATTTTCTTTTTCCAGTCTATCATTGATGTGTATTTGGGTGAGTTACAAGAAAAAGACTCGTTCTTAAAGGTCGGACTCAACTATCTGCTTCTTTTGTTAAAAAAAATTTATTTTTAAAAATTTTTGTGGGTACATAGAAGGTGTATATATTTATGGGGTACATAGATGGTTTGATATAGGCATGCCATGTGAAATAAGCACATCATGGAGAATGGCATATCCATCCCCTCAAGCATTTATCTTTTGAGTTACAAATAATCAAATTACATGCTTTAAGTTTACAATTAAATTATTGACTGTCTGCTTCTTTGTGAAGACTTGCTATATAGAAATATATGGCAAGTCTTCACAAAGAAGCAGATTGTCAATAATACCTTTATTATTTACTAATAAACCTCAATAGCTTTATCTCTATTTTTGTGCCACCATGGAAGGTGCCAACTAAGTCACCAGCTATATCTTGAACATTTTATTACAGTTATTAGTTTACATAGCTGTTCGTCCTGGAGAACAGGGTTGTGTCCTGTGGTTTATGTGAGATCTAACACAATGAGTCCCTTAGTTCTTAGCAGATGTGAATGCTCAGGTTAGGTGACGGTTAAATAAATGCATCATCCCAATATTTAGAGTTATATACTAGCTAATATTTACTAAGCTCATCAAATGCATTAACCAGTATGCTAAAGGATCTACACAGTCTAACTTAATGTCATCTCCATTTATTGGAGAGCTTTGCATATTTACCAGGCTTTACATATCTTATCTCATATAACTTTTTTCTTCTGAGAACATTTTGAGATAGCTATCATTATCTTCAGCCTGCAGATACGGAAACTGAAGCTTAGTGAGACCATGGTGGGTGCTTGAGAAAGGTAGTTGGAAATTGTAAAGTCAGACTTCAGACCTACTTATGTTGGACTATAAGTTTCATGTGATGGAACAGCTGAATTAATCAATGAATCAGTAAGGGACTACATCCTTGGCATAAGACCACCTGTGTGCAAATTCCAGTTCATTCCTATGTAGCTGTGTGTTCTCACTTAACCTCTCAAGCCTCAGTCTACCTGTCTGCAAAAAGACGACAGTATGTATGTCACGGGGTAGTAATGAGAAATAATGACAATGCGCATAATAAAAACACAGCTCAACAAAGAACTCAGAGGTAAACTACCATTAGAAACCAGCAATCCCATTACTGGGTATCAACTCGAAGAAAAATGGGTCTACCAAATGGAACATGCACTCGTATGTTCATCACAGTGCTATTCATAATAGCGATGACATGGAATCAACCCAGGTGTCCATCAACGGTGGACTAGATTAAAAAAAAAAGGGATATATATATACACCATGGAATACTACGAAGACATAAAAAGAATGAAATCATGCCCTTTGCAGCAACATGGATGCAGCTGGATGCCATTATTCTAAGTGAATTAACTCAGAAACAGAAAACCAAATACTGCATGTTCTCACTTACAAGTGGGAACTAAACACTGGATACACATAAATATAAATATGGGAACAATAGACGCTGGAGATTACTAGACAGGGGAGAGAAGAAGGGAGGCAAGAGCTGAAAAGCTATCTATTAATACTATGCTCACTACGTGGGTGACAGGATCATTCATACCCAAAACCTCAGTGTCATACAATATACCCATGTAACAAATCTGCACATGTACCCCCTGAGTCTAAAGTAAAAGTTGGAAAAAAAGAAAAAAAGCAAAAAACTCAGCTTAACATTTGGCCCATAGGCATGGCTCCGCAACTGTTGGCTCTCATCCTTATACGTTCTACCATGATTGACAACATTCATTATTTTTCTATATTGTTCTCTCATTACATCATTACATGATTAGTTATTACTTCAGAGTTGTGTGTGTGTGTCTGTGTCTTTTTAACAACTTTATTGGAGTTTAATTTACATGCCATAAAATTCACCTGTTCTAAGTATACAGTTTGGTGAACTTTAGCTTGCATATACTACTGTGCAACCATAACCAAAATCCAGTGTTAGAACATTCCCAACACTCCAAATAGTTCCCTGATGCCTATTTGCAGTCAACCCCTGCAGCTATCCCCAGCCCCAATCATTGACCTGCTTTCTGTCTTTATAGTCTTGCCTTTTCTAGAAATTTCTACATTGATGGTATATATATATATATATATATATATATATATATATATATATACACCATGGAATACTACTCAGCCATAAAAAAGAACAAAATAATGTCTTCTGCAGCAACTTGGATGAAGCTGGAGGCCATTATTTTAAGTGAAGGAACTCGAAAATGGAAAACCAAATATCATTTGTTATCACTTATAAGTGGGATTTAAGCTATGAGAATGCAAAGTCATAAGAATGACATAATGGACTTTGGGAGTACCCCAGGGGGAAGGTTGGAAAGGGATGAGGCATAAAAGACTACATATTGGGTATAGTATAAACTGCTTGGGTGACAGGTGCACAAAAATATCAGAAATCACCACTAAAGAACCGATTCATGGAACCAAAAACCACCTGTACCCTAAAAATTATTAAAATAAAATTAAAAAGTAAAACAAACATTTTTTCCAGAAAAAAATTCTACATTGGTTTTTTTCAACGTGGAAAAATTCTACATTGGTTTTTTTCCTCAAACTCTGCTCGATCTATATTAAATATCTGAGTTGTTCATTAAACATGCAAATTCCCAGGCTC
Source organism: Homo sapiens (assembly GCF_000001405.40). NCBI lineage: Eukaryota > Metazoa > Chordata > Mammalia > Primates > Hominidae > Homo > Homo sapiens. The sequence continues at coordinate 7,862,879 of NC_000016.10, read as the reverse complement.
TACCATAGACTTAATTGCCATCAAGTTAAGGCCAGGAAATTTTCATGATTAACAAGAGTCACGAGAGACTTATTCAGATAGTAAACTGTGAGCATCCTCACCTACAAATTTCAGGATTGCAAGATTGCCCCTGGCTATATTGAATGGGATCATAGCTAACAGAGCCCATGTGGCTGAGTAGGAGGATGGAAGGGGAGGAATGTTCCCCCTGGAGTGATAATCTGGGTGATCATTCTGTCCATTGCTCTTCAAAAACAATTCCCTCAGAGGGTCCTTTAAATTTGATGGGAGGCAACATGGCAGCCCCTTCCCTAGAAGAAGCCCCCATGGGACCCCAAGGACAGAACTTCCTTGGCTTTTATTAATTCTTTATCCATGGGGAGGAAACAACTATGCCACACACAAAGCTGATTGTTCCTTTGGCTGTCCCTAGAGACTAGAGCCTCAACTTGCAGCTGCTCCTGAAAGATTTGCAAATCATCCTCTTAGATCACTGTCTGTGGAGCCTGCTGAGGCTGCAGGATGTCTTCAGTGAATAAAGTGACACTCCCAGACTCTGAGGTAGAGCCCAGGGTATCCTTAGGGACAGTGTCCTGTGTCAGGGAGGCCTTCTGTCATCATGCTCAAATCATGACTGGGACTCCCTGAGGACATGGTGATTTCTCCAGCCATGAACTACCCACATTTTAAGGAGTCTGAGAGTGCAGAGGGCCTGGATCAAGTTTCTTTTAGGTTGAGGTTGCAAACTCAAATGCCTACAGAGGCCAGGCATGTAAAGAAGTGCAGCCGGAAGGAAGAGGGCTACAGCAATTTGCAGAGTGCCTGTGTTATCTAAAAAGGACTACCACTATCTATTCATTGTCAATGGTAGCCAGGAAGATAGCAAGACCCATGTTGCCAGAGCGCTGATATCTTAAGACATGCTGAATCCAGATTTGCATGTGAAAGCTCTTTATTTTATAATCGACAATTAATCTTTTACAAAGAAAAACCAGTATAGGACATGCAAAACATCTGTGGGCCATTCAGTGTATCACACAGGAGCTAAGCAGTCTTCCTGGCTGTTTCCACATTTCCCATGTGGCTAAGATGATGTTCCAACGGGAAGGCATGGGGGGTGGCATCATACTGACCTACCTTTGAGTCCCAGCTTACCTTTACCTTTCTAATCACAAACTCATTTTTGCCATTAACAGCATCGAGGCATAACGGATATACAAAAATAAAAAATAAAAAAAAAACCTGCACAACTTTAAAGTATAAAATTTGATTAACTTGGACATAGGCCCATGAAATCATCATTGCAATAAAAATAACACACATATCCATCACCTCCAAAAGTTGCCTTGTACTCCCTCACCGTCTTTTTTTGTTCTAAGAACACTTAACAAGAGGTCTATATTTTCAAACGTTGTGAAGGCACAATAGAGTAGTGTTAACTATAGGCATTGTGCGATATAACAGATGTCAAGAACTTATTCCTCTTGCATAACTAAAAATTTATACTCATTGAACAGCAGCTTGCTGTTTCTGCCTTCCCCAGACCATGACAACTAACATTCTATTATACTCTCTGTTTCTATAAATTTGACTTTTTTTTTTTTTTTTGAGACAGAGTTTCACTCTTGTTGCCTAGGTTGGAGGGCAATGGCACAATCTCGGCTCACTGCAACCTCCACCTCCCGGGTTCAAGCGATTCTTGTGCCTCAGCCTCCCAAGTAGCTGGGATTACAGGCATGTGCCACCACTCTCAGCTAATATTTTTGTGTTTTCATTAGAGAGGGGGTTTCACCATGTTGGTCAGGCTGGTCTCAAACTCCTGACCTCAGGTGATCCACCTGCCTTGGCCTCCCAAAGTGCTGGAATTACAGGCGTGAGCCAATGCGCCCAGCAGAATTTGACTATTTTAGATGCCTCAAATAAGTGGAATCTTGCAGTATTTGTCTTTCTGTGACTGGTTTATTACACTTAGCAATAATGTCTCTCAGATTCATCCATGTTGTTGCATATGGTAGGATCTCCTTTTTTAAGGCTAAATAGATTTCATTGTATAGATATAGCATATTTTATTTATTCATCTATTCATGGACATTTACGTTGTTTCTGTATCTTGGCTATTGTGGCTAATGTTGCAATAAAGATGGGAGTGCAGTTAATGCTTCAAGATGCTGATTTCAATTCTTCTGGATATATTTTCAGGAATGGAATTGCTCAATTATATGGTAGTCCCATTTTTAAGTCATTTTGGGGAACCTCTATACTATATTCCATAATGGCTGTACCATTCTGCATTCCCACCAACCAGGTACAAGGGTTCTACTTTTTCTATATGCATCAGTACACTCATCTGAAAGACAGGAAAGTAACATGTACTTATCACTGGTTCTTGTGAAAATTAAATCAAGCAAGGCATGCCTGATGCATAGTAGCTGCTCAGTAGACCTAGCTCTCTCTCCCTACTGATTTCATTTATTCAACAAACATTCTTGAGTATCTATGATCAGCCAGGAATGGAGCTAAGTGATGAAAAAGATGTTTAACCTATTGTATGTTTTATAGACATCCAGGGAGGAAAAGATAGAATGTCAAGCAAATAATACCATTATTATGTATCACCTGATGGGGACTTTTATTTTAAAACAGTGGATTACAACTTCTAGATAGAAACTTCCTCTTCTAAAATACCATGAAAATGTAAAATGTCATCAAGTGTTCACTTCAAGCATTCACACAAGGTAAAATCACAACCCAGTGCTATCAATGCTATAAAAAGAGGTTTCCTGGATTAGAGCATCCTGGTGTGGCCAGACTCTTACCCTCACCAAGACCTCCTAGAAGCTGTCTGGTGGACAGTTCCCACTGAAAATTCTCAACATTTGAGAAGGAGCGAACTAAGTGGGCATCCTTAACTGGTCTCTATTTTAATGAAAAAAAGGTAGTAAGAGTTTCTGGGAATAAATGAGTGAAACAAAAGAATTAAAAAAAAGAATATGCCTAATATGCCTATTTATGAGGGAAAGAACTGAAAGATGAGCATATATCTCAGTGGAAAGCATTCATCTCAAAGCTGAACCATGAAGGATAGATCCCAGGACATTTAACAAAATCTGAGAGTCTGTACAGAGCATCTAACAAAGAAAGCACTTTCCTTCAGGAAAACTATTTCCCTTAGTCCACAACTTGAGGCAGCAAGAAAAAGAAGACATAATACTGAATACACAGCTCTCAAACTGTGGTTTAGTGTGCAGCCTCCTTTGTGATTAGAATGGAGTCAATAAATCCCCTGTGCTTTGAGAGCAAAAAGAAGACCTGTGTAGACAGATCTGTCTAAGCATAAGGGAGATGATGGTAAAATTGCAAAGTAAAGCTAGGAGGAGAGGAATAAGAGAACACACCAATCAATCAATGAATGCAAAACACAGGAAAAAATGAGCCCAACCTGGAAGGATACCTAACAGAACAACAAACAAAGAATTACAGAAATGGTTAAGCAATAGTACTAGAACCATTTTTAAATGTATAATAATAACTCAAAGGTAAGATAAAATGACAAATACCAATATAAATGAGAAAGCACATATGCAAGGGAAAAAATGAGGAAGAGTAAGAAACTGAAATGATACTGCTGAAAGACAAGTATCTTATCTAAACCAAAGGCTTGTTATAATCTTGGTGGATACAGATAAAACTTCCAAATATTCAAGCAGTCAGAGAGAAGATATTATTTTGAAAATCACAATAGACAAATAACAATGGTTTAAAATAAAGAAAGTGAATCTATTCTAGGAAAAAAATAGTCAACAAGTGGAACAGGAAAAATAAAAGTCTTTGAAGATATAACACAAGAAAAATTTTCTGAAATGGTAAAAAAGCAAAATACCACTGAATCTGTATAATTAAGAAACACACCATTTTCCAAGAAAACGTGATATCAAATGATCTATATGAGGCATATTTTTTCTCCAAGTCTATTAGGAGACGTATAAAATCATTTGTAAAGAGTAAAATTCTGTTTGGTCTTACATTTCTCCAAAATTATATTTAATGCTAGAATAAAATGGAGCAATATGCATACAAATGTGATTCAGAAATATTTCCAGCCAAAGGAATTAGCTTGTTCTAAAGGCAACACATAGAAAGCCTCCATACAGAATTGAGGGAATAGATATTAAAAAAAAAAAAAAACTCTCATTGCTTAAATCATTGTTCGTGGGCATCACTGGGAATTAAGGAAGATTACCAGGCCCTATTGCAAACCTAGGGAATCAGAATTTGCATTTTAACAAGATCTCTGGATGGATCACTTGCATGTGGTTGACAGTACTTAGAAGAGGAGTTAAAAAAAGGAATTCAGAAAGGAAGAAACTGTGGTCAAAAGACTATGAATATTTTCTGTATTTATACACAGTACTGATATTTGGCAATTGTGAAAATCACAGTTATAAAACAAAATGTAAAGGTCATAATACTTGGTAATATAAAAATTAATAATAACATAACTAAAAAATGTGGAAGTTGTAGTGAAGTGAGGCTGGGATACATTAGTGTTTAAGAACTTCATCTTTTATAGCAGAGTCAAATAATATCATAATAAAACCAAAAGTAGTTTAAAACAATGATGATTCTGATTTCTTAATGTTTTTGTAACATCGCTTCTTAACATTAGAGAAATCTTTTAGGACATTATATCTTCTGCAATGAAAAAGTATTTATTTGAATCTCAACTATACTGTCAAATTCACTTGAGATTTTCTATTTTTGAGTACTATGACATGTGATTCTTTAATAAAACAATGGCATGCTAGATTAAAGAATTTATTCTTAAATCTGTGTTTATGCACAGAATGATATTAACCGTGATATTCACCTAATATTAATGATGGTTCTTTAGGATGATAACGTATGGGATGATTTGCAGATGTCTTTCTTTGTATATTTTTGCTTAGTACTTGTGTAATGTACTTCTTTTGTGCATGTATTTCTTTTATAAAAACAATAGGCTGTAAGTAATCCTAAGAGAGAGCAAAGGCACAGGTCCTATTTCCACTATAGTAGAAAAGAGGGCAGACTTCTTGGTTCAAAGTTCTCGCCTCTGCAACTTCCAGATAATCAAGTTTAGTTCCATCCATTGGTATTGTCAGACACATGTGAACCAGAGCAACTCCATCTTGAATAAGAGCTGGGTAAAATAAGGCTGAGACCTACTGGGCTGCATTCCCACATGGTTAAGGCATTCTAAGTCACAGGATGAGATAGGAGGTCAGTACAAGATACAGGTCATAAAGATCTTGTGAACAAAACAGCTTGCAGTGAAGAAATTGGCCAAAACCCACCAAAACCAAGATGGCAACAAGACTGAACTATGGTCATCCTCACTGCTACACTCCCACCCATGCCATGACGGTTTACAAATGCCATAGCAACATCAGGAAGTTACCTTATATGGTCTAAAAAGAGGAAGCATGAATAATCCACCCATTGTTTAGCATATCAAGAAATAACCATAAAAAGGGGCAACCAGGAGCTCTCGGGCTACTCTGTCTATAGAATAGCCATTCTTTCGTTCCTTTACTTCCTTAATAAACTTGTTTTTCTTTGCACTATGGACTCACCCTGAATTGTTTCTTGCTTGAGATCCAAGAACCCTCTCTTGGGGTCTGAATCTGGACCCCCTTCCTACAAAAGTATCCAGTTTTCCAACATCTCACTAAACTGCAACATTCAAGAGAGTAGGAAGCAAACAGGTCTTCACTATCAATGCATCTTCCTCATGTTTAATATACCAGGTGGCACAGAGTACTCAATACATATTTGTTAGATGAGTGACTTTTCTCCATGGAGGCTTCAAGATAAACTAAGACTCCTTTTACACATTTGACTATGGTTGGGATGGCTGACTTGAATTTTAAGTAACTAAAAGACTGAAAAATCTGGTGACCTTTTCTCAGCGAGAATCGGGATGTGGCTAATTGAGACTCTAGGTGCTCAGCAGTTGTAAATCTGATCCTTAAGTTTGTATGAACATGAGTTTTTCATGTTTGAATGTGGCTTAATTAAGCAAAATGTCTTATGTGAGGATTCAAATCCCTGTGTAGATTAAATGAGTCTATTTAGGATCCACTAAGACTTTGAAAGTTTTTCTCCTACTGTAGCACATTGCAATACATCTCCGTACAACAGGAGAATAAAAGAAAAGTTCAGAAAGAGAGAGAGAATCATTGCATGTTGGAGCTGTGTGGGACCTTGGGGACCATCAAGAACAACCTCTCATGCTACCCACGATATTGACTCATTGTCAAAGAAAAATAGGCCATGCCAATGAAAGAGGCTATCTCCTCCCTGTCTTGAAATAGACTCCATGGGTCGTATTGTGGCGTAGTGGAAGAATGTGGATGGAAGCTGCAAAATGGCTCAGTCCAGGTTCTAACTTTGCCTAGCAACACATTGAGTGAACCTGGCCAATTCAATTTCAGTCTCTTGGACTATCAGTTTCCACTCCTTTGAAAATTAAAGAATCATGGTAGTTGGATACTCATCAAACTTCATTATTTGAGCCATAGCATACTGATATAACAATAACAACATCATTCATTTGCTTGGAAACTGAACAAATACAAAGAGTTGAGATATTTAGGTTGGATCCAAGACAGGGACACTAATCCCTGAAAACTTGCCCCGACCATTTTCAGTCGCGATTTCATAGAGCATTAAGATTGACTTCCAGAAAAAAATAAAATAAAATTTAAATACTTGTTATAACAAAAGGAACAAAAACCAGAGGGTCATAACTAAGGGTGTAATTTCTATTTGTCATTAATAAATAATGAAACTTTGATACACTACAAAATTTGTTTGTTACAGGTAGGGAAAGGCCATCACCAATCAGACGATTCTCCAGCCACTGGAGGGAAAAGGAGGCCTCTTTATTTTTAGTAAAATTGATAATGTTGGTCAAAGAAGAATAACACTAGGTATGAGGTGCCTGTACACTCCAAAGGGAGAAAGCTGAGATGCCACCAGTTATGAGGCAGAGATGGTGAGATTCTCATAAGAAGGATAACATAGGGCCTACGGCCTTGAGTCTGGAGTTCAACAACACTGTGTTTTATATGCAGGATCCTGGAAAATTTTGTTTAAATTCTTTATTCCTAATTTTACATAACTCTAACAATTAGGACCCCCACTACTGAGCCTTTCCTCCTATTTCCCCTAAATAAGCACTTTAACTATATTTTGCTTTTCTTACAATAGCTATAGAAAAACAATATGGAGAAAAAAAATGAACATGTGGAAACCATAAAGGTAACTAGACATTTTAGAAGGTTCTTACAGTTCTAGTTCTTGTTCTAAAATTCCTGACACCCTTTGAGTAGGCAAATGAAAAAAAAATGTGTTGAAGAACATGAGTTTGAGTTTTGGAGACACACAGTCCAACTAGGTCACATGACCTTGGTTAAATCAGACCATTAATTTAACACACCTTGCTATTGAAAATGGGATGAAATTTCATGAAGACTGAATGAATAAATAAATAAGCACAAGTTTGGGTGATGCATGAATAGGGCATGAGAGGTCCCTTGTGGTGTGCAAATTAATTTGGCAAACACTGGCTTTGCAGCTTTGGATGAATAAACCTAGGTTTGAATATCAGTGAGTTAACTTAGCTGTGGTATCTCCGTCGAATGATATAACCCCTGTCTGTCTCTTTCATTCTAGATACAAGATGAATAATGAAATCTACTTGGTTTCAATGAGGTAATAACACATGTAAATCACCTGGCAGAGAGAGATCGTAATAATAATACTCAGTAAATGGGAACAAGTGTTTTGTTTTGTTTTTACTGGGTTAATGCATATATTTCCCCCCCTTGACTTTAAGCAGTTTGAAAGCATGGATATCGCCTGTTTCTTTTTTTAAAATGACTCCATCAGTAGGTACTCAATATGTATTTGTTGGATTAATTAATTATTATAGAAGGATATGAATGTCCTCCCTAGAATGCACCAGACAATAAATTCTCCTGCTATGAAATCGTAGTATTATTTTTCCCTAATGGTTGTTGTGATGCCATCGTTAACCTCTTAAGGAAAAGCCACCCGAGAGCTATTTTAATGTTTTGAGTTATACTTCCTAGATTGTGACAAAATATTCTAGCTGGTAACTACAGATGGTGCCTCTTTCACCGTAAAGGTGTCTCATCTGTTTTTCTTGCTACTTCTCAGGCTATTTGCCACAATTAAGTACAGCAGCAGAAATTCCCACAGGCTGGTTTATGTTGTGTTTAAAAAGTTAATTAAATTGCCAAGTTGTTAAGTTGTTAAATTTAAAGTTAAAAAAATCTATTAGCAAGTTTGCTCCTGATTAAAGTCATGAGACCCATGTGTTTGATTTTCAACTTGGTCCTTTCCAGCAATAAACATTAAAAATAAAACAATTTCATTTTATGACCAAGCCCTCTACAATGCCTTGTGTGTGATGCATTAGGGAGGAAAAAAAAGCAGCTAAATTACAATTCATCTGCACACAAAACTTCCAAAGAGCATATTTCTCTTGGCAGGGCAAAATGGGTAAGTAGTGAGTTAAAAACCAAGCATCTGTCCAAAGTTAATATATGTCATTTTATATTTTATACTCTGTTCTCATGAGATAATGGCAAAGAAGATGTCCTTTGTCTTCTTCAGATGCTAGATTATTTATCTAATAGGGCATTGGAGTTGGGAGATATTTTGGCCAGTAATGACTAGGAGACAGACAGGTCTGGCTTTGATTTTTGGCTAGCAAACAGGCTGGTAAACTATCCTGGGTTTCCAATTCCCCACTGGTTCACTGAAGGTATGATAATAAATACCTCCAAAATTGTGGAGAGAATTAATAAGACAATGGTACATGGCAACTATTATTTTTAAAAATTGCCCTATTCATGGAAAACTGTATAGGGTATAGAATCAAGTCTAGCCTCTGGGGTCAAAGAGCCTAAGTTTAAATGCCAACTGAATCAGCGTGTAATGTTGGAAAAATTACTCAGCTTTTCTGCATGAGTTTTGAGTCTGTGAGGTGAGTATAATGATGGTATGAAATGCATAAGGTTAATATAAAGATTAAGTGAATAAAATAAAACATTTCTAAAATAGTGCTTGGCACAAAGTAGGTTGATTAATAAATATTAGCTGTTATATTATCATAGGTTGATTAAGGAATATTAGCTGTTATCATCATAGCTGTTATCAATATATTCTGATCTGTGTGCATATATTTCATTTCTCTATCTATCATCTATCTATATAGGAGATAATTTAAAGGAAAAAATGTGCTAATAAATTCGGATCTTAAGAGATGCTTTAATAGAACCGGTGTTAGAATAATCAAAACCACAAGTTGGAAGAGGTCTTAGAAAACAGCAATTCTATACTAACTGCTGAATGAATCTTCCCTGCCATCCTCTGACAGGTTGTCACTGGAAATGTGACGTGGAACTCTCTACCTTCTGACAGCCTGTACTAGTGCTGGACAGCTCTAATTTTTGGCAATCTCATTCTTCTATTGATCTGAAGTCTGTCTCCCTTCTATATCAGGGTTACACAGAAGACATCTGCTCAGTCTTCTACATAATAGCTCTTCAGAGACTTGAAGGGAATTGTCATGAGTCCTGAGACATCTCTTCTCCAAGATAAAAAGCCCTCATCTTCAGTGAACACACGCTCAAGATTCATTTCAAATGCCACCACCTCTTGAAAGCCTCCCTTGCTCTCTCTGGAAAGAGCTAAGCATACCTTCTTCAGAGCTCTTCTGCTGTCTCAGCCAGCCCTTCCTTGCATCTTTTATCCCAATACACTGTCATTACATGTTTATATTCATTTGCTTGCCCAACTAGCCTGTTATCTTCAGGGGTCCTGGCAGATTTATCTTTGTTTTCTGTTGGTGCATACTTATGGCTGAAAAAGCAGCTTGGGGTCCCTCAAAAATATAAACATAGAATTGCCATATAATCTAGTAATTCTACCTCTGGGTATACTCACAAAAGAATTCAAAGAAGGGTCTTGAAGATATATTCGTACACCTGTGTTTATAGCAGTATTATTCATGATAGCCAAAAAGTGGAAGCAAACCAACCTCTGTCCTTTAGAAGATGAACAGATAAACAAAATGTGGCATATGCATACGATAAAATATTATTTGGCTGGGTGTGGTGGCTCACTCCTGTAATCCCAGCACTTTGGGAGGCCAAGGTGGGTGGATCACTGGAGGTCAGGAGTTTGAGACCAGCCTGGCCAACATGGTGAAGCCCTATCACTACTAAAAATACAAAAATTAGCCGGGCATGGTGGCACGTGCCTATATATATATATATATATATATATATATATATATATATATATAAAATACTTGGCAATGGAAATTAGTTCCTCTAAGCCTCAGTTTTTACTTCTTTAAAATGGGCATAGTCTATGTGACCATAGACTTGATTTAAAAATCCATGAGATAGTCAAAAGCTCTTACCAGGATGTACAGTAAAACAATTTGCTTACACATGCTACAAGATGTATGAACCTTGAAGACATTATGCTAAGTGAACTATGCCAGTCACAAAAAGACAAATACTGTATAATCTCACTTATATAAAGTATCTAGCATAGTCAAATTCACAAAGAAAGTAGCATGGTGGTTACCAAGCGCTGGGAGAAGAGAGGAGTGGGGAGTTAGTGTTTAATGGGACAGAGTTTCCGTTTTGCAAGATGTAAAGAGTTCTGGAGATGGATGGTGGTGATGGCTGTACAACAATACAAATGTGCTTAATATCACTAAACTGTACATTGAAAATGATTAAGGTAGTAACTTTTATATGTATTTCACCACAATAAACGTAATAAAAAATAAAATAATTGCTGCTGAATAATTGAATGAATGAGTTTATGTTTTAACTGAAAAAAGTAATACCTGTTCATCTTTGCAGATGCTTTGCTCAGTGGAAGAAGATAATTTGATGAAGGCAAGGCCATTTCTGGTACTCCTAAATCACACCATTTTAAAAGCTACTTATGTGGCATCCACCCAGAACCTGTTTTAGTGAGAACAAAGGTGCCTTCAGCAGTTCTAAGAGGTCTGTCTAAACCCTAGTTTCTTTTGTTCATATTTTCTTTTTGAAAACTAAGCTCTATCGATTGGCCCAACAATACTGCAGGCTTGGAGGGAGATGCAGCCAACTTTACTACTGCAGTTAGTAGGAGACACTTCCAGTGGAATACAACTTTCCAGTGAGACGATGACCCCATCTGTGTACTGTTACATTTATAGGGGATAATCTTCTACAAGAGATCCAGATTTCAATCTCAATTGCCAATAAGTCTGTATGTCCTTAGGTAATCCCTGTCCCTTCTCATCGAATATCAGCTTCACCATCCGGAAACAAAGGAGCAGATTTTGATCATCACAAAGAAAGCAGTAAAACAGGAGTTCTAAGAGCTTAAAAGTTTGGAGTCAGGTAGTGCTGGCTCTAGGACAAACTGCCAACACTTAATGAGATCGTTAAACTTGGCTATGGCAGCTGGGCATGGTGGCTCACGCCTGTAATCCCAGCACTTTGGGAGGCTGAGGGGGAGAAATCACTTAAGGTCAGGAATTTGAGACCAGCCTGGCTAACATGGTGAAACCCCAACTCTATTAAACATACAAAAATTAGATGGGCATGGTGGCAAGCGCCTGTAATCCCAGCTACTCAGGAGGCCGAGGCAGGAGAATCGCTTGATCTGGGGAGGCAGAGATTGCAGGGAGCTGAGATCACGCCACTGCAGTCCAGCCTGGGCAATAGAGTGAGAGTCTGTCTCTAAATAAATAAATAAAATACTTGGCTATGGAAATTAGTTCCTTTAAGCCTCAGTTTTTACTTCTTTAAAATGGGGATAGTAATAGAAATGACCATAGACTTGACTTAAAAATCCATGAGATAGTCAAAACTCTTATCAGGATGTACAGTAAAACAATTTATTTGGGCATCTATTGTAATTATTCCTTTCTGCTCTGATGTTTTTGCTCAGAAGAAGAACAGTTGTTCTACTTGTACTTTCTAGAGATTCAGTAGTAATCACCCAAGCCATGCGTAATTGTCTTGCTAGGTCAGGTGAATGAGATTCAGAGGACTCCTTCATTTATGTGGCCAATGAGGTATCGTTGGGGGTCTTAGGACAGTCAGGCTTCAGGGACCAGGCTGCACAAACAGTCCTTTCTAAAGACATCACAAAACACTCAGCAAACTCCTACAAATTAAAAGTAGCATGTGCAGCTAAATTCAAATTACTGCAAATTACTTTCAAATTTTCAAGTCTGCATCATATTATGTATAACTTGGGAATTACAGATTTTAAAAATGTAAGGGAACATTTTGTTTTCCAACTTGTAATAAAACAACATTCGCTGATAGAGCCCAGGCTCCCTTCAGGTGAGTTTTTCTCTGTACCTTTATGCTGTTATAGCAGGATTTGAGGACACAATGTGTCCATTTAAAACAATAACTTCTTTAATACATCCTGAAGTATGGCTGTCAAGTATCAAGATCATTCATTCTTCTGCACTGCACCTTTCCATAATACTATCTCATGAAACCTTTAGCCTCAGTATTCTTTATAGTGTTAATTTCCTAGGGAAAAGAATTCTCCCTGGGTCTTATTCTGTGAAAACAACCCTCTATTCTCCATTCCACAGAACCCAGGCATGGAACACATTGCCCAAATGTCACTGAGTTTCACTGCATCAGAAGTTACGTAACATAATCCAGTGCAAAGCAGAATGAGGAAATACCAGGTGGCTGTCAGGGGTGGCTATCTCACACTCTGCTGTGCTGGGCTACCTTCCAGGAAGGAAGCATTCACTCCTCATTTTGTGAACAGTCAACTGTGGCAACACGGATCCCTGTAACTGGATTTCATTATGGAAATGTTACTAAAGAGGGCCACAGGCTCCAAAATCCATTAAACTGTTTTCTATTGCTTTACATATTCTTCTGCGATAAAAATAGCCTGATATTTGAATTTAAGAAGCCACTGCCTAAAGGGGAACAGATGGATATTAAGAAGATTATAATAAAGAGGGGGATTATCAAAAAAATAAAATGGGAGTTGGGGAAGGGATCATTCTTAGACTTTAGGCAAGTCAGTATTGGGGGTGACGTGTTTTCCAGAATGTGACACTACCCTCGTTGGAAGTAAAACCTCTCAGCATCTTGGTCACACCGAGGGGATCTGCAGCTGTGTGTTGTTGGGTTTTATTTCACAGCAGTATTTCCCTGACTGCCCAGGGGGTTTGTTTGCAACTTCCCTCTCTGAAAACGCTATTTGTGTTCCAAGGTCCACTTACCACAGCTCTCAACAAAAAGAACCTCTTCTTTCTCCTTCTGTCTGCTTTTCTACTTTGCCTCCTCTCCACAAAAAGCAAAGGGTCTATCACCACATACTGCAATGCACCTGCTATACACGCTTGCATTTCTGCAACCTCAATACTCTAAGGTTTGGGCAACAATCAACCTTAAAATCATGCAATCAACTTTTGTCTTTTTATCCTTCTTAGTAGTTTGGGATAGCTGCTTGGAGGCTCCATCCCACGAGCGTCTGTCTCCTAAACAGCCATCTTTACAGTGATTTTTTACAACACCATACTCAATGCTAATAATTAATTTAACTATGTCTCTCACCATGCTGCCACTCATTCTACTTGTTCCTTAACTGTTCCCATCCAAAGCCTTTAAAATCTTTTATTCTGAACTCCCTGGACACTCTCAACTCCTACATTGTGTTTAGAACATTTAGAAATTCAATTCCATAGTGATATGGTTTGGCTGTGTCTCTGCCCAAATCTCATGTTGAATTATAGTTCCCATAATCTCCACTTGTCATAGGAGGGAATTGGTGGGAGGTAACTGAATCATGGAGTTGGTTTCCCCCATGCGATTCTCATGACTGTAAGTTCTCATGAGATCTGATGGCTTTATAGGCAGGTTCCCCTTTCACTCTGTTCTCATTTTTTTTTTTTTTTTACTCTGTTCTCATTCTGCCATGTGAAGAAGGATGTGTTTGCTTCCCCTTCCACCAAGATTATAAGTTTCCTGAGGCCTCCCCAGCCATGCTGAACTGTGAGTCAATTAAACCTCTTTCTTTTATAAATTACCCAGTCTTGGATATGTCTTTATTAGCAGTGTGAGAACAGACCAATACACATAGTTTCATTAACATTTTCCACATTGTCAAAACAGAGGTATGTGCTCCTGTTTTGCGAATTCTTATCTAAGGACTACTTATCATTACCTGTCATTGTATCATCAATCAATTAGGCAGAATTGTGATATCACAAGATCCACTGCCCACCTCTGTTTGTTGTATAGTTTATCTTTCTGTCTGTAGATATTTATTTTTATTTAATTTTCTTCTGATTCAAGTACCTCCTCAATCAACTTCTTCAAACACCTTTGCCTCTGCACTTGAACAAGAGTTGTATTTTAGTTGGATGTGAAATACTTTATCACCATCCTTTTTACCAAACAGGCTACAAAGTGTGGTAGGTGAAATATCAGAAATCTGCCTAATTCTCTGTCTTGTATTTGTAGTCTGTTATTTTCATCAAAATAGCACAATTTTTTATCTTTAACACTTGGGTATCTCACAAGGATTTACTAGAAATTTGTAAGTCTGTAAGTCTTATCCACAAAGATGTGAGTTATTTTGGTTTAACAATTCATATTCATCTTTAGTGTGGTTAGTTTTTTCTTTTATTTCTGTGATTAATATTTCTCCTCAGTCTCTTACATTTTATACTTTAAGAATTCCAACTGTTAGCACATTAAGACTTTTCCATCTGTCTCCAAATCTCTTAGTTTTATATTGGAGTTTTATAGGTAGCCAGCTAGATAAATATAATAATTATGAGTATAAAGTTGAATGGGTTTCAAATCATGAAGCAGAATATTCCCAACACCAAAAAGCCATCCTCATTTTCCCTCCCAGTCACTCTCATCCCTCTCCCACCACCAGCACAATGGTAACCAATATTTGCATTTTTAACTACATAGATTAATTTTTATCTGATTTTATACTTTAGGTAAATAAAACAATAAGGTGTGTACTATTTTGTCTCTGGCTTCTTTCACTTAGCATTCAGTTTGGGAGATCCATCCACAGTGTTGTGGAATAAAGTTGGTCCTTTTCTCATTACTGTATATTATTCCATTGCATGAATATGCCACAATTCATTTATCCGTTCTACTGTTGAAGGTCATTTGGGTCATTTCTAATTTTTTCCCATTTTCTTCTGGGACTCACTGAAGTAGCTTCAGACTATTATCGTTTGTCTATAACTGTATTTTCTCTGTGGGGATTTAACATTTTTTTTCTCTGAATATCAGCCGTTTTGATTTTTCACTACAGTGTGTCTTGGGAGGGACTTATCTCATCTCTGTTGACTCTACTCACTGCTCAGCCCTTTCCAACATGAACAACAAATGCTACTGGCATTGTCTCTTCTTCCTTATGGGTAGGCACATTACATAATCACCTCATTTACTCCTCACATTATTCCTGCAAGGAAGGAGCCATTTTGCACATCTCACGGGTGAGCAAACTCTGGCTCAAATGGGAAACACGTCTAACCAGTTTGAAAAGAATCCAATCCAGGCACGGTGGCTCACGCCTGTAATCCCAGCACTTTGGGAGGCTGAGTGGGGTGGATCACCTGAGTTCGGGAGTTCAACACCAGCCTGACGAACGTGGAGAAGCCCCGTCTCTACTAAAAATACAAAAAATTAGCCAGAGGTGGTGGCATGAGCCTGTAATCCCAGCTACTCAGGAGGCTGAGGCAGGAGAATCACTTGAACCCGGGAGGCGGAGGTTGCAGTGAGCCGAGATCCCGCCACTGTACTCCAGCCTGGACGACAGAGCGAGACTTCATCTCAAAAAAAAGAAAGAAAAGAATCCAAATTCTAACAATTACCATATCCTAAACTTGACTTGACACATCCTAAAGACATACATTCTCATGAAATACCAGATTCTAGGTGTAAATGTATTCTGATAGTGTAGTATAAACTTCACAGTGCAGAAAAAAAAATAAAACAACTAAAGATGCTTCACTAATACAAACAAAAAATATAAATAATACCAAGAGTTTTATAACCAAATATTTTTAGGAAATGTGAGGCTAAATATCGTTTACTTATTTTGCTTTAACTATAAGACTTAAAGCCTTTAATATGCTTCTGAGCTGTAAATATCCCCAAGGGGAAGATGGGAGGGATACAGATAAATCGCATGTGGAATTGACAAAATTTTGAAGCTTTTAAAAGATTATAATCTGTTTATTTCTCCCCAACATTTTATTATAAAAATTTGCAACCAAATAGAAAAATTAAAAGACTTGTTCAGCGAATACCCACGCATGTTTTCACCACCTAAATTCTACAATTAACACTTTGCTGCCTTTGTTTTATTTATCTATCCATCTATCCTTCTATTTTTCCTATTATTCTTCAATCCTTTTTATTTTTGGAGCCATTTTAAAGCAAATCACACCATATCAGAACTCTTCAAACATGAACACTTCAGCATGCATATTATGAACTAGACTTAAACATATTTCATGGTCACATTTTTAATTGAGGTAAAAATAACATAATGCAAAATGTACAAATTGAAGGGTATCAAACAATGATTTTTGACAAATGTACAGATCTGTGTGACCCGAATTCATTAGCCCAGAAGGTTTCAGCATGCTTCTTTCCAGTTAATCCCCACTCCCACCCACTCACCCAGAGGAAATCACTTTTCTGGCTTTTTAAAATCACTACCCAGCAAAATTACCATTTGTATTTTTTGTCACCAAAGATTACTTTTGCCTGTTTAAAGCATTATTTAAATGGTATCAACTTTCAATCATTATGATGTTTTGGGATTCATCCATGTTGTTTTACATATATGCAATTGTGATAGAACTTTTTTTTTTCTGTAGCATTTCACTGAGGTAGTGTGCTGTGGAATACACTTTAGTGAATGCTAAGCTATCGATTTGGGAAAGTGGAGAACTAACCTGAAGAAAAGAAAGACTTTTCTCTTTATTGCAAAGAAGTAATAGTCACTTTTCACTTTTCAATTTTTTAATATATATCTTGTATTTTATTATTTATATTATTAAATTTATATTTTATTTACTGTATTTTATACTTTATATTCTACTGTGTATATCTTATTTACTGTATTTATTTAAAATATACAGGATATTAAATGCTTGATCACTGGAATGGGCAAAGAGGCAATGTCTATGGTTTTAACTTGGCACCTTGATTTATTTTTAATGCAGTTTGCTCTAATGACTGTTTCTATAAGAACTCCAAATTAATGAGTGTCCCTTTTCCTACTATAACACCTAACAGTTTGTCTATATCTCCAGATTGTATGAGAATCCTATTGGACAGTGCCAAGGAAAGTGCTATACAGACTGTGAAGTACTGTACCAAGGCCGGTTGCCAGCAAGTAAAGTACTATACAAACTGTGAAGTACTGTACCAATGCTGGTTACCGTCATTAATGACAATGACTGTAAACCCATTTTTACCCCCTTTGGACTCACAGGAACTTAAAGTTGCAAGAAAATGTGGGTATTGCTCACTTCATCGAGCATTTCAATTTTTAGATGGGAAATTGAGACCCAGAGGTGGAAATGACAAACCAGCTGGTAGAGGCAGAACTACCACATCCCAGCTACTTCCTAATCATAGCCCTCTGAAACACAAGTTGTATTTAACTTTAAATGTTTAGGTGACATTAAAAATGTCACCTAAACATAACTTGGGTTTTTAATTAAGGAGACCTGGAAAAAAATTTGTCTATATCTGCCAGGGTGACCAACATCCCAGTTGGCCCAGGACTGTCATAGTTTTGGCACTGAAAGTCCTGTCTGCCCAGAGGAAATCCCTCAACCACGGAAAAACAGATGGCTGGTCACCCCAAGTCTTCCCTGGGGTCAGACAACTTCAAAAAAGTTGCATTCGAATCATTCTGGAAAGTCAGGCCATCATCTTATCCAGGGACAACCAGAAACCCACTTAAATCTATTTCCTACTTTTCTACTAGAAGAAGGGATCATGCAAGAAATGCTTCCTATATCACTTGGACATTAAGCTGCTCTTATTTGAGGGCTACATAGTGCAATGGTTAAGAACTAAGACCTTAGAATAGACAACCTGCATTTAAATCTCAGTCCTGCTCCCGTGTGACATTGAGCAAGTCACACATTCAGCCCACACATTGAGTAACTTCTGCCTGAAGGAAAAAAGACAAAAGAAAAATTTGAAACTATCATTGCTTCTTGTCTTTTCTACTTTTACTTCCCATTTTCTCTCTGATTGGTCAAGTTATATTTCCTTTGTTTCCCCCTTCTTTTTCCCACTTAGACTGGCTCACACATTGAGCAAGTCTAAGCCTCAAATGTTTTGCCTTTGGAATGGGGAGAGTACCTACCTATCTTGCATGTTATTTTGTGGAAGAAATGGGATTACTTATATCAAGGGTTTAGCAGAGTGTCTGGCACACTGTTAGTGTCCTATAAAGGGTAACTCTTTTTATGACTTAATACACAAGCCTTAGAAGAGAAGCTTAAAGACCAATCTGGGAACAGCTTCTGCAGGGACCCTACCTATGAACATTCCTCATGGTTTGATTCAGTGGAGAAGTTTGCTTTCACTAGATGAAAAGCAGAGGCAGTAGCTAAAGAGCAGGCATTCACCCTAGCTCTAAGGGTTAAACAAAGAGACAACTGCTTTTACATGAAAATGTTTTTGTCACCCCCTTTTAATCTGAAACCTTTTCATCTGCGTTGAAGCTTCAGAAGTCAGATTTCAATGAAGTCACTTTGAGACTCGTGCTAGCAATGGGACTTTAATTACCTTTCTCAGACACAGAGATGGCTCTTGTCTTAAAAAAAGAATGTGGAGGAGAGAAGGAAAGGAAAGGAAAGGAAAGGAAAGGAAAGGAAAGGAAGAGAGAAAGAAAGAAAGAGAGAGTAAAGAAAGAAACTCTCTCTCTCTTTTTTTAACTTTGTGCATTCTTTTTCCCCCCCAGATTGAAATCTTTTGTTCCTGGCACTTTCCATATGTCACTCTTTAATATTTAATCAGCCCCCACCTCGTCAGAAGACTGCTGGCCTCATTAGATAATTAATGGTTGCCAGGTTCGCATTTGCTTCAGTTAATACATCTGCAGCCAGCAATTAGCGCCTGAGTTTATTTGTTGTACTGGCTTCATTTATTGGGGAAGCAATTCTGCTTTTGATTGAAGCTATTGGGATTGGTGTATGTGGACAGCTTGCCCCCTATTCCGGGATTCTTTTGTTTACATTTTTTTGCTGCAGTTTTGCAACACTGCACATCCTGGCCCTGCCACGAACAGTTGGCGGGGAAGATTTCCCTTTTATAATTTAGAAGATAATTGGGTAATTCTGCGCAGGAGAGAGCGGCTGCAAAGTGATTCTCTGACTTTGGGTGGGGCGAGGAGCAGGGAGGGAAGCTGCTAGCTAATTTGTTCTTATGGAAATGTCTTTTTTCTTTCTTTCAAAGCCATAGATCCAAAGCTGCAGAATATTCACTGAGGAGGAAAGCATGCTAAGAAATGTGGTCTAATGTGTTAGGCAGCTGCCTCAAGGGAGACCTTGCTGCTTGGAGGTGGGACGTTGCCAATAGACTGGGTCTTCTTCTACCTTTCATCTCTAAACTCAACTCCACACTTTGTCCCTGTCTCCACCACACTTTTTATAACTACAAGGAATCATGTCATTTTCACTGGCTTTTCAGGCTTGCATTTCTGCTGCCTCCAATGGCAGCCGGTTCATTCCCGGTGATTAAAATCTTGGCTTATCAGCAACATGATTTCCCTAGTCAAATTCGGCTTGGCTCCTGATGCCAGAAATCGGAGGATGATCATTAAGAACACAACAATGATGTAATATCAGAATAAAGTGAGGATGATGTTTTGTAGATTTGTTAGAAAAAAATGGGAAACAAAGAACATGTAACTTGACCAATCAGAGAGAAAATGGGAAGTAAAAGCAGAAAAAACAAGAAGCGATGATGGTTTCAAATTTTTCTTTGTCTTTTTTCCTTCAGGCAGAAGTTACTAAATCAAGATCAATCTAAATACATATGAAATCAATAGAAGGAAGTAATGATGATGATAGTGAAGACAACAAATTATTGAGCATTGTCCAAATGCCAAACATCCTGCTAGATACATGCACGGTGTTTTCTCGTTTAATCTTGAGGCATCTCCACCCTTGTTCTCCCTCTTTTATGGATAAGAAAAACTGAGGCCCACAGATTTAAACATGTTTCCCCAAGATCTTACAACTTGTAAGTATCTGAGCTTATTCATGGAATCATATCATGCATTATTCAATTTGCATGCATCGTTTTTATTTCATTCTCCTAAGAACATTGTAAAGTTCTACGAGGTTAAGTCACTTGCCCAAGATGACACTACACATAGGGAAACTATTTGATTCCCAAACCTCTTTCTTCCACTACCAAGACTAATAGGCCAGGCGCGGTGGCTCACAGCTGTAATCCCAGCACTTTGGGAGGCCGAGACGGACGGATCACGAGGTCAGGAGATCAAGACCATCCTGGCTTGATGAAACCCCATGGTGAAACCCCATCTCTACCAAAAACTAAAACAAACAAACAAACAAACAAACAAACAAAAAAACAGCCAGGCATGGTGGCAGGCACCTGTAGTCACAGCTACTCAGGAGGCTGAGGCAGGAGAATGGCGTGAACCTGGGAGGCGGAGCTTGCAGTGAGCCAAGATTGCGCCACTGCACTCCAGCCTGGGCAACAGAGTGGGACTCTGTCTCAAAAAAATAAAAAAATAAAAAATAAAAAAAGACTAATAACATATGGGGGCCCAACTAAGGTTCAGGTGGAAGAAGGAGTCTACAATGATTCCAGCCTGCTCAAAATCATATACTAAAGTTTGGAATTCTCTATTATGTTATCAAAATCCTTTGGATGAGTAAATACTTATATATACTTCTTCAGGCCTGAATGGTAAGACAGATGTATTGTTTCACTTACTCAATGTTTATTTTCAGGGTCAGTTGAGTTCTTGACCCTGGGCACAGTGTGTTCACAGAGGTGAACCAAAGCACCAGTAAAAACATACAAGGTAGACAAGTGCCCTTCCAGAGCAGTCCCTCTCAAACTTTAATACACACAAATAATATGAAAACCTTGTTAAAATATAGATTGTGAAGAATGGGAGGAACCTGGAATTCTGAATTTTTAAAAAAGATTCTGAGTAATATCAATGCTGGTTAAACAGTGGTTCTCAACCCAAAATGTGCACCTTGGTGTCACTTGGGGTGTTTGTGTTTCTAAACACCAATTTCTAGGCACCACCTCTATCAATTAAATCAATATTTCCAACTTTTCAATGTTTTTTCCCTGTAAATTTAAGTTGTTTATAGATGCTGGATATTAGACCTTTTCAGATACATAGTTTGCAAATATTTTCTTCCAGTCTGTAGGTTGTCTGTTTATTCTATTGATAGTATCATTGCAGCACTATTCACAATAGCAAAGACATGGAATCAACCTAAATGTCCATCAATGACAGATTGGATAAGGAAAATGAGATACATATACACTGTGGAATATTATGCAGCCATAAAAAAGAATGAGATTATGTCTTTTATGGGAACATGGATGGAGCCAGAGATTATCCTTAGCAAACTAATGCAAGAACAGAAAACCAAATACCACATGTTCTCACTTATAAGTGGAAGCCAAATGATGAGAACTCATGAACACAAAGAAAGGAATGACAGACACTGATGAGATACTAGGCTTAGTACGTGGGTGATGAAATAATTTGCACAACAAACCCCCGTAATACGAGTTTATCTACATAATGAACCTGCATATGTACCTCCAAACGTAAAATAAAATAAAAAAAAAAATGCATCGTCCCCAGGACTGTGCTCAGGATTTAGCGTATTTTAGAAGTACCCCGCTGTTAATTCTAACACATATTCAAGGGCACTGGCTTAAAAAGAAAAATCTTAGCAGGACAACCTCAGCTGAGTATCACATAAGTGAAAGAAACCAAGAGAAGAAAAAGTGGCAGATAAAGAATATTCCCATTTACAAGACAAGAATGAAGACATTCCTGGATTATAAACCATCCAGTTCTCCCACTTCTCTCTAGTAAGGTACACAATACTATTGTAGAGAAACATGACTTGCCATGTTAGTGCAAGTTTTCTGGGCAAACATAAATAAGCGTTAAACTTCTATTGTCTTAAAATTCTCGTCTGTAAAATGCAGCCAGCACATGACCCGCCTGATTGGTCATGGCAGTGAGGCAGTGAGAGTGAAAGAAATTAACAAATGGGTGGGTTCTTTGCAAAGGCTAATGAGAGCCACGGCAAAGCAAGGCACAGTTACTAATAACACTTTACCCTTGGGCAGGACATGCTCTGCCAAGCTGGAGAAGCCTCCAAGGCAATTGCTGTAATTACGGTTCAATTCTAAACACCTGTAATGTGCAGCTTAGTTAAAAACATGTTCATCAGATTTTATTTTTCTTATAAAGTAGGAGAATTAAAAGAGACCTCAGAATATATTTGAGTATAGTGTTTCCCAGAATGTGACATTTACTATTGATAAACAGAATGATTAGGGGTGATCTATCAATAAACTTAAAATTAATCATGTTTTAATATACATGAGACAGACATTGGTTTTTGGTGATTATATAAAATTGTGTTGTGGGATGCATTTATTTAAGTGAAAACAGTGAAACAACTTAAAGACCTTTATTATGCACTTTCGTACTGTAACTTAAGTAACAAATATAATCTAAGAAATAAGTAATGAGTTGAGGAAGATGGAATGTAAATTGTTGCTTGTAGCTTGTGGAACACTGTTCCAAACCAGCATCTACAGTGGCCCAAACATGCCCTCTCTACTTGGCTCCCTCCTCCAAATGTCGGACACAAATGACCATACTTGCCTTCACGAGATCTGCATTTTTGGCAAGAGGATGTGATGCTTTTATGATTTTAGGACTAGTACAGCAGAGGCTGGAAGGATGCACATGTTTTAAGAGGTGACTTCGGAAGGACCTGTCCGTGGTGCTGCTTGTGAGTCCCAGCTCTGAACAAATTATCCAGCTTCAGGGACAGCTTCTTTTCTACAGTGAGCACTGGCTAAACTTGCAGATGCCTTCCAGTGCTAAAATCTGATGGTCCTTCCTTAGGACTGGTATTGATCCTTAGAGTTAGCAAGTCCACTTCATGAACTTGCCCTGAGGAAAGAACCAATGAAACAAGTAAACCCTAGCTACAAGAATGCACGTTGACATTATTCTTGTAGTTAGTATTTTTTTTAGGTTCAGGTAGGAGCAAGTGTGTGATTAAGTTGAACTGTATAAAACAGCCATGTTTGTAAATAAAAAACAGGTGAATATTAGCAGTCAGACGTGTAACAATAGGAGAGCTCTTACGCAAATTGGGGCATATTCTATGTACTAATACATTCTGCAACCATCTGCAATAACGCTATATTCAAAGTATTTAATAACAGTGATTTTGCTCAAAATATAGTCTTTTGGATAGAAAAGACAAACAAAAGAAATACGTTGGCAAACAGTATAAAGAAGGTTATTTGTTTAGAAGGTACCCCTGCATAGAGAAAGGGTGTAACACTCTATGTGTTAGTCTTGTGTGCTTTCTCATTTGTAATCACTGGCTGTGATGGCTTCTTCTTTATTGAGTAAGATTTTTAAAGTTAATTTTAAGTAAAGTTTTGTTTCGTTTTGGAGATGACAACTTGCTCTGTCACCCAGGCTGGAGTGCAGTGGCGTGATCTCGGCTCACTGCAACCTCTGTCTCATGTGTTCAAGTGATTCTCCTGCCTCAGCCTCCCAAGTAGCTAGGACTACAAGCATGTGTCACCATGCCCAGCTAATTTTTAATACAGACTGGGTTTCTCCATGTTGACCAGGCTGGTCTCGATCTCCTGACAACTACATCCAGTTCTTAGTCGATTCTCCTTCTCTTTCTCTCTTAACCATGTCAGGATACTAAGTAGTGCACTTGCTGCTATCATTTTCTTTCACTCCATGAAGTTTATTATTCACGTTTTTTTGTTAAGTAGCCTCAGAATACTTCTCAACAGATTGTTCCAGGCAGTCATTTCCAGTCAATCAGAATTATCATAAAAGGTATGTGAATTTTCTTACATTGCTCTAGACCCAGTCACTTAGATATTTACCCCCTGCCACAGCCTTACCTCTATACAAATGGCTCTCTTTCTCATCCATTAATTTTCCCCTCTGAGCCTTGCCTAGACTTATACAACTGCCATCTTAATTTCTCTCTTAGCCACTCCTAGTAATTGAGGATCACCAGTGTGACCAGTGAATCCTGGTTTGTTGGGAATTCACTAGATTTAAAAACTTAAAATCTCGCGGCCCAGGAAGGCCATCAGTCTCAGGCAAGCTAGGAGGTCTGGTTTTTCCAGTACTGATATGATTTAGGTAGGGTCATTGCAGACAAGAGGATGATTGACCTGTCAAGCTGCTTGTCACATAACTGAGCTAAGGCCGGGGGATGAACTCCACCTTAAAGTCTATAGAAGGCCTTTGAGAAAACAACTTAACTACTACTTAACTAGAGGAACTCAGGCCACCTAGCTCAGAGCAAGTCCTTCAGCCTCCTGTCAGGTTACTTGGGACCTTTTGGTGATTATATAAAATTGTGTTTGGGGATGCATTTATTTAAATGAAAACAGTGAAACAACTTAGAGACCTTGGGACCTCTTAGCGTGTCAACTCCAAGGAATCTCGGGCTTGCAAGTGTGACGTGAAACTGAACTCCTACATTCTGGAATGGTTTCTCTTGGCTCTCATTCTTTGCAGTTTGGTTTTAGCCTTAAGCCACTATCAAGCCATTCCTTTCCTCTATGAATTCAAGGCACTTTCTTTTGCAGAGCAGTAAGTAAGCACTAAAGAGAATGATGATTACGTTCAAAGTTAATGATACTTCCCTCTATTCCATATGCAAAAAATGAGAACTCTATGATCTCTTCTTCTGAGAGGCCATTAATAGAAATCTTTTAAAAGACAGTTTCTTCGCACTGGAAATATTAAGCTGTTATTATAGCAAATGAGCTTATTTTTACTTTCAAATGAAAATATAAATAAGTAATAAGTAAATATTAGCAATTTTGGTTCCATAATGAATAAGGACAGAATTGAGAGCTGAAAGAGTGTGTACCCATTAGAGAGGCTGGGAAATTAACATTTGTTGACATTTTCCTGCTCTTAGCTTTAATGTAAACTAGAAGCAATTAAGTTATAGTCATCATATTTCCCTTGTAAATATTTTCTGTTTCTCAATATAGTAACCAAGATGTCTTACAACAGTGCCATATTTGCAGGCCCCAAACTAGGGGGAAGCCTCACCTGTCATCTGCCAGTGTAAAAATAGAAAGCCCAAATGCTTGAATAATTCAGTGTTCCTCCTCTTCTATTTCTTACCCACATCATAACTATGCCATTCACCATTCGGTGATGCTTTCTCTTATTTATTTTTTTACACAATTGATAGCTAGGTAAATCTATATATTCCCACACTGAAGAACATGAATTATCCAATGCTTGAGTGAAATGAAGACAAAAACAAGCTTGAATATTTAAACTTGCAGCAAGTATCTTCGATGATAGATCCTTTCTGACTCCAACTCATTTTTTTCTTTGATATCTACTACTGCTATAAAGTCCCAGTTTATCATATAACATTACAATTTATGGTGTAACCAGCTTGGGTACTGACTATAAACCCTTCATCAATGCCACTGTAAAGGGTTTATAGTCCATAAATAGAAGAGCAAGACTGTCTTTCCTCCTTGTTTTGCCCACGACACGGCACTTCAGACATGTCAGCCTAGTTATTTGTTTTACATGCTGGGTGAGTTACGGGAACATAAGTGGATGCACTGTTGTGCCTCTCCAAAATCCAGAGACAATTCAGGGTCACGGGGGAGATTAACCGTGTAAGCCTGGCTGAAAGATGGAAGAGAACAAGTCTGTTCTTATTATATTATTAATCTGTAGGTAGGAAAGAAAAGAAATCTCCAAATTTCAGAATTAGGAACGTGCTCTTAATTTTGAAACCAAGCACCCATGTAGTAATGTCACATCTGGAATTAATAACACATAATTCTACTGTATTCACCATTTTTCAGTAACCTGTTTCATATGCTCTTCATATGCTCTTCATAACCTGTTTCAACTCTTTTTATGGGAAGAGCACACGATAAAACGTTGTTTCAAATTTAACTCTGGTTCTGATTGTGTGTTACTGAGACAAGTCTCTGTGTCTGATCAATGCTTTTCTCACCTATAATTAATTAATTCATGCCAAAGTAATTTTAATTTTCTCAGTCTTCATTATTCTACGGTACGAATACTGATGTTGATGGTGATAATCAGGGTGATGATGGTAATGATGATTGTGATGATAATGCTGATAACTAATGACTGTGATAACTAATGATAACTAATGGTTATGTTGACTTTATAACCAGGCAGTTTTAAGTGCCTTTTGCACATTGTCTCATTTAATCACAACCTCATTTTACATATGAGTATGCTGAGACTTAGAATGGCTAAATGTCTTGCCCATAGCCACATAACTTGTGTTTTAAACTGGGATTTGAATGCAGCACTCTGCCTCGTTTGTGCTATTCTAAACATGTCATTATATCACCTTTTATAAAGGCAGGTTCAAATTAATGGTAATGATTCAAATTTTGTTTGCCTTTCTCCTACCTGGATAATGAAATTGTCAATCCCTCCAAAATCTTCCTAAAAACAATTTCAGGAGTTCAGAACACAGAATTTCTTCTCATTTGTATCTGTTTAGCCTTGCTGCCTGCAAAGCCACTGATCATGGTGCCTCATGCCTAGAGCCAGAGCCCAGGATGAACAATTGATGTTTCCCTGCTAACAGGTAAGGACTGCAGCACTCTTGAGACTGTAAATCCCTAAGCTTACAAAGCAAGGCTGTTCCCTACAGTTCTCACAATACCAAAGTCACAATACAGCCTTAGCAAAAGTTAAGGAGAATGCCTTTCTTCCCTACCCCAGACCTAACTTAGTCTCCTAGACCCCAAATCAATACTGCTTGTGTCTTCCAGTCTCACAGTTCCTTGTATCAACTGTTTTACTGGCTTCTGGCTAGAGTTCCTCCCTTCCGAGACCACAGACACATTCATGGGACCACAACCAGGATAAACCTAGGCCCTCCTCCGTCATGCAATCACTGTTCCAACTTTGCCATGATGAGTGGTAATGGGGCTTGAGATAGCCAACTCTGTTACCGGCAGGAATTTAGAGTTTTGGAAGGTCTTTGCGTAACATTCCAGAACATTTCAGAATTAACAGGATTCAGAGGAAAACCCTTCTGGTCAATGGAAAGGCTCAGTGGAAAGCATCCTTGCATCATGAGATGCCAAAGGAGGGAGAAAGGACCAAATTTAATTATCAACACATTTGAATATCTTCATTCTGAACAAGACACAGGGAGGCTCAGGTGAACCCTGAGGGATTTCCAGCCAAAAGCTGGCTAATCTCCAGTTAAACAGGGCCATTATCTCTCACTCCCCAGGAGAAAGTCAAGCAGAACTGAAGTGATTAACAGCAGATTAACCTCTCTAACACAGCCATCCTGGGTTTTACACCTGTCACTTTAGTATGACAATTTATATTTACTCAAAAAGCCATGAGACAGTAAATTAAACATTGCCCTAATTAGAAAAGTGTCATATGTTACAGTGGGGAAGCCACCTGATCTAATTTTCCAACAAGCCCTATGCAAAGAACATGTCATAGTGGCATTAGTGAAAGCCCTATTAACACCAACACTCTTGGGAGGAGAAAAATCTGGGCCACTGATGTTACATTTTCGTTTGTGAGAGGAGAGATTCAGCATTCAATCCAACAAGCATTGACTGCACCCCTGCAAAGCACCTGGCAATGTACTGTAAGTTGGGGCTCAGCTGGAAACCAGAAGGGGCCCCGGCCCTGGAGAACCTCAGAATCTAGTAGGAGAGATAGACTAGAACACAGGCAATTTTTACTCAACTTGGGTGGGAAATAAATATTCAGTGCTGGGAGGGCACAAAAGAGGTACACCTGATGAATGCAGTCTTGGGGAAAGGGTGACAGAGATTGTCTTACAAGGTAATTTTGTCTAAAGTGGCACCTGAAGATGATGGCATATTTGTCCAGGCTGTAAGGAACAGTGAGGAGGAAACAGGATGTGCAAAATCCTGTTAGTGAGATAATACCTGAAATATTCAGGCACTTATTGGTTAGTTTAGCAACATGTGAGCATTGAGGGAAGTAGAGTTAGCTCATGAAAAGCAATGATGACCTACAAAAAGCACACTTAAAAATTAAGATGCAGCTTACAAACAGGAAAGATTATAAACCTAAATGCACAGTTTGGTGCATTTATATATATGGATGCCTCCATAGAAATAACCCCTATATCACTGTATGGAATAATTCTATATATTTATTTTTGCTCTGGGTTATTCAGTATTGTCTCTACTGCCCCACCAAGGTGACTCTTCTAATTTCTATCACCAAGTATCATATTTGCCTATTTTTGAACTTTATATATGAAATAATGCAACATACACATTTTTAAGTTTGACTTCTTTTATTCAATATTTTCTGTGTAATATATGTTCTTGTTGTGTTTAGTTTTATGCTTTGTATTGCTGAGTAGCATCCCGTTGTTAAGTGCATCACAATTTATCCAGAACATGCTAATGCTGATGAATATTATGGGTAAAAATGGGTTCAGACATTATGAATAAAGCTACGATTAACTTCCTTATACATGTCTTTTGGAGGATATTGGTATTCAATTCTGTTGAGTATATATTCAGGAGTGGAACTATTGTATCAGAGGGTATGCTCAGCTTTAGTAAATACTTCCAAACAATTTTCCCAAGTGGTTATATCACCAGCAGTGTAAGAGGATTCCAGTTGTTCCATATTCTTGCCAGTATTTAGTATTTCCAGTCGTTTAAATTTTAGCTATTCTGATGGGTATGTATTAATATCTCCTTATGGTATTTTTTTTTTTTTTTGAGACAGGGTCTCAGTTTTTCACCCAGGCTGGAGTGCAGTGTCATGACCTCAGCTCATTGCAGCGTCAGCCTCCTGGTTTAAGTAATCCTCCCACCTCAGCCGCCAAGTAGCTGGGAATACAGGCTTGTGTCACCATGCCCAGCTAATTTTTTTTTTTGTATTTTTTTTGTAGAGACAGGGTTTCAGCATGTTGCCAAGGCTGCTGTCAAACTCCCGAGCTCAAGCGCTTTGCCCACCTCAGCCTCCCAAAGTGCTAGGATTACGGGTGTGAGCTATCATGCCCAGCCCCTCATGGTATTATCTTGTGTTTATCTGACGACTAATGGTGTTGAACATCTTTCCATATGTTTACTGGCCATTTTGATGTGCTATGTGGCGACATGTCTATTTAAATAGTTTGACCAGTTTTAACTGGATCTCCCTTTTGTTTGTCATTGGACTTTTTTTCTTATAGATTTGTAGGAGTTCTTTATAGATTGTGCATTCAAGTCTTTTGTCAGATAAGCATTTTGCCAAATATCTCCTTCCATTCTGTGGCTTGTCCCTTTTTTGTCTTCATGTGTCTTTTTATAAACTACGAAGAAAGTTTCCAGTAGAACTGCAATGGATAAATCCGGGTTTAGAAAAGCCACTTCACTGCAGTGTGGACTGGGAAGTGTTTAGCTCACATTTACCACTTGCTCACCATGTTCCATGCCCTCATGTAAGCATCATACATTCAATTTGTAATTTAACCCATAAAACAACCATATGAGCAGAATAATACTGTTTTTCCCACCGTGCAATAAGAAAATGGATCCATAGGCCAGGCGCTGTGGCTCATGCCTATAATCCCAGCACTTTGGGAGGCCGAGGCGGGTGGATCATGAGGTCAGGAGATCGAGACCATCCTGCCTAACACGGTGAAATTGCATCTCCACTTTAAAAAAAAAAATTAGCCAGGCGTGGTGGTGGGCACCTGTAATCCCAGCTACTCGGGAGGCTGAGGCAGGAGAATCGCTTGAACCCGGGAGGCGGAGTTTGCAATGAGCTGAGATGGCACCACTGCACTCCAGCCTGGGCGACAGAGCGAGAATCTGTCTCAAAAAAAAAAAAAAAAAAAAAAAAAGGAACCATAGAGAAGGTAACTGAGGGGGCTGAAGTCACACAGACAGTCACTATAGAAGCCAAAACTGGAACCCAGAGCTGACTCTGATATCCACGCTGTTAATGATTGCATCTTGTGGCCCCTCAGCAAATGAGAGCTCCATGGGGTTTCTGCTGCAACTCAAGATTCTTTCTTTTATCGATCACTCTTGCTTTCAAGTTGTGCAAATTATTCCACAAAGTATCAGAATCCAGGCATTTCTTCTCCTCAATCAATACATTGTAAATGGCTTAGAAAAATGATATGGGGATGAGTTTCACACTCCAAGAATGAAAAGGTATCTTCAGATGCACAAAAAACACTTGCAGCTAATAGACCAGCAAACTTTTTTATTCCATGAAACACTTTGCATTAAAAAGAACAGTGCTGATGTGACCCCATAGAAGAACAAATTGATAAATTGGACTTCATCAAAATTAAGATAGCTTTGCCCTTTGAAAGACACCATTAAGGAATGAAAACACAAGCTACAGAACTACAAGAATGAAAACACAAGCTACAGAACTAGGAGAAAATATTTGCATATCACATGTCAGATGACAGCTTGTATCTAAACTGTGTCAACAGTTTTTAAAACTCAACAATTAGAAAATAAACAATCTAACAGAGAATAGGCAGCTGATGACCCAACCGTGGAATTGCCTAACTCTTGATTTCTTGCTATAAAAGATTGTAAATTGCTAGTATTTAAACCCTTTTCAGGCAGTTTTTCTTTTCTGCTCAAAAGCATCTCAACTTATGCCTTTCTCTGTGTGGTAAATAACCAATAAGCAGAAGCTGCCTCATTGTTGACCAAACTGTTATTATACTAAACCCCAACCACCTTGTTGTGTTTGGAGAGAGAGAGAGATTGACAACTTATAACAGACCAGATCTTCCTATAGAGAAGATATTGAGGAAATGTGTGTGAGTAAAACAACCCCTGTTTTCAAAAGTTTACGTTCTAGTGATAGATATGGACAAATACATAATAATAGCAAAGTGGTAGATACTCCAGTAGAGTCTACTGGTCTACTAGAGTAATGGAGAGTCTAAGTAATGGAGTACTGGAGGGTATAAAGGAAAAGAAGTACTTTAACTCTGCCTGGAAGATCCAGGGAAAGTTTATTGGAGCAAGAACCCACTATGTTTTGAAGGCTGAATAGCAGGTCATCAGAGACACTAGTTTATCAGGTCAAAGGACATGGTGTGGGTAGCATTGCTGCTACAAACAGATCCTATGCTTTTCCAGGAAACTACAGATGCATCTTGGGTTTAGAGGCCCATGTGAGGTTGCGCTCACATACAGAAGTGAGGAGGGGAACACCAGAAGTCCTCCTGGCATGAGGCAATGAGGTAGAAATGTAGACAAAGGCCATGTCAAGAACGGCAGTGATTTTGAATTTAGGGAGCCATCGACAATTGGTAAGTAATGGAAGCAATATTGTGTTTTTCCCTTTAAATGGAAGAAATAAGAAGATTCCTCCCCACCCTCAATAAAATAACCCAACCCCTCTCAACCTCTCATAATAGATTACCTGGGTTCAACAAAATAAATAGCTTGAAATGAAGCAAAACACCTGGAAAATTTATTTCGTAGCTAATCAAAATGGAAATTCACTAAATGCTGGTGAAGAGACTGGTATTCACTTGCAGCAAGATTAAGATTAAGCTCCATTGCTAGTAAGAGGCCTAAGGTGGTCACACCTAGGGCTGTGAGCTTCAGGTGGAGTGGTATAGTTGTTTGAGGGGATGGTATTTCTGTGGAAAGTAGCAGCTGAGGATTTGTTTGACCCCATGAGCTACAGAAATGAGATGTTGCTTGCCCCAGTATTTCTGCAGAAAACAAAATAAGGGGCTTTTTTCCTCTCCCACTTACAATGGGCTCCTCTTACTGGAAGAGTAGACATCAGTGACATATCTTCAAAGATCGATGTTTTCATGCAGTGTGTTCAATAACTCCAGAGTTAAGGGATACTGAAGACCAGGACAGTAGGCTTGACTTTTTTATATTGCAAGTGTGTGTGTGTGTGTGTGTGTGTGTGTAGTTTGCTGGCTTAATTTTTTTAAAATTTATTTTTATTGACATATAATTTACATATAAAAAAATCCACTACCTTAAGTGTATAAGTCAGCATCTTTTAGTATAATCATAGAGTTATGCAACTATCACCTTTATCTAATTCTAGAACACTTACTGGTTTACTTTTTTTCTATGAGCCTTTAGTATTTTCACATTGCCCAATTAATTTGGTATTAAGAGGTGGAGGAGAATTATAAGGAAAATGGAGTGGAGGAAAGGCGCAGTGTTAGGTATTCATGAATTCAAGGTACTTTGCACATCTATCTCACTTGATTTTGTCTTCCAGCAAGGGTGATAGCTGTTACTGTCCCACTTGACATATGACAAGAATCCATGTGTCAGAGGTGTTTTGTGACGCACCCAAGGACACACTAGCTCGTAAAGGCCGGAATCCAATCCAGGGTTTGTCTGACTGCAGAGTCAGAGCTTTGTTCACCATGAGGATCTTTCTTATTTTTCCCTTTCAAAAATAAGATGACCCCTTAGGACTTAGCATGGACGTTGTAGTCTCGTTGATATCCTGGAATGTGCCAGCCAAAAGTGGCTCTGGAGGTGATCTTGCCCACAGGTCTTCCTTTCCACCTCCATGATCTTGGAATTCATTAGGAATGGGTGAGTGGGTGGAAGGTGGAGAGAAGAGAGGAATGGGAATAAAAAGGAAGGGCTTTGGGCCCCCAATCCAGTTTCAACCACAACAAAATAATGGCTCTCCTAATATGCCATGTCCTAATCCCATGAATCTGTGAATGTTGTGTAATAGGGTGAAAGGATCTCTGCAGAAATGAGTAGGTTGAGTTTTAAGATACAAGAGTTATCTTGGATTATCCAGTTTAGCCCAGTGTAATCACAGGGGTCTTTAAAAGAGGAAGGTGGGTGGCAGGTCGGTCAAATACACAGGTGATGTGATTACAGAAGGAGAGAGAGAAACACAAGGAGAAATTGGATGATGGAGGAAGGTGCTATCAGCCAAGGAATCAGGTGGCCCTTGAAAACTAGAAAATAGATTTTATCCTAGAACAGGGGTCCCCAGATCCCGTGCCATGGACTGGTACTTGTCCATGGCCTGTTAGAAACCGAGCCACACAGCAGGAGATGAGTGGTGGGGGGGTTAGTGAAGCTTCATCTGCGTTTACAGCCGCTCCCCATTGCTCACATTACTATTGCCTGAGCTCCACCTTCTGTCAGATCAGCTGCAGCATTAGTTTCTCATGGGGGGGCAAACCCTATTGTGAACTGCAGGTGGAAAGGATGTAGGCTGTGTGCTCTTTATGAGAATCTAATGCCTGAAGATCCATCACTGTTTCCCATCACCCCCAGATAGGACCATCTAGTTGCAGGAAAACAAACTCAGAGGTCCCACTGATTCTGCATTATGGCAAGTTGTATAATTATTTCATTATATATTACAATGTAATAATAATAGAAGCAAAGTGCACAATAAAGGTAATGCACTTGAATCAACCCAAAACCACCCACCACTCCCTGTCCATGGAAAAATTGTCTCCACAAAACCAGTCCCTGGTGCAAAAAAGGTTGAGGACAACTGCCCTAGAGCCTCCAGATGGGGCGCAGCTCTGTATTGCATTTTGGACTTCTGACTTCCAGAACTATTCAAGAATAAGTGTGTATTGTTTTAAGCCACTGGGTTTGTGGTAATTTGTTACCATAACAATAAGAAACAAATACAATGGAGACTATATGTAATATTTCTTTTAAGGAAAAAATGTGCTTCAAAATATGACTTTATGTCCAATATTCTTTTCAGTAGTAATGATAGTTATAGACAACTGTAGTGACTAGCGCTGTGTTAAGGCTACTAAGAAACTTCACATGCTTTGTCTGATTCACTTGACATTTCTGGAATGCCCACCACATGCTGGGGGCACAGCAGTCGCCAGCGCAGGATGCTACCTACCCTCTTGACACTTTCTTTCTATGCTTTCTGTTATAACCTTACTGGACTACATAAGCCCTGAATCAGAGCTGAGGTAAATGTGCATCAGGGTGACTTGAAGAGTGGGAGAATAACAAAGAAAATTCTTGCAACTGACATTATGCCACCATCTGCCTGCCTGAACTTTTTTTTTTTTTTTTGAGAAGGCATCTCGCTCTGTCACCCATGCTGGAGTGCAGTGGCATGATCTCGGCTCACTGTAACCTCTGCCTCCCAGGTTTAAGTGATTCTCCTGCCTCTGCCTCCTGAGTAGCTGGGACTACAGTCATGAGTCACCACAACCAGTGAATTTTGCATTTTTAGTAGAGATGGGGTTTCACCACGTTGGCCAGGCTGGTCTCGAACTCCTGACCTCAGGTGATTCACCCGCCTCAGCCTCCCAAAGTGCTGGGATTACAGGCATGAGCCACAGCGCCCAGCCATCTGAACTCTTTAAGAAAAGTGAAAGCATGGAGAGATGAAGATTTATTACCAAACAATAGGAGGGAGAGACTTCAGTGGAAACATATTGCCCACCACCCTGCCCCTGGATTTGATGTGCAAATGGGCCAGCATGCAGGAAGGGTGGCATCTGGCCCTCTCCTGATGGCTCAGCCACCTCAGTTGGGTGCAGCAGCTTCTCCGTATTTTCTCTCTTTTGCTCTCAGGCTGAAATCATCTTAGGGAGGCAGGACACTGGGCCAAGCTAGGTCCTTATCCCCGAAGAAGGAGCTGGTTCTTCCAGTGTGCTTAGTGCCCTGCCTGCATCGTCCTAAAAGGGCGCTCAACAAATCCTGATATTGAAGCTATTTTATCAGTTTTTGAAGGCTATTTCTATGGCTAGGAAATTAGCAAAGAACAATGAGGGAAAGGAGAAATAACATCCTTGCCATTTAAAATAGAAAAACGAAAACAAGTTTATTTACATGATAAGCCAAATAAGAACTTCCAAGGAGGTCTCATAAATGTTAAGGGATACTTAGAAACTTAAGAAAACGCTAAGCTTTTTGGCATTTTAGGAAAAGTCAAAGTTATCACCATTCTAGAACTCCATCCATCAGAAAAATGGAGCAAAAACTAAAGTTATTCACCACAAACACCTTAATGATGCACTGAGAATCTCAAACATCTTTTACACTTTGATCTAATAATTCTACTTCTAGGATGTGTAAATATATAAAGATATTCACTGTAGCATTACTTATAATAGAAATAAATCCAGGGAGAATTATGTGTACACAAGAGGTGAATGGTTAAATAAATTACAATATGTTAATACGATGGTATCTTACACACCATTAAAATTATTTCATGAAGACTGTTTAATACATATTTATAATATAATTTTAATTGATGAAAAAGTAATATGCAGAACTTTACACACCAAGCATGGCAAATCAATTTCATTCTTCATGCCATCACCAATTTGTTGGTAACAGCTGCTCAGAATTCTATGCTGAAAAGCATTTCTCAGGTCTTGTGTGCACCCGGCAGAAATGATTAGCAAGGTCTTTGTGGGCATAAGAAGGAGAGCCATCACCCCTGTGCTAGTAACTTGCTGTGCCAGGTGTATTCAGAATAATTTCTACTATGACACATATAATATGTATTTATGCACTTGAGTATTATAATGAAGGGGAGAAGGGAAAACAAAGAACTGAGCAAAACACAAAACTCTGTTCCCGGCCAGGTGCAGTGGCTCATGCCTGTAATTCTAGCATTTTGGGAGGCTGAGGAGGGCAGATCGCCTGAGGTGAGGGGTTCAAGACCAACCTGTCCAACACGGAGAAACTCCGTCTCTATTAAAAATACAAAAATTACCTGGGTGTGGTGGCACATGCCTGAAATCCCAGCTACTCGGAAGGCTGAGGCAGGAAAATCGCTTGAACACAGGAGACAGAGGTTGCAGTGAGCCAAGATCGCGCCACTGCACTCCAGGCTGGGCGACAGAGTGAGACCCATCACAAAAAAACAAACAAACAAAAAACAACTCTGTTGCTATTATAAGCACAAAAAGATGACTTGTTTACTTATGACTAAGGATTTCCGAGGCTTCCATCTAAATGGATTCCTTGGATTAAATGAGGTCACTTAAAGACACATATAGATTTCACACCCACTAGAATAGCTATAATCCACAAGGCAGACAATAAAAAGTATTGGCGAGAAGGTGGAGAAACAGGAACCATCGTACATTGCTGGTGGGGATGTAAAATAATTTAGCCACTTTGCAAAACAGTTTGATAATTTCCTGACAAGGTAAACATAAATGTATCCGACGATTCAGCAGTTCCTAGGTATTTACTCCTGTGTATTTTATTCTAGAGAAATGAAAACACATGTCTGCACAAAGACTAACACACGAATAACCTCAGCAGCGTAATTCATAACTCAAAATGGGAAACAACCTTGATGTCCATCAGTGGGTCAACTAATAAGAAAAATATGGTACTGCCATATAATCGATTATTATTCAGCCATGAAAGGGAAGTAAGTTATGGTACACGAACCCTAGTTAACACTGTGCAAAGTAACCCAGACACAAAAGACCACTACCATATTATACCATTTATATAAAATTCCTCATAAAAGACAACCAGAAATAGAAAATGATATGTGGTTACCTGAAGCTGGAATGGAAGTGGGCACTGTTAATCGACAGAAGGATCTTACTGGGGTGATGAAAATGCTCTGAAACAGAATTATGGTGATGATTGCAAAATTCACTAAATTTTCTAAAAACTATTGAGCTGTACAGCTTAAAAATGTTATTTAATGGTATATAAGTATACCTTGATAAAGTTGTTAAAATATCTAAATGGGCCAGCTGTAGTGGCTCACACCTGTAACCCCAGCACCTTGGGAGGCTGAGGCTAGGAGTTCAAGACCAGCCTGGTCAACATGGTGAAACCCCCTCTCTACTAAAAATACAAAAATTAGCCAAGTGTGATGTTGCATGCCTGTAATCCCAGCTACTTGGGAGGCTGAGGTGGGAGCATCCCTTGAACCCAGGAGGTGGAAGTTACAGTGAGCTGAGATTGTAAGTAAAATCATGCCACTGTACTCCAGCCTAGGCAGCAGAATGAGACTACATCTCAAAAAACAAACAAACAACAAATATATTTATATATATATGGAGGAAGGGACAGAGAGAGAACACAACAGAATGTTGTCAATGCCTGTCAATGACTGTTTCTTGGTGGTAGACTAGTGAAATGGGGTTATAGAAGATCATTTCTTCTTTATGTTTTCCTTCTTACTATTTGAACATACTTTTTTTTTAACTCATATTTTAAGTCCAGGGACACATGTGTAGGTTTGTTATATAGGTAAACTTGTGTCACAAGGATTTGTTGTACAGATTTATTTCAGCTCCCAGGTATTAAGCCTAGTACCCATTAGTTATTTTTCCTGATCCTCTCCCTCCTCCCACCTCTCATCCTCCAAAAGACCCCAGGGTGTGTTGTTCCCCCTCTATGTATCTGTGTGTTCTGATCATTTAACTCCCATTTATAAGTGAGAACATGCAGCATTTGGTTTTCTTGAATGCACTTTTTTTTTTTAAATAATCAGAGGGAAAACTACCACCATCATCTATACCCCATCAAACCTCTGTTAGAATCAGCAAATCTCTGTGATAGAGAATAATAACTTCCTACCCTCCTCTTCATTACCAAAGGGTGATACAATTAGACCAACCAGCCAAGGACACTTTGGTGAATGCCCTCAGTACATGCAAGTGAAGTTGAAGGTCCTATTCCTGGCAAGCATCTCTCTCGACTCCCCTAATAATCAGATGAAGCATTTCACTTTTTGAATGCTTATTTTCCAAGCTTCCAATTTTCTAAGGCCATGGCCTCCAGGTCCTATACGAAGCATGTAGTCATGCTTCATGCTTGAGAAAAATCATGCTGTTGCTATGTAAGGTCAAGACTGTGCACCTGTTTGAATCCCCTAGAGCCCTCAGAGAAATAGCCTTGCCAAGGTTTTCTCGACATCTCAGACTTCATGTGTTAGAATTGCTCGTAGTGCCTGGCACAATATTTTAAAGCTGTTCTGCAGGTGAAGGCCCTTCCTTAGAAAGAGGCCATTTTTCTACTTACAATGGAAAAATGTCACACAATACACTAGTTTCTCACCCTATTACATTTTCTGGAAACTGTAGAGAGGAGCTACATATCAATGAGGTGGGTAAAACTTAGGCCATTGAATAATAAAGCAAATAATAATAAGTGTTATCACTCAGTGCTTACTGCATACCAGGCACTGTGTTAAATGTTTTACATACTGTAACTTACTTCATCTAACCCTCATTAAAATCCAATATTGAGGAAATGGGCTCAGTCAGGAGAAATGACTCCGTGAGTAAAGTGCAGAGATGCCAAGTTTAGCATCTAAATCTCTTATCCTAAGTCGGTGCTTTTGTTTTTATTTTAACCTTGCAGTGCCATTATTATTTGTACTTAGACACATAGGCAGGGACTCCCTTAAGTTAGAAATCAGATAAAAGCAAGATAAGTAATAATCAACACAAAAATGTTAATTTAAATTCCTTTTGAGAAAATGACTCAAGGGATTATCTGCAAATGAGTGGCTAGCAGGAATTGGGAATATTCTCATCCTTAGTGATCATGTTTGCAAGAC
This sequence comes from Homo sapiens, assembly GCF_000001405.40. Lineage (NCBI taxonomy): Eukaryota > Metazoa > Chordata > Mammalia > Primates > Hominidae > Homo > Homo sapiens. The sequence continues at coordinate 7,823,900 of NC_000016.10, read as the reverse complement.
TTCCCTAGTGGAAAGCTTTTCATCAGAGTAAAACATCAACACTACATCCTAGTACGAAGGGTGGTCAAGGCCAGCAAGAAAAGGTTTTTAGGGGTATTGATGCTCTGGTATGAAAAAACCTAGAAAATTCTGGAATTAATGTATATCTGTGATTGTTCAGTGGTCACGTAGTGAAATCATTCTTCAACGTTTGAACTTCTGGTCTTTTGTTTCCTGAAATTAACGTTTGTTCCATTGTTTCGATACCCTTTGTTTACAGTAGACCAGATCTCCACTCCTGAGGAGAGAAAGGTCACCAAGAAAAAAATATTTCGGGATTTCATTCTACACTTTGCAAAAGGAAAAGAAATCTTGGGCCCCCAAAATCACTAAGGCAAAAGGAAGTCAAACAGTGAACTGAGTCAAGCATACCTGCCTCCATTTTATTGCTAAATAAGATAGCTACAACGATAAAAAAGCTACAATTTGCTCACAAGGAAATTGCGTTTGGACAAAAGACAGACAGAACTCAAACTCATCCCTCTGCTCACCTGAGACAAATGCACATCTGATTGCTTCCTCTGCCCTATTTTTTCACTAACCCAGACTAAGGCATAAGTGACTATTCCTCTACCCTCCTCTCACAGGTAAATTGTGTATTCAGTAAAAGGTTCATCAGAGACTCAAAGGAATGCAACTTATTTACCTATGACCTGGAAACCCCTTCCCTGCCTCAAGTTGTCCCGCCTTTCTGGACCCAACTTATGGACATCACATAATGATTGATGTCTCATGTCTCCCTAAAATGTATAAATCCAAGCTGTGACCCAACCACCTGTGCCTCAACCCAGACAGAAGAGGGAATTTGCTACAGGAAAGGGGTCCCAATCCAGATGCCAAGTGAGGATTCTTGGATATTGCACAAGAAAGAACTCAGGGTGTGTCCATAAAGCGAAAGCAAGCTTATTAGGAAAGTAAAGGAATAAGAGAATGGCAACTCCATAGACAGAGCAGCCCTGAGAGCTGCTGGTTGCCCATTTTTATGGTTATTTCTTGATGATATGCTAAACAAGGGGTGGATTATTCATGCCTCCCCCTTTTAGACCATATAAGGTAACTTCCTAATGTTGCCATGGCATCTATAAAGTGTCATGGCGCTGGCGGGAGTGTAGCAGTGAGGACCACCAGAGGTCACTCTTGCGGCCATCTTGTTTTTGGTGGGTTCAGGCCGGGTTCTTTACTGCAACCTGTTTTATCAGCAAGGCCTTTATGACCTGTATCTTGTGCCCACCTCCTATCTCATCCTGTGACTTAAAATGCTTTAAACGTCTGGGAATGCAGCCCAGTAGGTCTCAGCCTCATTTTATTCAGCCTCATTCAAGAAGTTGTTCTGGTTCACATGCCTCTGACAGATTCAAGGGCAGAGACCAACTGGGGATTATTTCCTGGGTGAAACCGGGGAAGGCAGCTGGCCTCACACGGAGGTTCATATGATGGCCACATTTGACATCAATAGAGGAGGAAATACACCAGAAAGGCTAACAGAAGCCTACTGAGCTTGCTGTGGTCCCAAAGGAAGAGCAGAAAGAGCTGGGAGACAGATGCTCCAAGAGGCAGCAACTTTGGGACAGTCAAGGCACAAAGTAACCTGAAGCCTGTGGACCAGATGGAAAATATCTACAGCGCAATTTCCAATTAAGGTCAATGCATACAGGTGGCACTGATAGGAGAGGCATACAGTTGGTCAGTAGTAGTAACGATCATCCCAGCAAATTCTAGTGTGGATAGACAATGATAAATGCACAAGAAAAGTTATCTTTCCTAAGCAGTGTTAAAAATACCCTTTGCAATGTATATGAAACTCTAACAAGAATACATAGGAGCAATCCCTGAGTCAGTCTGAAAAAAATAGATTTAACTGAGGTTATCTTAAAGTGATTTACTTACTTGTTTATTTATTTTTCAAGACAGGGTCTTGTTCTGTCACCCAGGCTGGAGCGCAGAGGGAGCAATCCTAGCTCACAGCAGCCTCAACCTCCTGGTCTCAAGCGATCCTACCATCTCAGCCTCCTGAGTAGCTGGGACTACGAGGGCCCACCACCATGCCCAGCTAATTAAAAAAAATTTTTTGTGTATAGACCAAGCCTCTTTACATTGCCGAAGCTGGTCTCAAACTCCTGGGCTCAAACAATCATCCCGGCTTGGCTTCCCAAAGTGTTGGTCTTACAGGGGTGACCCACCACGCCCAGCTATCTTAAAGTGATTTAGATTAAGATTCTATTCTGCTGCAAGGTAATCTGGAGACTTTTAACAAAAATTAATTTCCATTATTAAAAAATTGAGATGTATATATTTCCTGCAAATGACTATGCACTGACAGTATTTAATTGTTAAACCTGTGAGATGATTTTCTTTTGGGTAAAAGACTCTCCTTGGATGAACTTCCAGACAAGTGACCACAATGAATGGGGCTTCTAGGAGGAAGGCAGCTCTTGCAGGGATCCTGGGGAAATGTGGTTTCAAAACTGGGGTGAGAATGAAGGCCCAATTTTGAGTTGTGGCCATTTTTCTGAGACCTTATCTCCACCCCACTAAAAATCCCGGGGAGGAAGGGGGCAAGAAACCAGCTCTCTCCCACATTTGCTGTCATGTCTGTACCTTTGCAACACCAGACAAATGGACCAAGGCTGCATTTGAGACATTAGAAGGATTTTTCTCTTTGGATTTCTGCTTTGCTCTCTTGTATACAAGAAGGATAAATAATGTTGGAACATAATAAAAATGCTTTCAGTCCCCTGAAGCTAAGAAAGCATTTTAACGTAGTGAGTGATGTTGCAAAACCTTCTTTATCAAGAAACATGAAGAAAAAGCTTTTCAGATCTGGCTGCGTACCAGATCTCTGTGTTAGAGACACCTCCCCAGAGATGGCCGGGGAGAGGCTTGATTGGATGGTACTGCTCTCATGCCGTCTAGCAGCTGAGAGCTCAGGACACAGAGGCACCTGGCTTTTCAGGAGCTGCTCCCATTCCCTCTTAAGCCTCATCTCTTGCCACAAATTTACCAGGCCCTCCCACCCCTGCCCAAGCAAGCTAATAAAATTTCTGGTTCCCAAACACACTGTGCTTCTAATCGCCTCTGTACGTTGTCCATTTGTCTTCCTCTGCCTGATATTCCTTTCTCTTTCTTTTCCATTTCTGATTTATATGTATGCTACAAGACTCCTTTTGGATGTTGTCTTCTAGAGAAGTCATTCTCTGAACCCACAGTCTCAGAGTGTGCCCCCTTTGCGCGTGTGTGTGTGTGTGTTTGTGACAGAGCTTTGCTCTTGTTGCCCAGGCTGGAGTGCAATGGTGCAATCTCGGCTCACTGCAACCTCCACCTCCTGGGTTCAAGCGATTCTCCTGCCTCAGCCTCCTGAGTAGCTGGGAATACAGGCACCCGCCACCACCCCTGGCTAATTTTTGTATTTTTAGTAGAGATGGGGTTTCACCATGTTGGCCAAGATGGACTTGAACTCCTGACTTTCATGCGCCTCCGTGTGAAGAGACCACCAAACAGGCTTTGTGTGAGCAATAAAGCTTTTAATCACCTGGGTGCAGGCGGGCTGAGTCCCAAAAGAGAGTCAGCCAAGGGAGATAGGGGTGGGGCCTTTTTATAGGATTTGGGTTGGTAAAGGAAAATACAGTCAAAAGGGGGTTGTTCTCTGGCAGGCAGAGTGGGGGTCACAAGGTGTTCAGTAGGGGAGCTTTTGAGCCAGGATGAGCCGGGAGAAGGAATTTCACAAGACAGTGTCATCAGTTAAGGCAGGAACAGGCCATTTTCACTTCTTTTGTGGTGGAATGTCATCAGTTAAGGCAGGAACCGGCCAGCTGGATGTGTACGTGCAGGCCACAGGGGATATGATGGCTTAGCTTGGGATCAGAGGCCTGACATTCCTGTCTTCTTATATTAATAAGAAAAAAAACCAAAACAGTGGTAAAGTGTTGGGATGGGGAAAATTTTGGGGGATGGTATGGAGAGATAATGGGCGATGTTTCTCAGGGCTGCTTCGAGTGGGATTAGGGGTGGCGTGGGAACCTAAAGTGGGAGCGATTAAGCTGAAGGAAGATTTTGTGGTAAGGAGTGATATTGTGGCATTGTTAGAAGAAACATCTGTCATTTAGACTTATTGGTGATAGCCTGGATATAGTTTTGTATGAATTGAAAAACTAAACGGATTAAGAGAAGGAGAAAAACAGGTGTTAAAGGACTAACAATTGGGAAGACCTAGGACATCTAATTACAGAGTGCCTAAGAAGGGTCAGCATAGCCTTGCCAGCAAAGATTATTTATTTACTTTAAGAGTTAAGAGTGGTGGTTTGGGGATAGTACCAGGAGATATCAGCTGTGATGGCTTGGAGAAACAGCCTAAACTGGCAGTGTAAACAAGAGCAGGGCATGTATGAGTAGTTGAGAACGGTGAATAGGAGTATGACTAGACAGAAGATAGTAGGGATGACAAGTTTTTGGGGGCACAGTCTAAGTTGGTCTGGTGTCTGGAATGAGACTGGGGCCTAATAAAAAGGAGTGTCTATACAGGAGCTTAAACGGGCTGTATCTTGTAGCATTCCGAGGACAGGCCTGAATTCTGAGAAGAGAAAGTGGTAAAAGTATTGTCCAGTCCTTTTTAAGTTGGTGGCTGAGCTTGGTGAGGTGTGTTTTTAATAGACCATTAGTCTGTCACTGAATACTAAGAGCCTGAAAAAATGCTTGGCTGATTTGACTAATAAAGGCTGGTCTGTTATCAGACTGTATAGAGGTGGGAAGGCTAAACTGAGGAATTATGTCTGACAGAAGGGAATGACAAGGCTAAACTGAAGAATTATGTCTGACAGAAGGGAAGAATTGACTGCGGTCGCCTTCTCAGACCCTGTAGGAAAGGACTCTGCTTATCCAGTGGAAGTGTCTACCTACACTAAGAGGTATTTTAGTTATCTTACTTGGGGTATGTTGAGTAAAGCTAATTTGCCAGTCCTGGGTGGGGGCAAATCCTTGATCTTGATGTGTAGGGAAGGGAGGGGGCCTGAATAATCCATGAGGAGTAGTAGAATAGCAGATGGAACACTGAGAAGTTATTTCTTTGAGGATAGATTTCCATGATGGAAAGGAAATGAGAGGTTCTAAGAGGCGGGCTGGTGGCTTGTACTATAGCATAGCCTGCCTTTGCTGGTGTGTGGCGATTAGGCCTGGTGGAACTGCCATCAATAAATTAAGTGTGATCAGGGTGAGAAACATGGAAGAAGGAAATGTGGGGAAATGAGGTGAATGTCAGGTGGATCAGAGAGATACACTCACGGGGGTCAGGTGTGGTATCTGGAATAATGTGGGAGGCCAGATTGAGGTCCGGGGCAGGAACAATGGTAATTGTGGGACTTAACAAAGAGTGAGTACAGCTGAAGGAGCCAGGGAGCAGAAAGTATATGCATCAGGTGTGAGTAAGAAAATAGATTTTGGAAATTATGAGAGCTGTAGAGAGTGAGTTGAGCATAGTTTGTGATTTTTAGGGCCTCTAAAAGTATTAAAGCAGCGGCAGCCGCTGCACGCAGACATGACGGCTAGGCTAAAACAGTAAGGTCAAGTTGTTTGGACAGAAAGGCTACAGGGTGCGGTCCTGGCTCTTGTGTAAGAATTCTGACCGCACTAACCATGCCTAGGAAGGAAAGGAGTTGTTGTTTTGTAAGTGATTGAGGTTTGGGAGATTAATCGGACACGATCAGCAGGGAAAGCACTTGTGTTTTTATGAGAATTATGCCGAGATAGGTAACAGATGAGGATGAAATTTGGGCTTGACTGAAGTAATGGGGGCTGTCTGTGAAGCCTTGCGGCAGTACAGCCCAGGTAATTTGCTGATCCTAATGGGTGTCAGGATCAGTCTAAGTGGAAGCAAAGAGACGCTAGGATGAGGGGTGCAGGGGAATAGTGAAAAAAGCATCTTTAAGATCGAGAACGGAATAGTGAGTTGTGGAGGAAGGTATTGAAGACAAAAGAGTGTACGGGTTGGGCACCACAGGGTGGATAGGCAAAACAATTTGGTTGACAAGCCGCAGATCCTGAACTAATCTGTAAGACTTGTCCGGTTTTTGGACGGGTAAAATGGGGGAATTGTAAGGAGAGTTTATAGGTTTTAGAAGCTCAAGCTGCAGCAGGCGAGTGATAACAGGCTTTAATCCTTTTAAAGGGTGCTGTGGGATGGGATCTTGGCATTGAGCGGGGTAAGGGTTATTAGGTTTTAATGGGATGGTAACGGGCATGTGATCAGTTGCCAGGGAAGGAGTAGAGATGTCCTATATTTGTGGGTTAAGGTGAGGGGATACGAGAGGAAGATACGAAGGAGGCTTTGGGTTGGGGAGAAGGGCGGCAATGAGATGCGGCTGTAGTCCAGGAATAGTCAGGGAAGCAGATAATTTGGTTGAAATATCTCGACCTAACAAGGGATCTGGGCAGGTGGGGATAACTAAAAAAGAGTGCATAAAAGAGTGTTGTCCAAGTTGGCACCAGAGTGGGGGAGTTTTCAGGGGTTTAGAAGCCTGGCCGTCAATACCCACAACAGTTACGGAGGCAAGGGAACAGGCCTTGAAAAGAAGGTAATGTGGAGTGGGTAGCCTCCGTATTGACTAAGGGGACGGACTTACCTTCCACTGTGAGAGTTACCCGAAGCTCGGCGGCCTTGATGGTCTACGGAGCTTCCAAGGTGATCAGGCAGCGTCAGTCTTCAGCTGCTAAGCCGAGAAGGAGTCAGTCAGAGAGCCTTGGGCCAGAGTTCCAGGGGCTCTGGGAGTGGCTGCCAGGTGAGTTGAACAGTCCGGTCCGATTTCCAGTGGGGTCCCGCACAGATGGGACACAGCTTAGGAGGAATCCTGGGCTGCAGGCATTCCTTGGCCTGGTGGTCAGATTTCTGGCACTTGTAGCAAGCGCCTAGGGCAGGAGGTTCTGGAGGAACGCCTGGCCGCTGTGGTTCAGGCGTTTGGAAGTTCTTGTGTGCTGAAGATGTGGCTGGTGTTTGTCTCACAGTGGAGGCAAGGAATTGCAACTTTTTTCTATTATTGTGCACCTTGAAGACAAGGTTAATTAAATCCTGTTGTGGGGTTTGAGGGCTGGAATTTAATTTTTGGAGTTTTATTTAATGTCGGGAGCAGATTGGGTAATAAAATGTGTATTGAGAATAAGACGGCCTTTTGACCTTTTAGGGTCTAGGGCTGTAAAGTGTCTCAGGGTTGCTGCCAAACGAGTCCTGAACTGGGCTGGATTTTTATATTTGATGAAAAAGAGCCTAAACACTATCTGATTTTGGATTAAAAAAAAAGGAGCATTAACCTTGACTATGCCTTTAGCTCCAGCCAGCTTTTTAAGAGTAAATTGTTGGGCAGGAGGGGGAGGGCTAGTCACAGAACGAAACTGTAAGCTGGACCAGGTGTGAGGAGGGGAGGTGATGAAAAGATTATAGGGTGGAGGAGCGGAGGCTGAGGAAGAATTGGGACCTAGGTTGGCCTGGCAAGGAGCAGCCTGGGGAGGAGGGGAGAGGTCAGATGGGTCTGTAGAAAAGGAAGATTAGAAAGATTCAGCCACGCTTGGGGTTGGTACTGAGGGGACAGGCGGGAGGGAAAGAAGGAAGATTTGGGACGAGTTGCACTGGGCACAGAGACCGGGCAGGGACCGATGTGTAAAAGAATGCCTGGAAGTCAGGCACCTCAGACCGTTTGCCCATTTTACGACAAGAATTATATAGATCTTGCAGTATGGAAAAATTGAAAGTGCTGTTTTCTGGCTATTTGGAACTACTGTTGAGTTTGTGTTGGGGTCAAGTGGCATTGCAGAAGAAAATAAGACATTTAGATTTTAGGTCATGTGTGAGTTGAAGAGGTTTTAAGTTTTTGAGAACACAGGCCAAGGGAGTAGAAGGAGGAATGGAGGGTGGAAGGTTGCCCATAGTGAAGGAAGCAAGCCCAGAGAATATAGAGAGTAGAGACACGGAGGGAAGGGGTTCGGGGGTTCTTACCTTCCAGAAAAGCGGGAAAGGGGTGGGGGCATGGATATAAGAGGTTGGGACACAGATATAAGGGGTTGGGGTGCAGAGATAAGAGGTCGAGGCATGGAAATAAGGGATTGGGGCGCAGAGATAAGAGGTCAGGGCATGGAAATAAGGGATTGGGGCACAGAGATATAAGAGGTTGGGGCACAGAAATAAGGGATTGGGGCACAGAGATACGAGGTTGGGGTACTTGCCGCTAAGAGTGAAGGAGAAGGGTTTGGGGGTTTCTTGCTCCCCAGAAAGGTGGAGAAGGGGTAGAGACACAGAGAGAAGGGGTTGGGGTACTTGCCCTTTCCCCAGAAAAGTGGGAATTGCCGCTAAGGGTGAAGGACCAAGGCAGGCGTCCCTGTGTGGTCTGACACCTCTGAAACGTGGGTGAATAATCAGAGAAGTGGCCCTGCAATGATTAAACACCAAGGGAAGGCTGCCTTCCCTAGTCCGTGACTGGCACTGGAGTTTTGGGTCCATGGATAAAACATGTCTCCTTTGTCTCTACCAGAAAATGAAAGGAATTGAAATTAAGAGAAGGGAGAGATTGAAGAGTGGAAAGGAGAAAGTGGTTGAGGGACAGTGAGAGAGGTTGGAGAAGAGAGTAAGAAGAGGCTGCTTACCAGATTTAAAATTGGTGAGATGTTCCTTCGGCTGGTGGGTCTGAGGACCTGAGGTCGTAGGTGGATCTTTTTCACGGATCAAAGAGCAGGAGGACAGGGGATTGATCTCCCAAGGGAGGTCCCCTGATCTGAGTCATGGCACCAAATTTCATGCGTGTCCGTGTGAAGAGACCACCAAACAGGCTTTGTGTGAGCAATAAAGCTTTTAATCACCTGGGTGCAGGTGGGCTGAGTCCGAAAAGAGAGTCAGTGAAGGGAGATAGGGGTGGGGCCGTTTTATAGGATTTGGGTACATAAAGGAAAATTACAGTCAAAGGGGGGTTGTTCTCTGGCAGGCAGAGTGGGGGTCACAAGGTGCTCAGTAGGGGAGCTTTTGAGCCAGGATGAGCCAGGAGAAGGAATTTCACAAGACAATGTCATCAGTTAATGCAGGAACCGGCCAGCTGGATGTGTACATGCAGGCCACAGGGGATATGATTGCTTAGCTTGGGCTCAGAGGCCTGACACTGACCTCAGGTGATCCCCCCACCTCGGCCTCCCAAAGTGCTGGGATTACAGGCATGAGCCACCACGCCTGGTGCCCTCTTCTTATATGTGCCCATAAGCACCTTGCTGAAAAAAATACTGTATATTCCTTTTTAAACTTCTGTTTTTACACTTCTTGCCTTTTCCCTGGGTAGGACCAGGAGCAATCCATACAAACTAAGATAAGGTGGAGAAGTTTTACCTAAAATTATACCTTAATGAGAAAAGATACAGATATAAGCTGGATCACCCAAGCCAAGAAGGTTTCAGAAAATTCAAGGTGATCCTGATACGGCTCTGATGAGTGGAGGAACACCAGGGTCCTTAGGCTCCCGCGGAATTGGATAAGATGACACATATGACACATGGACACACGTGGAGTGGTTTTAAGGAGCTGAGAGTTTGAAGTTTAACAGGCAAGAAAGAGGGAAGAAGCTCCCCTGTACGGAGACAGAGGGAGGGGTTCTCCAAAACCAGAGAAGAAACCCTCCCGTGTGTGCAGAAAAGTGGCTGCTTGTATGAGGAGGCTGGAGGAGGTAGTGTCTGATTTGCATGAGGCTCAGGGGATTGGTTTGACCCTATGACATTCATGTAGCCTGCAAAAAAAACTGGCCCTCCCACTCTAGCCTTTTAATATGCAAATGCACGGTGCCATGATGTTCCATACACGTGGGGATATGTGGGGTCGGCCATGATGCCAGACACATGTGGGGGCAAGGGCAAGAAGATGAGGGTGGGAATCGCCATGTTTGGGTGGACCCACTTTCTAATGGCCAGTATTTGTATATCAAAGCTTGCTGCTAGGCTCTAAGAGCAGGGCTTTCCTGCTATACAAGAAACGTTTCTGGAGCTACTTTAAAAGAAACAACAACTTCCCAAGGATCCCTTTTCCTCTCTATCTGCCTAAAATAATTTGTTAATAACCCCTATAACAATTCCAGCCCAAGCTTCTGATTTCAGAAACCACGTCTAGCATTCCAGAAGTCAGGTGATCACAGTAGAGATCTAAGTGCTGGATGCCTTTACCTCTACTGGTGATAGGAATGACATGTCCCCTAAGCCCCAGTTATATGGGGATGTCATTTTGCTCTTCTTTCATGTTTAAAGAAAATAACGTCCAACTTCCCATTCGGTGTAAGTTAGAAAAGAGCACCCAATATTTCTCGGAATTCAGAGATTGGGTGTTGCACTTTTTGAAGTTAGTCTTAAAAGTTTCTCATGTAAGCCCCATTTTTCCAATTAAATATCAAGCTTAACTACTGTCAATTCTCTTACCATGGCTGTTGTCAGTAACATGAAAAGAGAATGGGTTTTTGAAGTCAAAGTACTGAATCCAAGGCCAGGCAGTTAGGTAGTATGTCGGCTCTCCAAACTGAATGAGAAGTCAAGAAACAAAATGCAAAAAGAGCAAAATGATCATAGAATTGTACCTGTCCTCTAATGTGGTTATGAAGATTAAATGAATTAATATACATGAAGTGTTTAGAGCTGTGCTTGGGCATAGCATGCATTTAAGATATATTATCTATGGGCACTGTAACTCAGTACCAAGAGTGGGGCTGGGCACCGGAGAACTCATGGAAAAAACATTATTAGAATACTGGGGATAATGGAGTTATATTTACTATTCCAGTATTTAAAGCTCAGCCCAAAGTACTATTGATGAAGTGACTCCCACTTAATGAGAATAATAAATACTAAAAAGAAAATTAATTCAGAACATTCCTCCAAAAGAAAGCCAGTTGCTTATTCAATTACTTTTAATTGCTTATTCAGTTTCTATAGATTATGAATGAAGTCTACTTTTCCAAGCACAGTGCTATTCTTGTGTTTGCACACATACATAAGTATGTGCATTTGTATTATTTTTCTTTTAACTGAAGGTAATGGTAGGCATAGTAATGTTCCTTGAATTAAGACTGTATTTCTTGACTAAGTGAAGAAAACTTCATGACTTCAAATACAGCAGAACTAGATACCTACCACCACAAACAACAGAAACAAGGGTGACTTTTAATACGTAGGGTGACCTACCATCACAAACAACAGTAACAGGGTAAGTAAAGTCAGTGACTAGAGTCATTGTATTAGTTGACTTTCACACTGCTATAAAGATACTACCAGAGACCAGGTAATTTATAAAGAAAAGAGGTTTAATTGACTCACAGTTCTGCATGGCTGGGGAGGCCTCAGGAAACTTACAGTCATGGTGGAAGGCAAAGAGGAAGCAAGGCACATCTTACATGGCAGGAGGAGAGAGAGAGAGAGAGAGAGAGAACAGAAGAAACTGCCGAACACTTTTAAAGCATCAGTTCTCAGTGAGAACTCACTCACTATCATGAGAACACCATGGGGGAAACAACCCTCATGATCCAATCACCTCCCACCAGGTTCCCTCAACACATGGGGATCACAATTCAGATTACAATTCAAGATGAGATTTGGGTGGGGACACGGAGCCAAACCGTATCAGTCATCCAAGTCCTAAACTGAGTATAACCTGGCAGTTAAAGTTATCTGTTAATATAAAAAGTAATGACAATGACATAATTACATTTAGTGAAAGTTGAGAAATTCTAGTATTTCAAATTATGAAAACAACACCATTTTTAATCAAATGCATAAAATAAAAATAAGATTTTAAAAGAAAGAAATTTTTCCAAATCCTGTCACCCATGCAAAATAAGTTTTAATATTTTGTTCTGGATTATTTCTTTTCAGTTCTAACTTTAATTGTGTGTTTATGTGTGTGTGTGTTTGTGTGTGTGTGTAGTTATCGGTGTGTTTACTGTGCATGACGAGATCAAATTTTGTATCATTTCAAATTCTGCTTCACTATGGGCTGCTGAGCCATCATTCTACATATCATTTTTATTCTTTGAGTTGGAATTTACATGCATAAAATGCACCCATCTTAAGCTTACATTTCATGAGTTTTGCCAAATATATACATGCATGTAACCACTACAATCTGTATCAAGACATTTTCACAAGCACAAAAATTCCATTGTGACTTTGCTCAGTAAACTCCCCCATTCCCATTCTCTATCTCAGGCAACCACTGATCTGCTTTCTGTCAGAAAAGATTGTTTTGGAGTTTCCTATAAATGGATTCATATAGTTGTAGTCTTTTGTGTCTTGATTGTTTCATTCAGCATATTTCTCTGTGTGCCAACAGTTCATTTCATTTTTATAGATTTGTAGTATTCCATTGCATGGTATATCACTATTTATGTATCCATATACTTGTTGCTAGATCATTGGGTTGTTTCTAGTTTTAGGGTGTTATGATGAAGGTGTTACAAACATTCACATGCACAAGTCTTTTCATTTTTTCCTTTATCTCTCATTTCTTTTGAATGATTTTCCAGGAGTGGAGTTGTTGAGTCATATGGCAGGTTTATGTTTAATTTTATAAGAAACCTCAAAAATGTTTTCCAAATGTTGTACCATTTTAAAAATTCTGTGGCAGTTCCAATTGCTCCATATCCTTGCCAACAGTTGGTGTTATCCATCTTTTTAATTTTAGCCGTTCTAACTGGCATGTAATTGTATTTTATTGTGGTTTGATATTTTATTTCCCTAATAGCTATTGATGTTGAACATTTTTCATGTGCTTGTTGGTAATTCTTGCATCTTCTTCAGTGAAGTGTCAAATCTTACTAATATCTATATTAGTATTCTCTCTCTCTCTCTCTCTCCACACACACACACACACACACACACACCTGTATAGCTTATAACTATATACTATATGTGTTAGATGTACATATTTCAAATATTTTTCTCAGTTTGCAACTTGCCTTTTTATTCTGTTAATTGTCTATTAAAGAGCAGAATATTTTAATTTTTATTGTCTGATTTATCATTGTTTTGCATTTATAGTTCATGCTTTTTGTGTCCTAAGAAATTCTGTCTACCCTAAAACTTTAAAATATTTTACCATTGAGTATAATGCTAGCTGTGTTTGTTGATGTTTTTTATGTGGTTATAGAAATCTCCTATTCCTAGTGTGTTAGTAGTTCTTTTATTATGAATAAATGTAAAACTTTACCAGATGCCTTTATGAATCTACTGAGATGATTGTATAGGTTGATTACACTGATTAAATTTTGAATGCTCATTCTACCCTGTGTTCTTAGGATGAGACACACTTGGTCAGGATGAATTATACATTTATATAGTGCTTCATTTGATTTTCTGAAATTTTCTTAAGGTTTTTGCACTTATGTTCATGATGGATATTGATAATCTATGGTTTTCTTTCCTTGTTTTATGTAAGAGTAATGTTCAGCTCCTAGAATGAGTTGGAAAGTGTTCCCTTCACCTCCATCTTCAGAGGAAAAAAAGTGTGTAAGGTTAGTATTATTTCTTTCCTTAAATATTTTGTATTATTCACCAATAAAAAGTTTTAAATTACGAATCCAACATTTTTAGTAGAGATAGTACTATTAATATTATCTATTTATTCTTGAATTTGTTTTGATGATTTGTGTCTTTCAAACACAGTCCATTTCATCTGAGTGGTGAAATTTATAAATTGTTCATAATATATTCCCTTATTATAGTACTACTATAGTAATATAGTAGGATGTTTAGTATATCCCTTTTTTCCCATCTTGATGTTAGCAATTTGTTCCTTATCTATTTTTTTATTGGTTAGTCTAGCTAAATGTTTAATCAGTTTTAGTGCTTTTTTCCCCAAAGAACCAGATTTTGGTTTCACTATTTCTCTTTATTATTTGCCTTGTTTGCAGTTTCATTAATTTCTGCTCTTATTTTTGATATCCTCCTCAAGTCTTTCACTTACTGTGGGATTAATTTGTTCTTCTTTCCCTTTTTAAGATGAAAGCTAAGACATTTTTTTCTTTCATAATATAAGCACATAAAACCACATATTTTCCTCTAAACACTAATTTAACTTCATCCTACAATATACGGTAAGCTGTGTTTTTATGACTCATAGATTATTTCAAACTATGTTGTTTAATTTCCAAGTATTTGGGCATTTTCCAAATGTCTTTCTGCTATTGATTTATAACCTAATTCCATTATGGTTAGGAAACATTTTCTATATAATTGAAATCCCTTTAAATGTGTTGAGACTTCTTTTATCGTTTAGCTCTTCTTGGGCAAATCTTGGAAAATCTTAATGTCAGAGATACTTCAGCTTTATTACTAAGTCATGATCATTTCAGAATCTCCACTGAATGCCCTCAGATCATCCCCAAAGACTCTCAGTATTCTCCCACCACAGCTCAAGCACCTTCCCACCTTATATTATATCTGAAAATTGTTTTGCTTACAATTAGCCTGGAATTCTTCAGCTCATCTTGAGGGTTTTCTCCTATGCATAGGTGAGGGATCCCCCAAAGGGATCCCTATGAAGATTTGTGACTTTGTTTTCCAGCATAGCTCCTTTCTTTCCAAACATGTTCTTTACAACCTCTAGGCTCATCAGCCTCCCCAGATATTTGATGATCTCCATCTGCTCTACTGGGGTATTTCTGGTTTTTCTCTCTCATGCACATGATCTAGATATTTCTTCCCTGGAGAAAGCTAGAACTCAATCATATTTTCCACTTCTGTCAAAAATCCCAGATCTTTATAACCTGTTGTTTGACGTCTGAACATGCTTGTGATATGTTCACCCACATACACACACACATGCACACGCACACACACATACACACACACAATCATATTATAGTTTTCTTGTTGCTCCCAGTACAGAGGGAGGTTAAAGCTAGTCCTTGTTATATTTTCCTGTTCATAAAAGTAGAAGACAGTTTATTTTTACCATGTGACAAGATATTTAGGTTTATGCAGTCTTGGACTAATATAACATATCCCCAGTGTCATCAGGAGTAAGGCTACCTCTGCATTTCTCTTGTGCTTCCTTAGACTGTGGCTTTCCTCCTCATGGCCATGATACAACTGCTCTACCTCGAAGCATTCCAGTAGCATTGCAGAAAGAAAGAAATACGGTCCATATCACAAATGTTGTTAAAAGCTCTAGAAGAGCTATGGAGTAAAATACGGAATATGTGTACCTTATTTTCATACATTTAGATAGGTCCCAATATTTCATTATTTGTGAATTTCTTAAAAACTTGAATCCTTAAAATATCTTTTTCTAAATAGAATTCTTGTTATATCCGTCCTCCAAATAGATTATTTTTCCTTTGAAGGGATAAGGGCATCCCCAAGATGTGATCAAGAAATTTAAATTACAACTTCTGAAAGGAGAATTTGACCTAATTAACAAATATTATTTTGTTTGCATATTATTTTATTTTTATTTTTTATTTTGTTGCAGTAGTTTTGGGGGAACAGGTGGTTTTTTGTTTCATGGGTAAGTTTTTTAGTGGGGATTTCTGAGATTTTGGTGCTCCCGTCACCTGAGCAGTGTACACTGTACCCAATGTGTAGTCTTTTATCCCTCACCTGCCTCCCATCCTTCCCCCATAAAAAGGAACAAATAAATATTATCTTAATGCAAGTAAATGTTCCTTAGAGTTTTGTTTAAAAAGAGGACCCAAGGGATTCTTTCTCTTTCCCTCTCTTTTTCTGCTCAATTTGTTTTCTCTTTCAATTTTTTACTCCTTTATTTTCCTTTAAAATGTTTCTTTTCTTTCCCTCTTCTAGCTCTCCCTGAGTTTTTCTTTCTCTTTCTTCTTCCCTTTACTCTCTTTCTTTCCTCTTTTCTATCTTTCTCTTTTACCCCATATCCATTTTTTCTTTACTGTATAACAGCATTATATGACATTTCTAGAAGGTCATAGTCCTTAAATTAAAACAACATTTAAAAATTTTTAAATTTCATTTACCCTTTAATTTTGACTTTAGTTAAGTGAGAATATTAAGGCCCTTAAACATACAATGTCTAAAAAAAACCTAAAATATTTTTTTCATAAATGTTTCTTCTGATTTTCAAAATATGTATTATGTTCATAAGAATGTAGCTATTAAGACTACCATGTGATTTTAATTTGGTATTGATCTGTATAATGTCAAAACTGAAAATAGATGACAGCATTATTGATATACCATTTCAAAATGAAGGTGTGTGTATATTACAGCACACCCAGGTGTTCTGTGAAAGGTCCCCCGGGGGATTAATAATTTCATAAAACAGGTTCTCTTT
Organism: Homo sapiens; assembly: GCF_000001405.40. Lineage (NCBI taxonomy): Eukaryota > Metazoa > Chordata > Mammalia > Primates > Hominidae > Homo > Homo sapiens. The sequence continues at coordinate 7,807,570 of NC_000016.10, read as the reverse complement.
TGGAGCTTGGCTTTCTTAAATAAAATTTTGCCATTATTCTCATGTCAAGAGAAGAGGATAGATTTTCTTTGTGATAGCATTATTCATAACAAAGGGATTGGGGGGTGGATTCCAGGAGACATAAATTAGTGGAAGGTGACCAATCAAACAGGTTTGCCCAGGACTATCCCAATTTGAGTATGAACATCCCAAATCTGGAGATACTCCCTAGTCCTGGGCAAACTGGGATGGTTTGCCCAAGGTTGTTTGTCATCACTACATGTCCATGCCCCTTCAAAAGTCTCCATCTTAGACCAGCTAGCACAGTTGGTCACTCTAACACAGTGGTCCCAACCTTTTTGGCACCAGAGACCAGTTTCATGGAAGACAGTTTTTCCACCCATGGAGGCTGGGGGATGGCTTGGGGATGGTTTAAATGCATTACATTTATTATGTATTTTATTTGTATTATTATTACATTGTAATATGTAATGCAGTTATTATATAACTCACCATCATATAGAATCAGTGGGAGCCCTGAGCTTGTTTTCCTGCAGCTAGACAGTCCCATCTGGGGGTGATGGGAGACAGTGACAGATCATCAGGCATTAGATTCTCATAAGGAGCATGCAACCTAGATCTTTTGCATGCACAGTTCACAATAGGGTTCATGCTCCTATGAGAATCTACTGCTGCCACTGGTCTGACAGGAGGCGGAGCTCAGGAGGTAATATAAGTGATGGGGAGCAGCTGTAAATACAGAGGAACCTTCACTCACTCACCCACCACTCACCTCCTGCTGTGCAGCTGGGTTTCTAACAGGCCACAGACCAGGGCCGGTCCATGGCCCAAGGGTTGGGGACCCCTGTTTAATGAGTGGGAAAAAGAGGTCTAGTAGGCCCAAAATGTATGTAATGTGTATGAGACCTGGGTTGTTTCTGCACAGGTATAATTTTGTGTTGAGTGTTTCACAGCTTATTATCTCATTTAATCATCACAGTTATATTCTTCTTCTTCTCTTTTATAGTATTCATTCTTAGCCCCATAACCCATGCTCAAAAGAGAGCACATTTACCCAAGCAGGGTTCACCCTCACCAAACCTCCCTGGGAACATATCTGATGCTTTTAGGAGAAAGAAGCTTTTTCTCTTCTTGGCACCCCAAAGCTCTGATACTATAAGCCAGGACCTCTCTTCAGCTCTTTGTAGAAGCCCTTCTAAAGCACAAGAAAGGAAAGACAGGACAGAGAGAGACACTCACCTGGGTAGAGGACAGGAAAGGACTAGAGAAGATGGGAAAAGAAGGAAGGAAACAGGAGAAAAGAAACTGATAAAACTGAATCCCTGAATTCCCTGAATTCAGCGACGTGTCTGGAATTCCAGTCAGTCTCCCAGTTGATGTCGTCATTATTGCTTCCAGCTAGATTGAGTTGGTTTTTTTTTCTTCCCTGTTTTATCTTAGAGATAAATATTTCCCAAACAATTCACTATCTTTTTTGGGGGGAGATACGAGGTCTGCATCCCAAATCTCTCGTGTCTCATAAGTAGAATTTAAAGGTATTGGAAACACTCTGGTGCATACATGTGCATGCGCTTAGCATTTCAAGTCTGTTTAAGCTATAATGATAATAATAATTCATTATGGACATTAGAGGGGGCTGCTGTTCAGGTCTGTGATAAGCTTAGCAAGACACTTGGCTCTCAAAACTTCACCCCAGCCCTCCTTCAGGTTCGAGCCAAGCAGGCATGGTCTTTCTCTTGGATCTTTCTGTCTGAGTGGAGTTTTGGCAGAAGTGCCTTCAATTTGTTTGCTTTTGAGATTTGTTGTCTTGCCTGAGTAAGCGTTAAACAGAAGGAAACCTCTCTCTCAAGGTGAAAAATTACTTTTAAATTTTCCACTTAGGAAACCGCGTCTCTGCGCTTCCGCTGGAGAGTAGCACGAAGGCTAACCTCGGGGGCTCTGTACGAAGCCGAGACAGCTTTGGGTTGGGCCTGTCTGCAGACAGACATCTCCCTTGTGTTTCTGCTACCTCTCCAACTTACCTCGTTTTTATCTTCCAGCCACCCCACCCCCCCGCCCCCCTGAAGGTCTAAATGACTTTGAAAGCCTTGGGATAAACAGATATCCACTGTGATGCCAATTTGCACGGTTCTTTCCTATTGATTTAGCTTGTAATTTATTTCTTTATTTCTGACACATTTCACTTACATTCGCAGGTAAGGGCGAAGTGCTGAAGCTAGAAAACCGTAATTAAATAATCGGGTGTCTGGCAGGCCCAGGGAGGCTGCGAAGCTGCTGTTTGTTTCCCTTTTCCTGCGCGGGTCATTCCTAAGAAGACAGAGATGGGAGTGGCAAGCGATGGGGAGGTAAAGTACTTCTCTTAGAGGCATGGGCTGGCTTTATTTCTGTAAATAATAATCAAAGCAGCTTTTCTTGCTGAATTATGGCAGTTCCCTCAAAGTGCCATGAAATGGTCTATTATTACTCCTTGCATGAGCGCTTCCCTCAGCTGGGAGCTGGGGAGAAACAGGCCCACTGTGTCATCCATACCAAAGCCTTTAATGAGATGATGGGACATGCAAACTGCACACTGCGCAATATTTTTCTTCCCGACTCAATCTATATTAAGTCGATAGCCTGCTGAAACCCGAGGTTCGGTGCATTTTTTCAATTTAGTTGCTGTCGATGTCTCTGAAAGTGCTGATTCCATCAAACCACCCCTCTCCCACACAGATTTCAATAACTGGAGAAAGAGAAATTCCATTAGCAGGCGATGGCGCTTTAAACAAACAGCATGGCTTCCCTTTTTCATCCACTTTACCTCTGATCAGCCTGTCTGCTCGTCAGGAATTATTAGAATATGTGAAGCCACCTTCCCAAGGAAAGCTATGAGAGGGCCTTTATGTACTCATGAAACAGTGGGTGGAATAATTGATGGCACTGGTTATTTATGAAGCCGATAAGCTGTGTTATAAAAACAAAATACACAAAAATCCCTTAATAGGCAAATAACAACGACAAAAAAAAAAAAAACGACAGAAGAGTGGGTTGCTTCGGGTAACACCAAGTCAGGGGTCCGAAAGCTTTTCCTATAAAGGGCCAGATAGCAAAGATTTTTTGCGTGCAGGATCAATTACATGTTTGTTACATATTATTTTCTGTGGTTTTTGTTGTTATTCTTGCTGTTATTTTACAACCCCTTAAACACATAAAAAACAAAGCGTTCTTAGCTCAAGGGCCATAAAAAAACAAAACAAAAACAAAAACAAAAAGAAAAACAGCTGTGGCTCTGTTTGTCCTTCTCCAAATGATGTTTGGCTGGACTTGAGTCTTGCCATTAAGTTTCAGGGCACTGTAAAAAGTGGTTGTGTATCATTGAGAAATCTCCAGGTTTAGAGGTAGTCTGTTCTGAGCTCAAACTCAACTGAAAGTACTGCTGGTAGGATCATCTTGGATTAGTTTTTGACTTCTCTGAACTCCATTTTTCTCATCTAAAATATGCAAATAACACCTATGTTAGTGGATGGCAATTAGTCTTAAAGGCAGTAACCGTGTGTGTGTGTGTATGTGTGTTTTAGTTCAAAGCTAAAATCTTAATGCTTACACCAGTAGACATTCAATAAATGGTTAAGGAATAAAATGGATGTTAATAAAACATTACCTATGAGAGAAACTTGGGAAAAAATTATTGCATACAAGTTTAGAAAATATGGACAATTAAAACAATAGAAGAAACAAAGGCATTGCTTAGGCCAGGGCCAAAAGAGTGCATTTGTTTCAAGAAGTAACAGAAATAATTTCATAAGAATATAACCATGGCTGAATCCCCAGTGAGATTAAATGGTAGCCACAAAGGGCATTTAAATGTTGCCAGTCTTTCTCGTTTGATTCAACCTGGGTTTTCAGAATGCTATGAGCAGAGGGAATTTTCCTCATTCCTGAAAGAAAGAGATGTAGAATAAATGAGAGTAAATAAATGGGAGTAAGAGGAAAGGATGAAGCTGGCTGGACATGTGACGGGTAGACCAAGAGCCTACCCTTGGTCTAATATAACCACATGCACATACATACATACTGGAGTGCAGTTATTTTACACACACACACACACAAACACACACACACACAGATTTAGAATTTTTTTGTTTTTTTTTGAGTTGGAGTTTCACTCTCGTTACTCAGGCTGGAGTGCAGTGGTGCGATCTTGGCTCACCACAAGCTCTGCCTCGCAGGTTCAAGAGATTCTCCTGCCTCAGCCTCCCGAGGAGCTGGGATTATGGGTACACGCCACGACGCCTGGCTAATTTTGTATTTTTAGTAGAGATGGGGTTTCTCCATGTTGGTCAGGCTGGTCTCAAACTCCCGACCTCAGGTGATCTGCCCACCTCGGCCTCCCACAGTGCTGGGATTACAGGCATGAGCCCCCATGCCCGGCCTAGAAGTAATTTTTGAATTCCTTTTTGGTCTTCTCTATAGGAAGGTGACTGCTTTGAGGCTAGATGTATCTGTATCACTGTATCATCTTACACACTTAACAAGTACTCAGTTAATGCTTAAGGAATTAAAAGATGGTGATACTTTTATTTCTTCCCTTTAAGAAAAAAATTGATTTATGAAAAAATAGTGACTGAAGCTTCAGTTGACCTTATAGGTTATATTAGAGAGGAAGGAGCAATGGAAGTATCATGTATAATGACCAACATGGAAAACAGAAACGGTGAAAAGACTGTGGTCATGTTTACATTAGTCACATTATTTTAAAGATGCTGACAGGCCAGGTTTGGTGGCTTATGCCTGTAATCCCAGCACTTGGGGAGGCCAAGGCAGGTGGATCACCTGAGGTTGGGAGTTTAAGACCAGCCTGGACAACATGGTAAAACCCCCTCTCTACTAAAAATACAAAAACAGTTGGGTGTTGGGAGGCTGAGGTGGGTGGATCACAAAGTCTGGAGTTTGAGATCAGCCTGGCCAATATGGTGAAACCCCATCTCTACAAAAAATACAAAAATTAGCCAGGTGTGGTGGTGGATGCCTCTAATCCCACCTACTTGGGAGGCTGAGGCAGGAGAATTGCTTGAACCCGGGAGGCAGAGGTTGTGGTGAGCTGAGATTGCACCACTGCAGTCCAGCCTGGATGACAGAGCGAGACTCCGTATCAAAAAATAAAGAATAAATAAAAAATAAAGATGCCGACAAAGTTCTGTATATTTCTGAAAGCACCAGGAATATACAAACAGCTATCTGATTTGATGACACGCACAAAAGCCTTACTAATAGTAAATCTTTTTTTTTGGGTGTGGTAGAAAGAATACGGAATTTATTGCTCCTAATATGTCTTTCATCCTCTAGTGCTGGGATAAAGCAATTGTGAGAAAATATTTATTATAGAATCTAGGTGATACACGCATAAAATTCACTGTGAAATTCTTTTTAACTTTATCATGCAATTTAAATTTTTCTAATTCAATATATAAAAAAATACTTCATCCTCTACTTTTAACCATGTGTATTGTTTTCTCTGAAACTTAATTTCATCACTTATAAAATGGAATAACCAGACCTATCTGGCAGGGTCCTCTTGAGGATCAGTCTAAACATTCCACCTTCACGTTCTTGTAAAGGGAAAATCACTGCGCAAACGTTGTTCACAAAATCTGCACTTAGGCAAATCTTTTGTTTTAACTCTACTTTGTAATAGAGAACGTACGCACTTAACAGTATAAAAAGGATATTATTTTTTGTTAACTCTATTTTTTAATAGAAAATGTACATATTTGAGAGTACAAAAAGGTTTACAGTAAAGAGAAATTCTCCCTCTGCCTCCAGACTCCCACAGTTTCCCCTTCTAGGAGTGATCACAATCTTTCCAAATAGTAGTATAGTAAACACCTCTTGCATCTGTAGTGATGTCACTTTTCTTTTTATTTCTAGTATTATGTACTTGTAACGTGCTTTTTTCTTCCTTCTTAACCAGCTTTGCATGAGTTTTGTCAATTTTATTAGTCTTTCTTAAAAAAAATCTGTTTTTCCCTTTGTGATCCTCTCTACTGCAATTTTAATTTCTATTTCTTTAATTTCTGCTTTTATCTTTATCTCTTCTTTGTATATCTTCTTTGGGCTTACTCTGTTGATGCAGAGTACACTTATTTTATTTATATATACATATACACACATGCATACATACACAAGTTTAGAAGTAATTTTTGAAATTTCTTAATCTGTATTTATTTTAACCAAGTTTAGCAACAGATTTGCAATTTAATTACATTGTGGTTTGAAAAATGTGGTCTGTACAACACCCATTATTTGAAAGTTAGTAATGCTTGCTTCATAGCCAGTGCCTAATTACTTATATTATACCTGTTTCCTGTGTGCCAGGATAGAGTACATATTCTCCTGTTGCCCTATATATCACTAGGTCAAAAGCCTCAACTAGGAATATGGGCATGATGGCACCTATTCTCTCAAATCTTCACCTAAGAATAAGACAAAGCTATATTTAACATCTTGTTGTGTACACAATGGCTCTCAGATGAGTGAAAAACAGATATGCAACAAACGTTTGCTGTGATCTTTTTTTGGATGCGATGTTGATGGTTTGATTACTTTTTGGTCTTCTCTGTTGGAAGGTGCCTGCTTTGAAGTCAGGAGTGTCAGTATCACTGTGTCATCATATACACATGACAAGTACTCAGTCAATGCTTGAGGAATTAAAGGAGGGTGACACTTTTATTTCTTCCTGATAAGAAAACAATTGATTTATGAAAAAAGAGAGATTGAAGCTTTGGTCGACTTTATAGGTTGTAAAATAGGTTATATTAGAATGATCCTAAAATTCTCTTTTACTGAATTTCTTTACATATAGAAATCAATGACCCACTCTCAGGTTTGATATATGTGAGAACTCCCTGCGATTTTTGTGAGTGGAAAAGAGGCTGGTGGGAAGACCAGATAGCCTCTGGATGTGTCTCTAAGTTGTGCCAGTAGTTTTTGTAGAGATGGGGGCACGGAGATATTTCGGGTCTTCAGCAGAATAGAATAAAGCATTTTACTATCCATTGGTTGTGAAATGTCTTAACCTACTGATGAATAAATCAGATTATCGGATTAAATAAGAGTAGGGGGTCTCTGAGATCTGGAAACCTTATGGCACCCATGGATCTCCCTGCCCACTCAGATGTTGTCACATCGGAGGGTAAACCCAGCCATAAAACCTCATCCTTCTGCAACTCAGAGCTACTGCGATAGGGAATAGAGGGGGATGGAAAAAGACACCATGTTTCTGCATGTATCTGCCCTTCAGTGGAGGAAAAAGAGTACAGGATTTGGAGTGAGATTGCTCTTAGTTTTCCATGTTTCTCATGTGAAATGTTTTAATATAATATGGATAATTATAGTAAGTATTGTCATTTGCCCTAGTTGGTATGTAAAATAAATGAACACAGAGATATTGAGTGATTTTCCAATGGATATTGCAGATGTTGAATAAACTTTAGCTATTGTCACTACAATTGTAACAACTCTGATACAACATGTCTGCTGAAGAAGGGTCTCTGATATTTAGTGGGTCGGGGGAGCAGGGGAGACTCTGTCCATGGTATGCAAATAATCCTGTAGCTGACGATGCTGTCTTCCTTAGAGAGTTAAGTCAAGGTGGAACCCATCACATTTTGTGACTGAGTTACTCCTCTTCATTTTATTGGTTGTCTTGGGTAGTGTGCTAGGATCTTGCATGGCTCCTTTCTCCTTACAAAACAGTGTGCTCACAGATTTGTCGACTGGAAGGGAACTTTGAGATTGGCAAGTACAGGGCTCTGAAATTGTGGCTGACCAGTGCCCTATTCACTATAAATGCAGATTCTCTCCGATGTTGGAGAACATAAGGGTCTCTGCAGGGGAGAATCAGACAAAAATCGTGGCTCTATTACAACCCAAATCCCATTTAAAACATGCACCAATTGAAGCCCAAGTGGGGGAAATTGTTTTCTCAAGGTCGTTTAGTTTACACTGGCTGATACCAGACTTGGGGCTGACATCTGATGAAAGCTGAATTTATGCTTGAAGTACAAATACTCAATTCACCCTTCCATTTCAGTGGTGCATCCCAATAAATTATAAATTTAAAACTTCTAAAGATAAAAGCCACAGTAAAAGTAGTTGCTACTAACTTTGCTTCCTAACTAACTTCTGTTATATGCAGGTTTGTTTTTAAATATTTAGAAGTACAAAAAAAAAAAGAGAAAGTTTGTTTTATGTAAGATATCTTCAAAAGGAACCTTGAGAAGACTATCGGGTGAGGAAAAAGAATTAGGGAAAGCCAAACTCAAGGAAAAATAGCAGGTGATGAAGACCCATATAGGAACTGAAATTATCTTCACGCTTATTTATAACCATGATGTGGATAAGTGCCATGTACCAAGTAAACAACAACAAAAAAGTCATGTGGAATAAAACCATGTGTCAGAGAGGACTTTTCTGTGTTGATTTTGTATTGTGCAAGGAGAGATTTAAAAGTGAGAAATAAGCCAGGCACGGTGGCGCACGCCTATAATCCCAGCACTTTGGGAGGCTGAGGTAGGTAGATCACCTGAGGCTAGGAGGTCAAGACCAGCCTGGCCGACATGGTGAAACCCCGTCTCTACTAAAAATACAAAAATTAGCCGGATGTGGTGGCATGTGCCTGTAATCCCAGCTCCTCGGCAGGCTGAGGCAGGGGAATCACTTGAACCCAGGGGGCGGAGGTTGCAGTGAGCCAAGATCATGCCACAGCCCTCCAGCCTGGGCAACAGAGCAAGACTCCATCTCAAAAATAAATAAATAAATAAGTGTGGTAAACAGAACAGGGTCATGTTTGGTTGAAAGAAAGATATATACACACAACAAATAAAAAAACAAAAACTAAGAAAGAAAAAAAAAGAAAGAAAGATATATAGAAGTGAGTTAGAACCTACAGTTGCTAAGCATCATTAAGAAAGATAGGAAAAGTGTGGGTGAGGGAACCCACTTCCTTGTTGCTCCCTGACTCAAAGTGAAAACATGTTTATTAAAAGCCAAGTACTTTGACAACAATGAAGTTTAGTTGCCAAAACATTTAACAGGTTCTGAGATGTCATATTGATTTGAACCTTGCTCTAAATGGCACATTATGTTATTAGAAGAGAAAATTAAAAATCAAAACGTGGGCAAAGTATCTAATTAACAGCAATCCTTTTGCATAAAAATGCTGGGAGGAGTGTATTGCAGGACACTTTATTGCCTTTTTTGATTATCCCCTGACAGCCTACTGAGGAGATACAGCCATGTTTAATGGAAGTCTCTCACCTAGTTTAGGGTTACACACCTAATTGCTTAAATATCAATGTGTGGGGATTTGGGGCTGCTGTGTACAATTCAACTCCATAGTACAAGCTGCTACGTGGTCATAGAATGGTGGAAAGAAGGGATTTTGAAGTCAGAGAGAACTCAGCTTAATTTCTGAGTTTAAATTCTAGCAAGTTTTAAAAATCTCTCTCATCCACAGAATGGAAGAAATATAAAGATCCTTGCGGAATTGTTTGAATAGATGTCATTTTAAACAACTATCACTCCTATCAAATGTGGAGTCCATAATTGGCAGCTATTAGTATTGTCAGCAGTGTTAAACAGTATCATGAAACAGCATATGCTCAGAGAGATGTTTGTTATCAAGAGTTTCTTGTACTGCTGATTAATTCTATTTTGTAACATGCTTTAACAGATGTAAACTCACACATATCAGATTCCTTCACCAATGCTGGATCCCCTTGAACCTTTGACTCAGCCTCCTGTTGGGAGAGTCATCTAAGCTTGCAGAGACATACTTCTCATTCTTCTTCTTGGCTACCAGCCTAGGGCTGATACAGCAGAGCTTGATGTACATGACAGTGTTGGTGGCTATGTTGGGTGTCCCTGTCAATAAACTTATATTGACTATTAAGTAGCTGGGCCTTTAAAGACTGGGATAAACCTTGAAGACAAGATTGCTATTGGTATAGGTAGAAACACATTAAGGGATAGCCTTGGGCACAGGGACCCAATCTTCAGTGAAGAGCAGGACCTTTATTTTGATTTCTCGTAGGAAATGCACTTCACACTAGATATTTATACAGTAGATCCATGTGTTTGAGAACAAATAAGGGGCTCAACTGAACTGCTACATCTCCGTTTCCTCTAATCCTAAGGTCCCATGGTTTTCTCACCACTGAAAAATCCTGCAGAGGAGGTCCAAGGCATTCGTGAATGATTTGTCATAAAACTTTCATAAATATCTGCATATGTGCCTATTGCTATTTGATGGAATGACCCTCAATGATCCATGACATGCTTTGACTTCCTCATCTGCTACATGCTTTTAATAATAGCCTTGGAAATTTGCTTGGTTTTGTGGACTCTACTAAATGGAGAAGAAAAGCCTGTATCCTGTGTTGAACAGAGATGCACAGAGCCAGAGAGAGAGGAGATGGAGTTATAGGGGATTCTCTGAATTGCTACATGACTCGCTTTTCCTTCCCACAATCTGTGTTCTTTCAGTCTCAGCAAAGGGGCAAATGGATGAACAGATATATCAGTGGAGTTTACAGATCTTGGAAGAGTTGGAGGTGAAACTATAAACTCAATGTATGTCAGAATACTCTTTACCATTAAGACACACATAACTGAATTTATCCCCTACACTCTTCTCCAGTCTTCAACAAGGCTCTGAAAGCCACAGGCTATAAAAATTGACTATGACAAACAAAAGCAAAAAAACAGCTATGTCCAAAGCCATTCATGACAGCATTATTTGCAGTATTAAAAGATTGGATGCAAACAACCCAGATTTCCATTGGTGAGAACTGATTGAATTATCCATATAAATCCACACAAGGAGTCCTATGCTACTATAAAAAAGTAATGAGAAATATCTGTATATGGTCCCACGTAATTATCTCTAGAATATATTGTTAACTAAAAAGAGGTAAGGTGGAGGTAAGTAGGTATAGGGTACTGAGGTTTACCTCAGGGTAAGCAAATAGGTGTGAAGGGAATTTTCGTTTAGAAGTATTCCACTGAATGGAGAAGGAATCATTGAATAAAACTATTGTAATTTTAAAATTCTGATTAATTAGTGAATTAGGTAATGATCATAAAAGGCTGATTATCACAAAACAATAGAGAATCAGACCCTATATGCCTTTGATATAAGTACATAATGCCATCTAAGAAGTGTGATTGAGTGGATCAATCAGTGTGATTTTGGTGGCTCCAAAATCATTGAACCTGATATCAACAAACCTCTAAACCTACATATAAATTTATAAGAAATGCAGGAGACAGGAACAGGTTTAAACATCCTAATTGGATATAATCAGCAAAATCCAGACTATAAAAAATTCTACATGACAAATGATCTAGTTTATTAAAAAATAAAAATAGAAGGGATGGAGGAGGATTTTTTTTGCCCAAAGAAGATATTTGATATTATGAATTTTTGTCAATTTTTATGTGTAAAAATGGGATGTGGTTATTTTTCAGGGAGGTTATATTTTAGTGATACATGATGAAATATTTGCAGATTAAGTGATGTTCCAACATTTGCAACAAAATCTAGAGATTGGAGAGTGGGTGGTGGTAGAGAAGAACAAGATTAGCTGTGTATTGATGATTGTTGTTTCAGTAATAGGTAAATCAGGTTCATTATGCTATTTTCCTTGTGTATATGTTTGAAATTTTCCATAACAATTGTCACAGAAAAATGCTTGTTTTCTTGATTCCAAAGATCAAATCGGATCCATAAATATTATGAGTAGAAATGTGTCTACTTAGATATATAGAAGTATCTATAAGCCATATATCTCTTCATTATTAATAATTAATTTTTTTGAGACGGGGTCTTGCTCTGTCCCAGGCTGAAGTGCAGTGGCGCAATCATAGCTCACTACAGCCTCTACCTGCTGGGCTTAAGTGATCTTCCCACCTCAGCCCCCCAAGTAGCTAGGACTGCAGGTGCACAGCACCATACCCAGCTAATTTTTATTCTATTTTTTTTGTGTAGAGACAGGGTCTCGTTACATTGCCCAGGCTGGTCTAGAAGTACTGAGCTCAAGAAATCTCCTGCCTCAGCCTCCCAGAGGGCTAGGATAACAGGTGTGAGCCACGGTCCCCAGCCTAATTATTTTTTATTCTAGTGACTACACTATACCATTCGAGATCCTAAGCACTTTATCTATTTTTACTGATTTAATTAGCCCAATAACCCTGGGGTAGGTATTATGATAACCTCATGTTAAAGATGAGGCCACTGAGGCATAGAAGCCAAGTAAGCTGTTTAAGGTCACATAGCTCATAAGGGCTGTGCCAGGAAGGCAATGGTGGCTGGCAGCCTAGCTCCATAACCCATGTTCTCAATCACTAATTGAAATGTTTGGATGTGTATCATGAAAATGAGCAGCAAAAACATGAAAATCAACATAAATGACTGCTAATATTTATACTGAGCACTATTCCGTGAAATGCACTGTACTAGTTCCTATCTATTGTCTTTAATTCAAGACAGTCCTGTAAGGCAGTGTTACTATTTTTATTTTACAGAAGAGAATGAGAAAACTCAAAGAAAGTAGTAGATCATCCATCATGACTCATCCTCTGGCAGAGAGAGAATATCGTATCAGTTATCTATTGCTGAGCAATAAACCACCGAACACTTATTAATTTAAAACAACAGCCATTAATTTAGCTCATTACTGTGAGTCAAGTTAGGCTGAGTTCAGTGGGGTGGTTCTGCAGACCTTTGCTGGGCTTCCGCATCCGTCTGTTATGAGCTGCATTAAGCTTTGGTGGCTCTGCATGTGAAGGATGTCTGGCTGCTGGGTGGAGCACTTTGGTTCTCTTCCATAAGGTGTCATTCTCCAATAGGCTAGCTTGGACTTGTTCTCATGGTGGAGGCACAGGTCAAAGACCAAGAGTGGACTCATGTAAAGCATCTCTTTTACCACATTCTATTAGCCAAAAGCCAATCAGAAGGCCAGCCCAGATTCAAGGAATGAAGACTCAGACTCCATCTCTTGATGAGAGGATCTGAAAAGTAACATGGTAAATAGAGTGGCTTTAGCAAAAGGAAGAAAAATGGGGCCATTTTTGCAATGAAGCTACCAAAAGCACAAACCCAGCTTTGAGTAATTTGAGAGAGACTGCATACCTTTCCATCATTTTCATTTCTAATGCAGATTTAGCTTACTTTTTTACCAACTTGTTCTGAACTTATCTAAATCAGAATTCTCCATCCAGCTAAATTTTAAGTGCTGAGCCAGTAAGTACTAGAGCAAGATACCAAAGGTTTGCTGCTGTGACTTGCCAGAGGATAGGATTACACCCTAGGACAGCAGAAGACTGGATGTCATAGGAAGGAAGAGCATTAGCCAAAAGCCCCAGTTACGAGGTAATGAGAAATTCCGACAAGTAACAACAGCCATGCAGCCATAATAGAATTTCAATGAGATAAATTCCACTTTCTGCCCAAGTTTAGCCACTCAGGGAAGAAACAATTACCTTGTGAAAATGGACCACTCTCCTTATATTATCCCTTCATTAAAATATTCAAATGAAGGTAACAACACCGTTATAAGCTCATTTATAAAGAAAAATAACATTAATGCATTTAACGCTAACGCTTTTACCTCAGAGCGCTTTCTAGAGATGTTAAAATGTGAAGTTTATAAAATGTTCAGTGATGTTGAACTTGAATTGCAACCTAATGCTTGAATTGCTACATTTAACATTAAAAACATGTTATTAATCTTCAATTTAGGGTAGAATAACTTTCGCTCACTGTGTAGGAAAAAAAAAGTCCAGTTATGATGGGATTTCATTCAGCTCAAATTTGCTTTAATTGCAATTCTATTAAATTAGAAATAAACGTTTTATCCTGATATGATTCTTTGATGTCTTTAGTCTTAATGCTAATAAAAAGCATTATCACCACAGGCGTAGCTGCATTCTGTACAATAATTAGTGCTTAAATTAAAGATGTGTCAAGCTACCTAAAAGTAATTTGAAAAACTAATGCAAAAGAAGTAAAACAGGTGAAATTCTGGGGGTATTTTAGTTTCCTACACCTTTGCCAACATGAGTGTTTCATTATTTCATTTTATTTTAATGATAACAATAATACCATTAAGAATAATACCTTCAAGCCATGGTTAAATAAAGTAGTGTAAAGCAACTGAGTGAAACAATTTATAGACAAAAAAGGCATTGTAGAGGAATATCTAATAAAATGAAAAAATATAAACATGCATATTAAGTAAAGAAAAAGCTGTAAATTGGTATGTTTAGTTTATCGCATTTGCAAAATATATGTAGAAAAATCTGGGAGGAAACGCAACCAAATGTTAACCAGTTATTAGTAATCTTCAAGTGGGAGATTATAGTGGATTTTTCTTTTACTGTTTTGACTCTGTATTTTATAATCATCTTTACAATTAGCAATATTATTTTCTTTTAGGAGAAAGTCATATGAAAGAACAGAATGTATTCAGCATGACTGAGCTTGTCATAATCGAAGACTGTGCTGTGTTTCTTTGTTAAACCTAAGTAGTGAGATGAGTTCAGGCAGAAAACCATCTGGAAGATGAATGAATGAATGAATTCATGAATGGATATACGAATAAATGATTGAATGAATTCTAGGAGTTGGTATTTAATATATAGCAAACGACAAGGTAGCCAGGAATTATGGCTTTGCTTTTTGTTTTTCCTGTGAAGATCTCTCTTCAGGGTCTAAATCTCTTTATTTTATATAGTAGAGGAAATACAACCATTATGACCCAATAATGCTCTTCTCTGAAGAAAGCCAAATTTGGGGACAGAGCTAAAAAAATGTAAACTCAGCCTCAATACCTTGGGTTAGAGATAGAAATGTCCCTCTGTTCACACAAAAATTAACTGACCTAGATATGGCAATGCAACATTAGACTTTTGAATTTCTCTCTTTGCCAACCTTTGTTAAATATTTCATCAGTGTTGACACCCACTGTGTGTCAGGAAAGAGACCATATGCTATTGGAAAGGCAAAGATAAATGAAGACATGTTTTCCGCCCTTGGGGTAGCTGGAGTAGAGGAACGGGAATCGGCTTTTTAATCCAACATTCCTCGGGTCCAGTCCAAGTGCCACCAGTGACTGGCTGAGTGGTGAGTGCCTTGTCCTCCTTAAACTCCAAGATCTCATCTCTAAAATGAAAAAAATAATAACAGTCCATTAGGTTTTATAAAAATTAAACCAGATACTCTCTAAATGAGCTGGCAAATAGTAAGCTCTCAAAAAAAGGTAACCATCCTCATTAAAAAAAGATATATATTAAAACATGACAAAAATGCAAACTAAGTATTTGTAACATACAATGCACTTGATTTAGGTTCGATGTAACTGTTTTTCACATCTATCTGGTCCTGTCTTCCCTAATTTCTGGAGGAAAAAAAAGACCTTCTGTGCTTATAGTATTTTGATTATATCACGAGTAGTTACAATTGCTGGAAGGGAGATGTTGGTGCAATTGTGATTGTATTATGCCAGAGACTCAGAAATTTCTCACTGCTGCCATGCCAATAACCCTTATTCTGTCTGCATCTTTAAAAGAATTCTCTGATAGAGAAGGGTATATTAGTTATCTATTGCTGCATAACATGTTATTCAATACTTAGAGGCTCAAAACAACCCACACTTATTGGCTGACAGTTTCTGTGGGTGAGGAATCAGGGGCTAGCTAACCTGGATCCTGTTACTCAGTTCTTTTTTTTATTTCTAAAGGTTTTTGGGGAATAGGTGGTGTTTGGTTACATGAGTAAGTCTGTTAGTGGCGATTTGGGAGATTTTGGTGCACCCATCTTCTGAGCAGTATACACCGAACCCAATTTGTAGTCTTTTATCCCTCACCCCCCCTTGCCACTCTTTCTCCCTGAGTCTCCAAAATCCATTGTGTCGTTCTTATGCCTTTGCATCTTCACAGCTATTATTCTAAGTGAACTAACTCAGGAATGGAAAACCAAATATCGTATGTTCTTACTCTTACTCAGTTCTTGGAGACTGCAATGAAAGCATTAGCTAGGGGCTGGGGTCTCCTTTCAAGGTTCAACTGGGGAGACATCCACTTACAAGCTCGCTCAGTCACTCAGAGTTCTTGGCGGGATTCAGCTCCTTGTGGGTTTTGGGTGGCAGGTCATCTTCAATTTCTTATCATGTGGACTCTCCATAAGGCAGCTCACAGCATGGCAGTTGGCCTCATGAGATTGAGAGAGGGAGATAAAATGAGAGAGAGAGATGTCACACTCTCTTTGCAAGCTAATCTTAGAAGTGACATCCATCATGTTGTTGTATTTTGTGCAATAGAAGCAGGCTGGGCGCGGTAGCTCACGCCTGTAATCTCAGCACTTTGGGAGGCTGAGGCGGGCAGATCACTGGAGGTCAGGAGTTTGTGACCAGCCTAGCTAACATGGTGAAACCCCGTCTCTACCAAAAATACAAAAATTAATCAGGCATGGTGGCGCATGCCTGTAATTCCAGCTGCTCGAGAGGCTGAGGCATGAGAATTGCTTGAACCCGGGAGTCGGAGGTTGCAGTGAGCTGAAATTGTGCCACTGCACTCCAGCCTGGGTGACAGAGCGATACCCCATCTAAAATAAATAAATAAATAAAAAGCCGATATTTAAGTCCAGCCCACCGTTGGGAGTCAGACTGGGCAGGGAGTGAAAGAGTAGATTGCACAAGGACATAAATAATTGTAAGTGAATATCACACTGGGGGGCATCTTAGATAGCTGCCTTCCACAAAGGGGGCCCAAAGAATCACTCAGCTAATATTTGAGCCCATGTCTTAAAGCCTTAGTGTTGTAACCTTAAGAAAAGTATAGGTTGGATCCTGAGGTATAAACGGTGACTCTATATTCATCCCTGTGATCCCTCAGGCATACTGAAGGGAAAAGAAGAGAGAAACAAGTCTAGATCATCCAGGATGACCTTGACAGGTCAACCCACCAACTACATGCTCAGAAAAGGGTGGAAAAGTGTGAAGAGCTAATCCTGACTCAGTATTCTCAGTGTTCACAGAATGCAGGAACACACACACACACCCTTATACAGACACACTTATACACACACACACACACACATTTACTGTGGCCATTTCTATGTGCTTTACGGCAATTCTATGAAGCCATTGCTATTATTATCATCACCTCTATCTTACAGATGAAGAAACTGATACAGCAGCAGATTGAGTTGTATGATCCAAGCTCACACTGCTAATAAATTATAGAACTGGGATATAAACTGAGAGTCTTTATTGATTGATATAGCATAAAAATTCCTTAAAACCCAGTAATTCTACCCAGCATTCAGTAAATGTGCTGAACTGTGACTCATAAGCTTCGTAGCTTTCAGAGAACTAAAAAGTGACCAGGCAGGGACAGAGCCACCTGGGGAAGAGGGAGATATTATCTATGCCCCAACCTGCCGCCACTTTTATTGCCCTTAAAATATTTGAGGACCATACAACGGGATTCTTTTGTTTTTTTCTTGCCTCATAATATCTTGCACAGTACGTAGGATACAGAAAGCTCAATATGTGACAATTCATTGATTACACTTTTTCTTTAAATCTACATTGGCTAGAAGTTTAAACCCTGCAACCTTGCATGTCTCAGCTGGGCTGTCATGATGAGTATCAGCTTTGGTATCAGATATACCTGAGTTCAAATTCTGGCATTCTTAACTTAATTTGTATGACCTTGACCTTTCCTATGAGGTTCTGAGCTTCCCCATCATAAGAATGAGATAAGAATACCTTCTGGTGCAGTTGTCATGAGGATTGCATAAAATTGTGTGCCAAGTGTCTACAAAGGCAGCATGCATCCCACAAATGGTAGCTGGTTTTATTATGATTGGCTATTATCCGCTTTCTAAACAGAACTTTGCTTTCACTTCAAATCCGACTTCTGAGGTATGATCTTCAAAACGTCGCTATCTCCCATTTTAAAAGGAACAATGCGCTGGCCATGGTGACTTATGCCTATCATCCCAGCACTTTTGGAGGCTGAGGTGGGGTACTGCTTGAGGCTAACAGTTCGAGGCTGCAATGAGCTATGATCACATCACTGTATTCCAGTCTGGGCAACAGAGCATGACTTTGTCTCCAAAAATAATAAAAAAGAAAAAGAAAAGGAACAACAATATATTAGTCAAAGTAAGTGTACTAGTCCATTTTCACACTGCTGGTAGTATTTTGATTATATCAAGAGTAGCTACAATAGCTGGAAGTGAGATGTTGGTGCAATTGTGATGGTATTATGCCAGAGACTCAGAAATGTCTCACTGCTGCCATGCCAATAACCCTTATTGGCATATACACATACCCGAGACTGGGCAATTTACAAAAGAAAGAGGTTTATTAGACTTACAGCTCCATATGGCTGGGGAGACTTCACAATCATGGTGGAAGGCAAGGAGGAGCAAGTCACGTCTTACGTGGATGGCAGCAGGCAAAGAGAGAAGGTGTGCAGAGAAACTGCCGTTTTTAAAAGCATCAGATCTCATGAGACCCATTCACTATCACAAGAACAGCACGGGAACAATACCGTCCCCATAATTAAATCATCTCCCACGGGGTCCCTTGCACAACACATGGGAATTATGGGAGTGACAACATGGGAATTGGGTGGTGACACAGCCAAGCCATATCAGTAAGTAAACATTAACTACTTTAATAACCTCCTTTACCCCAAATCTCAGTACTTAATGCGACATTTAAAAAAAAAAAATTCCTGGCTGGGTGCAGCAGCTCATGCCTGTAATCCTAGCACTTTGGGAAGCTGAGGCAGGTGGATCACCTGAGGTCAGCAGTTTGAGACCAGCCTAGCCAGCATGGTGAAACCCCATCTCTACTACAAATATAAAAATTTACCTGGGTGTGGTGACACATGCCTGTAATCCCAGCTACCAGGGAGGCTGAGGCAGGAGAATTGCTGGAACCTGGGAGGCAGAGGCTGCAGTGAGCTCAGATTGTGCCATTGCACTCCAGCCTGGGCCACAGAGTGAGACTTCATCTCAAAAAAAAAAAAAAAAATTCCTGTGTATCAGAAATGCATAGGAGGCCTTTCTGAGCAGCTGTCTGGTCAATAGCTACACAGAAACCCAGCTTTCTTCCATGCTGTGGCTTCGTCACACTGGGGCTTCTTGCTTCTGGCCACGTGGATGGGAAAGAGAGGACTCAGCAGATCACATCAGATGTTTTAGCAGCCAGGCCTCAAAGTAATTTACAGTCATTCTGCTCATATTCCTTCCACGAAAACTAGTCACATGGTCTTACTTAGATGCGAGGGGGCTAAGAAACACAGTTTTTATGGATGGCTAGTGTATTAGGGTTCTCTAGAGGGACAGAACTAATGGAATTGATGTATATATAAAGGGGAGTTTATTAACTCACACAATCACAAGGTCCCACAGTAGGCCATCTGCAGGCTGAAGAGTAAGGAGAGCCAGTCTGAGTTCCAAAACTGAAGAACTTGGAGTCCGATGTTCGAGGGCAGGAAGCATCCGGCATGGGTGAAAGATGTAGGCAGGAAGGCTAGGCCTGTCCCTCCTTTCACATTTTTCTGCCTGCTTATATTTTAGCCATGCTGGCAGCTGTTTAGATGGTGCCCACCCAGAGTAAGGGTGGGTCTGCCTTTCCCAGCCCACTGGCTCAAATGTCAATCCCCTTTGGCAACACCCTCACAGACACACCCAGGATCAATAGTGTGTATCCTTCAATCCAATCAAGTTGACACTTAGTATTAACCATCACACCTAGGAACCAAATAAAAATGGCATTGTCCCCTAGCATCCTACACTTGGTCCCAATTGGGTGGATAGAAGGTATGAAAAAGTACAAAGGAATATTACCTTAATACTTAGATTGTGTGCAAACAGCCACATTTAGCATTTGTTTTTTTCATTCTTAGTATGTGGTCTTATGACCATCATTTTAAATGCTACATAAATAATCTAGGCTGTGTTATGATTTTCTTAATCATGCCCCTCTCATTGCACCAATATTTAGGATTATTCTAATCCTCTTCCCCAGTATGTTACAACTTCATATGACAAACACTGATCGTGTTGAAGTGCTTACCGTCAACTTAGGTCCATTGCCGGGAAGTTACGAGCTGAATGCCACAATCAGCCAATGTAACTCTCATGCTTCCTTAAGCAAAGGAATATTCACAGTCCCAGAGACCAGCCTGACAGCTCTTACCCTAGGTTCATTGCCTCTAAATTAGAAGGGGAGAGTTAGATATGTGCCTGAGTCAAATTAGACTTGACTTGGATTATATTTTCTCCAAAAGAAGCAAACCATCTATATTATAATGTTCAGTGGCCAGTGTCAGGAAAGAACAGTCACAGTTTCAAATGATTGCATGGCTAAAAATCAAAGTATGATCATGCTTCCCAGCAAAACCCACCCTTTTCGGCAGTGTTGCTTTGCAGGGAATGTAACTGCAGTCTGGATGGCATGGAATTGCAGAGAGAGTGCAAATAAAATGCAGATTTGTTTCCATTTCATTCCATCCCAACAGCAGTTATTCCTAACAGCTTAATGTGCAGCCACTGCATTTCCCAAATGCAATGTGCTGAGGGTTTTGTGCAGTTAAAATTGGTTTTATAGGCAAGGGAAATGCCACCAACACCGCAAAATTGTTTCTATACTTTTGCTGTCATGGATTTAGCTGTCTAGAATGAGTATTCAGATGCTAGAATAGTGGTTGCCTCCATAATGCAAAATCCAAACTACCAGAGTCAGAATTATGCTGGAATACACACACACACACACACACACACACACACACACACACACACACAGAGCAGCAGCAGCAGCTTATATAACACTATAAATTAAATATGAAGCCTCTTTGTGCTTTCAAAAAAATCAGAGAATCAAAGGCTTGTACAAATTCCTTCTTACTCTGCTTGGAGACATCGTTGCCCTTATAAGCTTCTGCACCCGGAATCCTGATGCAATTCACTTTCTCTTAAATTCTTTACACTTTTCCACATGCAAATGGTTAATGACAATTTACCCAAATGGCTTTCAGCTGTGATTTATGGCACTTTAAGACAAACCTGTCCACTAAAATCTAACAATATGGGTAGCCGTTCGTCAGGAAAGGAAGGGGTAGGGGGCAAGATCACATTTTTTTTTTTTTAACTCATTGTGGCTTTTCAAATGCAGTTCGTGTTTGTGATTGCTGCAATTTATAGTGTTGGAAAAATGGGGGGGCAGACAGGGAGACAAGTGGAGTCATTGCCAAGCAGCATTGAAGACTCACAGGCATGCAAAGAAAAAAAAATACACACACACACACACACACATATATATATATATACATATACTGTTCTTCATGTATAAAGATTATGTTCCGATCCGCAGAGCTTGGCATTGGTTTTCTAGGATTGTGACCAGATTTGGTCTGATCCATTCTTACTAATCTGTATTCCCTGCAGAGCAATGGCCCCTGTTCACCTTTGGTTTATTTTGTAGTTTAATTTTCAGAGTTTGGGGTATGGTTGTGTTTCACTGACATAGCCTCTGTCATACAGAAAGCACTTTAGAATTCAACACTGCTTTAAACTAAAATTTCCCAATAAAAGCTCCTCCCTATGATGAGTTGATAGGTGTAGCAAACCACCATGGTACACGTTTACCTATGTAACAAACCTGCACAACCTGCACATGTATTCCAGAACTTAAAATTATAATTAAAAAGAAAAAAAGCTCCACCCTAAATTGATTGATGGACAGAGGGCCTTTCACAAACAGTGCTCAGTGCACCCCAACACAGCAGTACCACGTGGACTCAGGAGACTGGGATGGAGACAGACAAGACCCGCCATCCCCTCAGTTCCATAAAGTCAGCCTTGCTCACAGCAGCTCTGTCCCCCAGTGGCAGCTTCCCTGTTGTTCTCTGAGCAGGACATTAAAGGGAGATGTGCATAATCAAGTAATTTTGATTCATTTTTGGGGAAGTGATGGCATTTAGTGAAATCCAGTAAATTGTCCCTTTCAACGGTAATAACATGTTCTGAGCTTTCCCCAACAGACGTTGTGTAATGGTAATATAATAGGATTGCTATGGCAATTAAGTGATTGCATATTTTCGGGCAATGGAGGGCATCCACCAGGGTGCAAACCATTAGTAAAGTGGGAATGTTGTTGCGGGATTGGTTAGGATCTGGCTCAGGAATTGAGAACATGTGCCACCATCTATTTTATTTTATTTTATTTCAGGAAATCGGGGGATGGGATTATAATATCATTGGGCTCCACTACTCACACTGGGATTATACTGGGAAGAGTCCAATAGGTCTCTACATAGCAAATGATCATCATCTCCATTAAAGCATTTAACAAATACTAATCAGCACAGCGATGTTAGACAAAATGGATTATGAAATTTGCTTTCTGATGGCAGAAGGGCTGCATGGAGGAGGATATTCAGTACCTTGCAGCCATCAGTGACCCTTTCTCATTTGCAGTGTTTATGGTTTCCATGCAGGACCGTGACTTGGAATCTCGCTGCACCCCACCTCTCTCACACGTACCAACTAGTTATGTGAGATTAAAGGAAGAGAAAATGTTATTCTCATTTCATAGCTGAGGATACTGACTTCTGATGGCCAGTTACAGTCAGTTTAGATCTACGGAACTTTGCAGTACTTGGAGAGGTGGCATTTTGATTTCGAAAATCTGGACAATCAGATCTTCTCCCCCAACCCCAGGCCTCCTGGAATCGATGAATCTCTGTTCTTTTGGAGCTTTTGTTATTGCTGTTCTTTTGGGGTTTTGTTGTTGTTGTTGTTGTTTGAGATGGTGTCTCCCTCTGTCGCCCAGGCTGGAGTGCAGTGGTGCAATCTCAAGCTCACTGCAACCCCCGCCTCCCAGGTTCAAGCGATTTTCCCACCTCAGTCGCTCAAGTAGCTGGGATTACAGGCATCCACCACCATGGCCGGCTAATTTTTGTATTTTTAGTAGAGGCGGGGTTTCACCATGTTGGCCAGGCTGGTCTCAAACTCCTGACCTCAAATGATCCTCCCACCTTGGCCTCCCAAAGTGCTGGGATTACAGGCATGAGCCACCATGCCCAGCTTGTTCTTTCTATTTCATTTGTAAACTGGCTTTACAAGCATTGATTAAAGCTGGATGTAAGTACATGGGTCACTACTATACTTTGTTCTGTATTCTTTGCTATGTTTCATGATGACAAATAACAAAAAAAAAAATCAATTGCTTGACTGAAGTGGGGGATGGTAACCTCAAAGTATCTTCTGGTGGTATTAACTTGAGAATATGAATAGTATTATATTATAACACTTAGTAAGATTTCATTTCTGTGTCTCTACTTTTGTTATTATTGCTCGTATTATAATTATTGGAGAAGTGGTAGTAAAGGCAGTGGTCATGGGATCTCTGCAACTTGACTTGTACCACTAAGGTGTAGTGCCATCAGGATAATTAGAGCCGTATAAGGAGGATTAAAGAGGGGCACTTGCAATTGTAGTGCAAGGTAGGGCAGGGGAGAGGTCTTTGCATATGGCATTCCTTCCACGCAGAACCCTCCTTTTCCATCATCAGCAACCTCCCCAAGGTACCAGTGCTTTTTCTCCAAGACAGTTCAGCAAGTTCACAACTAGCTAGTAATGGCTCCAGCACTGCTACTCAATGATTACAGCATGCACCAGAGTAAGTTGGGTCTTCTTTTACGTTCTTCACATGTCTTATACTTTTCTATTTTATTGTGATAAAGCATACATCATGTAAAATGTACCACTTTAACCATTTTAAAGTGAACAAATTCAGTGGCATTTAGTGCAACAATCACCACTATCTAGTGCTAGAATTTAACAGCCCCAGAAGGAAACCTCACGCCTGTTAAGCATTCACTCTAGTCCCTGGCAACCGCTAATCTGCTTTTTCTCTCTATGAATTTGCCTATGCTAGATATTTCCATTTCAATGAAATCATACAATATGTGGCCTTTTATGTCCTGCTTCTTTCACTTAGGATACTGTTTTCAAGAGTTATCCACGTTGTAGTATGTGTTAGTACATCATTCCTTCCAAAGGACACTAAAAAAAAAAGGGAGAAGATAGGGCAAGGCATGGTGGCTCACACCTGTAATCCCAGCGCTTTGGGAGGCTGAGGCAGGAAGATCACTTGAGGTCAGGAGTTCGAGACCAGCCTGGCCAACATGGGGGTGGGGGGAGCCCCACCTGTACTAAAAATACAAAAATTAGGCAGGTGTAGTGGTGCGTGCCATCTGCTTGGGAGGCTGAGGCGGGAGAATTGCTTGGACCCAGGAGGTGGAGGTTGCAGTGAGCCAAGATGGTGCCACGGCACTCCAGCCTGGGTGACAGAGCGAGACTCCATCTTGAATAAAAATAAAAATAAATTAAAAAAAGAAAGGGAGAAGATAATTTGCAGAATTGGAAAAACATTTGCAATGATGTAACTGATAAGAATATAGCACCCAATAGATAAAGAACTTTTACAACTCAACAACAAAAAAGAAAAACTACCCAGTTAAAAAGTGTGCAAAGGATATGGATAGAGATTTCCCCAAAGAAGGCATACAATGGCCAAGAAACACATGAAAAGATGCTAACATCATTAGTCATTGAGGAAATGCAGACCAAATCCTTTTTTAGACGCTCATCACATCCTTTATTGATAGATTGATTTATTATTATTATTCTTTGATTAATATCTGTACCCTCCACTGGACTGAAATTTCCAAGAGATCAGGACTGTGCCTTTTTTTTCATTTATGGTGATAATCCCAGTACCTGGCACAGCGTTTGACACATGAGTAAGTCTTCAATAAATATTTGTTGAATAAACAAAGAATGGGCAAGGAGAAACAAAATGCATTAGAGAGTCAAAAAAGGGAAGAATGTCAGTTCTTTCAAATTATGAACATTTTGCATATAGTTGATGTATCTCATGATCACATACAAAGAAAACAACTGTTTTTCTCTGACCTCCTCTCTTAGATCGCATCCCTAGACTGCAAGACATTGTGGTGATATTGCTTTTGCTGTTTTTAGTGGTGGCGTTTCTTCCCTTTGTTTATTGACTACTGTGAGTCAGGTATTGTGCTGGGTGCTGAAGGCATAACTGACAATTAATAAAAGCATGGCTAAAGCCTCACACAAACCCTTTAGCACAGATTTCTCTCTTCCGGTTTACATATGAAGGAACTAAGGCCCGGAGAATCCTTAAAATAAGTGATTCAAGGACACTCAGATAGGAGCCAAGCAGTGATACAGTCAATCCCCCTTCGCTCACTACCCTGCACTCCTGGACTAGTTCTCCATTGCCTCTAGATTCCTCATGTCAAAGAGCCCTAGAAATGGGAGACGTCAAAAGATATTTAATAATGAACAGTTGAGGCCGAGCACAGTGGCTCACACCTGTAATTCCAGGACTTTGGGAGGCCAAGGTGGGTGAATCACCTGAAGTCAGGAGTTCAAGACCAGCCTGGCCAACATGGTGAAACCCCATTTCTACTAAAACATACAGAAATTAGCCGGCATGGTGGCACCTGGCTGTAATCCCAGCTACTAGGGAGGCTGAGGCAGGAGAATCGCTTAGAACCCGGGAGGTGGAGGTTGCAGTGAGCTGAGATCATGCCACTGTACTCCAGCCTGGGCAACAGAGCAAGACTCTGTCTCAGAATAAAGAAAGAAAGAAAGAGAGAGAGAGGAGAGAAAGAAAGAGAAAGAACGAACGGTTGACACTTACGAAGGAAGGAGAGAAGGAAGAAATGAAGGAAAAGGATTAAAGTTTGGACTTGCATTTCTTCTTAGGACAAATAAAATAGTAAGAGCAGCTGAATTTATTGAGTTCTTATAGTGTTCCAAGCACTGTGCTAAGCCATCTGTCTCTTTGAATGGAAAGAGCTATCCCTATTTTGAGTAGGAGGAAACCGGGGCACAGAGAGGCTGATTAACTGGGTTAGGGCCACCTGGATGTGAATTAATAGCAGCAGGATTTGAACCCAGGAGTTCCAAATTCAGTGACTGCGTCCCTAGTCACTAGGCCATAAGTGCTTCCGAAATTGAGTACACTCCCAAGGCTCAGATAAAAATATCGTGGATTCCTGCTCCTTAATTCACATACCTTAGAGAGTAATGTTTTTGTAGAAACCAGTATTTGCTGTTCCCAGTGTCCTGGTACAAATTGCCAGCAGCACACGGGGAGGTAGAGGCTGCCCTTGTCCCAGAGAGCTGGTAGGGAGAAAACCCAGCTCATTGAGAATTCCCTACCATCCCAATGAGAAAGATGCAAAATACCATGCACATCCTCCACAGAATGCTCAGACAGAGCTGTGAACCCAAGAGAATGCTGTCACTGGAGAGTGGACAACTGCAGGCACTGTGGAGAGCTTTAAATGAGATGCTGCCTAGGAGGGCAGAAAGAACACAGAGCAAGAAAGATGGATGCTAAGACAATTCTGTACCTAGATCAGAGACTGCCCCCACTGAGTGTTACAAGCTGACACCCACCTCCAGGCCCTTGTTTTTGCCCTTGCCGTTGGGGGATGCTCTTTGCTCTTCCCCCAGGTCGTTGAGTGCATGGCTGGTCCTTCTCATCCCCTAGACCTGCACTGAAATATCCCACCCTCCTAGAGGCCTTCCCATGCCATTAGATCAACAGTTCCTCCTGCCCCCATCACTCAACGTCCCATTAACTTACTTTATGTTTTTCATAGCACTCAACATTATCTAAAATTATCAGTTTCATTCTCTTGCTAATTTGTTCACTGGCTTACTCCTGTCCATGTAACCTCTGTGGTTGCAAGTAATTTTTTTATGGCCATTGCTGTGGCCCTGGTACCTAAAACAATATTTGGTATGTCCTTAAAAAAGGAAGAAGGAAGGGAGGGAGAGAGGGAGAGAGGAAGGGAGGGAGAGAAGGAGAGGGGAAGGAAGGAAGGAAGGAAGAAACCTTAGTGATCGCCAGCTCTTCATTGTTTGGAGGAGGAAATTGAGGCGCAGAGAGGTTAACTGGCATTCCGAAAGGTACACAGCAAGTGAGTAGGAGAGCCAGGATTTAAATTCATATGTGGCTCAACAAACCTTTACCTTTTCTTGTGATCTCTCCCTGCCTTGATGGTTATCATGCTCACATGTGTGAAAGTTCCCTGAAATAACATTCATACTTTCTGCATTGAAAGTGATCTAACCATTCCTCTGACTTCCACCCTCCTTCGTTTTGTCAACTTGAGCCTTGTTTGTGTCCATAGGTAGCTTATTCTACAAGTGTTTGAAACTAACCGAAGAGAGACATATCTTGCTCTAACCTATCCCATACCCACACCCAAAGCAATCTTTGCGGAAAAAAAATAATGAATAACTTGGGTTCTCACTCTACACACCAAAAGTGCTCTCTGAAATTTGTTTCACAAATGTATGCTGTTATTTTTAAGATATAAAGTAAAAGCAGAAAAGTGATGTCATTTTAGGATAGTTAACATCTAGACGTCTCTCTCTTAAGATGAATTTTTGCTTTATTCCAGACACCCAAAACATTCAAGTAAAAAAAGCTTTCCACTTTGATAATTTTTAAGTACTCGGTAAAAACAAAACAAAGAAATACAAACAAACAAGAAAACTTAATTGAAGAAGAAACATGAAGCCCTCTTGATCTCTGTGAAAATATAGCTAATTATCAAGACAATTTCCAAATAACTCAAAAGCTTGTATAAATGTCTTTTAGCACTGGGAGAGTAAAACTAAATATTTATTCCATGTTAAACAAAATTAAGATACATTTGGCACCAAAGGAAAAAAGAGGAAGCTACTTCTGTGTGCTGAAATCCCACTGCTACAAAGACCAGCAGAGCCTTTTGAAAGGAAAACGTTTTAACCATGTTTACAAGGGTCATTTCAATGTTTTTGAAACTCTGCTGCTAAATAATGCATGTTATTCAAGTGTAAAAATAAAGCAGCAAAGTACCCTCTTATTGACAAAAGCCTGGATGTCCAGGTGGAAAGAAGGTGCAGCAAACTGGGGCGGTGTGATTCATTCCTTCCCAAGAGAGGCTGGAGAGGTGCAGAGCGCAGAGCCTTGGGGTCATGTACAAGACCCATAGCTACTTTCTGTCTCATCAGAAAATTGAACTGCAGGAAGGAGGGCTGGGGATGTAGGGCGGGAAGAGTGTGGGCTCAGAAGTGGGACAGCGTAGGATCAAATCCCAGCTCAGTCTTTTCCTTGTGGGTCACATTTAAAAAATTTAGTTACCAGTTAAATAGGAACAGTTGCTTAGCTCTCAGAGACTTCAGGGGAGATTGAATTTAACAGCGTGTGTAAAGCACAGTGCCTGGCACATAGCAACCACTGAATAAATATGAACTATTATTATTATTAGTGGTAGTAGCAATAATAGCAGCAGTATTTGCAAAAACAGCAATGTCCCCCGCCCCCCAAAAAAAAAAAAAAAAAAACTTATGTGCCCCTCTGTGTTTCCCAGCTACCCTTGCAGTTAGGTCAAGGTCATGTGACCCATTCTAGCCAGTGGGCTGCTGGTAGAAGTGATGTGGCTCACTTTCAGGCAGAGGCATTAGGAGTGAATGTGAGTTCCTAAATCTCTCTTCTCTCCTGCTGTGACCCCCTGGGAGCCATGCTGATATGGTGGCTTCATAAGATGGAATCCCAGTCTCCATGAGTTTGGGTTCTGAGGAATTGTATAGAGAGATGCCCACCTCCCTCCCCACTGACCATGTGGGATGTAGAGTGTGAGTGGGAAATACATATTCGTTGTCAGGCTACTGTAACTCTGGTTTAGTCTGTCACTGTAGCATGTGTAGTCTACCCTGTCTACTCTGACCCACTGTGGTTTTTCTAACCATTGCTTTATCAAAGTAGATTCACAGAGACCAGAAGGCCTCATGGGGGCATCCTAAAGCTGGTTTTCATAGAAAGACATTTTTATCAATTGATACCTCATCTATCTATCTATCACCTATCTACCTATTACCTATTTGTCTGTCTATTCATATCTAATCTATCAACCTATGTATCAATCACCTGTCTATCAATCATCTATCACCTATCTGTCATCTATCACTGATCTACCATCTATCATTTATTACCTATCATCTATCTTTCATCTATCATCTATTATCATTCAGCTATCATTTATCTATTATCTATCCTCTAACTATCCATCCATCCTCTATCTCCTCTATCTAACATCTAGCATATATCTTATTTATTTATCTATCATCTATTCTCTATCCTCTATCCATTTATCATCTATCTTATCTAGTCTATCTATCTGTCTGTCTATCTGTCTGTCTATCTTCCATGCCTCTGCCCTTGTTGAAGATACTGACTATATATTGTAGTAATGATCTTTTTCTCATCTCCATTCCTCTCTGACTCCAGAACACCCTTGGCCTTCTCCTCTTTCCCCCAGAGCATTTATCACATGATAGTACAGATACTTGATTATTTTCTCCGAACACCCTAAACAGGCTGTGGTCATTCTTTGTTCCCCACCAGTGTCCAACATAGTGCCCAAATACTCAATAGATTGTCGCAGCATGTATCCTCTCCCACCTCCTTTGTTTTGCCACCTTCTCTCACCAAATTTTTTTTTTTTTTTTTTGAGACGGAGTCTTGCTCCGTCATGCCCAGGCTGGCATGCTATCGGCTCACTGCAACGTCTGCCTCCTGGGTTGAAGCCATTCTCCTACCTCAGCCTCTCGAGTAGCTGGGATTACAGGCATCCGCCACCATGCCCAGCTAATTTTGTATTCTTAATAGAGATGGGGTTTTGCCATGTTGGCCAGGCTGGTCTCGAACTCCTGACCCCAGGTGATTTACCCACCTTGGCCTCCCAAAGGACTGAGGTTACAGACGTGAGCCACCACTCCTGGACTCTTTATTCCTGTTGGCTTATGGGCTTTATCGATCCTTGTAAGCAACCTTAAACAACAATTTCTGAAACCAGGAGGGAATGTGTACATTTCCTTCCAATTCATTTTTCCTACCACTACTTTTTTTTTTGTATTTATAAAACACCACTCTGCACCCCGCTAAACTTCCAAAGCTTCCATTTCTATGAGTGTTCTGAGGTTACAGGCGTGAGCTACCACTCTTGGACTCTTAATTCCTGTTGGCTTATGGGCTTTTTCAATCCTTGCAAGCAACCTTAAACAATTTCCGAAACCAGGAGGGAATGTGTACATTTCCTTCCAATTCATTTTTCATACCACTGCTTTTTTCTATTATTATTATTTATAAAACCCCACTCTGCACCCCCCTAACCTTCCAAAGCTTCCATTTCTATGAATCTTCTCACCTGCCAATGAAGGCCCCTTCCTTCTTATATCTTTGTAAACACTCTGCCAAAATCAGACTCCTGTTCACATGACTTCCTCATCTCCAAATGACTACAGAAACCCTGAGTGTCTACATCATTGCTTTTATCCTGTCTCCCTCCTGGAATGTTTCTCTGGCCTACTTTTTAACTTAAAAAAAAAGTAGGCCAGGCGCGGTGGCTCATGCCTGTAATCCCAGCACTTTGGGAGTTTGAGGCGGGTGGATCACAAGGTTAGGAGATCGAGACCATCCTGTCTAACATGGTAAAACACCGTCTCTACTAAAAAAAATACAAAAAAAAATAGCCAGGCGTGGTGGCGGGTGCCTGTAGTCCCAGCTACTCAGGAGGCTGAGGCAGGAGAATGGCGTGAACCCAACCCAGGAGGTGGAGCTTGCAGTGAGCCGATATTGCGCCACTGCACTCCAGTCTGGGTGACAGAGCAAGACTCCGTCTCAAAAAAAAAAAAAAAAAAAAAGGTAATGACACAATATGTTGGCTGGGCACAGTGGCTCATGCCTGTACTCCCAGCACTTTGGGAGGCCGAGGTGGGAGGATTGCTTGGGCCTAGGACTTCAAGGCCAGCCTGGGCAACATAGTGAGACCCCACCTTAAAAAAAAAAAAAAAAGAATGATGTATTAGTCTGTTTTTAACACTGCTGATAAAGACATTCCCAAGACTGGGTAAATTATAAAGAAAAAGAGGTTTAATGGACTCACAGTTCCATATGGCTGGGGAAGCCTCACAATCATGATGGAAGGCAAAAGGCACGTCTTAAATGGCGGCAGACAGGACAGAATGAGAAAGCCAAGCAAAAGGAGTTTCCCCTGTAAAACCATCAGATCTCATGAGACTTATTTACTACTATGAGGACAGTGTGGGGGAAACCACCTCCATAATTCAATTATCTCCCAACAAGTTCCTCCCACAACACATGGGAATTATGGGAGCTACAATTCAAGATGAGATTTGGGTGGGAACACAAACCATACCAAATGACAAAATATGTATTAAATACTTACCTAGTGTGTCTTTTCCTTGAAGGAAGAGACCCAAATATAGGCAGCAGAGGCTTAACTGTGTTTTGCAATTGTTCCCAAGATTCCATGGACTTTGCCTCTGGCTTTTTAAAAACAAAAACAGCTTTACTGAGATAGAATTCACAAACCACACAATTAACCTATTTAAAGTGTACATTTCAATGGTTTTTAGTATATTCATAGAGTTGCACAACTATCACCACAATCAGTTTCAGAGCATTTTCTTTCCCCCTCCCCTCCAATCCATGCCAATTAGCACTCACTCCCTCTTCCCCCTGCTCTCCCCTCTCCCTGGAAACCATGAATCTACTTTTAGTCTCTATGGATTTGCCAGTCCTGAGTATTTAATAGAAATGAAATCACATGATATGTGGTCCTTTGTATCTTGTTTTATTTGGCATGATGCTTTCAAGGTTCATCCACATTGTAGCATGTGTCAACACTGCATTCCTTTTTATGGCCGAATAATATTCCATTGCATGGATTAACTACATCTTATGTATCCATTCATCGGTTGATGGATATTCAGGTTCATTTTCACTTTTTGGTGATTTTGAATAACGCTGGTATGAACATTTGAACATTTGTGTATAAACTTTTGCATATATGCATATTTTAATTTCTCTTGGGTATAACCTGGGAGTCAAATTGCTGGGTCATATGGTGACTTTCTTTCTTTCTTTCTTCCCTTTCTCTTTCTTTTTCTCTTTCTTTCTTCCTTTCCTTTGTCTTTCTTTTTCTCTTTCTTTCTTCCCTCCTTCCTTCCTTCACTTCCTTCCTTTCTTCCTTCTTTCCTTCCTTCCCTCCCTCCTTCCTTTCTTCCTTTTACTTTCCTTCCTTCTTTCCTTCCCTCCCTCCTTCCTTCCTTCTTTCCTCCCTTCCCTTCCTCCCTCCTTCCTTTCTTCCTTTTTCTTTCCTTCCTTCCTTCCCTCCTTCCTTTCTTCCTTCCCTCCTTCCTTTCTTCCTTCCTTTCTTCTTTCCTTCCTTCCCTACTTCCTTCCCTCCCTCCTTCCTCCTTCCTTCCTTCTTTCCTTCATTCCTTCGTTCATTCCTTCCTTCCCTCTCTCCCTTTCTTTCTTTTTTCTTTTCTTTTCTTTTGCAGTTAAACCACACTTTAATCTCACTTTCCATGATCCGTGTGGGTAGAAAAGGGAAGCATCTTGTCACAGTACTCATCAAAGCAGTGCTTGTCAATGGCAGAAAAGACAGGAAATTCTGTGACCCCAGCAGCCAGAGAGTCCTCAGGAATTCCAGGATGGAAGTGGCCACCTCATTGGAGGTGTGTTCTGTTGCTTGAGGCTGCACAAGGGAGTCAGCCATGGGGCCCCTCTTTTATGGGGTTAACTGCCTGTGGTCATAGCTCCTGCAAGAGGAGAGGTTATGTAGGGCCCATGCGTGATTCACCCATCAGTCCTTTTAAAGTATATCACCACAAGGCCACCATACTCTTAACATCCGAATACATCACTTAGGCTTTAATTAAAATGTGTGCATTTTAAAAGGTTTGCATTAACATACTTAGAATTATTGGCATACCCTCTTCAACTCATTCAGAGCACTGTCTGGAGCAGCACTGTCCAGTAGAACCTTCTGTGATGATGGATATGTTTTACACCTGCACTCTCTAATTTAACAGTCACCGGCCACTTGATATTGAGCCTTTGAAATGTGGCTTGTTTAACTGTGGAACTGAATTTTTACATTTTATTTTATTTTAATTAATTTAAAAGTAGATAGCCACATTTGGCTAGTAGCTACCATATCAGACAGTACAGGTCTAAGGAATACAGACAGAACATCTCATGACAGTATATTATTTATGTGGAGGAGAGAGAGCAGTGTTCCAAGGGGAATTGTTCCAGAGGTCCCAACTAAAAAGGCTGTAACTGTTTTGTAAGCTCTGTTATTCAGATGGAGACAATGAATCTTATTTATTTTTAGACGGAGTCTCACTCTGTCACCCAGGCTGGAGTGCAGTGGGGTGATCTCAGCTCACTACACCCTCCACCTCCCAGATTCAAGTGATTCTCCTCCCTCAGCCTCCTGAGTAGCTGGGATTATAGGTGCCCACCACCATGCCCAGCTAATTTTTGTATTTGAGTAGAGAGGAGGTTTCGCCATTTTGGCCAGTCTGGTCTCGAGCTCCTGACCTCAAGTGATCCGTCTGTCTTGGCCTCCCAAAGTGCTGGGATTACAGGCATGAGCCACTGCACCTGACCAACAGTGAATCTTAGAGACATAAATTGTGTAAGGGGATGGGGATGCCATGGGGTAAAAAGCAATGCTAACCCTAGCAATTAAAAAGACCTGCTGATATTATCAGTTTAGGTCATTACCATCTGATACCGTTTGGATCTGTGTCCCCACAAATCTCATGTCGAATTGTAATCCCCCAGTGTTGAAGGTGGGGCCTGGTGGAAGGTGATTGGATCATGGGGGCGGAGTTCTCATGAATGGTTTAGCACCATCCTGTCAGTCCTGTTCTCGTGATAGTGAGCGAGTGATCGTAAGATCTGGTTGTTTAAAAGTGTGTAGCACAGGCCGGGCACAGTGGCTCACTCCTGTAATCCCGTCACTTTGGGAGGCTGAGATGGGTGGATCACTTGAGGTCAGGAGTTCGAGATCAGCCTGGCCAACATGGTGAAACTCTGTCTTTACTAAAAATCCAAAACTTATCAGGGTGTGGTGTTGTGCACCTGTAGTCCCAGGTACTTGGGAGACTGAGGCAGGTGAATCGCTTGAACCTGGGAGGTGGAGGTTGCAGTGAGCCGAGATTACGCCACTGCACTCCAGCCTGGGAGAAAGAGTGAGACTCCATCTCAAAAAAACAAAGAAACAAAACAGTGTGTCATCTCCCCACTCTTTCTCTTGCTCCTGCCCCAGCCATGTGAAGATGTCTCTTCCAGCTTTGTCTACTGCTGTTAGTCAAAGCTCCCTGAGGCCTCCACAGAAGTAGACACTGCCATGTTTCCTGTACAGCCTGTGGAATCGTGAGTCAATTAAACCTCTTATGAGTTACCCAGTCTCCGGTATTTCTGTATTGCAATGCAAGACGGGACTAATAATGCACCTTCCTTCAGAACTCACAGCTCTTATAAAGCCTCCTTCTGGGCACCCAGCCCTCAGAGGTCCCTTCTGCCTCCAATTCTGTCTGTGCCACCACTCACCTTGGTTTCCTGCTATGCTTGCTGGTCTTGCTTACTCATGAAGGAAGGGATTAGGTGCTGTAAATCCGTAGTGCTCTAGGCTGACACTCTGAGCTCTTACACACTAATGCAGCGGGACAGACAGAATCGTCTTCTGAGAGAGACCCATCAACTAAGTAACGATTGCCAGACTGATGGTGGTTTATGGAGACCCCTTCCTTCTAGAACATCGAGATCATTAAGCATGTGGAGACGAAACAAGAGATGTTTATTTGCTGAGCTTATTTGTCTGTACATCCATCGAAACCAGCATTTCTCAACTTTTTTTTCCACTATCACCCTACTTATAAGTCTAAAATTATTTTGCTTTTAGAGTAAAATACATGTACGGGTTCACCATTTTAACCATTTTAAAGTATACTATTCAGTGGCATTAAGTTCATGCATGATGTTGTGCAAATGTCACCACTATCTAATTCCAGAGCATTTGTACCACCCCAAATGGAAATTCCTTACACATTAGCAGTCGCTTCCTATCCCCTTCATCCCCTCTAATGTCTGGAAACCACTAATTTGCTTTAATTTGCTTTCTCTGTCTGTGGAATTGCCTATTCTGAACATTTCACAAAAAAGGAATCATACAATATGTGGTCTTTTGTGTCTAGCTTCTTCACTTAACATAATGTTTTCAAGGTTTCATCCATGTTGTAGCCTGGAGCAGAGCTTCATGGAAAGGCTGAATAATATTCACTGTGTGGCTAGACGACATTTTGCTCATACTTTTATCTGTTAATGGACATTTGGGGTGTTTCCATCTTTTGGCTATCATGAATAATGAATACTGTTTTATTAACTTTAATATCATGGATGCATTGTATATCTGTTTATGTACTGTGGCCCTTTGGAAGGTCACACACACCTTGTCATATTTGAGATTGTTTGTCTTCTCCCTCCCCCCAAGAACCAATTTTTACTTCCTTGGGAGAAATATTGTCACCAGTGAGAATGCATGATATAAACCCATTAAATGAATTCCAGCTTGAGAGTAATGACTGTATCTGACCTATCACCATATCTTCAGAACCTTGTACAATTCCAGGTACATGAAGTTCAATACACTGTGGGGGAATAAATAAGTGGATGCATGAATGATCTGTTTAAAAGCTGTTTTGATTGAGTACCTATTAAGAAGGGGAAAGTAAGTGCCCTTTTATTATGAATCAACTTGCGACAGACATTGCACTTGGCACTTTAACTCTCAATACTGCCTGTATAGAAGGAACAATGCCATGTTTGTGCAGAATAGTTCAGAGTGTAATAATAACAACAATAATGATGATATCTCTTATTTATTGCGTGCAATCTCAACACTGTATGAAACAAGCATAGGCATTCTTTTATTTCATGCCCACAGTGACTCTTGATTATAGGTACTGTTATGAATTCCCAGATGAGGGACTGAGGTTCAGGGAGGTTAAGGCACATGGCTAAAGGCTGGAAAAATAGTTTGGAAGTAACCGGGATATGAGTTCTGGTTAGTACAGAGAGAAAACCTGTGCTATGTTTCATACACTTTCCTGCTCCAATGTGCAGGGTGCTCTGCATGAATTGTTCTCATTTATAGATGAGAAAACCAAGATCCAGGAAGATCCGTGGATTTGCGTAAATGCAATGCATTTGTCGCAGAACTCCAGTCTGAACTCTTCCCTCTCTCATAACTAAGAGCGGCTCTTCCCTGGCAGCAGACATAAAAGTGAATTTGTGAATGAGGGAGCTGTGTATCCCCAGTGGCCAGCAGGATGGTCTTCCTCACATGATTGTTGTGTCATTCCTAAGCTGAAACCCACCAGGGCTCCCCTTTTTGTAAATGAGCATGTCTAAGCCTTGCATGTTAGGCTTGGTTTGCACTCCCTCTGGCCTTTGCTGCTCTCCAGGTCTACCTCTTATTCTTGCCCAACCCACCTTTGGTTCAAGCCATTATCTGCCAGGTCATTAGTTACCCAGACCAGGTGTTGCTGGTACCAACACCTCTGAGCCTCCACACTTGCTGTTCCCTCGCCTGGAATCATCTCTCTCTTTTTGTCTGGAGAATTGTAGTCATGCTTCAAGTGTTATCAGCTTGGATGTCACCCCTCTGGGAAACCTTCTTGGATGTCACTTTCTTCTGCTCTGGGTTGTGAATCTTCCTATTCCACATGGTTATCTCCTCAACTCTCAATTCCATCTTCATATGATGCCTCTTATGCCTCTGCAGAGCCTGGCGTGAAGCGAGTGTGCAGCTCATTCTTGATAGAAAAAGAAAGGATGACTGCTTGCTGCTCATGAGGCCAGCATTCATATTTGGAGCCAAGGTAGGAGCAACCCCCTTCATTCTAATTCTAATGATAAAGATGGGAATGATGGGCCGGGCATGTGGCTCACGCCAGTAATCCCAGTACTTAGGGAAGCCGAGGTGGGCAAATCACCTGAGGTCAAGGGTTCGAGACCGGCTTGGCCAACATGGTGAAACCCCGTCTCTACTAAAACTACAAAAATTAGCTGGGCATGGTGGCGCATACCTGTAATCCTAGGTACTCGGGAGGCTGAGGCAGGAGAATTGCTTGAACCCAGGAGGCGAAGGTTGTAGTGAGCTTAGATAGTGCCACTGCACTCCAGCCTGGGCAACAGAGTGACACCCCATCTCAAAAAAACAAACAAACAAACAAATGAGGCAATGATGATTCATCACTTACATACCACCTTTGATGCCACCAGTCTGTACAGTACGAACCCACTTAACCTCCAAAATGCTCTTATTAGGTGGATATTAATTTCCCTTTTTACATATGAGCAAAAGACTCAATTTTTTTTTCAAACATGTTCACAGTCAGCCAACTGGTGCATGAACATAGGTACTTAGTTCTCAAGCTTACAAATTAGCCATTGTCAGGGCTCAGAACATGATACCCCAAAGTATGGCGCCTTGGTATGCTGTGTACTTTGAGCTGAAGGAGATTGCAAGGGCCTCAGAAACAAGGTCTTTCTGACCTTTTCTCATCCTCCTGTCTCTTGCCTCTCTTTCTCCCCAGAAGGGAGTCATAGAAGCCAGAATTCCCCTTCTCCAAGGTGAGTCACGGCAACTAGAGCTCCTCTTCCCCAAAGCAAGCCAATAAAACCTAGAAAGGTCACTCTCTGACCTTCTCCCTTCTCCCTTGAAAACCCTCCTGTGACAGGCATCCTGTACTATACCCAGAGGAAAGGAATGCCACATCGGGGCCAGGAAGAATCAGAATAGACAGACCTTGCTGGGTCCCCTCCACCTCAGTCTACTGCCAGTAGATCAAACACATTTTATCCAATCACATTTCTACACGGTGGCCTATTCCTCAGCAAATCTAAGCATAAAGTTAGACAGTTTCCCTTGGGTCTTCATTTCTGACCGTTCCCATGTCACATAAAACTGTGTTTTTAAAAAAAAAAACAAACTTTTTTTTTTTTTTTTTTTTTTTTTTTGTGATGGAGTCGCGCTCTGTCCCCCAGGTGTGATCTCGGCCCACTGCAACCTCTGCCTTCCAAGTTCAAGTGATTCTCTTGCCTCAGCCTCCCGAGTAGCTGGGATTACAGGTGCCCACCACCACGCCAGGCTAATTTTTGTATTTTTAGTAGAGACAGTGTTTCGCCATGTTGGCCAGGCTGGTCTCAAACTCCTGATGTCATGATCCACCCACCTCAGCTTCCCAAAGTGTTGGGATTACAGGTGTGAGCCACCGCTCCTGGCCTTGTTACACTTTTTTATTGTTAACCTGTCCTTTGTTACAGGAGTGTCTTTTGTTATAGCTGTGATGATTGTGACAGGTGATTGAAAGGGTGTTACACCTTTCTCCCCACACATCGCCTTGCTGTACTTCCTTTGAGTACCCCAGGTTAAAATGCCAGACCCCACTGTGAACTGGATTTGCGGGTTCTGTGTACCCCAGAGGTAGGTGGGTCCCCAAATCTGCCCTTTCTATGATGATGACAGTAGTTACAGCTAGGAGAATCGTTTATACATTTTATATATACAATCTCTAAGTACGTATGTATATATTTATATTTTATGTATGTATAAAGTATATTTTATTAATGGACTATATAAAACATTTTATCAAACATAAACATATAAACATGTTTATATACATTTTAGGGACAAGGTCTCACTGTCACCCAGGCTGAAGTACAGTGATGGGGTCATAGCTCACTGCAACCTCAAATTCCTGGGCTCAAGTAATCTATCCACTTTAGCCTCCTGAGAAGCTGGGACTACAGGCATGCACCACCACGCCCTCATAATTTTTAAATTTTTTATAGAGATGAGGTCTTGTGATGTC
The DNA here is from genome assembly GCF_000001405.40 of Homo sapiens. NCBI lineage: Eukaryota > Metazoa > Chordata > Mammalia > Primates > Hominidae > Homo > Homo sapiens. Next base: position 7,768,650 of record NC_000016.10, on the reverse strand, counting down.
TTAAACTCTTGTACTCAAGTGATCCTCCTGCCTTAGCATCCCAAAGTGCTGGGATTACAAGCATGAGCCACCCCACCCACCCTGTTTACACATGTTTTAAAGCACATTAATTATTTTTCAATCTATCAAATTGATGTGGCTAAAATTACAAACTGTTTACAAGCAATCAAGGATTGAAAATATGAAATAACAGAAATGAAACTTTTTTTTTTTTTTGAGTCGGAGTCTCACTCTGTCTCCCAGGCTGAAGTGCAGTGGTGCGATCTTGGCTCACTGCAACCTCCACCTCCCAGATTCAAGAAATTCTTCTGCTTCAGTCTCTGGAGTAGCTGGGATTACAGGCTAATTTTTCTATTTTTAGTAGATACAGGGTTTCACCATGTTGGCCAGGCTGGTCTCAAACTTCTGACCTCAGGTGATCCGCCCACCTCGGCCCCCCAAAGTGCTGGGATTACAGGTGTGAGCCACCGCTCCCAGCCTAGAAATGAAACATTTTAAACCAAGTTTATTTTTTTCTGATTCTGTTTCAGAATATAGGAGACTTGCACTATAGAATATGTACATAGAAAAGAATGTAGGAAATTTGGAAAACCAAGGACAAATCAAAACAAAACAATCATCTTTACTCCTACCACCCAGGAAAAACAAACAAACAAACACAGTTTTCATCATTTCCCATTTGTTTTAATTTCATTGAAAGTGAAATTAGTATAATAGCATAGGGGTTAAAGGCTCAGATTCTGGAATTGAACGGGCCTGAATTTGCTACTCAGTTCCACCACACGCTGAGTGTTTGATCTCGGGCCAGTTATTTAACTTTCTGAAATTTTGGGGAAATTACACCTACCTCCCAGGGCTGTTGTAAATTATATGCTGGGGCACACATACAGTGCTTAACAGAGTTTCTGGCATGTCATAAGGATTCAATCACTGGTGGCTATTATTTTTAATGAGAGTGCTATTATTTTTATTTTACTGTGACCATTTTCCCCATGTTATTCAATATTCTTTAAAAACCTAACTTTCTGGCTGCCTAGCCTCTCTTATTGATATGCCATAATTTATTTAGCCAGTTCCCTAATTAGGTCATAGATCCTTTTGATCTCCAACAAATAAAATAACATTGCAATTTCCATATTACTCTTAAGACAGCTTAATGTTGATGTTAATATCCTTTGAATTTCTGCATTATTATCTGAGCCTGGAATATCCCCACCCAACGTCGTGCCGTATGTCCTGGTGGGAAAAGACAAGCTACTCAAACCACCTCGTTTCTCCAAACACAAATTCTCCAATGTTAACAAACACCAACGATCTCTTTCTAAGCAGAAACCTTGGTGTTTGCCCACTCGGCAGTCCTTCGTGAGCATGGGGGTAATTTGTAGTTTGAACGATTGAGACAAACGCTTGGCATGAGACAGAAAGAAGTAGGATGCATCTGTAATTGGAATATTTTGTCTCATTTATTCTTGATAATGTGCCATATTCCACTCCATCAGCCAGAGGTGATTGCTCACAGAATGTCTTACACCTGGTATTGGTGCTTATGAAAACCAGATGTGGTTCACTGTTTAAAGCTGTTTCAAAGAAAGGGGGAGGACATCTCCCTCTAATGCTCCCCACTCCCTTTCTCACTCTCTATTTTTTCCTACAATTTTTTTTCCCTCCCTGGGGCTCTAGTTACACTTTTCGAGTCCAGGGATGCTGGCCCATTTTTTGCCAAGTCTCAGGGTAACGTATTTGAAGATCCCTGCAGGTAGTGTTGAGGAGGGGGTAAGATGGGGAGAAGGCAGGGAAGCCCAGAGTGAGAGCAGGCACTAATCTCTCTGTGGTCAAGGGGTTGCAAATCAAGGAAGCTGCTCTGTTCTTTCTAATTTACAAAACTACAGTTTTTGTCTAAGCACCTTTGCTTGTCTGGGCCCATGCAGGTTTAAAAGGAAGCAAAGGAGAGCATGGGGTGGCTTCCCTAGAGAGCGCTGTCAAAATGAAATACTCCAATTTAGACATTTATTTGAACCAACTGAACAACCTGTTAAAAACACACATTCCTAGTCCCCAACCAGATACTCTCGCGTCAGAATTTCCAGGGGAAGTGTTTGGGTATCTGCCTTTTTAACAAGGCTCCTTGATGTTCCTGATAGGGTGAAATTAAGAAACATTCCCAGGGAGCAGTGCAGCTCAATCTTTAATGTGCATCACCTGGGGACCTTTAAAGGCAAATTCTGATCCTATAGGTTTGGGTCTGACCTGAGACGCTGCTTTTGAGAAAATTTCCCAGGTGATGGTGGTGCAGCTGTCCATGCACCACACTTAGAGTAGCATGGGTGAAGAGCAGGGGTCAATAAACTTCACCCACTGCTTGTTTTTGTACTGACTTAAGAATGGTTAAAAAAATAAATTCAGGCTGGACGCGGTGGCTCAACGCCTGTAATCCCAGCACTTTGGGAGGCCGGGGTGGGTGGATCACCTAAGGTCAGGGGTTCAAGACCAACCTGGCCAACGTGGCAAAACCCTGACTCTACTAAAAACACAAAAATTAGCTGGGAGTGGTGGCAGGTGCTTGTAATTCCAGCTACTTGGGAGGTTGAGGCAGGAGAATCGCTTGAACCTGGGAGGCAGATGTTGCCGTGAGCCAAGATCGCGCCACTGCACTCCAGTCTGGGGAACAAAGCGAGACTCCATCTAAAAAAAAAAAAAAATCAAAAGAAGAAAAATATTTCATTATGCATAAACATTTTATTAAATTTAAGTGCCAGCGTCTGTATAGGAAGTTTAATTGGCATCCATTTGTCTGCATATTGCCTGTGCCACTACGTGGTAGAGTTGTGTCGTTGTGATAGAGAATCATGACCCCAAAAGCCTAATATATTTGCTTTCTGGCTCTTGATAGAAAATGTTTGCCAATCCCTGCTCTAGATCCGGAAGTAAAAAAAACAGAGGTGTTTTTTTTAAGGAAATGTATTACTCAGTACAGCTGGAATGTGAGAGATAAGACCGACCATCCCGTATGTTGACTTTGAATATCAGTAATCATTTAGAAAATTAATATTACAATAAAACAGGAATGAACTCCGCCAAGAAAAAAAAATTCTCCCAGTCTTTATTCTTCCCATCCTCTCCCTCCTGACCCCAATTTCTGACTTTGAATGGCCATATATTTGCATAATGGCTTTCTTTTGTTCATTTTTATTGCCGACTAATTGAATTAGAATGGCTAAAAAAAAAAATACCTTCAGCCTCAGACCCTGTTACAAACTCCTATAAATAAGGGTACAGGTGAAAAAGGTGAAGAGTGTGTTTTTCATTATTAGGCAGATGTAATGTAGAATCGTGGCTTTTGTCTTTGTTTTGGATTTGTTTTGTTCTTTAGATTTAGCTTATGGACATTAAGGTAGTCAGTTGATAGAATTTGGATAAATGAGTCTTTTCAGAGAAAAGAGTCAAAATTCAGCCTGGGCCAGCACTGCCGTGGCTCACACCTGTGATTCCAGTACTTTGGGAGGCTAAGGCAGGGGGTTTGTTTGAGGCTAAGAGTTACTAACACAGCATGTTAGTAACATAGCATGTCTCTATTACCCCATTCTACCTCTCTTTAGCCTATGACCATATGCTTTGTGAGTTGGGTGGAGGTGCCTCAGAAAGTTTCATGAGTTCGAACATACAGAATCTTTTAGAAGACTTCTCATTGAGAAAACCTGGAGAAGGGTTTTCTGCCAGTAAATTGATTTCTACTTAATTGGTTGCCACAGGATCTTAGTGAGGAAGTTTAAAGACACATGCAGGTGGAGGAGTTTAAGCTTTACCTAAATGCAGTAAGTAAATGGCATACGTTTACAATGCAGAGAATACAGTGATCCAACTTTCCCTGGCAAGTTTTGACTCTTGCCTCCTGGGCCAATGAAAGGATGCTTGGAATTGGAAGGAAATTGGGGCATCTTTAATTTATGTGACTTGTCATAGGTAAAGGGCATATTTTCTTGTGTAAGAGATTTAATTTCCTCAGTACAAAGGATTATATCTTATATTGGTTTAACTCCACTCATGTTCAATGTCATGCCAGAGCTCAAACACTGGCACGGCCAACATCCTTGCCTACAATTCTGCTCCGCTCTCTCCGGCTCTTCCTCACTCTTGAAACCGCCATTGCAAAATTTTAACTGACACCATGTTGATGAAGAGTCAAACTGTAAGATATTTGAAGAGATTTATTCTGAGCCAAATATGAGTGACCATGGCCCGTGACACTGCCCTCAGGAGGTCCTGAGAACATGTGCCCAAGGTGGTTGGGGTGCAGCTTGGTTTGATGTATTTCAGGATGCATGAAACATCAAATACATGTAAGAAATACATTGGTTTGCTTTAGAAAGGTGGGACAATTCAGAGTGGGAGCTTCCAGGCTATAGGTAAATTTAAACATTTTCTGGTTGACAATTGGTTGAGGTTATCTGAACATGTGGGATTGATAGGAATGTTCAGGTTAAAGATAAAGGATTGTGGAAACCAAGTTTTATTGTGCAGAGGAAGCTCTTAGATAGATGACTTTAGAGAGAGCAGGTTGTAAAATGTTTCTTATGGGACCTGGGACCTAAAAAGGTACCTGGTTCTTAGTTGATTATCTTCTGGATCTGGGAAGGAAGGAAGGAAAAGAAAGGGGGAAGGGGATTCTCTATAGAATGTGAATTTTTCCCACAAGACACTTTGCAGGGCAATTTCAAGGTATGGCAAGGAAATACATCTTCGGGTTAAATATTTTTTTCCTTGTCTTATAATGTTTTGCCAGAGTCAGATTGAAAAGTGAGTCACGATATATAGGGTCAAATAAAACCCATCTGATGAGAATTTATGGTTTGTAGGGCATGACTCCCTACACCTCCCCCCACCCTTAGGTAGGAATGTGGGTAAGATAAAAAAATCAGAGCTTAGCCCTCAACAGTGACAAAGATCTGAACTAACTAACTCCATCTTGCTTCTAACCTCCAAGCTGTCCTTGTTCATTCCTGAACTCCTGGAGGCTGAATTAGCTTTGGGAGAAACTTAGCTTACAGATTACAGCTTGAAACGATGGTAACAGCCCTTTCCCCTTCTTGCCTGGGGACGAGATTGCCTTTGTAGGACTAACAAATTAGTCAAAAGATTAGAAATTATGGTTTAGGAGTCATGCTCGAGGCTACAAGATTCTGACCCTCCTCAAATTGCTCCTGGGGACAACATCGCTATTGTAAAGCTGAAGATCAGTGCTGGAGGTATTTTCCAGACCCTGCACTTGATGGATCAGCTGGCACCATTCAGATCAATAAACTCTCTCAGCTGATCTTGTGGCCGCCCCACCCAAGAGCTGACTCAGCACAAGTCACCCTTGATTCCCCATGATTTCATCTCTGACCCAACCAATCAGCACTGCTGATGCACTGGCCTGCCCCACACAGCAAGTTATCTTTAAAAGCTGTTTTCCCGCGTGCTTCGGGAGACTGATTTGAGCGATAGCGAAACTCCAGTCTCTCTTGCAGCCATCCCTGCATAATATGACTTTTTCTCTATTGCAATTTATTTTTCTTGATAAATCACCCTGTGTAGGCAGTGGGCAAGGTGAATCCACTGGGTGGTTACGCTCTTTTGCCATGCTCTACTAGAAGACAAAAGGTAAGGATAACCGACAGAAAACCAATACCAAATTCTTTCTTTGTAAAACTTACGACAATGACCCTGTCGAGTCAAGTCTCTGAAGTTAGACGAGATATAAACCCAAAGCCTCGTTTTTTCTCCAACAAATCTCTCTTCCTCTCTTTCACCTTGCTAGATTTGAGCTGTACTTCTTTCTGCAAACTGCTTGCTGCCCATGCTTCTTGCTTGGGGTCTAGATCAGAGGCTTCAGTCACGAAAGAAATTAAATGTGCAGCCACTTACGTTGGAGCACAGCCTCTCAAAGCAGGGGTGACATATTTTAGCAAAGACCAAATCTTTACACTTCCCAGTAATGCTCCCTGACACCTTGAAATGAAAGGTCCTGCAGAAAAATCTATTCTCTTTCTCGCCTCTCTCTCGCCTCTGTTATAGGACCAAAGAAAACTTTTTTAAAAAAAGAGTTCTTTATTGAGCCCAGGACTCTGACAATGTGGGGGGGGGGGGGCGGTTAAGGGCTGCTAGAATGGGATACAGTGCCTAGAAGAAGCTGCCATCAGATAAGATAGTAATTCTTTTAGAAAAAACCCGTCACCTCTAATTGCATTCATGGCTTTTGCTGAATGCTACCCAAGAAATGCAGTACTTTGATGTGAAGAAATAACCTCACCTTTTCCCATTTACACCAATGTAATAACTGGAAAAAGTCAAATTGGGCTTTGAAATGGAATTACTTCAGTTCCCCAAGAAATTATGTAAACGGCATATTCATCCATTAGCCATGTTTTCCATAACTTTCATAATAAAGGGGAAAATGTGATTAATTTGAAGAGGACTGTTTTAGGTTCCCATTGCCGCTTTCACAAATGACAAACCTAGTGACTTGAAACTATTAGTGACTTTTCTGAATCAGGAAAAAGGACTTACTTTTGCTATCTTATGTCTTTCATGTGAAAAGCAAACATTCTTTTAGTCAGGAAAAATAACAAAGGGGCATAGTGAAGTCGTCTTAAATAAATGCAACTTAGGTGTGTCTGATACCTTCATTTGCTATCCCCAGCAGATGCACCTGCAAGCTTGGCAGCATTGCACTCGCTTTACAATTGGATTGGACCATGGGGGCGGTTTCCCTTGTGCTGTTCTCGTGATAGTGAACTCTTCCAAGATCTGGCTGTTTAAAAGCGTGTGGCAGGTTTGCCCCATAGCCACCATAGTAAGACGTGCCTGCTTCTCCTTTGCCATGGTTGTGAGTATCCTGAGCTCTCTCGGTCGTGCTTCCTGCTAGCCCTGCAGAACTGTGAGTCAATTCAATCTCTTTTCTTGATAAATTAGGTAGTCTCAGGTAGTTCTTTTATAGCAGTGTGAGAACGAACTAAATATGCTTTACATGTCAGGCCTACACTAGGCTTTGGGAAACATACTGGGACTATATTGTGATCAAAACAAGTATACTGCCCTCAAACTTTTAAGAAGTAAATAATTACAAACGTGGTGGCAAGACTGCAGTAAGTGTTGCTTTGCAGGCGCGAAGGAACAGACTAGAAGCTTTTCCAAAGACACTGAAATGACTAACAGGTATATGAAAAGCTGCTCAGCATCACTCCTCACCAGAGAAATGGAAATCAAAACCACAGTGAGATAGCACCTCACACCTGTTACATATAGCTATCGTTAAAAATAAGTGTTGGTGGCTGGGCACGGTGGCTCATGCCTGTAATCCCAGGCCTTTGGGAGGCTGAGGTGGGTGGCTTAGGAGGTCAAAAGAGCGAGAGCATCCTGGCCAACATGTTGAAACCCGCTTCTACTAAAAATACAAAAATTAGCTGGGCATGGTGGCACTTGCCTTGTAGTCTCAGCTACTCGGGAGGCTGAGGCAGGAGAATTGCTTGAACCTGGGAGGCGGAGGTTGCAGTGAGCCGAGGTCGCACCACTGCACTCCAGCCTGGTGACAGAGCAAGATTATATCTCAGTGTTGCTGAGGATGTGTGGGGAAAAAAAATCCTTGCACTGTGTAGGTGGGAATGTACGTTGGTACAGCTGCTACAGAAAACAGCCAGAAGATCCCTCTAAAAGTAGGATTCAGCAACCCAAATCTTAGGTATATATTCAAAAGAGTTGAAATCAGTATCTAAAAGATAGCTGTTAGTCCTATATTCATCGCAGCATTATTTTTGAGACAGTCTTGCTCTGTGGTCCAGGCTGGAGTGCAGAAGTACAATCTTGGCCCACTGCCACCTATGCCTCCAGGGTTCAAGTGATTCTTTGTCTCAGCCACCCAAGTAGCTGGGGTTATAGGTGCATGCCACCTCGCCCGGCTAATTTTTGTATTTTCAGTATAGAACACGGGGTTTTGCCGTGTTGGCCAGGCTTGTCTCAAACTCGGCCTCCCAAACTGCTGGGATTACAGCTGTGAGCCATCACATCCGGCCTTGTAGCATTATTTACAATAGCCAATATATGGAAACAAGCTAAGTATTCATCTACAGACTTTAAATATCGGGTGTATGTATATGTCATTTTATATATGTATAATGAAACATTCAGACTTAAATCCTGCTATTTTGACTATGAATAAACTTGGAGGACATTATGCTAAGGAAATAAGCAAGACAGAGACAAATACTGCGTGATCTCCTTTACGGCGTCTAATGAGTTGAACTCAGAAGCAGAGTAGAAAGGTGGTTGCCAGAGGCTTGGGGGAAGGAGGGATTACTTTTAATGGTAAAATCACAATTATCTTTGCAGCAACCTTGATATAACTGCGGGGATCTAATGTACAGCATGGTGACTATAGTTGATAATGTATTTGAAATTTGATAAGAGCAGATTTTAAGTGACCTCACCCCACATATACTCACAAATGGTATCTCTAGATGGTGATGAATGTCAATCTGATTGTAATAATCAGTATGCAATATATATGAAATCATATTGTATACCTCGACTCTTACACATTAAATACTTTAAAATTTTTAAATTAGTAAAAGAACTTTCGAAAAAGTAGCATTAGGCCTTGGACTTGTCCTAAATGAGTAAGAACTAGAAAATAAATCTACTGGCAAAGATCTAAGAACTTTCTAATCTTCGGCTGGGCGTGGTAACTTATGCTTGTAATCCTAAACCTTTGGGAGGCCAAGGTTCAGAGGGTTGCTTAACCCCAGGAAATTGAGACCTGCCTTGGCAGCATAGTGAGATCCCACTTGTACCAGGTCTTTTAAAAAGCCCGGTATCATGTTGGTGTGTCCCTGTAGTTCCAGCTACTTGGAAGGCTGATGTGGGAGGATGGCTTGAGCCTGGGAGATGGAGGCTGCAGTGAGCCATGGTTGTGCCACTGCACTCCAGCCTGGGGAGGAGAGCAAGACCCAGTCTCAACAACAGCAAAATTTGGTTGTGCTCTTTCCATTCGTCAATGGAACTTTCTCACCTCTCATAGTTAGCTAATTTCCAAATAAACGACAAGGGAACCCTAGCCAATACTATCTCTAAGATTTTTGATCTCCTTTGTTCTCTAAAGAGTGTATAAATTTTCCTGCAAATGGTTCCTGAAAATGAGAACACGAAAAATCCAATTTTTTTTTTTTTTTTTTTTTTTTTTTGCTTTATCAAAAAGAGCAAAAATGAACAAAATGCCAATATGTTCGCAATGTGGCCTAAGGAATCTCTGCTATTCATTTTCTTGGAACCAATTTCCCCATTTGTAAGAGCCTTCAGAACCCCTGAGTGGATGGCCTACAGCCCTGCTCACTCCCGAATTCCTACTATTACACCTGATTCCAATAGCATGCCCTTGCATGCTAGTTGTCTGCTGCTTTATTTTATCTTTGGAAAATGAATATCGGCCAAGGTGGCCCTGGAGCCAAGGCAGTTCTCTGTGAAAACACAGACCCACGGGCCTGTACCACTATTAAAATGCATTCTCGTTGGGAAGGAGGCAGCTGAGGTCTGAGACCTTCAGCTGAAAGGGCTTCTGTGGAAATGTGTCAGGAATGGAGACGCTGAAAAGTTCATCCAGCCACGCGATTTGCAACATTCTGTTCCCAAGTCGCAGTTAAAATCCAGTTGTCTGAAGTTGATTCAATTCAATAGAGTGACACTTCTCAAGCAGTTGCAGAGATTCGACCCCATTATTCTTCCCCAGCAAAGTGGGCACGCCAGGTTTGGAAACTTTTGAACTGTGTCCTTGACATTGAAAATCCAATTTCATCGTCTTCTCTGAAAAATATAAAACTAGGACCAAAGTGCTTCCTATGGTAAGGCCAGGAGGATGTTCTTCTCTTCCATATATATATGAGTGTTTATTAAATGAGTTTTTATTAAAATGCTAAACGTTACTTAAGCTGCTGAATTGTAAGAAACGTGGTTACTTGTTTCACAGGGGTAACCAGACGCGGAATCGTGTTTCCCTCCTAAACAGTGTCACAGCTTTCCCTGGTTCTCATGTTAATGTGCCATTCATGCAATTCTGAACTTTTTTCCCCTCCTAATCTTTGTTTCCACAACTTTAATGATAAATGTGATGTAATACAATAAGCAAGGTTCAGGAGGCTGCAGACATTCTAGGAGTGCTCAATCTTGATGCTTTTCCTCTTGATTTGCATGGCACAGGTGTGCTTGGTTACCCTTGATGCATCCAGCTAGATCCCTTTAACTTCTTTCACTGATTCCCTTTTACTTATCTTATCTAGATTCTGCCCTGGATTGTCTTCTACACTCCTACACTTGAGTCCGTGTGAGTCAACTAAGCGTATCCCTGGTCTGGACAGACCTGCTTGCATATGCCAGGAATACCACAAATTCAGCCCATCCCAAACCAAAACTTTTACTTTCACCTCTCTAAAATGTATACAGACAACCAAAAGCCATCCATATCATCTAAACTGTTCTAATATTTTACCATCCTCACTGCAAGGGACTTAACTGTTACTTTAAGGGAGAGGGGCTTGAATCCCCAAACACTTGTGTGAGAACTTGACATTGTTCCTCCTCTCCACGCAGTTTAAATGACTCGTTATCCCTGTGAATTTCCTCCTTGCCTACAGGCTCTAAATCAGTTGCAGATTTATTTACCCTGTAGTGGACAAACATTAGACACCTTGACATCTTTGAGAATAAAATGATGAGTGACACATCGTAGAAATTTCTGGAGGTGCATTTCTTAATGCCAGACAATTTGATGTCAGTGATTTGGGTCATCTTTGAGACCCTGAGTCAAAATGTGCTCCTTTGTGACATCACTAATCTGTTCTATAAAGTCCTGACTTTTCTAGGGTACGTGGGAATCCACCAAAGATACGTACATAACTACCTCAATTGTCTTTTCATGTTAGGAATAGAGGCATAGGTCTATAGAGCTAATAAGCAGTAGAGATGGAATTCAAATACACATTGATCTGAATCCCAAATTTTAGTCACTATACTACAACCACAGATTCTCTTATATCTTACTCCTCTTCTTACTGGCTTAACTTCATTCTGAGACATCTATTTCTTACCTAGATTATAAGTCTCTGTTCTCATAACCACTCCAACAATCTCTATTCACTAGGAACTCTCCTTTTCCTCCTCCCCCTACCAGATGTTGGCACCACTAATCTGCCTTTTGTCTCTATGGATTTACCTATTCTGGATATGTGAACTTTGCATCTTCCATTTAGCATAATGTTTTTGAGGCTCATTCATGTTTCAGAGCATGCACCAGTACTTTTTATGGCTAGGATCCATACAATATCCATTGTGTGGATAAGCCACATTTCATTTATCCATTCAGCAATATATGGACACGGGGGTTGTTTTCCACACTTTGTGAATAGTGCTGGTATGAACATTCATGAACAGGCTTGTTTGAATACCTGTCCTAGATTATTCTGTGTATATACCTATTTGGGTCAAGTTGGAATTGCTGATGGAGTTGCTATATCATGCGTTAATCCTATGTTTAACCTACTGAGGAACTGCCAGTTTTTCATAGCACTTACCACTTTAGATTCCCACAGGCAATGAACAGCAAACATATCCTCAGCATTTTTTTTGTCGTTCAGTTATAACTTCTTAGGGTTGCCATAACCAAATACCGTATCGCTACCTGGGTGGCTCATGACTTTGGGTAAGTCCCTTTCTTCCTCATGAGCCAACCATGGATAGAAGCAACTTCCTCATTAGGCCAGTGTGCTATGGAAATATTATTTTTCACGTTATACATGAGAAGACTGGAAAGCCTATGCTATTGGAAGGCAGTATAGTCCAATTGGAAAAAAGTTCTTCTGGACCCAAACAGAAGTCTTAGTAGTACACACTACTCTCTCCTTCAAGTGTCACCTTGAACTATTCTCCTTGTTTGGGGTTTCTACTTACCCTTTAGGACCTTGAATCAGTGATTCTAGTTGGGAAAGAGAATCCACATCAGTTACCTTAACTGGGAATTTAATATAAAGAATTATTAACTAGGTATTGAACTAAAGAGGCAACAACCACTGAAACATCACTAGTAGAAAGCAGCTACCACCCCTAGGGCTGCAGGAACAAAAGAGTTGTTGAATTAAAATTTAAAGGCTTGGAGGAAAAGGGGTCCTGCTGAGCTGGGACTCACATCTGTGTAAGGGCTCTTTTTTTCCTGATGAATTCTCTGAGGTTAAAAGAGGGGGCCTCTTATCCAAGGAGAAGGCACTGGACAGCTGAGGTCTGTATCTCTGAGGGGTCATAATGAAGATGGTCTTGTGAGTCTTAGAGAAATTTAACTGGAATCAATTGCTGGAACAAATGGGTACAGCCAGAGCAAAAGGAAAAGGCTAGGGTGCTGCATACAGAAACCCAAAGCAAAGAAGCAGCCACTAGTAAACAGACAAGAGTAGACACCTTCTTGCTCCTCCAGCTCTGTAGACTCCTGCTGGGGCCACCGTTAGCAGAACCTAACAGGAAGCCACTTGGAAAAGCAGAAATGTGGCTTGCCCAGCCTCAGCATCGCAACACTGAGTATAAAAGAGTAGCTTTGAAATGAAGAGGCAGTAGCTTATTAACTGGTACAACAGCTCCACACCCTTAATGCCTTTTTGTTGGAGAAATCACTGAGTCTTTCTGCTCCTGTAGCCCGTCACATCATGTTGTTAATTTGTGTTTGTCTTTCCCTTTAGATAAAGTACAACCCTTGCTCTCAGAGGGTTCATTATCTGTGTCCTCAAATATTGCAGCATCCATATAAGAGATGCTCGGTGAATGTTTGTTGAATGACTGCATGGATGAATGAATGAACAGCAAGCAAACAAGGAAGCCCAAGAGAATGGCCCTTATCAGAGATTGAAAAGGAAGCACTGGAGTGAAGCCAAGATGAAAGATGGCAAATTAGACGCATGACAACACTATTTGATATCTCAGATCCACTCTTGTTCTTCCCAGTTGGATTTTTCTAACTTGTGGCAAAAGGAATTGTGCTTCCACAGCAAGCAATCGGCTAGGCAGGGAAGGCAGAGTTGCACACACACAAATCGATTTTGGGTCGGAGGATAATTGGACAGCTGCCAGGAGCAAGGTGCTGAGAAAATTAGCAACAGTGAGGTGCATTAGCAGACCTGCTAACAAAGGTATTAGGGTCAAGGGCAGAAGTAGCACCCCTTAGCCTGGAAGATGAAGCATGTCATAGCCACGGCTCTGCCTATTCCTCCACCTCCATTGCTTAACAGTCAAATGCTGCAGCTCTGCTAGTAAGTCACTCCCTACAGCTTTCCTCTACGTGTACCTCAGCCTCTACCCACTTGATTATTAGCCAGAAAAACTCAAACTATTTGTCTCCTTTTCCAGTTATTTTGCTTCCCAAGCTTCCCTTTGTTGCATGCATCTGTGAATCCCTGGTCCCACCCCCAACCCCACCCCAAAGATAGTAGACTGCAATTACTAATCCTGGTCCTGGATCCTCAAAGCAAGGGCTGACATCATTCACCAGCTGGGCATATTTAACTCTGCCGCATTTCTGTGTTTTGTAAAGTTGTTATAATGATGCTCACTACTCATCAGGGTATTTGTAACCTCAACTACAGCTGAGATGGTTTGAATGTTTTTATCCAAATCCCACATGGAAACGTGACCTCCAATTTTGGAGGAGGGGCCTGGTGGGGAGGTATCTGGGTCATGGAGACAGATGCCTCATGGATGTCTTTGTGCCATCCTTGTAGTAATAAGCAAGTTCTTGCTTTGCTAATTAACATGGGAGCTGGTTGTTGAAAGGAGGCTGGCACCCCGCCTCTTGCTCCCTCTCACCACGTGACACATGTTTCCCCCTCTGCGTTCTGCCATGAGCAGAAAGCTTCCTGAGGGTCACTAAAAGCCTAGCAGATGCTAGTGTCATGCTTATACAGCCTGCAGAACCATGAGCCAAATCTCCTTTCTCTTATAAATTGCCCAGCCTCAGGGATTTCTTTATACCAACACTAGAAAAGGCTAACAGAAAACTGGTACCAAGGAGTGGGGCATTGCTATAAAAATACCAGTGAGTAAAGGGAGCCAAGTGCTACTAGTCAAGACAATGGGAACAAGTCCTCAAATATTTCAGAGGTATTTAGGACAGTCCCTCCCATCACAGGCCTGAGATCTAGGAGCTCTGAATGATTTCAGGGCCAGGCCTAGGGTGCCCTGTGCCACCTCAAAGCTGCTCTCTACCCCATCCTTGCTGCTCCAGCTCTATCTGTGGCTTAAAGGGCACCAGGTAGAGGTTGGGCTGCCACTTGGGAGAGCGTAAGCTACCACAGTCCTTGCTGGTTTGCATGCGGTGGTAAGCCCGTGGGGTATACAGAATGTAGGAGAAGGGTTGGCAGCTTCCACTTAAACTTTAGGATGTATAGGAAAGCTTGGGTGCCCAGGCAAACCTGCCACAGGTGTGGATCTCCTACGCAGAGACTCTACTAGGGTAGTGCCAGGGAAATGTGGGGTTGGAGTCACCACACAGAGTCCCTTCCTGGGTACTGTCTAGCGGAGCTTGTAGCAATGGGGCTTCCCTCCACACCCCAGAATGGTGGCGCCTATAAGCAGCATGCAACCTTAGCCTGGAAGAACCACAGAGGCAGGGATACCCAAGACCTTGGGCACCCAACCCCTGTACTGGTGTGTGTGTAGGAGGAGACACATGGAGTCTTAAGGATTGGGAGCTTTAAGGCTTAAGTTCTGCCCTGCTGGGTTTTAGACTTGTATGGGTCCTGTTACCACCCCTTTTTTTGTAAATTTTCCTTTTAGAATTGGAATGTTTACCCAATGCCTGTACCACCATTGTATGTTGGAAGTAAATAACTCATTTTGATGTCATAGGCTCAATGTAGAAACAACTTGCTTCGAGTCTAAAGTGAGTCTTTGGACTTTTGAGTTACTTGAAATGAGTTGAGACTTCTGGGGACCATTGGGAAAGGGTGATTGTATTTTGCAATGTGAGGAGAATATGAGATTTGGGGGACTAAGGGTGAAATTATTTAGATGTTTGACCCCTCCAAATCTCATGTTGAAATGTAACCTCCAATGTTGGAGATGGGCCTAGTGGGAGGTGTTTGGGTCATGGTGGGCGGATACCTCCTAAATGACTTGGTGCTCTTCCTGTAATAATGAGTGAGTTCTTACTCTGCTAGCTCACATAAGATCTGGTTATTTTAAGGAGCCTGGCATCTCCCACTACGTGACATGCTGGCTCTCCTTCCCTTCCACCATGACTAAAAGCTTCCTAAGGTCTCACCAGAAGCTGAGCAAACGATGGTACCATGCTTGTACAGCTCGCAGAACCAACCACGAGCCAAATAAACTTTTCTTTATAGGTTACCCAGCCTATGGTATTTCTACAGAGCAACACAAAACAGACGAACACAACACAAAGCATTTTAAGAGCTTAGAACACTGGCTAGCACGTAGAATGTGGTAAGCGTTAATTATCAGTGCTGCTTTTACACAGTTTGTAGTAGTTCAAGAAATTTTCCTTACTAAGTCTTGGAAGAGATTTTGACTTACCTTCCCAAGACCTAGCATGTAGTAGGTGTTCAGTGGAGGTGTTCGTTTTACTGGAAATGGAGAAAGAATGAATATATTAGGATTTAGATTAACTAGTTTGCCCAGGGCATTGAAGGGTTTACTTAGTGGAACTGTCTAACAAGGATTACACAGAACATTGTTGCTGAAAATACTTGCATATTGAAATAACATTTTCCAGTAAGAGCAGTCTAATATGGTAAACATATTGAGACTTTCTCGAGAAACTCCCTTAGGGTCATCACAACAGCATCAGAGCTCAAATAGCATTAATGTAGATTCCATTAGGACTTTGACAGGGACAGAAAGTCAACTGGAAAACTTAGAAAAAGATTCATTAAGGATACTGAGACGGAATAGCTACAGGTAAAGATCTGGGCCTGGGAATCAACTGGACCCAGGGGTTCTTTCTCTTTTATTTCTGCTTGCCATTCTCTAAATTGTGTTCTACTTGTTTACAAATGTAATAGGTTGTCTCACCAACTAGGTTTGTGATTCTAAGGCAGGGGATTTGTATCAGTTTTCCATTGCTGCTCTAACACAAACTAAGAGACTTGACGCAACACATTTCTTACAGTTTGGGAGATCAAAAGCTGAAACAAGCTTTACAGAGCAAAAGGTGTTGGCAGGGCTAAGTTTATTCTGGAAGCTCTAACGGATAATCTGTTTTCTGATTTTTGGCTTCTAGAGGCTGTCTACATTCTTTGGCTTTTGTAACTCCTTAACCATCTTCAAAGCCTTCTGAGTAGCATCCTCAAATCTTAGCCTTCTCTCTTACAAAGACTCCTGTAATACATTGGGTTTATTTGTATAATCTGAGATAATCTCATCTCAAATTAGTCATATCTGCAAAGTATATTTTTTGTCATAGATGGTGGTAAGATATTCAGATGGATCTTCAGGAGGAAGTGGGGGAAAGGAATAGAGAGGTGGCAGAGTTTAACCTAGTACAGGCATTATTTATCTCCAGAGTCAGCACAATGTCTAGCATATACTAGTCAGAAAAATATCGATTGAATAACTTAATAGAAGAACTATCGCTGCATGTCACTTTTGATCTTTGCCTTCAAGCAGGTCTCTCCATGCAGGAAAACATGGTTCTTGACAGTTTCTTAACCTTAAAGACCCTCTGCTACTATTCCTGGAAAGATGCTTAATTCCTTCCTCAGTTTTCTTGTTTATTCCATCAAGTCTCCAAGTCTTAATGCCCGAAGTCTCCAAGTCTGTTGTAACAACCCAAACTGACAGACACCTGAGAGAACAATCGTCTGAAGTTTTGTATTTGTGCTCAGTATCTCTACAGGAATGTTTTCTGGTCATCACTTTTGCCTAAAAATAGATCATTTTGCAAGAATGCCAGGTGCATAATTGTTCTAGTTACAAAGGTTCTCGATCAACATTTTGATTTATATATTTACTTCTTTTGAGACAGAGTCTTGCTCTGTGCCACTGCACTCCAGCCTGGGTGACAATCTTGGCTCACAGCAACCTGCACCTCCCAGGTTCAAGAGATTCTCCTGCCTCAGCCTCACAACTAGCTGGGATTACAGGCGCCCGCCACCATGCCCGGCTAAGTTTTGTATTTTTAGTAGAGATGGGGTTTCACCATGTTGGCCAGGCTGATCTCAAACTCCTGACCTCAGGTGACCACCCGCCTTGGCCTCCCAAAGTGCTGGGATTACAGGCATGAGCCACCGTGCCCAACCTACATCAATGTTTTTAATTCTATTAAACCTAATGTCCTTCATCATTAAAAATAAGATCTAGTTCCCCTTTTGCAATCCTAAGCTGAAATTCGTAAAATAGATACCTACGTTATTTTGGAAGCAATAAAATCTCTACATATGAAATTTATAATACTTTGTATTCCAATGTCAATTATCTGCCACAGGTACATTATAAAATAGCAAATTCCCTCACAATTGCAAAATGCTGGCAGAAGCTACTACTACACTCAATAGCACTTCTGTTGATAATCAGGTCCTGGTATATACTTAATGAATGACTAACATTTACCCTTCTCCGGAGCTACTTAATTTCCATTATATAAAACTATATTTCATGGACTTATTCCTACCTGAAACTATTTTGTGTGGCTATTTGACACTTTTATTCACTCTTTATTTGAACACCAGTTCCATGATAGCAGGAATTTGACGTCTTTTCAGTGCCTAGCACATGGAAGTTCAATATATATTTGAACAAAGGAATGAATAAAGTGTTATCTTTTGATAAGCCAAAGCACTTCGAAGCTGGAAAGACTTTCCTAATTATCTGCATTGATTCTACCGAGACTGGGAGGGTGGGGTGAAATTGACTTGCGTGTGGACACAAAGCTATTAAGTGGATGAACCCAGACCTCCTGACTCCCCATCCCAGGCCCTTGTATACAGGCATTATACAAGTATGGCTTAAGTTCAACCCTCTAATAACTGAATAGATAGGTTTTCCTGTATAATGACACTGGTACTACTTTTTTTTTTAATCCTAATTAGTCAACAGAGATTTGAAAATGACCATTTCTGGTGAAGATGAGAAATATCTAGTGTCTCCTCACTGAGATATGACAGCTTCCACTTTTTTTCCTTTTTATATCAATCTCCCACATCTGACCTATATAACCCCGAACTACACACTCTGGGGTGCTAAAGTACTACTTCCACTATGGCAATTAACCAATATAGCAAGTACTCCTCTTTATTTTTTCTAATCAACCTTCTAGAAAGACAGCTTTCTTGTTGAGGAAAAACGGTATACTTTACAGATGGTATGTGAAAGGAAATAGTGAAAGGGAATACAAATTGCTGAGAATGACATGTGCCAAGGGCTACTTTGCAATATTAGTTTATGAATTTTGCCAGCTCAGTAATGTTTTAGCAATAGCATACCACTTGGAGGTTTTTCTTGTTTATTCCATTCAAAGAGATGTTGCATCTTAACAGCATACAAAGCAATATCTAGCAGCATTTGGGTCTGCTTAGATTTAGCAGTGAGCTGAGAGAGCAGTTTATATTTGCTTTTGATTTCTCCATGTGAGTGGAATGCAATGATTATTTCCAGCAACTTTGAAAGTCATATTGTGAAAACCAGAGAAATACAAGTGAGAAAGCAACACAGGTGCATTTAAGAAAAACCGAGTGCGAGACAGTCAAGTCGATGATTTGTTTCTGGAAGCCACTGACCCATTTACAATTTACTTCAAGCTCAGAAATAAAGCCTATAAACTTGCCCCAAATAATGGATATGAGTTAGTAAAGGAAATATTTCAAATGTAGCTTAAGCTTCGGTCTTTAGGAAGACAGGTTCTGATTTCTTCCTGATACTATTGTATTCAAGTCTTGGAATTTTTTAACTCAAAAGAGACTTACACTAAAACAATGTCATATCCAATGGTGAGGGAATCTACATTTTTAAATAGTGGATTGCTTCCTAACATCTAATGATCAGTTGGTCTGAATCAGTAAGAAATTTAAGCTTGGTGACAGTGCAAATACATTGTATCACATAAGTTGCCAGAAACTCTAAATCATTAAGTGTCATAGGTGGTTGAGAGATAAATCTAGTAGCCCAGACTTGACCTATGGGAAAGCAATGTCTACATGGAGAGGTGACCTGTCGAAGGTTCTGAAGTATACTAATGGTAAGTCCTATGTTGGAAGTTAGTGTGCTTACTCAGTTCCCTGTGTTTCTCGCTCATTAACAGCACTTCCTTGAACACATTGCCTACTTTGTGAATCAGTTTTCTAATCTGTAACATGAATGTAACCATACTATTTCTCACAGGCTGTTTGAAGAAGACTCAACACTAAAGATCTTTGTGGGCTCTTGCATTATGATAATATTCCCAATTTTATGAAAGGGTCTTGCCCTAGCTACAAATGTGTCTAAAGTGTGAAACACAGAAGGGTCCGAATAGGGGAAATAATACTGAAAATCGAACCGGTTGTCTCAAGTTGTGTACATTACATCCTAACTTAGCCAAAATCTCTTAATTAGGCATTCTATGTGCATGAGCATATCTTTAAATCAGAGGTTTTCATGGCCAGTATTTAGTTTCATGGCTTTAAACCATCAGGGAAGATATACCATCTTATCCTATCAATCCAGCTGGTTTTGTCTTTTTCTTTTTAAATTTTAGAAGAAATTTCGATAGAAGGCTACCCCTCTTGGCTCTCTGGGACTGAGTTACAAAATTAAAATTTATTTTACTTAAACAGCCAGTAGTGAAGCTGAGAAGATTAAATCCTACTGGAGTCTGTCTAAACCACAGTGAAGGGATAAAGAAATAATGTGAGGTGAAGTCTTTATACAGCTAGCTGCTCAGCCAGCTCAACCAGTTTGTTCTCCATTGCCCCGACTCTAACCTGACTAAAACATAAACAAGATTTTCAAATTCAGATGTGAAAATCCAAATAAAAAGATGATACCTAACTGCATTCATTATTAGAAGCAAGCTCGTTAACGTGTGAAGTTTCTGTATGTGGATGATAAATAAACAGAACAGATGGCTTAATAAACCATTAGCTCTAGTGGAGACGGACCTGGCTTATTTATTGCTACATTCTTTGTACTTAGAAGTGTTGTGTAAATCGTGAGTGAACTGAGGGAATGCATCCACATTGCTCAGTTATGTGCAACTAGACACTTGGGATGCATATTCTTATCTAGTCCTAGAAGCTCTTCTCAAAGGCAGCTAGAACCTTCATTTCACAGACAGGGAAGCCAAGGCTCAGAGGTGATGTCACTCAATGAGAAACTAGCAAAGGCAGAATTCGAAACATAGACCCACTATTTCTTCCTTTATACACAACGCCACCTCACCTGTATTGCTATAATGACTGAATTTTATCTCAGTAGGAAACTTCTGGCCAGGCACAGTGGCTCATGCCTGTAATCCCCGTACTTTGGGAGGCCAAGGGGGGGGCAGATCACCCGAGGTCAGGAGTTCAAGACCAGCCTGGCTAACGTGGCGAAACCCTGTCTCTACTAAAAATATAAAAATTAGCCAGGTGTGGTGGCAGGTGCCTGTAATCCCAGCTACTCAGGAGGCTGAGGCTGGAGAATCACTTGAACTCAGGAGGCAGAGGTTGTAGTGAACCAAGATTGCACCATTGCTCTCCAGCCTGGGTGACAAAAGTTGAAACTTCAGAGCATGAATTGTCTGAAGATAGTGAGCACCACACTCTTGGCTTTGTGATGTTAGAGGATATATTGTAAAGGAGGCAATGGAATTGGCAGGGAGAGTTGGACAAAATTACTTTGTCTCGACACATCACTTGCTTCTTCCTCCTTTCATTGATTAGTACCTTTATTCAGTTTCCTCTTTAAATATGCAAAAACTAAACTTCAGAAGGATCAGGATTAAAAAAATGCCTCTAGAACAAGGAGGAAAAAAATGTGTGTGCATATATTCCACATCCACTAGTGGACTTGGAGTAAAATTTGTAGCCTTTAAAAAAGTGATTCAGCTCTGTAATTGGAGAGATGATTTTAATCATTCAATAATACTCTATTTTCTACCTTGGATCCCAATTTTTTCCATCTTATGTCTGTGTATATTTCATAAACGGCATAAAATCCTTTTTTGGGGGAAAGTAATGGAAATGTATATGTGCTCTCTGTGTGTATTCACACAAGTACCTGCATGCTCCCCTTTAGCTATGCAATCTTGAGCCTTTGAACTTCAGCCAGTACAAAGGAATAGAAATATTGCTGGCACTAACTTCAATTAGAGCCAGCCAAAACAAGCGGGCATGCTGAGTGTCTGTTTTTCCCATCCATGACTCCAAGAGCAGCCCATCCCAGGATTCTAGCCCAACCTCACCCTCTCTGGAACAAGAGCCATTTCTCTCTTGCATGCTCTAGGGCCCTAAATCTAACTTACTTGGAGGGGAGGAGATTTCTTGTCTGCCAAGGGTAGTGGAGGCCCCTGCATCTGTCATGCAGATCCATCCAGCACTCTTGCCAGATCTAGCGTGCTGATCCCTTATGCTGACCCGCTAATACTAACATTAGTGTGGGACTGCCCAGAGCCAAGAGCTGGAAACCAAATCTGTAGCAAGGAGCTGCTCAGGCCAGCCAAAATGAACCAGGACTTATTCTATTAGAGAGAATATTTCGTTTGCTCCAATAACAAGAACTCTATTGAGATTGGTTAATTCAATTCTGCCCATCTTATCAGATTTATTTTTAATGAAACTGAACAATAGTTGCATTTGTTATGTTATTAGTTTTCCCAGTAGAAGCAATGAGGCTTTAACACTGAAAGCGAGGCAGACAAGCTTTGCCAGTATCTTTGGCTTATCAGTGGTGCATGCCAGTTTGGATATTACACAGTGAAATGCTTCTGTCCTCTTCTGGGTCTACTTTCTTGCTTATGGGACTTGTAGAGCTGTGAAGCCATCTTTTCTCATGTAAGTTCCCTGAACCTCATCTAATCTTGTCATTCTCTTGTTAATACACCTGCCTGGGATCCTGATTGTCACACTTCCACCTGTTGTGAGCTAAGTGACATTGTCAAAGTGGCTTAACCTCCCTAAGCCTCTTTTTCAATTTGCAAAATGGCGATAACATAAATTGCTGCATACTTTTTAAAAAAAAGGATTAAGTGTACCTTACAAATGGGTAATACTTGATATATGTTTTATTATTGAGCATTATATTGCTCAAATGTTTTCTTTGTGTTCATCTACCTCAGACAAAACACTTCAAGGGCACAACGGCACTTCTGTTTTCTAAGTACCTGTCAGTAAGTACTCAAATACTTGCTTAGTCAGGTTGATGGCTGTGCCCACAGTATGTTCCAATCATCCTACTTTACTGTATATTTTCTCTGGAACCTCTTATCCTTTCAAAGTTGCGTACAAGCATCCCTTCTTCTAAACATCCTCCATTGTTCACATTCAAATGATGCAAAACACTCACTTTGTGGTACATTTATAAACATTCACCCTGATTGAAAACAAGTCTGCCATATGTAGTTTAAACATCAATATTAAGATATGGTAGTTGTCTTAAGTGGGGTTCCCAGAAGTAGAACCTTTTCTTCCTGGCCATGGCATTTGAGTGAGGGAACTCGGGAGAAACCTGTAAATGAGTAAGGAAAGAATAGGGCAAGCCATAAACTAGACAAACAAGTGATTTCTTGGGAAGTCTAGCTACAGCCTGATCCCAGGGAAATCTTTACAATTGTTGTTTACACCAGAGGCTTCCCACCCACGGGAAAGGGGACTGGGTGGATGCACAGCCACATCAGTTGGGTGTGGGAAAATAAGCATAATCTTCTAAACACCTTAAAGTGGTTCCAACCAGTCAAGGTCATCAAGGAAGGGTACAGAGATGAACAATGAGTACCACAATCTGCAGTATTTCAGAAATGGGACACTGGCATTGTAAGAAAATGAAAAAACGGAACCCCCAATGCTATACACACAACAGTCAAGACATTGGGTTTGGAATATATGCAAGAGGCTTTTGTTCCAGTAGCTCGAAACTTCCCAGAAACAGTAGCAGCCACAGGCCTGAAGCCAAGAGATGCCTGGAAACAGCTTGATGACATTCAAGAGTTGAGTCATTTATTATTTCTTAGAGGAGTGAAAAAAGTAGAATTTTTGGCAGTGCGGTTTTGATACCTTTTCTCCCACCCCATTTTCATTTCAAGCATGTTTAATTGGAGGGTTGTATAATTAATTGCATGTCTATTGCAATATGGTGTTTACTTACAAAGCACTGTGGGCCATGTCAGTGATTAGCCATTTTCTCTGACGTCTGTCAGAGTGCTAATTACAAGCAAACATGGTACACGTTCTCTGACAAAGACACGGGAGTGTGGTACTAAGGTTTCTCTCGATTCTGTGCATGTTCCCTTTATCTGGATGGTGCACTGCTTGGCTCATGCAGTGCTGATCCAGCAGCTTGGAGAAGGGTTGCCAGGAATCAGACAAAGACGATGTAAGTTTCTAACCATAGTACAAGTGTATTGTCATCTCAGGGGCAACCCCCCAGAATGTGCTCCTGGCCCTGGAGATTCTAAAGAGTCAGACAACCTGTGACCAATAAATCACAGAGCTGGAAATCCTCTGCTTACTCTTGGGCCCTGCCAAACAATTATGCAGTGAAATGTTCTAATTGTACTCTGATTTTAATGTTACTACCCATTTCCATAATTTCTCTGGATCTTTACGGCACTGTTTCATACTTGCCAATGAAGCAAATGAACTAGAAGGAACACTCACAGATGGCTCATGTTTCCCATTAAGCCGGCACACTAAGATCTGCTTTGTCTTCCGTTTTGGTTTGGGCAGCTGTGATTGTTCACAAAGAAGCAGGCCTTGAAAGTTTGCCCAGCTCTCTAAATGGCCTCCTTGAAACCATCTCATCCTGAGGGAATGGGAGACACAGGGAACACACAGCCCAGTGTCTTTTGCTTGGTCCAGTGTGGCCCTCTGAGCACTCCTGGCTGGGTTTGTTCCTCCCCAGGTTACCCTTTCTGTCCCAGGATGGTTCCCACTGCCATATAGGGATGCTGTCTCGTACTACCACACTGTTACTCATGCCATTGCATGTCTGGAAGGTCCTACTCATGTGTCTTCATGCTTCAAGGCTTAAACTCTTTTCTGTGGCCCCCTTTCCCTTAGAGAAGAGTTACATTATGGATTTATCTCCCTAGCAGTAGGACACAGCTGGTGTTCAGTGAGTATCTAGAAACAAAGCATAGAGTAAGACAGTGTGGCGATTCCTCAAGGATCTTGAACCAAAAATACCATTTGACCCAGCAATCCTCTTACTGGATATATACCTAAAGGATTATAATTCATTCTATAAAGACATATGCACATGTATGTTTATCGCAGCACTATTCACAATAGCAAAGACTTGGAACCAACCCAAATGCCCATCAATGATAGACTGGATAAAGAAAATGAGGCACATATACACCATGGAATACTATACAGCCATAAAAAGAGTTCATGTCCTCCGCAGTGACATGGATGAAGCTGGAAACCATCATTCTCAGCAAACAAACACAGGAACAGAAAACCAAACACATGTTCTCATAAGTGGGAGTTGAACAATGAGAACACATGGACACAGGGAGGGGAACATCACACATTGGGGCCTGACGGGTGGGGGCAAGGGGAGTGAGAGCATTAGGACAAATGCCTATTGCATGCGGGGCTTAAAACCTAGATGATGGGTGATAGGAGCAGCAAACTACCATGGCACATTTATACCTATGTGACAAACCTGCATGTTCAGCACATGTACCTCAGAACTTAAAATAAAAACACTGTATTTGAAAAGAGTTATACCTAATACATGTGTCTTTGGGTCTCACAACAGTCTTGTGTTCCTTTACATCAGTAGGAACACAAATCCATTTTACATTGTCGTTGTTTGTTTTGCCTTTCTCACCAATGAATGTGGAACTCCCAGAGTTTACCCAATTCTTGTGGCTCTCTTTAGAGTATCAGGCTATTTCTCAAGTCACTATGTATTACTGAAGAATACTCTGGTCGGCAAAAACCTAACTCTATCCAGAATTGGTTAAAAGGTAGACTGAGTGGCTTATGTAAAATAAGATAAGGGAGGGATAGGACACAGGGAATGAAATGCCATCAAGATACCTTTTGCATTGTTCAGCTCTCAGTAGGAGCTCTTACTCTCCGAAACAAGCTCAGTCTCAAGCCAGAGCCATGGCTGATATAGCTATAGCTCAGCTGTGTAGTTAGCACATGAGAAAGGAAAGATGACTCTTTTCTAGCTTTAGATATCAGAACCCCAGAAAAGGAAGGTGAATTTCATGCTTGGGTCAGAGGCCCACCTTCTGGACCAATCACTGGTGGGAGTGGACAGCATGGGGTACTCTGGTCAGCTTGGGTCAGGTGTTTGCTTACGGGTAGGACTTACAGAGCTGTGAAGCCATCAGTCATGGAAGAGGTGGGGACCTGCAGATCCCATGTGACCCTCGTGACAGAGCTGTCCCCTCAAGGTAGAAGGCAGTACAGATTGAATCATTGAAGCCTTAGTTCACATATTCCCCAGAGTGTCTACTGTGGGCAGCAGGCATCATTTCTAATTTAGTCTTATTTTTCATTTATTTGGTTAATGTCTGTCTCTCTACCACCAACTGAAAGCTGGCTATTCACAAGTGACAAAGCTTGTGCAGAGAAAATACTTGCTAGGTGAATGTCTGACTTATTTTCGCTAGTGTCATCAAATTCCTGAAATCTTAATCTTCAGGATTTAAGAACAAGATGAAATTCCTGGGACTCCTCCAGATATTCCCCCATATCATAAGTTTTATTGTGTTTTATATAACACTGTCCGATGCATGACCATGATGATAAAGTGATTTTTTCTGTAATAAGATTATAGTAAATGGTTTAGATTTTCCGTAACATGGTTTATTATGATAAATTGACATTGTGACAATGTTAGATACTTTAATAATATGTAAGAATCATTTCTAATAGACATTTGATCATAGAAAATATTAACAAAAATAAACTTTAAATGAAAATTGCTACACAAACGAAAACTATTTCATTAATGTTTGACACTTTAAAATCATCCTTCAGTTGATTTTAAAACAAAACATTGTCTTATCCAAAATACTGATTTTGTAAGAAATGGTCAAGACATGCCTTTCATGTTGCATTGATGTTGGTGGAACTAAGAGTCCAAAACTTTTGAAAGTTTTATATCTTTGAGAAGTTTATATCTTCAGGTGAGCCTGTTGCCTTTTTAAATGAATGAATGTCTGTATATTTTGCTTTATAAACCACTGTAGCCTGTAAGAATATTTAAACACTGGCGGCATACAGAAGTGAGCATCATTGGATAGTATTTGAATAATGTTTTTGTATCTCCTAGCAAGATTAGCAGTACTACTAAGAATTATATGTTGACTTATTTCCCTTAAACTTATTTCGCTTCCAAAATTTGCTATTTCTTGGAATGCCACTCACATATTGGCATATACTATGCACATAAACTTTCAGTGCTATTTTACTTTCAAGAATGATTTACCATTAACAGCCACATAGGGCCACAAATGGACCCTTACAGCATGGCAGCAAGAACAAGCAAGTCTTATGGGTTGCTTTATATTCCTTTCTCTTCTGTGCACTCCTGGCCCTGTTCCAGAAATGTCCATCTTTGATTCTACATGTCAATGTTTCCTGCTCTTGCCTTCAATGGACATCAGTGGTTTCCCTAGAATCAGTAATGTCTCTATGCTAGGAAAACATTCCCATGTGGATACATTAAGCCTTACCTGGCATAGAGGCTGACAACAGTGGGCTCCACTCCTTCCCTGAAACTAACAATAGGAGCTTCTATATAGTCTATGCCTCCTAAATACTAAGTACCCAGTGCCAATTTGGGGCTTACGGTATGTCGTGTTGTACCAATTTTGCAACTAGGGATACTGAGCTCAGAAGGATCTTGCCCCAAATCACATACCCAGAAAGTGACAACTGAATTCAAACCCACTTGAATTTGGCTTTTCTTTATCACACTCCCTCTACTCTTAAGGCATCAGTTTTTATATATTTTCTATGATTCCTGTTTTTATTTTTGTCTTGAATGAGTGAATACTACTTTTGGCAATACTACGGCTGCTATTCTATAACAATTTATAGAATGCTTAAAATGCATTGGTATTTAAACTGCACTAAGTATTTTATACGTTCACATGTATAAAATGTAATCCTTATAACAACTAGCTCCCTGATGCCAGAGCTACTATTATATTCATTAGACCAAAGGGGAGCCTGAGGCTTTACGAAGCTCTCCCAAAGTCACTTGATAAGTGACAAAGCTGGCGAATGAACACAGTTCTGTCTTGCTTCAAAGCTCATGTTGTTAAACACGACACACATTGCTTCCCACAATAAGCAAATGATGCCAGTTCTGTCCTGGAAGTCCTTGGAAGGACACTTTACTTAGAAGTAGGACTCGTTATAAACACTGGTGTGAGGTTTGGGATGGGGCAGAGGGAGGAGGGGAGTGATGGGTAGCCTATGGGGAAGGGCACCATGAATGATCAAATGGCAATAGATGATAGAGCTGGAGGTCTTGGAGAAGCCCATCTAGGTCATTGACCAGATGGGGAAGCTAAGGCATGGAGGAGTGCAGAAATCAGCAACCTCAAAGCACCACGTGCTAGGCAGTTCCGAGCCCTTTGCGTGCATCTACTTGCATCCCCACTGCAACCCTCATTCAAGAATGACAATTCTGTAAGGGGAGGCTGACTAGATTGTCCAAGGCCTTGTAACTAGGAAGTGATGAGAGGAGGCTTGGAGCTCAGTGCTTCTGCTCTGCGCAGCTTCCTCTCTGGTCTTCCCTCTCTGGACCTTGAGTGAGGGGCATTGTTACTGCTGAGGCAGCCCTTGGCAATCCAGCTACACGATTTCCTTTTGAGGGGAAGGAATGCAGGAGACAGGAGATAATAGTGACCTCTCTTCTTGCTCTTGCAGGTTTTTAAACTCATATCATGGCCATTTGTCCTAGACACTGGGTGAAGGGTATGCTGTATGCACCAAAATTTCATCTAAGATATTCATTTGAAGTTTCAGAGACTGAGGGCAGGTGACAGACTCATTTCTACAATCCTAGGCTAAAACTGAAATCTAAAGCACATGTTCACCCTAGTGCCAGACACCTAAAGTGCTTTCAGACCCAGAAATACGAGTGTGTCATGGTGCTATTATTTGCAGAAGTGTTTGACTGGGCCACAAGGGGATCATTTCATTCAGTTCTGTTTAAAATCATGTAGCCAAAAACTAAAGAAGCATTTGGCTCTGTGTGAAGACTTTTGATAATTTACACACTTCTATTATTATAAGGCAGGATGTGTGTGTGCTTGGAACAGGGGGCGTTGGGTGTTGTATATATGTCACATTCCTTTTGGCAAGTAATGCATTTAATCTACGTGGAATTTTAGTACAACACAGTTGATTAGCATAGTAGATTATCTTTTTCACATGACAAATCTGAGGAATATCCTTAGTCAATGAGTTGCATCATTTTGAGAGTGTCTTATAACATGTGAAAATAGCATAGCATTTTTTTCTTATGGTGCATGCTCAGAGTCAAATAAGTCATTCTGGTTATGAATAGAGTTCTAAATCTTTTACAATCCTTATTCCTTAGTTTGTGGGTTATCTTAAACTTTTGTAGGATGATTTCTGTGTGATTGCTTGGCAAAAAGGGCAAGGCACAATATTCCCATAAACTTTCAATAAAGGCTTGTGATAAGTTATCTGATGACAGGGGTATTTACAGTCAACAAGTTATGAGTTGTCTTCAACAGCTTGCGAACTTGGGTGCAAATTGAGTTCACTTGTCATTGGCATAGCCATCAATGGGCACAGACTTGACCCCATTCCCCAGAGTCATATAAAATGACTATTAGGAGAATTCTCCTTTGAAGCCAACAGTCTTATTCCTACTCCCCAATCCCCCCATCCCCCAGCATGACATTCTGAACCTCTGACTGTATTGTAGTCAAAACACCAGCCACCTTGTCCAGATCTTCAGCCAGGAAAAGATGAGTAATGCAAACCAGTGTACAGAAACTCCATTTTTTTGACTTCAACTTATTTTAGATTAAGGAGGTTACATGTGCAGATTTGTTACATGCATATATTGCGTGAAGCTAAGGCTTGGGGTACAACTGATCCCATCACCCAGGGGGTGAGCGCATAGTACCTAATAGTTTATTTTTGTCTTTCCCCCCTCCCTCCCTCTCTGCTCTAGTAGTCCCAAGTGTCTATTATTGCCGTCTATATTTCCATAAGTATTCAATGTTCAGGTCCCACTTATCAATGAGAACATGCGGTATTTGGTTTTCTGTTGTTGCATTAATTCCCTTAAGATAATGGCCGCTAGTTGCATCCATGTTGTTGCAAAGGACATGATTTTGTTCTGTTCTTACGGCTGCATAGTATTCCATGCCATGCATGGACTGTGTTTTCTTGATCCAGTCCACTGTTGATGGACACCTAGGTTGATTCCAAGTGTTTGGTATTATGAGTAGTGGTACAGCAACACTATTTTGATTGTTCCCGGGGCGAATGACCTGCAGATCACTGAAATACCTCTCACATGTATACCAAGGGTTTTAAAATATAATTTATTTACAGTAAAACACAATCTGTCAGGAAGATCAGCTAGATTTGACAAATTTCACCTATCTGTAATAACCCACATGCCTAGAAAGATTATAAAATGCTCACTCTCATAGAGACGGCCCCTCATTTACCTTCCTAGTCAATCCCCACCACCTGTAATCCCATACTCCAAAGACTCCATTGACCTAATTTCCATCAGTGTTAGGTTTTGGCTGCTTTCAAATTTTAATATAAATGAAATCATAGAGAATGTACTCCTTAGTGTCTGCCTTCCTTAATATTAAGAATCATACTTGGTACAAAAACAACTTTGTATGTTTAATTTTTTAGTAGAGACTATGTCTTCTATGTAACTAAGGTTGGTCTTGAACTCCTGACCTCAAGCCATCCCCCCACCTTGGCTTCCAAATTGTTGGGAATACAGGCATGAGCCACTGTGCCCAGTCCTTGTGTCTTTTTATTGCCGAGTATTCCATTGTAGGTAGAATTCCATTATAGTCAACCATTGTTGATGGGCTGTTTTAAATTTTGTATTTTGAATAAAACTATGCACATCGTGGGCCGAATGTTTGTGTCCTTCCAACTCATGTGTTGAAGCCCTGATTCAGTGTGATGGAGGTGAGGATTTTGGGAGGAGATGAGGTTTACATGAGATGTTGAAGAGTGGTGCCCTCATGATAGGATTAATGACTTTCTAAAAAGAGACAGGTCTCTCTGGTCTGTCTGACCTTCCTTCCCCAGAAATACTACGCAAATATCTTGGAGAGGCCTTGTAGACATGACCGTAAGAAGCTTGAAAGCTGTCTAAAGCACTGTCAGGACAGTTATCAGGATGGGTTTGCTGAGGATCTTGAGCCAGAGGCATAAAAAACTGGAACCATCTCCTAACCATTACAACTACAAGTTTCCTGGAAGTTAGAGGTTACCTGTTTCATGAGTCAAATGCTTACTCCCCATCACCCACAATCCCATACTCCAAAGACACCATTGACCTGATGAGAACTGTTCCAGGAGTCAAATGGTACCTAAAGGACGTGTGCTGCTCTATTGTTCCTTCTCTTGTTCTTGCCCTGGAAATTCCAGCCCTGCTCTGTCTGAAAAAAAGATCTGGTTCAGGTGGTCCCCAAAGCACATCAGCTAAATCAAGACTTTGACTCCTGTTTGAGACACTTAGACTATTTTCTTTAGAATAGCTCAAAGTTAAATTGAACAATGTGTAGAGGTTTATTATGTAAGCATAGTAAAGCAGGGTGCATGGGTAAAAAGACTTGGAACATCAGGAAATTAGGTTATTTGGTACAGGTGACTCCTGAGATGCATGAGAGAAGATAAGCAGGAAAAGAATAGGGTCAGATTATTGAAGGTATGTGTACCATTTTGAAACTAATTATAGGTACTTAACTGTAGAATGAATATTTCTAAGACTAGGACTGGAAGATGTCATCCAGAAAAACTTAGGTTTTCTAAATGAACATATTTATGCTAATCTCGAGGCCCTGTGTGGTGCGCTGGTTCATGCCTGTAATCCCAGCACTTTGGGAGGCCGAGGTGGGCAGATCACCTGAGATCAGGAGTTCAAGACCAGACTGACCAACATGGCGAAACCCCCATCTCTGTTAAAAATACAAAATTAGTCGGGCATGGTGGTGTATGCCTGTAATCCCATCTACTTGGCAGGCTGAGGCAGAAGAATCACTCGAAGGGAGGCAGAAGTTGCAGT
Organism: Homo sapiens; assembly: GCF_000001405.40. NCBI lineage: Eukaryota > Metazoa > Chordata > Mammalia > Primates > Hominidae > Homo > Homo sapiens. The sequence goes on along the minus strand of NC_000016.10, from coordinate 7,737,183 downwards.
GAGCCAAGATGTCACCATTGCACTCCAGCCTGGGCAACAAGAGTTAAACTCCATTTCAAAAAAAACAAAAAACAAAAAAAAATCTTATTTACTTTCATATTTCTTTTGATTCTTTATAGTTAAAGTAGATTTGAAAACAATATCAAGTGTGATGGTTAATATTGAGTGTCAACTTGATTGGATTGAAGGATGCAAAGTGTTGATCCTGGGTGTGTCTGTGAGGGTGTTGCCAAAGGAAATTAACATTTGAGTCAGTGGACTGGGAGAGACGTAGACCCATCCTCAATTTGGGTGGGCACCATCTAATCAGCTGCCACTGTGGCTAGGATGAAAGGCAGAAGAACATGAAAGGACTGGACTTGGTGAGTCTTCTAGCCTTTGTTTTTCTGTTGTGCTGGATGCTTCCTGTCGTCAAACATTGGACTCCAGGTTCTTCAGCTTTTGGACTCTTGGACTTATAACAGTGATTTGCTAGGGGCTCTCAGGCCTTTGGCCACAGACTGAAGGCTGCATTGTCAGCTTCCCTACTTCTGAGGTTTTGGGACTCACACTGATCCACCACTGGCTTCCTTGCTCCTCAACTTGCACATGGCCTGTTGTGGGACTTTACCATGTGAATGTGAGCCAATTCTCCTTAATAAACTCCCTTTCATATACACATGTATTCTATTAGTTCTGTCCCTCTAGAGAAATCTAATACATTAAGAAATTGGAAACAGAACCAAATATGTGGTTTGTTTGATTTCTAGAATATGGTAATTGATTTGACTTTAAAAGTTTCAGAAATTGAGGTTGAGCTTCAGCCTGAGTATATCCACTGCACATGAGATTCTTTCTCCTATTGCACAATACACACACGTTTGGGTTTTATTTGTGCCTCAGAAAAGAACAGAATATCTTTGAGCAATTTGGGAGAGTTTATAAAATTTGTGCTGCTCATTCTAAATTCTGGCCCAGTGTCTTAGAGTTTCATAGACATCTGAGAAATGATGTGAGCTGTCCAAAGACTACTTACCCCTTCTAATAACAATGGCTAAAGGGCTCAACATAGTTTGTGTCAAGCACAACATAATTTTCTTTATGGTGAGTCTTGCTTCTCTAAATAACCTTAGGAGGGTAGGTATCATTACTATCCCCTCTTTGCAGATATGGAAACTGCATCTTGTTGGCAGATCAGATATGGTGAGGTTACACATAGGAACTGAGTAGCAAGTTCTGTTTGACTTGGTTTTCAGCTAAGCAGAAAAGCTCAGTGATACATTTTCTGAGTTTTAAGTGTTCAACGGGAGACGTGAAAGCAACACACAAGGCATGCGTAACTCAAGTTTTGTGGTGTTTTTCTGTCCCTACACCCACTGACCCAGCCCACACTATGTTTTGGATACTCTGATCCTCAAGCAGAGACATGGATTTGATTACACTGGTTCTAAAATGTCTCAGGCTTTCAATGAAGTCTTTCATTTTTTCCAGCAACAATTTTCAGCAATAGTGTAACTTTTTTCCCTCGATTTTTTTTTTCTATTACATGTGGAAATTTGTCTATAGAAAAACATTGTCCCAGTGGAGAGTCGTAACAGGGAACCAGAAAAAAAACCAATGAGCTAGATAACTCAAAACTCTTCAACCTGGCTTTCCTTTCTGAAGTCAGGAATGCCAAGCTGTCTCCTTTCTGTTGGAGATATTCCCCCCACCCTGAATTTATCAGGCTGTGGAAAAATACCTGGAGCAAAAATAATCATGACAGCAATAACAATAGATTTTATTGCACCCTAGGTGGGTGTGAAGCATAGTGGTAAGAACTTTATTTATTGTACCATTTAATTCTCTCCGTAGCCTGTGGGGTTTCATAGTCTTATTCATCCCATTTTATCATAGGAAGAAACAGGTTTCTAAATGGGAAGTGCATCCCCAGGGTCATCCAGAAATGTGGGGAAGGGGCCGGGATTTGACACTTGGTCAGTGGGCCTGAAAAGCAAGTGCCTTGAATTCAGGTAAGATTACAGATCCAGTTGATGTGGTTTGGATTTGTGTCCCTGCCCATATCTCATGTCAAATTGTAACCCCCAATGTTGGGGGAGGTGACTGGCTCATGAGGGCAGACTTTCTCCTTGCTATTATTATTATTATTTTCAGACAGGGTCTCACTCTGTTGCCCAGGCTGGAGTGCAGTGGTGCAATCTTGGCTAACAGCAACCTTCAACTCCAGGTTTAAGCGATTCTCCTACCTCAGCCTCCTGAGTAGCTGGGATTAGAGGTGCCCATCACCATGCCTCTTAGTAGAGATGGGGCTTCGCCGTGTTGTCCAGGCTTGTCTGGAACTCCTGACCTCATGTGATCCATCCACCTTGGCCTCCCAAAGTGCAGGGATTTAGAGGTGTGAGCCATCTTTCCCAGCTGTTCCCCCTTGCTATTCTTGTGATAGTAAGTTCTCATGAGATCTGGTTTTTAAAAAGTGTGTAGCATGTTCTCCATTTCTCTTTCTCCTGCTCCTACCATGGAGGACATGCCTACTTCCTGTTTGCCTTCTGCTATGATAGTAAGTTTCCTCCACAGCCATGCTCCCTGTACAGCCTGTGGAACCATGAGTCAATTAAACATCTCAATTACCCAGTCTCAGGTTCTTTATAGCAGTGTGAGAACCAACTAATATACCAGTTATCAACCACGAGGTATTATGAAAATAGGCATTTATAGGAAATAGGTGAAAGCTTCCTATTCACACATTTGCATAGTGTTCTAGTCCTTATTTCAAGAGTCTACTTTTTCATCCATCAATGGCCATGCCAGTTTAGGCACAGTTTGGGGACAGCGAATTCCCATTGTGGGGTCTCCACCAGTGCAAACGGATACACACAAGGAACTGTACTGTCTATCCTGAAATAGAAGGAGCAAATGGAAAGAGAAGCTTAAATTGGAGATAAACTTGTCTTTTCTTGGTGTGGCTATCCTGCCAGATCTTTCTGCAGCACCTGGGCCTGCTTCTGTCACAGGGTATGAAACTGCCAAGTGGGGCCTTGTTGAGAACAGTAATTTTTTCCACCTGCTTATGATGGCACTTAGGCATGACTTGTTGAAGCACTTTCAATATGGCAGAGCACAGTGACAGTATACATCTTAAAGTAGCCAATGGATATGTAAACCTAGATTGAAACTGACCACTGGCCTCACTCCTATGGGAATGGGGAACCTCAGTGAGAGTGTCTGAGGCAGGTCTGTCTCCTGCATCCTTCAGCAGCTAAATGGTGCTTTTTAGCCTGTAAATAGGGCTATACTACTTAATTCTCACCACAATCTAACAAGTTGTTGTTTTCCACATCTTATTACAGAAGGAAACTTAGGTTGATGACTTTTCTAGAGTCATCCAGGGAGGTACTAGAAAAAGCCAGGATTTACTATCTAATGGATCAGACTCCAAAATATCTGCCCTGAACCTGTATGTATGCTTGTTGGGTCCCCATTGAACTTGGCATATGTTGTTCTAGCAGATCTTAATAAAGATGAGTACATCGGTGAATACATTATTTATATGTTTTTATTTTCAGATGGAGTGAACAATTAGTCTAAGATACCATACTTAGTAAGGCACTCTGTGAAATTTTTAGGAAGCAGTATGTTTTTACATGAATGAAGGTGGTGTAATAATCGGAATCTATAAAATGCCCCCGGGGTATTCTGGGAAAGCACATACCATTCTTATGAACACTTTTCTGAGTTGGATAAGGTTCAGAATAGGGGCATGTATTGAATCCACACTGTAGAACTTTTGAAAGATTAAATCAGATGTATACAGTACATGGGAACATCCCGTGCTTACCTGCCATCTGTCAGTGTTAACATCTATATGTTAACAGATGTGATTTTTGCATTATTAGTAGATCTTTGAAGTTTTAGGGATAGTGGTAGGATGAAAAGCATCCCCAACAGAAATGTGAGCAAATACATTTAAGTTACAGTGGATGGAGGAGGGGGGTGTGTGTAAATTAACCAAATGGTTTGATGGTTTGAGTGCCTCTGTATGAACACTAGAGTTCATACAAGAGGATTTCAGTATCTCATCGATTCTTTTCACAACTCCATGAATTATCCCCATTTTCTGATAAGAAAACTGAAGGAAGTTGCACATTTGTAGCTACATAGCTAATATTTGCAGAATTGGGATTCAAAGACTAGTCATTATGACTTCATCTCATGTGTTTGTAGACTTATGATATTTCATTATTTAAAACTCACACTACACTGACTTACTGATGTATAATTGACATAAAGTGCACCCAAAGAATGCAACTCAATGAGTTCTTACCTGTGTTCACTCCACTGAAACTACTGCCAAATCAAGATAGAGAACATATCCTGTACCCCGAGGGTTTCCTGGTGCCCCTCCCTTGATTTCCCACCACTCGGACTCTGGCCCAAGGTCATCACTGCTGTTCTCTGTCTCCATAGTCAGTCTTTTGCATCCTGGTGGCTCTTCTCCCATCCGATTTTATTAATACATCTTATTTTTTCCAATGCATGTGTGAAAGGCTAGTAAACAACATCCCAACGTTTAGCTAAATATCCTCCTGGGCCTATGAGTGGCCCCGAGGTGTGAGTCTTCTTTTGAACACCCTCACTCCACATTTCTCTGCAGGGCGCTTTCTCCTCTTGATGGTCTCTAAATCCCCAAGAGTAAAAAAACCGCAGGCTTACATGGCAGAGGAAAGAGTTAGCAAAATCAAGAGCTGATCCTCCTGAAGGGAAGGGAAACATAGCTGTTTGGTGGATGTGTTCCTGGAACCCACGTGATGTACAGTACACAGTTGGATGCTAATAACTTAGCTCTCTGCTTACAAAAGGATTAAAAGAACACACACATGATGTGTCACTCCTTCCCCACAGTACCATCTCCCCTTATTTCGGAGTATGATTTCTCCAAAAGGGAAGCTGTCTTGGTTGTAGTGAATTTAAACCGTTAGGCACTGGATTAGGCCCTGATTTAAAGTTCTAGCTTTAATATTAAAAAGATGAGTGTTACTTTTATATCCCAGAGAAGCAGTGAGTAAACAAATAAAAAATTCATTAGAGACAGGCTGCTATTGCTGAGATGAAAGTTTGATGTTAGAGCTAGGCTTTCAAAAGCCTAAGACCCAGTCAGTGGGTCATTAGCTCAGCAGGCGGCCAAACTAAAGAGTGATTTCGAGATGGGCAATGTCTGTGGTCTTCGTTTCTTCAAGGTTTCAAAAATTAACTTAGCATTTTCCCAGATTCCGGGGCGGGGGCGGGGAATACTTAACGGTTACCGTCCTGGTTATGTTGAAAATTAAATTTCAACTATGCTTCCGAATCTTATGGTGCTTCTTCTCCAACTTTACCAGCTAATGACGTTGCCACTAAGCATAGAAATTGAGAAGTTTGAGGGCATGAAGTATTGCAGTTCACTCAGTTCACAGCTGGGAAATAGTTTTCATTTTGTAAATACCATCAAGCCCCAGAGCTGAAATTCAAGGTCATGGACTACAGCATGCATACACCTGTAGTTCTTATCTACTTAAGTATTTTCATTTTCTTTTTGGCAATGCAACGTATTTCATGGCACACCATCTCCTGTGTGAAAAGGACAGAAACCTTGTTAATGACACTGCTCCAAGCCTGGCCAATCAGAGCACTCTACTCCTAGCAGGCACATTGATTGGTCTAAGGAGGACCAACCAGAATCCTTCTTCAGCATATGCTAAATCTTTGCTATACATGGTTCCAGCGTGGAAGAAAAAGCCATCTATTTAGCTAGGTTTTCTAAGTTGAAGCAATATAGGCTGGAGGCTGCCAGATGGCAACTACCCCAGCAAATAGAGGCAGCCAATTTGAAGAAGGAAAAAAAGAAAAAGGACTAAACAAAGTGAAACAGAGCCCAGAGATGAGAAAAGAGCTCTGACGATGTTGCATATTTGTGGAATCAGGCGTGTCTGAACTCGGGACCCAATAAATCTCCAACACATTTGTTGCTGTTGAGCCAATTTGAGTTACAGGTCTGTTTCTGCAACTGAATGAATCCAAACGAATATAATACGAAAAGTCTTTCCTCTGATTAGTCTGAGCATAGGGTAAATAGTGGATGATTTGCCCACAGTGATCAATATGTATTTTTCAGCACTTGAACTTCTGCAACTCTTGTTCTCTTGCAGACTAGAAAGTACCTGTTATCAGACTGGGGTCATAGGATAGTAGAATGAGTACAGAGTTTGGACTAATCCGTGTCATTGAAAATGACAAAATTTCTCTTTAAGGCTGAATAGTATTCCACTGTGTATAAATGACATTTAAATCCTATTAACTTACAAGTGGGCACTTAGGTTATATCCACATCTTGACTATTATGAATAATGCTGTAATGAGCATGGGAGTGCAGATATCTCTTTAACATTTAATCTCAATTCCTGTGTGTGTGTGTGTGTGTATGTATATATGTATGTATATATATGTATAGATAAATGTATATATGTATAGACATATGTATAGATGTATATTTGTATATGTATGTGTATATATGTATATATGTATGTGTGTATATATATATGTGTGTGTGTGTATATATATATATATATATACACACACACACACACACACATCTCCATCCAGAAGTGTGATTACTAGATCATATGGTGATATGGTTTGGCTCTGTCCCCACCTACATCTCACCTTGAAATGTAATAATCCCCACATGTCATGGGAGGGACCCGGTTGGGGGTAATTCATTTATGGGGACGGGTGTTTCCTGAGCTGTTCCCATGAACAAGTCTCACTAGATCTGATGGTTTTATAAAGGGGAGCTCCCGTGTAGAAACTCTTGCCTGCCACCATATAAGATGTCCCTTGCTCTTCTGCCATGATTGTGAGGCCTCCCCAGCCATGTGGAACTGTGAGTCAATTAAACCTTTCCTTCATCGGTTACCTTGTCTTGGATAGTTCTCTATTAGCAGCGTGAAGATGAACTAATGCATATGGTAACCCTATTTTTAGTTTGAGAAACCTCTATACTGTTTTCCAAAATGGCTGTGTTAATATAGATTCCCACCAACAGTATACAAAGGTTCTTTTCTCTACATCCTCGCCAACACCTGTTATCTTTTGTCTTCTTGATGATAGCCATTCTAACAGCTATGAGGTGATATCTCATTGTGGTTTTAATTTGTATTTGCCTGATTAACAATAGTGAGTATTTTAAAAATCTGGTTTTTACATGTCTTTTGAGAATATCTAGGTTCTTTGCCTATTTTTAAATATTTGTGTTCTTTTTTTTTTAATTATACTTTAAGTTTTAGGGTACATGTGCACATTGTGCAGGTTAGTTACATATGTATACATGTCCCATGCTGGTGCGCTGCACCCACTAACTCGTCATCTAGCATTAGGTATATCTCCCAATGCTATCCCTCCCCCTTCCCCCCACCCCACAACAGTCCCCAGAGTGTGATATTCCCCTTCCTGTGTCCATGTGATCTCATTGTTCAATTCCCACCTATGAGTGAGAATATGCGGTGTTTGGTTTTTTGTTCTTGGGATAGTTTACTGAGTATGATGATTTCCAATTTCATCCATGTCCCTGCAAAGGACATGAACTCATCATTTTTTATGGCTGCATAGTATTCCATGGTGTATATGTGCCACGTTTTCTTAATCCAGTCTATCATTGTTGGACATTTGGGTTGGTTCCAAGTCTTTGCTATTGTGCATAATGCCGCAATAAACATACGTGTGCATGTGTCTTTATAGCAGCATGATTTATAGTCCTTTGGGTATATACCCAGTAATGGGATGGCTGGGTCAAATGGTATTTCCAGTTCTAGATCCCTGAGGAATCGCCACACTGACTTCCACAATGGTTGAACTAGTTTACAGTCCCACCAACAGTGTAAAAGTGTTCCTATTTCTCCACATCCTCTCCAGCACCTGTTGTTTCCTGACTTTTTAATGATTGCCATTCTAACTGGTGTGAGATGGTATCTCATTGTGGTTTTGATTTGCATTTCTCTGATGGGCAGTGATGACGAGCATTTTTTCATGTGTTTTTTGGCTGCATAAATGTCTTCTTTTGAGAAGTGTCTGTTTATGTCCTTCGCCCACTTTTTGATGGGGTTGTTTGTTTTTTTCTTGTAAATTTGTTTGAGTTCATTGTAGATTCTGGATATTAGCCCTTTGTCAGATGAGTAGGTTGCAAAAATTTTCTCCCATTCTGTAGGTTGCCTGTTCACTCTGATGGTAGTTTCTTTTGCTGTGCAGAAGCTCTTTAGTTTAATTAGATCCCATTTGTCAATTTTGTCTTTTGTTGCCATTGCTTTTGGTGTTTTAGACATGAAGTCCTTGCCCATGCCTGTGTCCTGAATGGTAATGCCTAGGTTTTCTTCTAGGGTTTTTGTGATTTTAGGTCAAACATTTAAGTCTTTAATCCATCTTGAATTGATTTTTGTATAAGGTGTAAGGAAGGGATCCAGTTTGAGCTTTCTACATATGGCTAGCCAGTTTTCCCAGCACCATTTATTAAATGGGGAATCCTTTCCCCATTGCTTGTTTTTCTCAGGTTTGTCAAAGATCAGATAGTTGTAGATATGCGGCATTATTTCTGAGGGCTCTGTTCTGTTCCATTGATCTATATCTCTGTTTTGGTACCAGTACCATGCTGTTTTGGTTACTGTAGCCTTGTAGTATAGTTTGAAGTCAGGTAGTGTGATGCCTCCAGCTTTGTTCTTTTGGCTTAGGATTGACTTGGCAATGAGGGCTCTTTTTTGGTTCCATATGAACTTTAAAGTGGTTTTTTCCAATTCTGTGAAGAAAGTCATTGGTAGCTTTATGGGGATGGCATTGAATGTGTAAATTACCTTGGGCATTTTCACGATATTGATTCTTCCTACCCATGAGCATGGAATGTTCTTCCATTTGTTTGTATCCTCTTTTATTTCGTTGAGCAGTGGTTTGTAGTTCTCCTTGAAGAGGTCCTTCACATCCCTTGTAAGTTGGATTCCTAGGTATTCTCTTTGAAGCAATTGTGAATGGGAGTTCACTCATGATTTGGCTCTCTGTTTGTCTGTTATTGGTGTATAAGAATGCTTGTGATTTTTGTACTTTGATTTTGTATCCTGAGACTTTGCTGAAGTTGCTTATCAGCATCATTCTGATACCAAAGCCAGGCAGAGACACAACAAAAAAAGAGAATTTTAGACCAATATCCTTGATGAACATTGATGCAAAAATTCTCAATAAAATACTGGCAAAACGAATCCAGCAGCACATCAAAAAACTTATCCACCATGATCAAGTGGGCTTCATCCCTGGGATGCAAGGCTTGTTCAGTATACGCAAATCAATAAATCTAATCCAGCATATAAACAGAGCCAAAGACAAAAACCACGTGATTATCTCAATAGATGCAGAAAAAGCCTTTGACAAAATTCAACAACCCTTCATGCTAAAAACTCTCAATAAATTAGGTATTGATGGGACGTATTTCAAAATAATAAGAGCTATCTATGACAAACCCACAGCCAATATCATACTGAATGGGCAAAAACTGGAAGGATTCCCTTTGAAAACTGGCACAAGACAGGGATGCCCTCTCTCACCACTCCTATTCAACATAGTGTTGGAAGTTCTGGCCAAGGCAATTAGGCAGGAGAAGGAAATAAAGGGTATTCAATTAGGAAAAGAGGAAGTCAAATTGTCCCTGTTTGCAGACGACATGATTGTTTATCTAGAAAACCCCATTGTCTCAGCCCAAAATCTCCTTAAGCTGATAAATATTTGTGTTCTTATTGAGTGGTTTGTGTTTATTGTATATTTTGGATATGATCTCCTTAGTTGATGTATGATTTGCAAATATTTTCTCCCTATTTATGGATTGTCTCTTTATTCTGATCTTAAGTGAAATAAGTGGGGCATAGAAATGAGAATATTGCATGCTCCCACCAGAGGCTGGGGATATGAGTGGGTGGGGCCAAGGGAAATGGTCAAAAGGTACAACAGTTCAGTTTCTTACAGGAGGACGAAGTTCTGACCTTTTTCACATCAAGGTGACTTTAGTTAATAATGTATTATATCTTAATTGTTAAAAGAATGGATTTTTAAATATTCTTACCAAAAATAAGCATGTGAGGCAATGGATGTGTTAGCCTAACTTGCTCATTCTGCAATGTATACATGTATCAGTGTATCACATCGTATCCCATAAATATATCCAATTATGTCATTTAAAAATAAAATTCAGCACTTGTATGTTTTAACATGTGGACATTTATAGACAGGTTCAAAAAGTCCTCTTGCAACCCAGAACTCGTTGTTCAGTATGAGTCTTGATACGTGTAAGAAGGGATTTGGGAGGCCGGATTATGAGGTTAGGAGTTTGAGACCAGCCTGACCAATATGGTGAAACCCCATCTTTACTAAAAATACAAAAATTAGCTGGGCGTGGTGGCATGCGCCTGCAATCCCAGCTACTCAGGAGGCTGAGGCAGGAAAATCACTTGAACCCAGGAGGTGGAGGTTGTTGTGAGCTGAGATCATAACACTGCACTCCAGCCTGGGTGATAGAGTGAGACTCCGTCTCAAAAAAGGATACTATACCTATATCTGAGACAGTTAACTGATGGGAGAATTGATAACCGTAAAGGTTGGTTCCAGGCTGGGAACGTTAGCCCATGCTGGAATCCCCGCACTTTGGGGGCTGAGTTGGGAGGTTTGCTTGAAGCCAGGAGTTAAAGACCAGCCTGGGCAAGGATAGCAACATCCCATCTCTACAGAAATTTAAAAATTGGCTGGGTGTGGGGGCATGCACCTATAGTTGTAGCTACTCCGGAAGGAGAAGGCTGAGGCAGAAGGATTGAGTCCAGAAGTTGGAGGCTGCAGTGAGCTCTGATGGCACTGCTGTACCTCCATCCTGAGCGACAGAGTAAGACCCTGTCTTTCAATTTAAAGTTGGTTCTAGGGTTGTAGAATAGATTAAAAGCTTTGGGATATGGGGGAATCTGCGCTATATTAATTTTGTATTCCAATTTCATGTTGACTTTGCTATATCAAGATTGCTTTTTGTTTTAAGGGCTTCTCTGTTGAGAACATGTCTGGAGTTAAAGGTATTGGTATATTCCACAGATGTTTACTACTGAGCATGATAGCTTAGGAATGAATATGACTTGAACTCATTCATGTTTGGAGAGGTATTCAAATTAAGAACTGGATAGAACCACCTACTCTAAAAATGACCATAGAGTAAATTGGTTTAAGAAATTAGATCCCAAAGATCCTTGGTAAATTTTGAAGTCTTCATCAGTATATCCATATCAAAAGGGGATGACAGAAGCCAAAATAAATGAACTGTGGGCTAACAGGACAACTGAATTAAGCATCAGTCATATTAAAAAGGGCGAACTTGCCAGAGCTTGGTAGCTCTTCTTGGTGGCTAGGCCCAGAAGAAGATTAAGAATCCCTACAATTTGGCTTTTAGGAAGCCACATCCCTAGAAGGGGGAGAAAACCACATCAAGGGATCACCCCATGGGACAGAAGAATCTGAACAGCAGCCCTTGAGCCCCAGATCTTTACTTTCTTAGTCCACCCCGATGAGAAGGAACCAGAAAAACAATTCTGGTAATACGACAAAGCGAGGTTCTTTAACATCCCCAAAATCTCACACTAGCTCCCCAGCAATAGATCCAAATCAAGAAGAAATCTCTGAATTGCCAGAAAAAGAATTCAGAAGGTCAATCATTGAGCTACTCAAGGAGGCACCAGAGAAAGGTGAAGTCCAACTTAAATTTTGAAAAATATAGGATTAAAAGGACTAACATCAAGATAAATCTTTCGAAGATAAAATTGACTTCAGCTCTTTAGAGGAACTAAGGTGACCTTGGTGGATGGTGGAAGGAATCACGACATCCAAATCCTTTAAATAAAAATTAGAGTATAGTCTTTGGAATCCTTCAGACTGGGTTCAAACCCTGGATTTTTTAGCTAACAACTTGGGGAGACTGTATTAGTCTGTTCTCATGCTGCTGATAAAGCTTTCAGTGTCAGGTATGTCTATAATGGACTCAGTTCCATTTAAGAAAAAGCTTTAATGGACTCAGTTCCACATGGTGGGGAGGCCTCACAATCATGGCAGATGGTGAAAGGCATGTCTTACCTGGAGGCAGGCAAGAGGCAACTTGGGCAGGGAAAAACTACCCTTTATAAAACCATCAGCTTTCATGAGATGTATTCATCACAGGAACAGTACAGGAAAGATCTACTCCCATGATTCAACTACCTCCTACCAGGTCCCCCGATGACATGTGGGAATTGTGGGAGCTATGATTCCAGATGAGATTTGGGTGGGGACACAGCCGAACCATAACAGCATTGCTTTCCCTTCTTGAGCTTTGGCTTTCTCATATATAACATGAGGATGGAATAGTAAGAGTCGAGCTTCCTAGGCCCACTCTGATCAAATTAAATCAATTAAATCCTTATGGGTGAAATTCAGGCAGGGATATTTTGTGAAAGCATTTCACATGATTCTAATATGTGGCCAGGTTTGAGAACCTCTTGAGTAGATGAGATCTAAAGCATTCGATCTCAAATTTTAGGCTGCATGCCATGCAAATCACCTAGGCTTGAACACTAGCAACCCTAATTGCCAGGGTCAGAAAAGGGACTCAGAGATATGCCTTGTGAACAGGCTCTCCAGGTGCTTCTGATGCAGGCAACCCATGGACCACATTTAGAGGGGAGGAAATAATGGCTTCAGCTCTTTCATCTTTGATGTACTAAGAATCTGCTGGGGGAAGGTATTGAGTGGGCTGTATTGATTAGAAAGGGAAACTTCATTTAAGCAGCAGAAAAAGGGTTAGTTTTCAGAAATAGAAGTAAGTGAAAATGTATAGTTCAGCAGGACATTGTCCAGACAAACATAAGGAGGAAGGGAATGGTAAAATGTGCTGCTTGGGACTTCTTTGATGAGGATGCCAAGAGCACGGTGTCTGGTTGTAGATCTGAGGTCCCATGGAAGTCTCAACTGCTTATGATTAATTCCTGTTTCCTCTAGTGGTGTCCACTCCCCATGAAAATTATAAGACAAGCTTTATAAGACAGGATGTTGGTTCTGAGAATAGGTTATGAAATCCATGGCTTCCACCTTGTGGGCACTCTCTGGCTCTTTTTACTTGCTGAAGGAAGCTGGCATTACTTCATAAAGCAAGCTTGCATGTTGTGAGCTGCCCTACGGATAGACCTTCACGGCTGGGAACTGAGGAATGAAAGTCCCTGGCTACAGTCAGCAAAAAACTCAGTCCGCCAGTTCAGTCTGCAAGAACTTGAATCCCGCTAATAGCTTTGCAAGTTAGCTGGAAAATGTATCCTTCTCCAGCCAACACTTTACATGATAATGGCCCCCACCAACACTGATTGCAGCCTCTTGCAAAACCCTAAGCCAACCTGGGCCTCTGGCCCACAGAACCTATAAACGTTTTTTTTGTTTTTTTTTTTTCTTTTTTTTGAGACAGGGTCTCTGTCACTGAAGCTGGAATGCAGTGAGTGATCTTGGCTCACTGTAGCATCACCCTTGACTTCCTGGAGTCAGGTGTTTCTCCTGCCTCAGTCTTCTGAGTAGTAGCTGGGACTACAGGAGTGCACCATGGTGTTCAGCTAATTTTTAAATTTTTTGTAGAGACATGGTCTCCTGATGTTACCCAGCCTGGTCTTGAACTCCTAGTCTCAAATGATCCTCTTGCCTTGGCCTTCAAAATCTTACAGGCATGAGCCACTGTTCCCAGCTATTTTAAGCTTTTAAATTTGGAGGTAACATGTTATGCGACAATAAAGAACTTACGCAAAGACTTACATTTATTTTGGGTTTAATGATCTGGTAGCTCACTAGCAAAGTCCTGGGAAAGCTATACAGTGACAGTTCCTTGTGTCTTGGGGGAAACTTCCAAGGCTTTGCTTTTCAGACCAAGCCTCTAATCTGGCTCCCCCAGTTTCTAGTAGCTGTGCAGCATTCTCTCACTTCTGAGACCTGGTTTTCCTATCCAGAAAATAGAGATGGCCTTGTCTCCCTTCAAAGTTGGGAATTGGAGATGAAGTGGTTCTTATCACAAAGACAGTAGTGCTTTTTACTTTGACATAAACAAGCAGGTTTACAAGGCATGGTCGGCAGGATTTCTGCACCCTAGTGAACAAGCTCTGCGTCATCTCCTCTTGAGTATGGGAGGAGTCTGTGGCTAGGATGCGATAGCACTCCCTTGGTAGCAGTAATAGGTGACTTATCAGTTGACAGAGTTAATCTGAAGGGAGATAACCCTGGGTGAGCCTGAACTAGTTAGAAGAAACTTTAAAAGAATGCGAAGAAATTCAAAAAGGCACACCTCTGCTCACCTGGAAGAAGGTGCAAATATCCACATAGTAAACTTTCTATGGGGCTGCCTTGAAAGGAACGGCTGGTGGCTTTTACGGGCTAAGAGAACTCACCAGCTAACAATTAGCAAGGAAGTGGGGACCTTAATCTTACCTCCATGAGGAACTAAACTTTGCTGACAACCTTGATGAGTTTGGAAGATGACTTCAAGCCTCAGATGAGAATCACAGCCATAGTCAGCACTTAAGTTGTAGCTGGGGAGATCCTGAGCACAGGGCCCATCTCTAACCCATACCTAGACTTCTGAGCCCTGGAAATTGTGAGATCTCAAATGTGTGCTTTAAGTTACTAAGCATGCCTACTTTATTTTACAGCAATAGACATTAATACTCAAGGTTAGAATGGTCGCCTAATGGTATGTCAGGCACATTTGTAATGTTTCACTCTATGACTGTTACCGGAAAGGGGTCCAGATCCAGACCCCAAGGGGAGGGTTCTTGGATCTTGCACAAGAAAGGATTCATGGCGAGTCCGCAGGGTAAAGTGAAAGCAAATTTATTTAAGGAAGTAAGGGAATAAACGATGGCTACAGCATAGAACAGCGGCATGGGTTGCTTAGTTGAGTATACTTAGTTATTTCTTGATTATATGCTAAACAAGTATATTATTCATGAGTTTTCCTGGAAAGATGCAGGCAATTCCCGGAACCCAGGGTTTCTCTCTTTAGACTACAATAGGGTAACTTCTGGACATTTGCCATGGCATTTGTAAACTGTCATGGTACTGGTGGGAGTGTCTTTTAGCATGCTAATGTATTATAATTAGCATATAATGAACAGTGAGGGGGACTAGAGGTCACTTTCATCACTATTTTGGTTTTGGTGGGTTTTGGCTGGCTTCCTGTTTTATCAACAGTGTCTTTATGATCTATATCCTGTGATCCCAATCCTGTGGACCTCCCATCTCATCCTGTGATAAAAGTGCCTAACCTCCTAGGAATCCAGCCCAGCAGGTCTCCACCTTATTTGACCCCGCCCCTATTCAAGATGGAGTCGCTGTTTCAAAGCCTCTGACACATTTCAAATGTCTCTGACTATACTTATACTATTTTAGTAACCCTAGTGCTCAGCACTCTGGGGAATGATGGAGCATTGTTGATGAGCAAAGAAATGTGTAAAAGAATGAACAAAGAGGTAGGGTTCCTACCTCTTGGGTATTACAGCTGAAGAGAGAATAGTGCTGCTAAAATGGCTGCTCCTAAATCACGCTCCTTGATACACCCTATGAATTCAGTCTGTCTCGTTTGGGACTTAGGATTTGCCGACTTGGCTAATAGAATCCCTAAAAGACAAGCTTCTAGTATGTGCTGGGTTATTTCCCAAGAACCTGAGCATCAGTGACAACCAGAAGTAAAGTAAATGAATGGCTGGCATTTTAAGAGTATAGCTGCCGGTGAAGAGGAGCCAATGTTTGCACTTCTGAGAAGTATGGGGGCAGAAGCAGAACTTTTACTTAGACTGATCACAGTGGTAAATCAGATGCCAGCATCACCCATGGTATCAGCCTGAATGATTGCGGTCTCACTCCTGAGGCTTATGCTAAAGTGAGACTAGAAATAAGGTGGCTGAGGGCTGGGTGCAGTGGCTCACACCTGTAATCCCGGCACTTTGTGAGGCCGAGGTGGGTGGATCACTTGAGATCAGGAGTTTGAGACCAGCCTGGACAACATGGTGAAACCCCATCTCTACTAAAAATACAAAAATTAGCCAATATGGTGAAATCCCGTCTCTATGAAAAATAGAAAAAAATTAGCCAGGTGTGGTGGCAAGTACCTGTAGCTGTAGTTCGAGCTACTCAGGAGGCCGAGGCAGGAGAATCGCTTGAACCCAGGAGGCGGAGGTTGGAGTGAGCCAAGATCATGCCATTGCACTCCAGCCTGGTCAACAGAGAGACTCCTCCTCATAAAAGGTGGCCAAAGAGCATTCTTCAGTGATCTGTAGCTGCGTTATCCAATGTGGGCACCTCAAGCTGAGCTAGATACAGCTTTTTAAAAGAAATTTTATTTTTGGAGTTGTCTTGCTCTGTCGTCAAGGCTGGAGTGCAGTGGTACTATCAGCTCAATGAAGTCTGGAACTCCTGGGCTCAAGCAATCCTTCCACCTCAGCCCTTTGACATAGCTAGGATCATCAGCACTACCATGCCTGGCTGATTGTCTTCTGTAGCAACGGGGATCTCACGATGTTGCCCAGGCTCATATCACATCCCTGCCTTGGCCTCCCAAAGTGTTGAGATTACAGGCAGGAGCTACTGTGCCTGGCCAGATGTGGCTTTTGAGCACTGGAGATATGGCTGGTTCAAACTGAAATGTGCTGTGTGAAATTTATGCCAAGTACCAAGACTTAGTATGAAGATGTAAAATATCTCCTTATTTCTCTATTCATGACATGTTGAAATGATACTATTTTTAATATTGTGAGTTAAGTAAAAGACTAGTTTAACCTATTTTTACTTCTGTGGCTTGTCTGCTAGACAACTTAAAATTATATACGCATCTTGCCTTATATTTCTGGTAGGCAGTGCCAGTTTAAAGCATGAGAAAATCTATACCAGAGAAGGCAAGGCCAAGAAAACTGAAAGAAGCAAAATCAAATTTGGGCTAAAAAATTAAAATGTGACAAGTCTATATGATTACTAGATAAGTAAATCATATTAAACTTGGGCTAAATTAAAATGTGACAAGTCTGTATGATTACTAGAGAAGTAAATCATGAGTACTTTTACACATTCAAGTCTGTAATATTAATCAGAATGGGAAGAGTTGTCCAGTTTTTTCTCCTTAACCCTTCCCTTCTATTTCCCTCCCATTACCTCCTTCCCTCTCCTCCTTTAGTTTCCTCTGCCTTTTTTTGAGACAGGGTCTTGCCCTGTCATCCAGGCTCAAGTGCATTGGTGTGATCTTGGCTCACTGCAACCTCTGCCTCCTGGGCTCAAGTGATCCTCCCAGCTCAGCCTCCCAAGTAGCTGGGACTACAGGCATATGCTACCATGCCTGAGTAATTTTTTTGGTATTTTTTTGTGGAGGGTTCTCACCATGTTGCCTAGGCTAGTCTCAAACTCCTGGGCTCAAGTGATCCATGGGCCTTGGCCTCTCAGAGTGTTGAGATTACAGGTGTGAGCCACCATGCCTGGGCTATACTTTGTGCTTTGTAGACAGGATAGCTTTGAGCGACTATACTGTTAAAAAATGACATCTTCGGACCTTCTGATTCTTAGCCAATGAGATTAAAATATCTCTATGTAATAAACCTACCTCCAGACCCAGGATCTATCAGTGTAACACCTTGTTGAGTTCCTGGCTGGTTGGCAGTAAGGGAGTAGGCATTCTAGGAGAATGGCAGAGTTGTTGTCCTCTCTTAGGCAGTCATTACTTGGTTTAGATGCCTGCTACCAGGAAGGAATGTGGACACTGTGCTCCCAAACTTACAGCTTCTCAAGGGACACATTCTATGAAATCTCCCCATTTTCAAACACTGGAAGTTAACAAATATCTTGTAAATACCTGTCCATACCCAACGATAGAATCTTAGGGGGCATTTGGTTTCCAAAGCCACCAGGAGGGTGGGTTCCATCCTACACCTTAGACTCAGTTACAGCATCCTTGTGACTGATGTGGAGAGACCAAGAACATTTATTTCCTTCCTAGCACTGGTACCCAGAAATTCAGAGATTGGGGCAGGGATATTGAACAAAATGGCCATGGCCTACTGGGGAGTCTCAGGGATATGAAACATTACTTCTTATCCCAACATCACAGTTGCTAGTAGCCTTGGCTGCTCAATTCTCCTCCCCTCTCCAAACTCCAAACAGATCCATATGGACATGGATAGTGTTCTTTTGGAAGATAAACCAAGTTGGTAGGAGACTCAGTTGTCAGTATTCAGTGAGTTTTAAAATACTAAGTCCAGTTTGCTTTGGAATATTGCTTCTGTAGCATAAAATATCTCTATAATCTTATCTAACCCTAGAATCTATGTCTGTGAGGCAAAGGGTGGGTCTTGGTACCTATAACAGTTTGTTATTGGAGTTGAGTGTTCTGTTACATTTCAAATCTATATCAAAGTGACAGAAATTCCTGGCTGAAAAATATCTTGAGGCAAACAAGAGGGGTGAAGATTTACTGCAAATCTTCCATGTCACTTTTTTCTGACAATCGGCTTTCAAAGTAATTATATTTCCTTCTATTTTACTAAGGAGGATGTGAGGGTTTAATGTGGTTGGACGTCTTGGCTGAGAACCAAGGTGGGGAGCTGAGATTTACACATGGGGCAGAGTGGCTCTGATGCAATGTGTTTCTCTGCGTTTGTGGATGCGCATTGCAGATATGCAAAGCACACGCAGGTTCATAGGTGGCTGCCAGTGGAGTAGGCACAGATACCAAATAACCATTAAAATGTTCAAGAATAGCTCTCAATAGGTGACCAGCCTCCCGGGTTTTCCAAATTTTACCTCACTTAACACTCTCCTGTGGTCACAAAAGCCAGTGTCTCTTTTCAATATGGCTCTTTATTCCCCGCCCCCCCCCCCCGCCCCCCGCAAAGTGAAGGCTGAGTAACTTTCTCAGACCCAAACCCTTAGTGTTGCACAATCTTACTGAATCTTCATCAAAATCCAATGAAGCATTTCCATAATCTGAAAAGTGAGCCCCAGAGAGGCTAAATTGCCAAAGTCACACAGCTAGGAAGAAGATGGAAGCTAGTAGAGGTGGGATCTAAAGTGAGGTTCATCTAGAATCTTTTTTTTTTTTTTTTTTAAAACAAAAAGGCCAAAGGTTGGGACATGGTAGTTCATATCTATAATCCTAGCACTTGGGGAGACCAAGGCGGGAGGATCATTTGAGCTCAGGATTTCGAGACCAGCCTGGGCATTCTAGTGAGACGTTGTATCTAAAAATAAAAGAGGAAAAAGACCTCTAACCACGACATCTTGCTGTCTGTTTTTCTATTCTTTCTGCTACATGCCTTAATCTTTGGCTTAATGGAAACAACAAAGATCTAGTGTCTTTCCATCAGCTTAGAAGAGTCAGTTATTTTCGAGTGATAGAAAAATTTTAGGAAGAGGAGCTAATTTTTCCACCGTGCATGGCGTAATCACTTTGAATTTCGGTATTTGTTGTAACTAACACTGAAGGTTTTGCGGGTTTTTCCCTTTCTCATAAAATGTGTACCCCCCACCCCCCATCTTCACACACTCTTTGGGGTGAGAGGAGAACAGATCTTTGGGGAAAAAAAGGGAAACAGTAGAAGGAACAATACGTCATCTAGTCATGCAATTTAGGAAAATAAAGGAAAAAAGCAGCAGCAAGCCAGTTATGCTGACAGCCCCGTCCAGCTTGAGCGGCAGTTCGGCTGCTGCTGAAATCCTACTTACAGTAATGAATTTCAATGCCACTCGCCAGCCTAGGAGTGTTTGGGGGAGATAAAAGTCGAGCTGTGTGCTGTGCGTCTGACCTGGTTTTCAGTTCTAGACAACTTCTGGTGTGGTTGCAGAAAGTTGGACTTTCCAGATGTGAGCATGAGGGCTTCGTTTTCTGGCCTGTAGTTTTATTGCTGTCTGCTTTAAGGCAGATTTTTGGAGGGGGGTTGTGCAGGGTTTAACTTGCTTTATAAGATTTGCTGGAGTCTGCATGCTGATGAGCTGCCAATTTGCATTCTGCGCCTTTGCAGCCATCACCTGCCCACAGCAGCACCATTACCCTACTTCCTGGGTCTCTGCTCTTCTATTTTCTACCTGCAGCCATTATTTTTTTTTTCTTTAGAGCCTGGGGAATTCTCTTGCTCTCGCTGACTTTTTGCTTCATTCAAGCAACACGCCATCTGTCTATTTCAGTCAGGGCGCTTGGATGTCAAAGTCACAGGCACCTGCTCGATTTCATGAGGAATCATCATGGGAGGGGTGGTGCGCACCCTTAAAGGAAGACGATGGGGCCCTCTTGATACCCCACCATCTAAACAAGTGCTCGCTAGGCAGCTAGTAAAACCAGACATCCGAGTGCAGTGTGCAGTAAAGAGAAGAATGCTTTGGCTTTGGCTCCTAGCTCCAAGGCTTTCATATGCTTTGTTACATGGGGCAAATTGCTTCCCGAGGCTGCTGCAAGGACTAAGTGCCAGGATATATGCTAAGTGTTTAGCATGTAGCAACAACTTTGGATTCGGTGACCGTGATTCAGCTCTACCACTTAATAGCCATATGCCCTGGGCATGTCCCTAGCCTTGCTCAAGCTTCTGGTTCCTTACAGGTAGACTGGGGAAATAATAGGATTTATCTTGCCAGGGTGTAAGGATTAAGATAACGGTAATAAGTCCCACTTGCTGATCTCTTACTCTATCAGTACCTACATGTTCTGTAGGAATTGGCATATATTTTTATGGTCTCATAATATATATATGGTAGTTATGCTAATGCACAGAGACATTAAAAAGCAGTTGGTCTCTATGCATAGAGATTTATATGTATACGATTGCATAGAGTTCTGTGTATAAACATAGTGTAGAATATCATATGTGTATATGTACGTATACTATATATACTATGTATCTTTTAACAGTCTGGTTCTGTTGCTCAGGCTGGAGTGTAGTGGTGCAATTATGGCTCACTGCAACTTTGCACTCTCAGGCTCAAAAGATCCTCCCACCTCAGCCTTCCTAGTAGCTGGCACCACAGGTGTGCACCACCACACATAGCTTATCTTTTAATCTTTTGTAGAGACAGGGTCTTTCCTGTGTTGCCCACACTGGTCTTGAACTCCCGGGCTCAAGTGACCCTCCGCTTTTTGCCTGCCTCCCCAAAGTGCTGGGATTATAGGCGTGAGCCACCATACCTGGCCAAAATGTGCATATTATTTGATCTTTAAAATATTTGAATGCATAAAATATATGGATACATGTACATTATATAGATATATACGTGATTTATTAGAGAAAATGCTATGTTAGGTTAAGTGTTTTGTGTGTTTTAATACATCTCATTGTAAGAACCCTTTAAGTTAATGGTGCAATTATCCCCAGTTTATGGGTGAGGTAACTGAAAGAGGTTAGGAGAGGTTCTAAATGCTTTCTGAAAGCAGAGGGGTCTAGGAATCTGCTTTTTCAAGCTCACCAGGTTCTAAGAAAATCTGTAGCGCATAGGTTGGATGAACACTGTCTCAGCAGTAAAATGCTTTTGCTTGTGTGTGCGCATGTGTGTATGCGTGAGTGTGCGCCCACAAAAACTACATTTCCTTCCAAAATGGCTACTTCCCAGGAAGTAGAAACAGGCTTCAGAAGACATAGGTAAAAAAAGTTGTCAGGATGTTGAGTGGGAACTTAAAGATAGTGGTCCAAGCTAACTGAACTGTATCTGTAATATTTTAGTTTAACGTGGAGAAGATTTTACTGTTCAATATATTGCTTTAAGAAGTACATAGCTGGCCAGGCATCGTGGCTCGTGCCTGTCATCCCAGCACTTTGGGAGGCTAAGGTAGGTGGATTACCTGAGGCCAGGAGTTTGAGAACCAGCCTGGCCAACATGGTGAAACCCCATCTCTACTACAAATAGAAAAACTAGCTGGATATGGTAGCACGTGCCTGTAGTCCCAGCTACTAGGGAGGCTGAGGCAGGAGAATCACTTGAACCTGGGAGGCAGAGGTAGCAGTGAGCGGAGATCATGCCACTGCACTCCAGGCTTGGTGACAGAGCGAGACTCCATCTCAAAAAAGAAAAAGCCAGTGGGATGAAGCAATGGCTACCCCTCAGGCATTGTCCACAGAAAATGCCAGCCAGCCTCTATTTCTGCATGAAGCATATGCATGGCATATGGGCTTCCTTTCTCACCTCTGCCCACACTCCAGGGGGAGGACAGGAGTGGGATGGCAAGAATCTGCATGCACTGGCCAGGTCTCTTAAACTTGTTTGCTTCTGCCATCAATTGTCTCTACATTTCACATAAAATTTAGATGCTTCTCTATTTTGGATAACAGCCTGCTTTTGGAGATTCTAATGTAAACTGTATCTGTCATCACCTCTTATATCCTCCTATTTAGTGGAGAAGGGCTCAGGTATAAACCAGTATTTTAGGAAACCCTTATCCTCCCTCCCACCACCTGTGAGGATAAAGCTAGCGACTTGTTTTAATTAACATCCATACATATTGTGTAAGGAGAGCACAAGAATCCCAAATTTAATGTCACCACTACCACCATCACCATCGATAATAAAGCAGGCACAGACTTCAGGGTCCGACAGTTCTTCATGTTGTGCCCTCTTTCAACACTTGCTAGATACAGCTTTGGGCAAATCATATGACCTATCGGATCCTTCCTGTCCTCATAAAATAAGGGTAACCCTATCTTTAAGGATCAGTTGACATAGGCCAATACAAGTTGATTTATAACCGGCATGGTCTTCATATATAAGGAGTTTACAGAGAAGGGATGATTAAATATACTGAAATAAGATAGATGCTGTGAAGACAACCTGCAGTGTGGAAAAAAAAATGATTGCAGAACAAAGAGTCTGCAGGTGGCACACAGGGTTAAACTGCTCATGTATAAAGTTCTTATTGGTCAGGTGAGAACATGCCTCGTCAGTTAAGGGTGCACGTTCTGGAATCCTAGGGTGATCACCTGCTTGCTCTGTGACCTTGGAGAAATGAATCTTTGTGTCTCAGTTGCTTCACCTGTGGATAATAGCTTACAGTTTATGAAGTACTGCTGCAAGCACTTTATTGAGATTGCTTTCTTCTGCATAACAATATTAGGTCAGTGAGATGATCCTGAGGTGCAGTTGGGGAAACTGAGGCACAGCACTTTGGTTTAATTCATCCTGGATTGCCACCAGCAAGTTGACAGAATCAGGGTGCACACTCAGAATATGTTTCTAGAACGCACATGTTAAAAATCTTTCAGTGATACCAACTTAATAGGAATATTAAGATATAATGAGATAGGATTAAGATATTAAGTAACTAAATGGGGTGGACAGTTCAACCCTGATTTTTAAATAAGGAACACACGATTTTTGGCTCCTAATGAGCACTCAATGTATGTGAACTCTAGCACTTACTATATTTTTTTCATCTTATCCGAGGTGTCCCAAAAAGTAATTAATAGCTCAAACATATTTAAGATGAGTGATGTATTTTGTTTTAAACTGAAGACTTGATACTTCCATGCTAGGAGATAGCTAAGCTTAGTTCAGTTTCTTAAACAGCCAGGGTGAGTTCCACTGACTTCTTTGGGAAAATGAGTGAGGAAGGGAAAGATTTTAATCCAGAAAAGCAGGGAACTTGCAGGAGGCATCTGGTCTACTGGTGGCCAGGGCAGCCTCCTGCTCACTTGGGCAACACCCACCCCACATCCCCGGGCGGGCCCAAGTGCAATCACAGCTGTGGATAACAAATCTACCCACTGAGAGAGAAAACCCATGGAAGCCAAATAACTCAGAACACCAACTTGTACCTTTTCAGACTAAGCTTTTATTTTTTTGATATTACAAACCAGTTTTCTTTATTCACAAACCACTGTAAGTGATATAAACACTAATTTCTAAAGACAGATATACACATTTTCTGGGTTTGCAGATTGCGTGATGTGTGTGTTAAGAAGTCACTATATGCCACACATAATATTAATTTTCCATAATTCATAATAGCAATAGTTATTTAGATAAATGAAAACATTCCAAATAAATACTGTTTAAAAAAAATCCAAAATGTTTGTTTACATCTCTGACATACATTTTAAAATGACTTATTGGCATCTTGGAGTGCCTAGACAAAAGATTCTGCAACATCGGTTGGCACTCACTCACTCTAAATGATTTTATTAAAACTACATACAGTCATGGGGGAAAGTACAGCTCATTGATGAAAATCAAAACTGCAAATGAATTTTACTTTAACCAACACAGTAAGAATTCTATGTTTGTGATTCGAAACACAATACAAATTCTGGATTTTGAAATCTGAGGCGGCAATTGGGAGAAATTTATTCTCCATAGCCCCCTGCTCCTACTCTTTCTTCCCTCTGGAGGATGTCATAGTGTTTTAATAATTCGTTTCCTTTAAGAACATCAACCAGGCACCCATTGCCATAACACTGTTTTCCAGGTGGGGGAATGAGAATGTCTTAGTGATGCTATAAAACACCCTCTTGCCCCTCCCCTCACCCACCCAAAGAAGTCTGGTGAAAAGAACACTTTATATGCTTTTGGCTGATAAGTAGCTCCCCCCTCCCCCTTTTCTCTTTTCAAGATCACTATCGTCTGTCTTAGGTATCGAAGCTACAGAAACTTTGTTTTCAAATCTTGTGAAACTTTATTGATGGTTTAATATCCAACTGATCTTACGGCATGCACATAGGATGGCAAGAGAAAGCTGGATCACACATTTTTTTTTAAAGTTTTGTTTGGTTTTGTTTTAAAGCAGAGTTGTTACAGCGGATTGGCAGGTTCACAGCGGTGAGAGTTGATAACTTACTGAAGTGCGGGCCACAGGGCCTGCACTGTACACATGAGGACTTAACCTATGGCAGCAAAACTACTCAGGGACAGCCTGCTGCTGTTGTTTTTATTTAAATACAAAACAGGAAGACCCGTGACGGATACCCCAACTTAAGTTAACTTGTAAACAGGACAACGTGGAAAGTTCAAACAGAAGTACAGACAAACTGCAATTTTTCGGCTGTGTCACTCTGGCCCTGCATCCGAGAAAGGTGGGGAGACTTTGTTCTTTTGGGATTAAGAGGGTGGATGTACTTTTTTCTTTTTTTGCATCCTTCTGACAAGTGTCCTGGGCCTTGGAGACAGAACTAAAGAGATCATTTTGAGATAATCCTTGGGGGTATGGGAAAGAGGTGGAAGGGCAGGATCTCACGGACTGAAAAATTGCAGATTGTTCACACAACGCAGTCACGTTTCAAAAAGTACCAAGCTGATGAAAATACCATGATTATCTCTACTCAATGATTGCAATACTTGTAAAATGCTTCTATAAATCCGAATATGATTATCATGTAATTCCATAAAAATTATACGTCTGTCTCTAACAGTTGTTCTACTAGGCTAAAACTAAAGCTTCATAGACTGTTTCTAGAACTTAACAACTCCACTGCACAGATGTAAATTTTATACATTTTTTTTAACTGGTACAAAGAATTTAAGTTTTTATTACTTTCTTTTTTTGGAAAAAAAGAAAAAAATAGAAACAGTGCTTTTTTATCACCTTTTTATTAATGTTATTTTTTCCCTCCCATAATATAAAAGTCAGCAGTGATATCAATAATTTATTATACTGGAAGAAATATAAAAAGAATGCTTGTTGATGGCCTAACTAGTGGGTTTTTTTTCCTAAATAGCGACTGGTTAAGAAGCTGAATACTGCCGGGTGGAATGGTTTAAAGGGTGGGTTTGCACAGCTTCATTCAACTCAGATGCACAAGTGCTACTAGAAGCACCCCCTTAACAACATGACCTTTGGCTTGAACTGGCAATGAGTAACTTAGAACCATTGATAAATGATTGTTGGTGCAGTGGGTCGTTTAGATTCATCAGTTACATTTTTTTTTTTTTCTTTCAGCCAAACCCCAGTTCCAATCCCCTAAGCCCCTCCCAACCTCCCCTTTCGCAAAATAAAATAATGCAGGTGCAGAAAAAAATGACTACTGTAGTCACTTACACTCTTCCCAAATAGCTGATAACCCCAGTAGCTTAATATTCAGCATATATAATTCATTTACATAATATAGCACTCTGGATATGGCCCTAAACCAGTTTTTATTCATTATCTAGCATCTGTCTAGATCAACCACAAAAACTCCTACAGCCAGCAACCAAACTACGGAACCTTCAGAAATTAAAGACCCACAATATTAAAATACACAGAACAAAATATCTGAGGTATAAGATAAAAAATGTAATTTTTTTTCCTTTTTATTTGTATTTTTTTTTTTTTTAGAGTTGCTAAAATGATGTACTACTGCATGTATTGCAATACTCAGGCCTCGGAAAGCTTCCTTTCTCCCCACATTGGAAGGTTTTTATGGTTTTGTCATTTAGTATGGAGCAAAACGGTTGTATCCCCCTCGGTATATACTAGCCTGCAATGAAGAAAGAACGAGACCCACATCATCAGCATGGCTCCTAGTCTTGGCATCAGTCAAAGGTGCAAAAGCATTCTGAAACAAAGCAATTTGAGGGGTGTGTTTTTTACATTTTCCTTTTGCAACATGTGGATCATCAAAAAGACTAATGTGAAAAATAGACACTCAAAACCAACCGAAATGGAGGCACCCCCTACCCATCCCAGGTCATTCTTGGAGAACTAAAGATAGGGCCATTCCTGACCTTCCCCAATAGCTCCTCCTAAAGAAATTCCCTGCAAAACCAAATTCTGTCAGCCAGTCCTCTTAGCTAAAAGGACTCTATTATAAGCTGGACAATGGAAGGATTTTCACTGTCTCATTTTTTTATAACAGAATAATCTGCACTTGAGGTTGAATTTGGACCAGTTGTTGAATGTAAT
The DNA here is from genome assembly GCF_000001405.40 of Homo sapiens. Classification (NCBI taxonomy): domain Eukaryota; kingdom Metazoa; phylum Chordata; class Mammalia; order Primates; family Hominidae; genus Homo; species Homo sapiens. Next base: position 7,710,275 of record NC_000016.10, on the reverse strand, counting down.
TCAACTCTCCAACACATTCCTCATGTGGACTAGGTGTTGAAGCAGAGTTGTTGAATGCAGAATTGGGATGAAAATCTCAACCTACTTCTTACTTAACTTGGCTCTGTAAGCTGTATGGAATCTGATCTTGAGAAGGGAGTTGTGGAGTTGTACAGATGAATTGCTTGATGTAATTAAGCTTGTGCAAAACAATGCTTCCAAATCATGGCTGAATTTCTATGACTGAGCTTCAGTGAACTGTCCGGCCATGGTTTTAATGGCTACAAGGTGGCACTTAACGATTTCCTTTTTCTAAAAGTATTGGCAATTCAAATGAATGCCTATGGGGATTCATTTTTAGGGTAAGGACTGATATTCTTGATCCAAGCAGAAAACTGCATGCCAAAGCTTTGTAATGATTGCATATGCTCTCACGTGATGGGCACGTCTTACTGTACTCAAGAGTTTCAGTGCATAGAAGTTTGAACAAGTACAGGCAAGTTCACCCCACCCTTACCTCCCATTTTTTACCCTCCCCCCACCCCCTCCCAAAACAAAAACCCAGACCTGCCCCAAAACAAAAGGCAACCCCCAAACCCAGCTGATTCCTTCTACTTTCTTATGTACTAGGTACACACACAAAGTGTGCCCCTCTCTATTTTCTTTCCTGGGCGACTATGACTTTAAACATGAATTGTAATAGGGGAGGAGAGGCAGTCAGATTCTCAGCTGCCTGACAGCAGAGGCCTGGAAGTGTGCAGCTTAGCTCCTCTGAAGTCTGTGCTGGGGCTGGAACCTTGGGGCTATGTGAATGAGCAGCAAGGGAGGGAAAAAAAAAGAAAAAAAAAAGTTCTGCATTGACACTGCATTCTGTTAGTGATGGATTTAATTATCAAAATGACTAATTATTCCATTAAGGTAAGTGCTCTGCTAGGTGAGACTTGCAAAATTAGAAATATAATAACTTACATGCACTACATTGCCAAGAAATTAAGACATTTATCAAGTTTACTGGGAGGATTAATGTGGCATTTTAGCTGCTGTTAGCACAAGAGACAAATTCAATTAACGGGAAGTGAGAGGACGTCAACCCGTACTGAGGTCCCAGCTGGGGAAAGGGAAGGGAGGCAGGAGGAAGTGAGGACAAGGAGAAACTTGTACTCACCATGGCACCAACGCCGTAGGTGGGGGCTGGAGCAAGTGCGTGGTGGTAGGGGTCGGCAGCATAAACTCGTCCGTAACTGAAAGGAAAATAGAGGTGAAGATTGATCCACAGTATGCAATTACAAAACAATAACAATCATAAAATCCAAAATACCAAGACAGTATGCAGGGGCCCTACTCATCTTCCAGTGAGAAGCAAATTCTACTCTGCTGTGTAGTATAAGAAGAGTTCATCTGTACATGATACATTTTTTGTGCATTTAACATGGTTGCTATTGCTATGTTTGACAGATAAATACATATATACACACGTACTTACATATGCTTTTCCCTGCCTCCCCCCATAATACTGTTTCTACACTGCTCAAGTAGCTGCCTTAGAGACTGAGGTAGGTAAGAAAGAAACAACTTCAAGTATTAAGCCCAGCACCCACAGAGGGTATTTTAATTCTCAAGAGAGTGCCTTTTTCTCCTGATTCAGCTGTCACCATTCAAGTGAAATAGGGTGAATCAGAAAGGGTGAAGTGAACCTGTCTGAAGTTAGTGTCCAGCATCTTAGAATGGAAAGGAACAAGTATATTTGAATGGAAGCAGCCTTAAAGGGTCTGTGGGACCCCCATTCCCATTCCCATTCAATCAGACTGATTTGGTTTTGATCCTATTATTCCAGAACTTCTGTCACATTAATCCATGGCCAGGTTCTGGGAAGGGGGAGGCATTTGAAACAACAAATCTTAATGACATTTACTCATCTTTGTGTTTTTCTCTCTACCATCCTACTACCTGCCATGGCTTCTGGTATAGGCTTTAGGATAAAAATGGAGAAGAGATGGAAACCAAACGTGCTGAATGCCTACTAAATATCTGGAAGTTAACTTTTTTTTTTAAAGGAATCAAGTGAAGTCACTTGCTCAAGGTCGCATAACTAGACAGGGCAGATCTTGATTTTTTATGAGGGGGGAGACAAAGTCTTGCTATGTTACTCAGGTTGGTTCAAAACTCCAGGGTTCAAGTAGTCTACCAGCCTCAGCCTCTCAGTGTTAGGATTACAGGCGTGAGTCACTGCACTCAGCCTGATACTTGAATCTCTTAGGGCAACTTGCGTGCTTGGTCCACCGTATCCTGTGCCCATACTTGTTTGCCCTGCCAGATATTTTCCTGGAGATAGTTTGAATGCTGCTATCTTAATACTGACTGAAGCTGACGTCCTTCCTTGAAAGCTGATACTGGAATAGATTCCTGTGCAAGTGACTTACCGAATGGGGTGTCCTCAAGAGGAAGAGAGGGGCAAGTAGGTCAGAGCAAGGGGAAAAAAAACGCAACGTCTGAGATGAATATCTGCGACCTGATCCTATGGGTTTCATGCTACAGCAGGTTCCACCTAGAGGCAAGTGGGTTGGCTTTTTAATGCCTACATAAGTTTTCGGCATTAGCTGTGGGCTTTCCTGAGGAGTGAGTGATGCACCATTGAGTTAAAGTGGCTTCCTCTGACATGGGGCAATTTTCTGGAGAAGGGAACAGCTGTACTGTTAGCAACCAACATTCACAGCAGCTCGGCATGAATGCATCAGACACTCACTGGGATCGACATCGTTTTTTGATTCTTTGACCATTTCCTGAATGAAGGAACAAGGCTGGTGGAAGAAATGGTTTGTCTGTATTATCAACCTTCAGCTCGTCTCTCATCCCTTAGAGCCCAATTTGCACGTACCTTTTCCCTCTCCTTTCCTGTTTTCCCCCCATTTTCCTTCCAAGCTTTCTCATGGTTGGTAGATAAGTGATACCAATCCAATACATGTTTGACCACCTCACACCATGGAGTCTGAGAAGGTGAAGAAAGCGTGATGATGGACCTTCTCAGACTCCAAGTTAGACCCTAGGTGGAATAAAACAATTGATTATACCAGGTTTGCACTGGGCATCTTCCAACTCTCAAGCCCATCTGCCTGTGTCAAAGGGCACTTGATGAGTGCAAATAATCTAGATGAGGCTTTCAGCTTCAAGAGGATTCTCCTGATCCTCAAACAAGGACCTGAAGGGATGCCTCTCTTCTGAGGTGAATCTGTCAGTGAAACTGACAGTCATCTCCCTCTTGCCTTTCATTCTTTGGGGACACCCTTCAGTCCTTCTTATCAAAAATGGCCTTTAATCAACGATTATCCTTCTTTCTGGGAGGAAAAACAGGTATCGGTCCAAGGGCAGATGTGTTAAAAAGTTTTTGATAAAATAATAATATATTCAGAGAGCTCACTCCTGAGACCTGGGCCTTTACCCACTTAACTAGAAGTACATAGTAACAGGCATAAAAGGAAAACTATAACCTTGGTACTGCTCTTTATTTCATGAGGGAATGAAGTCTGTGATTGATTGGTCCAGAGAAAAATCTGTTAATAGGGTTATTTTTAAGGTACTTAAATTTGGCAAAGCTGTTTCATAAATAGGATATGAAGTGCAGAGGCAAACTGAAATCCTTGAGAGTTTGTTAAGTGATGTTATGGCAAGGTGTTACCTCAAAACAAATGTGAAAAGATGCAAATTCAGATATATTATTTTAAAAATTGGGGAAATGGTTTTACTGTGGCAATAATTTCCTCTTCTGGGGAGACACTATATGGGCAATTTGAATGTATTTAATAAAAGCGTAGCTCCCACCTTTTCCTACTGCATACTTCAGTGGTAAATTCTATAACGCTGGGCATAGTTTCAACCTTTGTGGAAAACCCAAGGTAACAATTTGGCAGTATTCTCTTCCAAGGCAGAAGGAAAATACAGCAGCATTGAACTACTCCTCAGAAATGAGCTGCCTCCTTTTCTCTTCAGGGTGACCTCTACCTTCAGAATCCAATGGTTTTATTATGATTAATAAATTTCATTTCCCCAGAGGAAAAGAGATCATGTCAGCTCAAACTGAAAGCAAGGAGGCTTCTTTTCAAATGCTAATTTCTGAACACGCCCTTGTGTGACACTACAATTTAGTCACAAGGTTATTGGGGAAGATGTGGACTTGAGTGCTACGTTTGCAGCAGATATGCCAAGCACGTCAGCAATCTGATGTCCTCAGAGCTGGCTAAGCACAGCCCGGAGACAGAGCACAGCAATACCCAGGATGTCCACAGGAATGATGGGAAGAGGTCTTACGGTCGCCATGTTAGGACACGACCAGCTATATGGTCATCCTCCACACCATGCATCCCTGGCCAAAGTGGGCAGTAGTGCAGTCAGATCATGATGATCTCCATGTGCCCACTTCCCATCCATCAGTAATTTCGGAAGAAATCTTCAATGTGTCCACTTTACTCCATGCACATGATGACTACACTAATATATGCCACTAGTTCATCAACACCAACTCAACAGCCATAAATCTTGTCTCATTTTTTCAACTCTTGCTCCTTCAAACCAGCAGCTATTTACATGTATCAAATCTCTCAAGTCTGTCCATCTCTCCACTTAAATATAAATCTAATCCTATGACTCCCCGCTTAAAACCCTTCAATAGTTTTCCATTGATCCTAGAATAAAATCCAAACTTGAATAAGCTGCCTCTGTCCCTCTTTCAATCTTCATCTTCCTTCCCTTGGTTACTGTGCTCCAGGCACATAGGATTTTTAAAAAATTTAATATTTTTTTGAGTTGGTCTTGCTCTGTTGCTAAGGCTGGAGTGCAGTGGCACAATCTTGGCTCACTGCAAGCTCCGTCCCTCAAGTTCATGCCATTCTCCTGCCTCAGCCTCCCGAATAGCTGGGACTACAGGTACCTGCCACCACACCCAGCTAATTTTTCTATTTTTAGTAGATATGGGGCTTCACTGTGTTAGCCACGATGGTTTTGATCTCCTGACCTCGTGATCCTCCTGCCTCGGCCTCCCAAAGTGCTGGGATTACACGCATGAGCCACCATGCCCGGCCCACACAGGCTTTCTTGATCGTTCCTGCACACATGCAAATCCATTCTCTGCTTAGTCTTGGCACTTGCTCACCCTCCACCTGACTTTCATCTTTTATGTTTCAAATCAAATGTCCCTTCCCTAGAGAGATGAAGAGATGCTTCTTTCTCTGGCTCTCTGCCTTTTTTTTTTTTTTTTCTTTTGAGACAGAGTCTTGCTCTGTCACCTCGGCTGGAGTGCAGTGACATGATCTCGGCTCACTCTAACCTCTGCCTTCTGGGTTCAAGCGATTCTGCCTCAGCCTCCCCAGTTGCTGGGATTACAGGCGCCCATCACCATACGTGGCTAAATTTTGCATTTTGTAGACAACATTTCACCATGTTGCCCAGGCTGGTCTCAAACTCATAACCTCAAGTGATCTGCCTGCCTTGGCCTCCCAAAGTGCTAGGATTACAAACATGAGCTACCACACCCAGCCTGACTGCTCTTATTTTTAAGGGCACTTTCCAACTTCATCCCTACCCCTTCATGTTGTATAGCAACTCTAATAATCTTATTTCCCACTCCACCTGATCATTTACCTTTCACCCTCCTGGAACGAGAACTCCATGGAGGCTGGGGCAGTGTCTATTTTGTCTGCCATTGCATCCCCACTGTCTAGAACAGTGCAGGTAGAGAGGAGGCAGCAAGACAAAGGAGTAAAGAGAGAAATGGGGCCTGGGAGAGACACTCATGCCTGTAATTATGATCCCATTCAGATACGCTTTTTGAAGACTCTGGGTCAGCTGCTCCCAGACACATTCAGGATGCTTCAAGACAGAAGAAAACTTTCTGGGGACTCTAGAAATAGTGTACACTTTTTACATCATTTCTGTGAGTTTGCAAAACACTGGCCAAGTTGCCATAAAACTCATCAAAAGCCTTCAGGGAAAAACTAAACAAAGATATAAAAGAGGACTGCTTTCCTGGCTAATTCACCATGGCTTGCAACCATCATGAGACCTCATCTTTTTGACCTTTAGCAACAAGTTAAAACTGGGAAGCAACCCGAGGGCTTGGAGATTCAGGACTTGGGGCAAAAAGATCCAGGTTTGAGTTCTGCTTTTATGATGTCCTTGCTCTCATGACTTGGACAGAGCATGCTCTCTGAGCCTCATCTTCCTCATTTGTAAAGCAGTAGTTTTCTGACTGAGCCCTACCTAACTCAAGGTGCATTCAAGAAAGCCAGGTAAATATTAAGCCACCTACAGATAGAGGAGATTATGATACATGGCTTCTTAGATTGTATTTCACAAACCAATCTCTCCCTCCTTGCCCAGACTTTTGGTCTGCAGAGGCAATTGAAAAATTCCATTCTAATATAATCACATGCAGCTCTACCGATCAAATTACAGATGCTTTTGGAGTTGAGATCTAATTTATGAGTTACAGATGTAGTTCAAATGGATATACTTACTTGAACTTAAGGTTGTGTTGGAGCAAAATGAATAAGTATGCAGCCTCTTGAATGGGAATATAAACCCGTGTTTGTTAAAGTGCTTTATCAACTCTACTGAGACACGTTAGCAAGAAGTACTATGTACACCTACTTGAAACAAGCTGGATGCTAATGAGATACAATGGGCCCATGTTGGTACTCCACACCAGGGTTTTAACATAATTTTCTTATAGGGCCACAGTAAGAACACTAATTAATTTCACTATATTTTACTCCCTATTTTGATGAGGAGCGTTTATGCCCTGGGAACTTTTTATTCTTCCATTAGTATCATCTCCCCATGCTTCTCACCCCAGAGATAGCTGGGTGAATCCTGTGGAGCAGAAAGATGAGTGAAATCTGCTCAGCTCTCAGATGAAGTTCAGAAGGTAGCAAAGACATCCTAAACAGCCAAATGGCAGCAAGAAAATGCATGGGCTTGTACCCCTCCCAACACAGAGAAGGGCTGCAGAGTATGCATTCAAAATGGGATGTCTCACCAGGGATCAATGAATGGCCCGGGTCTCTGCAATGCAATTAGGGACTACAGTGCCTCCTTTATCCTTATATCTAAGGCATAGTCTTAAGTATTTGGAAAAATGAATCCATGCAAGTCGCACACTTACCGTACAGCATAGCAACAGGGCACCAACTGTGGTTCAGTGGTTCTAAAAGCATGCTCTTTAGAGAGCCATGGTCTAGCTAAAGGGATGTTCTCTTTCACTTCCCTGTATAGGGTCAAATGAGATTTAGCAGTTCTGCTGTCTACCCCCCTGGTTGGGGTGCTCTGGGGCACCAGGTAAGAAGGGGGACATCAGAAGGTAACCTGCACCCAGGAAGAAGTGATTCTCATCCCACTCAGATATTCATCCTATTTCATTGCCCTCATTTTTGGGGTTTGAGGACTTTTCCAAATGAAAAATAAATGATGTGTTGAAGACAATCCTTTGGTTTGCATTGTTGCTGGTATCATTACCAATGAGTTGTTGCTTTTGCCCATCCGGAGGAACTGCATCTGGAACATACATTCCAGACCAAGTGTTCTGTGTTTGGACAAAATGCTCGGCTTTCAGCAATTCTCAGGGGCTGGAAAGGAGTCACAGCCAATATTGGCCAGGAAAAGAAAGAACAAGACCAGAAGGGGAGGGCGCATGGCTTCTGAGTTCTGCAGCACTGCCCCAGCTACTGCTTTACTTCCTTCTCTCATCCAACTAGAAATAAATGAATCCGTTGTCAATCATAAACTGTTATGGGCATTTATGTTTTCCAACTCAACCATCCCATACTCGTCACTAAATGAAAATGCAGCAAAACAGTAAGATCTCACAGTCCTACTGAAAGAGGCTGAAGGCTTCTGACAAATCTCTTGGCAATTCTGCAACTGCAGAGAGGTCCCCTCAGCTTCTTGGGGATTCTGTGGGGTCAGAATGGAGACAAAAGCTCACTTCAAAGGACAAAGAAATGTAGCCCAGAATATGGGACTTCACAGAAGATCTTTCAAAAATTCCGAGCTTAGGACACCTCAGTATATCTCTGAAATGATCAGTCTCTTATCTTCATGCCAATAAATATTTACCACACAACCAAAATCTCCATTTTCAAATCGCAGAATCCCAGGTTGTAAGGTCTGGGCTAATCCCAGTGCGCATCCATTTGAGAAAATGTTGGGGTAATTATGGCCAAGATTTTAATCTTGCAGGAGAAGAGCCATTCAAGGAAAGGACAAGTTATCTCAGTGCACTATGCAGGTACATGGAGAGACAACAGGTGCCAACCACCCCACCTCTGCCCTACAGAAAGATTTGAGAGGGTTTCCAGAACCTCAGGCCATGCACCCTGGTTTGCTGCAACAGGGAGAAACCCTCCTGAAAGCATTAACATAACTACTTGGATGTATTGGGAAATTCAGAAAGCAATGGTTTATCTAGGAAATGTTCCTGTTCACTTTCACTCTACAAGGGTCAACTGAGTTCTGGACTTCAGATCTGTTGGTCAGTTAGTGAATTTAGGGAAATACTCCTCTGTGGTTACTATAGCCTTCTCCTAGTTTTAATTTGAGCAATGACTTATACATTTATTGACCATAGGGATGACCAAGCTCACTTATCCTCAAAGCTTCTCAAGATACTGAAGTTGGAGGAACTAAACCAGTCCCTAAACACCTAGAGGAGAAGTCCCTGGCCTTCTTGGCACCAGGGACCAGTTTTGTAGAAGACAGTTTTTCCACAGACCAGGGAGGTGGAGAATAGTTTCAGGAAAAAAAACTGTTCCACTTCAGATCATCAGGCATTAGATTCTCAAAAGGAGTGTGCAACCTAGATGCCTCACATGCACAGTTTACAGTAGGGTTGGTGCTCCCATGAGAATCTAATGCTGCCACTGGTCAGACAGGAGGTGGAGCTCAGGCAGGAATGTGAGTGAGAGGGGGCGGCTGCAAACAGGAAGCGTTGCTCACCCCCCACCCCGCTCACCACCTGCTGTGTGTCCAGTTGGGGACCCCTGACCTACAAAATGACTAAAAATGCAGCAAAGTCTCCAAAAATGATAAAACTAGAAGTGGAAGAAATGCTCCAAGATAACATGGAGTCATCTCTACTTGGCTCTGTTTGAGTTTCATTGCTGCTGACTTCCTTAGCTTGTCTTTAAAGCGCTTAACTTCAGAAATCACTTAGCACATTTTTCAACCTCGTGATTTCCCTGCCTCCCCTGAGAAGTAGGAGGGAACACATCTGAGCTTTTTAGACCCTACATGAGAAGCCACAGAACTTGCTTTTTTTTGCCCATGGATACCTGTCATACATCAGAACTATGCATACATAATACGTACACAAATCCAACACTGTGGCATCTAAAAGACTCAGACCATTTACCCATGGCAAATCAGATCACATCATCTTTTCTCTAGCCCACCAATGCCATTCAAAACCTCTTCCTATTCTGAAAACCTCTTCCTATTCTGAAACCCAACAGCAGATTTGAGGGAAAGCAGAATAGCAGCCACTCTCGGAGTAGAGAAGACACAGTAAGTAAGTCCCACTTTTGGTGATGAAATTCTCCTGCCCTAGAATACCTCCTCTAAAAAAGGAGCTGTAGGCACATTCTCTTTAATGCAGAGCTCAAGGCCATCCTTCTCTTAGAAATTTCATTTCTCCTTTGTTTGTCTACTCCTGCTCTACCAAAATCACTAAGAATTTTTATTGTGCTTTGAAATCACCATGGCACCCCAGCTATACTTTACCCCATAGGAGGAAAAACAAATTGTATCCCTTATGAGATTTTCAATACCCTTCCATGAAGCAGGGTTGAACAGCAGCTGGGGATCCCTCAGTCAGAATTTCTAGAGTCAAACACTGACTGTTACTTCTTGCTAAGCTATCTCAAAGTTCTTCTCTTTGAGTTGGTTATACCATCTATAAATGGAGATGATAATGGTGCATCCTCATCGTACAAGGCTACAGTGAGGGTGAGAGGAGGGTTATGATTACTAGTTAAGGACTAAACAAGTGACAGTTATTAAGACTGAGAGGACTGCAGCTATTGCCTCTCGTCTATTTTATGTGGGATCAGTGAGCTTCCCGGTAAAGCCCCAGGGGTACATGTGTCAGAGCTACCCCTGAATTGGATTGATGATCCAAAGTCTTATGTACTGGCATCTCCCATCCTCAAAGCAAGCAGATCAAAGATTAAGACAAAACAAGCAGGTTGAGAAGTAGGGAGGTTCTGGGCCCTGAACCCCAAGGAATGTCCCTCTACAGCACCAACACACCCACCTAGCACCAGGAGGCAACGTTAAAATCCAATACCAAGACACTGACAATGTCCAGATTATCTGTCACAACATTTTAACTCCTGGTGAACATCCCCCACCTCCAAATGACCAGTTCTTGGGGACACACAAACTCTTTCAATATTCATTTGAGCCAAATGAAAAATGTGGTTCTAAAATGGGATTGAGAGAAACATAATAAAAGCCACACATGCAAGACATATGTCATTTTAAATTTTACAGTAACATTTTAAAAAGTAAAAAAAAAAGGTGAACTCATTTTTATTTTCTCCAGAATATTCAAACTGTCATCACTACAATGTGTAACTCACAATTATTGATATATTTTACATCATTTTTGTACTAAGTTTTGGAAATCCAGCATGCATTTTTTACTTACAACTCATCCTGGTGTGGACTGGCCACATCTCAAGGGCTCCACAGCCACATGTGAACACAACTTTAGCAAGTCCTATTGTGTGCTCTTTTTACCATTGAAACAAAAAACGTTGGCTGGGTGTGGTGGGCCCGTGCCTGTACTCGCAGGACTTTGGTAGGCCAAAGGGGCAGGATGGCTTGAGGCCAGGAGTTTGAGATCAGCCTGGGCAATAGAACAAGACCCCATTTCTTCAAAAAATTAAGATATCAGCTGGGTGTGGTAGCACCTGCCTGTACTCCCAGCTACTAGGGAGGGTGAAGTGGGAGGATCGCTAGATCCCAGGAGGTCCAGGATTACAGGAAGCTAAGATCAGGCTATTGCACTGAACTCTCCAGCCTGGATGACAGAGACCCTATCTCAAAGAGAAAAGGTCCCTGATTGATCAGTTAGTGTGTCCCAAGGTGTGAGGTCTTTTCTATTACAATTATCTGGGGCAACTTGTTAGAATGCAGATTTCCAGGCTCCCTCTCCGGACTTATGAATCAGAATCTCAGGGGCAGGGGAAGGCGACAAAACAGGCTCTGCATTTGTAACAAGTTCTCCAGGTGACTTTGGTGCATTCTTCTAGAATTTGATAACCACCATTCCATTTTTTAAAATTCTGCATGCATGGATACAGCACTTTCCCACTTAGGCTAATTCAGACTATCTAGACATCTTTAATTTTCACAAATTGATTGCACACACTTTATAGGGTATTGTTATTGCATGCAGCAAGCCTGAGACTATGCCTCATATACAGAAGGTTCTCAATAAGTGGGAGTATGTTTCCTAAGTTCCTTTGCTTATATGGCCCCTTAGCTCCCTGTACTTTCCCTATTATAATACATATCACACTTTATTGGAAATGGACCAATTAGCCACAAATCAATTTACTGCATGACAACTTTGCTGAATAATCAAATCACTAAAATGCAGAAAAGACAATTAGATGAGACTTGCTGAAGGATCAGTTAGAGGAATGGCCAATTGGGAAACTTCTTCTAAATATTAAATATTACCTAAAGTTTTAATGTAGCTGGCAGCATGTGTAGGTTGAGAAGTGGGGATAGAAAAATGAAAGGCGCTGGTGACACCTCCTTGTACCCCTGAACTTGCTTCTAATTGGTAACTTGGGTAGCAACCTGCCCCACAGAGAACAGTTTCAACAGCTTTTGCAGATTGTTCATTTGCTCAAGGCTTTCTTGCAGACCCTACCCTCACCCCACATGGTTGTGTCCCATACTCATCAGGAACTGAGATGAAAACATGTCCCCAGATTTGCTAAGGGAATGCATGGTGGGTCCTGGCATGGTGGAAGGGGCATATCTTCCTGCTAGTGAGTCCCAGCCTCCACCTACCCCCTTTATACACACACACACACACACACACACACACACACCCTCTTGGACTCTGTGTCTAAAACAACTGTTTCAACCTGTCTGGGGTTTTCAGGGACTAGCATATTGTTAATTGTTTTTCAGCCACTAACTTTCAGCAAAAAGACGTCTGGTGAATTAACCTAGAACACACTTGGCCTGTTTAACCCTCTCTTCCCTAATACGCAACATGCTTCCTGACCTGACATCTGCTCCCTCTGTCCCCACAACTACACCAGTACTCCCAGCACACGGAACTAAACATATGCCTGCTGCCTGAAGGGGACAAGCCAAGTTAAATAAAATTCCAGTGGAACAACTGCTAAAGAATCATACAGTGCCCTTGGGTCTCTTCCAAATAGTAACAACTTTGTCATCCGACTCAAAATACTAGTTTCATAGGAGCAAGATAGCATACTGGGGAAGGTAGAATTCCATCTGGAGTGAGAAGGCCAAAGTTCCAAGGGTGAAGAAAAAGGTGTGTGTGGAGGCAGTGTGACCCAGGGGAAGGGTTTTGGCATCAGATGGACTCCAGTGTGACTGGGCAAGCTACTAAATGTTTCTGGACCTGAGTGTATGTTTTTTTCACTTTCCAAAATGGGGATAACACCTCGTTGAACTACTGTGATACATATATACATGCATATATAGTTTATCATACATATGCATGCATTATACATATACATGCATGTATGTATATCATACTAGCACACATAATTTGCTCAATAAATGACAGTAAGTTACTATTACACCTTGGAGAGTTCAGCAAAGCCCTCAACAAGGGACAATTACTACAGGGATAAAGGGTTTGCTTTCCTCAGGGATTAAAGCCTTGGTGCTCCATGGAATTAACTGATAGACCCTTAGAACAAGAGTGGGGAGTGGACATTTAACAGACTCGAGCTTGTACACTTCTAATCTGCCAGTATGTCCTGTTTGTTCTCCCATCAAAATACAGCTTAAAGATGACCACTTCTCACCCACAGCCACCCCACTAACCCAAGCCATTGTCACCCCTCTCTGGACAGCTGTAAGGGCCCCCCCATTGCCCTTCGGTGCTGTTTCTTCTGTTCTTTGGCAGTTTGGTCTCCACAAAGCAGTCTTATCTGATCATTAAAGTCAGATTACAACCCTCCCTCCAATGCCTCTGCATCACTGTTAAAATCCCAAATATGTTCTGCAGCCTCCAAGTCCTAACTTCCTCTGACCCCTGTCTACCTCCTAGATGTTATCTATTAAACTCACCTGTACTCATATCCGTGGGCCACACTGGATGTCTTACTCCTGGACACCTCAAGTATGTCTCAACCACAGGGTCTCTGCACCTGCTGTATGTTTCATGGGTCACACGTTCACTTTATATTTAGATCCCTGCTCAAATGTTACCCCCTCAGACAGGCCTTCTCTGATGGCTGAGTCTAAAATAGCATTGCACCTTACTTTCCATCCCCTCCCCTGCTTTTTGATTCATTACAGTAAGTACATAACTTACTATGCATATATATTATCTGCTTATTCATATACGTGCTTTGGGATCTGTTCTCCCATACCATGAAGGTCTTTTGATGAGACCTTCTCCTGACTCATTTAATGCTATGTCCCCAGGGCTTAGAACAGTTCCTGACACCCACAAAGGACTAGAGATATTAATCGACTAAAATGAATTTCTAGTCACTGATTAAGTAACTTGCTTTTCAACCTCCATTCTCATACCAGACCCTTCTTCTGCAACTACTACAATCACTAGCCCACCCTGGAAAATTCCTAATGAATCACAGACGGAGACCTCCCGTCTAAGAAGGGAAAATCATTTACTCCCTTTTCACCATCTATTGAAGAATCCAACTCATCAAAGGTTCTTGATGTTACTGAATGAGGACCTACTCAGTTGTCCAAGCTGGATGCATTAGGAGGTGTCCTGCCCTGTTATAAAAGCCTAGTCCCAAGTGATACCCAACAGAGCACACATTCTTTGGGAAAAACCAAAACAAAACAACACAACTAATAGCATTGTTGAAACTCCTAGGTAAGAAAATAGATATCCTTGTAAATTAGTCTCACAGACCACAAATGTTAATGAAAAATGCCTATTCCATGTGGCTAGAAAAAGCAGACCAGATGTGTTGGCACTCTCGACACAAGACCCACGTAAAAGGCATTGCTTTTCTTTGGGAAACGTGAAGAACAAATCCTGAAATGCTGCTGTTCTACTGCTTAATGATTTTCATCTCACTATCTCCACCCGAAGCCCCTGATGGCTGCCTATGCTTAGCCCATCCACCATGGGCATCAATGTGACAATAGCACCTCTTTATAAGAATTTCAGTTATAACATCCATCAAACCCCACACTGAGATTTTAAGCATGTTGATTTTTTTTTCTCCATTTAAAAATAGAGAACTTGTCTTTTGTCAAACTCTGATATCCAGTAGATAGCAGGATTCAATACACCTGCTCTAATAAATGTTTTTATAAGGAGGTGAGAGCTCATTACAGTAGTGCTGTTTAGAATGTGGGTAGTGGGCACAGCAGGATTTTTTTTTTTTTTTTTTTTTTTGATGGAGGCTTGCTCTGTCGTCCAGGCCGGAGTGCAGTGGCGCAGTCTCTGCTCACTGCAACCTCCGCCTCCCCAGTTCAAGCAATTCTCTGCCTCAGTCTCCTGAGTAGTTGGGATTACAGGCATGTGCCACCACACCCGGCTAATTTTTGTATTTTTAGTAGAGATGGGGTTTCACCATGTTGGCCAGGCTGGTCTTAGACTCCTGACCCTCATGATCCACCCACCTTGGCCTCCCAAAGCAGGTTTTTTCAGCATGTAGGAGATGATGCCCTAGAAGGCTTTCACTGAAACCACGAGTTACAACCTTTGTTGACTGAGCAGTTTTGATTTTTCATTTTCGCTCTATGAGCAAGGTGAACTTGCTGGGAGATAATCTGACATTTGATGGATATGGGTGTCTCCTTTTTCATGCTTCATTCAAAATTCAGAGTTCAAACGGAACCTTATGAAGCATGCAACATAATATTAAAATGGCCATCAAAGGACTAGGGATATCTCTCTCAATCTGAAATGTGATCAATAGCAATTCATTAAGAATTTACTGAGCAGCCATCTAGATTAGGTAGATGGAAACACTCACCACACGCATGCAAACTTTCATTTTCTGTCGCCTTTCTTAGAAATATTGTGTGTGGATCACTTGCTTATAAGGCAGGGTTTAAGTCACGGGGCAAAATCAATATCTTTTTCATGTTTGATCTAAGATGTCCAAATATAACCTAACATACTGGAACATGCACAGGGGTTAACAGAAGGCAGAAGCTCTAGTGCACTGAGGCATCTATACATGAGGCCTATGAACATTTTAAATTAACATTATTCCCCACCCCTACCTCCCATTCCAAGCGGTCTCCCCTTTTGTTTCATGCTCCATTCCACTAAGGCTCTGAAAATGTTAAACAACTTTTGTATTGCAGGAACATTCCCTGCCACTCCCAGCAATTCAATTAACCATTGCACCTAGCACTGGGCATTAGTAAAGTGTTAAGGATGTCGCCACCTCTCACAATGAGAAGCAGAGATACGAGTCTAGGGGTTAAGAGGGAAATTGCAGGACCATCAGCAAAGAGGTTTTATAGAAAGAGTATACCATTGTTTTAAAATGTCAGCATGCATCATGCATACCTCTTGAACTCACCAGGTAAGACTTTAACCCGTTATGAAGGTTGAGGCTGACCATATAAATAAAACTGACCCTGCCTTTTAGAACAGAGATAGTTGGGTGCATGTTCCTAGCTCTCTGTCCTTCCTTTCATTCATTCATTCTCACCAAAGGCAGTAAATAGGGAGTGAAACATTGGCACATAAGCCTTTTTTTACTGCAGCATTGATAAAAGGTAACAGATGAGTGTTTATTTGTAAGGTTCAGTTTAATGTATGTGTCTGAAGGTCATGGGATGCTCAGTTATGTAGTGATAAGTTGTAACGTCCTCCCTCGCAGGCTGAAAGCAACACATTGGCAAGACTTCCTAGTGATTGTTTTGGTCATAGTTTAGGCTTAAAAACGACAAAAGGAAAAAGAAGGAAATCTAGTGTTAAGGCATTCACCTATCTTGGCATTTAATTAACTCCATACTAATCAAAGTACAAATTTAACTGTTCTGAACCACATCAAAGAAAAAAGACAGGTGTTATTTTGATGGACGTATCATGCAGCTATGCAATTTCCATTTGCCAATGTCCTGGTTTCAAAACCAAAAGACCTGGTCTCTCTAAGTCCTGCTACTTGAGAGATGTTTTATAAGAAAGGAAATAGAGGATCTTTGGCTAATAGAATGAAGATCCCCTTCTTATAAGACAGAGATAATTATATTCTCGAATGCCTCTAAGCTTTATAGATTCAGTCTTTTACAGCCTCTAATATTCCATAAAGATCCCAAATAATTCACACATCAGTCTCTATGAACCCAGACATAACACGTCAAAAAACATGGAAGTCATACGTCTGTGTACCTAATCTTCCTGTTCCCTATTTTACCATAAGAGCACTGATTATACTGTAAGATTTTCTTGTGGATTCATTCAACATACTCTTACTTTTCTGGACCATGTATTATTAAAACCAGAAATAAAACATCAAAGTTAGCAAAATGCCTAATGTCGTCTTATATGGCAGAGCCTCAAGGCTTCAGCTGTACTCCAAAGATATAAGATCTTTTTTTTTTTTCTTAACTAAACTTTCTAGAGTGACCAACTGCAGCATGTGAAGAAGAAAAAAAAAAAAAAAAAAGGATACTGAGACTTGGATGGATGCATCAAGAAGTAGCAACGTTTGTTACCTGCAGAGGTGTTACAAGAAATTTCATCTGCTGCAACGAAGACGAACTGATTTCTGGAAGAGAAGATAAAATTCACAATACTGCTCGCTCAGGGGGAAATGTGCTCTCTGCCAATTGCTTCGATGTGTACAGATGAGGGGAGGGAAGGGTGCTGCGTGTGAATGGATGTTGCGAGGAAATGTGCTGATGTACCTCAGAGTTTAGAAAGATCATGAAATAAGCATGCGGGGACCTCTTAAAGTCATGGTAATGTCAGAATACGAACTATGTACAAGCTGTTGCACCAAATATTAATACTATGTGTTACCAAAACATGCCAGGATATGTTTCTAAGGCTAAAGCATTTCAAATTGTGCTCATATGACTTTCTATGCTAAAGAGATTACTTTTTAAAATGGGACTAATGATTAAGAAATAGGGTATACTACAGCTAGCTAGAAAAATTATAAAATTCTAGACTTATAATATCAAAAAAAAATAAGAAAAAGTGCTGTCATTTCAGAAGACAATTTTATATGGTGATGTGTTATGGATAATAATTTCCTCATCAAACCCAGCTTGCTACATAGAGCTAAGAGAACTTGTCAATTGAAATAAACCCTAATTATTTTTAATGATGCAGTATTAAAAATAATGAAAATAGAAAATGCTATTTTACTTTTAGTAAACCCAGAAAGATGATAAAACTCTCTTAAGACGTTTCCAACTGTGACACTTCCACGATATTATGTGTTCTAATTCAGAGGTACTAATTCGTCTACAAATAAGATCGTCTGAGTCAAATTATAAAAATGGCACAATGAGGTTGGCTAGGTTCGTAAATGCCTCAAAAGTAGCAGTACAGGGGCTCTGGGTTTTCATCGGTTAGATTTTTATTATGCTTATGGATCACCAAGAACCAAGATAAATGCATTTTTCTTCTTAGTATGATTGGTTTTGTTCAAATGTTTCAGTGCTTCAAAAGGTATCTAGTGATGGAGCATTTCTTAAAACATCTTAAGAAAGTTTTACTGTTGCAAGAGGTACACCCTGGAATATAAATAGAGCTGCCATTTGAATATTCCCTAGAATTTCACATTCAGTTAAATTCTAGTCATTTCTACACCAATAAAATATAAACAAGTTATACATGCTTTGAGAATAATATTTTTAGTACTTTTCTCCTACATAACAAGTCACAACTAAGTTTATCACTTTCCTTAAGACAATAAAAGTTAACATAAGATTTTGGGCTTTTTGACACAGACTTTTTGAGCCGCATGAATATCTGGCCCCAGATTCCCTATGTTAGAGGAGCAATAAAATTTATCCCTGAAAACAAAGGAGATATTTTGGTTGAATATTTGACTTACTCACCTTTGACTTATAGAAGGGGCAATAACACGGGAATTCCTAACTACAGGTATGATATTCTGGGCTGCACAAAACAGGCACTTAGAATAACCTCTATTTACAGAATGCTCCTAAGAATGCTACCGTAAGCAAGAATGGCGACATGATTTATCCAAAGCGGCAAGGTCTTTGCACTAGGCATTCACATATCTATGGCAGGAGGGTGGGGCAGCTCTACCCAATTTCTACTGCCTAATCCTAGAACAGATTGCTAGCTTGTGTTCCCTTTCTGCAATTTTCCCTAAGGAACTGTCCAATGTGCTAGACATCAGGAAAGCCACTTGGAGACAAAAACAGATGTAAAATTGTGACTGAACGAATAGGTAACTTTTAAAATGCAACCTACAAGTATGAATAGAAACAGCCCTCTAAGAAACTAGGCTTGTTTTTAAAAATTGTTTCAGAATTTTATAGTATGATGGTGTCCTTGAAAGTATTCTTTTTGAGTCTGCACTTAACCTTAAACTACCCTTTTTCCTTCCTCCTTTCTTCCTCTTTTCCTCTCCTACCCTTTCCTTCCTTTTCTCCTTTCCTTTCCGTTTTCTTTCCGTTCTTTCTCTCCTTTCATTTTCCCTTCATTCTTTCTCTCCCCCACTTTTTTTTTTTGAAAACCTATGTGTATTGATTTTTATTTTATTTTTTACCCCTGGTCTCTTCTTGATCCCTAAGTTTCAGAACAAAAGGGACTACTCCCTTTGACAACTCACCCTCTTCAAAAGAGTTGGCTTAGATTACTTCTGACTACAAATTCACATCTGTTTCAAGGCAGAGTTCTCAATAATAGTGACATTTAAAAGGAGTTAACAGCTACCAGTTAAGTATTTTTTTGACGTATCCATTCTGTACTATTTTATTTTTTAATCCACATAAACAATCCCACTACATCCCAGAAAGGTCACCATAAGGTGTCAGAAAGTGCCTTTCTATAGAGTTCATTAATTAATTCCATGAATTCAATCTGTGTGATCACTACTTCCCTGAACAATGCTTTCATCAATCGGTAAGTGCAATTAACAGGAAATGTCTGTAAAATCAGATTGGCTTTGGTGGCCTGCAGTGTCAGGACAACAGAAGAATTCTGGTACAGTTCTAAGGGGAGATTGCATGTTGCTGTCTATATTCACCATGTTATGCCATTTTATGTACAGCTGTTTCACCTTGAACATTAAGACTATTGATTTAGAGGGCCCATAAATGGATCATCTATGACCCTCTCTCAAGCCATTTGCCCCAGATGACCAGAGACACATATGATCAAAGAGACGAATGTCTCCGCTATATCCAAACAACTTCAGAAAAATTAAAAGATCAGAACAATGCAGGTATATTCTGGACAGTGGGGCTGCCTCTCAGGAGAAGAAAGAAGGCTGGTACCAGGGTCTGTCTCCTTATGCAAACCCTAGTGTGCTGCTTTCTCTCAACACAGACCCGTGAATTTAAACTTCAAAATGCACCTGATTTTCCACAAACTGGTCTGTTCCTTAGTTGTTCATAAAACAAGTCTGGCTGAGTCGTTCTCAACCTTGGCTGCACATTGTAAATAATTGGTGCACTTCTAAAAATTTCTGGTTACCAAGCTACACTGAAGACCAATTAAATGGTAACCTCTGAAACTGGGTCTCGGGCCTCAGCAGTTTTTAAATGCTTCCAAGTGATTCTAATGTGCTAACGTTCTTCGTTTGAAAATCACTTGTTGAGGTGAATGGTCCTCACCTTGGCTGCTCCTTAGATTCATAGAGGTTAAGAGAGTGCCAGTGATAGGGCCCATTCCTGAGGTTTCTGCTTTAATTGATCTGGGGTAGGGCCTGGAAAGTAGTTCGGAAAATGCTCTATAGGTGACTCTAATATGTGGCCCAGCTGAGAAGCAGTGTTATGGCACCAAGGCAGAGGGATTCAAGAGATTCAAGGAAGTGGATTCAAGGAAGGGATTCAAGGGAGTTGAATCACTGAATCTCTTCCAACTTTGGTTTCTACTTTTGCAGCTTCTGTTTGGCCACCATGCTTGCCTCCAGGGCAACCTAGCTACTTAGGTTTTAGACTATGCAACCACACAAACCTGATACAGTATCCAAGAAAGGGTACTTCTAGTTTCTAGATGCCTTCTAAGAGTTGACTTTAAACCTCATCCTGAAAGAGAAACTGCTCTACAGTGGCCATATCATACTCTTGGTATTTGAGTTCTTCCTTACCTGTTCCTCTTAATGGACCACTTCTTATGCATTTACTCAAGATCATCCTTGCTTGGGTTTTTCCATTTTTCTTTGAGTTGGCCCCTACTTCTGTATTTTCCCATTCCTGTCACCCACAACTTTTCTATATTCTACCTCTCTTCCACTCCAAAATTTCTCCAACTTCCCTGAAGATAAGAATGCCTAGAGTGCTCATTCAAGGTATAGATTCCTGGGTTTCAACTCTGACCACCTGAATCAGAATTTCCAGGAGAGAGGTCTGGTAATCTATACACTTAATAAGAACTCAGGCCTGCCTGTTGATCAGCTCCACAGGCACTCATTTTCACTGTTCTGTAGGTAGCAGATTCTGCTGTGAGGGAATCACGCCTCCTGCTGCTTCTTACCTTGAAGTTTGGGCAACCTTGCTGAAAAATCTGCAAGTTCATTCCCATTTTCACTTCAAAGCTCACCTGTCCCAGGAAGATTATTTTGAACTGGGAAGGCTTGGTTGGGGGTGGAGAAGAGGAAGGATTACCAATGTATGAAAAATGATGAAATGGCCAAATTGAGTTTAAGGGAGAAGGCTGTGTTTGTCTTGGCTCATGGGAATGTTGATTGCAACGGCTACTATCTAACACTGATGGGGCACTTATGACTGCAAGTTGCCAAGTGTCATACCTATGTATTCATTTAATTTTTCTTATAACCCTTCTTTTTATCCTCGTCTTGTAGATGACGAAACTGAGGCATGGAAAAGTTACATAATGCGAGCAGCTGTTAAGTGGTAGAGGTGAAACCTGAACACAGTTGGCTTGGCTCAAGACCAAGCTTTTACTATCTAAGGTTCTGCTTGGAACATTCACGTAGGGGGTATTTAATCAGCAGTGAGGTGTGATGTCTCTGTGGAGTAACTTAACATTCTGAATCTTCATTTCCTCTAAGAAATATTTGAACTCCTCTTTGAGAATAATTGAGAGAAAGAATTAAAAACATATTCTAACAACAACTTGATTATGAAATGGCATATGCCATGGTCTGTCTCTTTCACTCTTATGTCACTAGCCTGACTAATCTTTTAAGATGGTTTTATAGATCAACCATCTATACTCTATCTGCCTCAGCTGGTGGTACACTTAAATTAGTCCTGTGGATTGCCGCATATCACCCTCATAGCCCACTTTTGTTCCTTAGGTTAAATCTCATCTCTTGGCAGTTTTCCTTCTGAAAAATTACCCACAGCTGAATTCTCAGAGTTAAATTAAAACAGTAGCCAGCCTGTGTTGCTGGAGGGGACATGAGATGCTAGATATCAAGTCAGAGAAAACTTTTGGTGCGGGCAGGTGGGACGTAAACATTCCCCATAGCAAATAATACTGTCTTTAAGTCTTATGGGCAAAGATTCTGCTCACTTCTCATTATTTGGCTTCTTAATTCTGTTACATTGCTATTGTTAAATATATCTCAGGATCGATATCACTCATAGCAAGATTCTTCTTGTATCCAATGCTATGAATATTGAATCTCTCTCTCTCTCTCTCTCTCTCACACACACACACACACACACACACACACACACACACACATTTAAACCTGCCAAGGATGCCTACTAGGCAATCCCTACAGCTGAGAAGTTGGTCTTCTGGCCTGGTAGATGGCAGCCAAGATGCCCCAGGATAGCAGTGGGACAAAATCCAATTCTACCTGTACGTATTGGGATATCTGTTGTTTATAAGGCAGAGGTTTTTAGCCCTGACTGCCCAGCCAATACTTTGTTTTTTAATAAATATTCAGCTAGGATTGTTTTTTAAATAAAATACCAATGACCAGGCCCACACCCCGGTCATTTAACTTGAGCATCTTTGAGAGTGGTTCCCATGTACAGATATGCCTGAAAAACCCCTGGGGTTGATTCTCATCTGTCAGCCAGCACGGAGAACTCATCTCACTGTATGAATACCTCTCTGAACATATGTATCTTGCCTCTTCAGGAAACAGTTGTGTCTTTTGGGTTTAAATTGCACTAGTGTTGATTTTTAACATTTTATACTTAATATTTTAATTGCTAATTATACTAATTACAGTAGTTATAATTAGTAATTGTCTTATAATCATGCTTACCAGGTTGCTTCCTTTTTTACATGTAAAATTAAGGTGGAAAGTCACAATAATCAGTTTATTCTTGTTGTTAAAATTGCTAGACGTGCCATATGGAACTCAGCCATGAGTGTTTTCTGAATATTAAACATAATATGCAGATAGGATGTACCTATTAAAATTCATATTGCTGATCTTACCAAAGAGTTGACTCACATCATTCAGCCCTCAGATTGTAAATGAGGGGCTTGCTACATATCAGGCACTGAGCTAAGTCTAAGGGGTCTGATGCTATGCTCATATCCTTTAAATCACTGGAGTATCTTGGACTTGCCTGTCTGGAAGCTCATAATCTAATTTATATTTCAGTTTTATCACCTTCAAAGGGAGGTTCCTTGCAATCAGTATTTTACCTCCTTTCCACATAAAATACTAATACTCTACTCCAGAATGGTACAAATCCCATTCAGATTCATATTTTTTACCTGCCCTGTCACTTTTATTCAGTTTAGTGTTGTCACGTGTACTTCAATACACTGTGGCAAATTGTAGAATGAGACAGGGTATACACAGACAAGTAACCAAACAGATTGATTATAGAAAGCTCTCAAAGGTCCTACACCTATCTCTTTTTGAAAAGGGGGAACACATGAAAATACACTTAAAAACATTTCATTTAGACACAGTTCCTATTGCTAACATGATATTCGTAAAGAAGCTTAAACAGAAAGAAGATAAGGTCTGTGAATCTCTCCCCAGTTTGGCTATTCTACCAAAAAAAGATCTGAGTTTTGGAAATTCAAACCCAAGTTCATCTCCATTACTTGGAGACCTTGAACAGTTCCCTTTTGTCATTTTAGTTCCTCCAACATTTAACATTCTCCCCAGTTCCCACTGCACTTCTTGTCTAGGCTCAGGTGAAAGAGAACCAACCGTGAATCTGAAAACCATGCTTTGTTGCATATAAGCTGTATTCCAATAGAAAATTCATTTCACCTGTCTGGACCTCAGTTTCTTCATTTGGAAAAATTGAGATATAAAAACAGTACATGCCCTTCCCAGACCTTTTGTGCAAGTTGAATGAGAAACAAATGTGAAGTCATTTTATTGGTAGAAAAATTGGCTTTTTCTTTTTTTGTCTGTGTAGACTCCTAAAGGAAAGTCTCTTTCTCTCTCCACCCAAAGAAGAGGGCAGGCAATTGGTTTTACAAAAATCCAAAGCGGTGATAGTTCGAAGGCTGGGTTTATACTGGGAGATTGGGCATTTCTTCTACAAAGCTAATGCATGTGTGGTGGCCTAAGCTGATCCATGAGCAGAAAAGATAACAAATATCCAAGGCACAGGTTGAAAAAGAAGGATAGGATATTTGATCTTGCGGTTCCCAATTTCTATTCCCCAACCTATGTTTATATTTCTAGGGTAGAAGTCAAGATTTTAAAACAACCAAAAACAAATGTATTTAGTCAAAAATTATTCTAACTCATAAAACCCGTTTCCACAGGAAACTCCTTGTTTTTTTTTTCACTCGAGAACAGAACACGATAATCCCACAGTTCAGTGATGCTGCTGCTGCTAATATCCTGAGAACTAAGTGTCAGGATCTCTTAGAGGGGCTTTCTGTTCATGACAGCAATGGATTCTCACAACCACGCAAAGAAGCAATGGTCATCCATTAATCCCACTTTATAGATGAGGCAGTTGAGGGTCAACTAGCTCAATGTTGGCCTGCCCAAATTATCTCGTGTAGTAAGTAACCTCACAGAGATTCAGGACCCACGTGTAAATCTCAATCTGTAATCCTATTCTCTGTATCAACAGCAATGATTTGCTAGTGCATGTCTATATCAGAGTAGGTCCAATGAGAATAAAAGATCTGATTTCAAATCTTGACACAGTTACCTACAAGACCTGGGATGCTAAGCAAGGCACAGGTTCCCAGAGGGTTAGTGTTACAGTGTGTCTTAGAGATTGCCTAGACTAAAAATAACCTTACATTTTTAAATGCATTTAATTTAATGTACTTGCTACTGCCTCTATATATTCACTGCAAATACTAGCATACATTCCAAAATATGTCAATCTGAAACCGAGTTATTGATAACATTTGCACCACCTCTTTCAGTTTATAATGTTCACCTTCTTCATCTCTTTCTGATTCTAATTAGTACCATGCTTTCCACTTAGCATAGGAAAAAACTGAGGGTCAGTAAAGTGAAATCAGATGGAACTTTTTCAGGTACTCCTTTATATTAGCGTGAATCTATGCAATTAATGACACGATGTTAGCATAAATAACTGTTTCCGTCCACGGATCTTTTGGGGTAAAGAATTAATTGTGGCCCTGGGCCAGGAGAGGGAAGAAGTCACTCAGCTGTTGATAGTTCTTACTCTCTCATTGAAGAAGGGAGAGTAGAGAGGCAATGGTAATAAAAGTCAATAATTTATAAAGATAGATCCTCTTATCTCTTGCAAGGTTTGTGGCAGGACAACCCTTTGTCAACATTATGGCATATCGGGGTAGAACAGAAGCTTGTTCTCTAAAGTGGGGCTTCTCAAACTTCACTAGTCATTCTGGAGTCTGGGAAGTGCAGCTTCTGGTTCAGCACGGCTGGGACTGGGGTTTGGGATTCTACATTCTCACAGGCTCCTGGTGAGCCCAATGGTGTTGGTCTGGAAACTACACTTTACAAGGCAAGGCTCTGCAGGCTTTTTAGATGATCCACTCAAATCTTGAAATTTCAAAACAGAACAAGTTAATCCTCCTTTTCCCCCATTTGTTCATTTTCTAAGTTTGGGAGACAGAAATGGAAGAAAACAAAAATAGTGGGGAAACGATCATTCTGAAAAAACAGGGAAGCTGGTATTGTCCAGGAAGAATTATTAAAGTGCCTCCACTCCCACTACCTGGGCTCATATTCTGTTTGGTAGTAGTCATCCACAAACACTCTAACAAAGCAGAAATGGTGGAAAAAACAAGTTCTTCATCTCTTAATACATTCTAAAATTTTAAATTACAAAATTGAAACCATGAAAGGCAAGAATTGAGAGGATGTTAGAAGCATCTAACAATCATGTTTTTTTTTTTCTTTAAATTCCAGGTCCCCAAGACCCGTTAGAACCACTGATTTAGCTTATCATATGTGTGGCATATTTCTATAATCTCAGGCCAAAGCATTTCAATCTAAATGATTGGGATAATTACGAGAATATTTGGCTTTGATTATGTTTCAGCTTTCAGAAATCTGTTAATCTATTTGAACAGTCACACATCATAATGTATCAATAATTAGCTTGGAAAAAAAGAAAAGTGACTAGTTACTCCTTCTATTCTCCCTAGTTTTTGCCCCACAGACTCCCATCCCCTCAAATTCCAATAGTGGCCCCTATTCTAAATGTTTCATATGTTAATTAAATATGAAATTCATCATAGTTTTTGAGAAGTGCCTAATTCCACAGGAACCAAGCATTGTGATTTACACCAAGGAAGCCATAAGTCATTTCTGTCTGGTGACTGCTTACATGCATGTACTACACACAAAAGTGGAAATAAATTAGAGGCCACATTGAAATAGAAATCAGTTCTTCTGGAAAAGAATTTCAACTTGTGGTAAGTACAGAGTCAGAACTTGCTTTGATAACTTAAAATGAAATATTAGACACTTTTACTGAAAAATTTCATCTTATCTTGAAAGATAGTATACTACCATCCATAGTATACTACCTAGTGACATAAAACCCAAACAAAGAACAACGTAACAAAGTGGAGCGGTTTAATTTTTATTGCCACATCCACAAATGCTGCATGAGCTAAGATATTCTATCTTCTGCTTTACTGGATTACTGTCTTCTAGAATGCAGGTTTTTTTTTAGCAATAGAAATGGCTCATTCATAGGGCTTTGCACGTATATTCTCAACAGAGCTACACCTAGAAAGCATTAGGCTTTCCCAACCTGCCTCTAAACCCTTCACAGCTGAAGGGTTCTGATGCTGCTACTGAAAAGACAGGCTTTATTTCCTTTTTTGTGGCCTATCAAGTCAATGATCTGCGACCTAAAAAGTGTGTAATTAGGCCATGACATGACCAAAGGAGTTGTTACACCTTGCCTTGTCACTGGCAAAAGTGTCTACCCACGTGGCTGTGACAGCTACGGTCTGTTGGGCTTGGAAATTCCTTTAATCTCTCCCCAACTCCTTGGTGGTCCAGTCTGTTGACTGTTACAGGATTGGTTCTTTTTTTAAACTGATTCAATTACATATTCATCCAATAGTGCATAACAGTTGTTATGAAGCCATTATAGATTATGGACCAAAGGCAATTAGTTCTTGAGAGAGAAAGTTGAACACATTTTCTTTTAACGTGTGTGTGTCTGTCTGTCTGTCTCTGTGTGTGTGTGATTTCTATAAACTAAGAGAAACTCAGGAAATATATCTATCAGTTACAGCCATATTACTTCTCAGTACTGAGAGCTTGACATGCATAAACCCAATTTTAAAAAATTACGGTGACTCTACTATCAAAAGCTGAGATGTACCTTCCCTTCCTCACTATTTCAGAGCCATCTCCATACATCAGTGACAGTCTACAGAGCAGATCAGGAGGAAATAGAATTATCTTAGTTATCCTAATTTTTTGGAGAATATACAATCAACATCACTTTAAGAGGAGCACTGTTTTATATATATATATATATATATATACACACACACACACATAGAAGTATTAAGAAATTTATCTGGCATGTGTGCTTTGTAATAGGAATCTCACAGGTATAACTGTGTGTTTCTAGTTACCCGAAAGCTGTCTAGGACAATTGCTTTCACTTTTTCTTCCTAAGGAGAGTCTGAATAGGCAAAAACCCCAAAAAACAACAACAACAAAATGGATCTGTTAGGAAAGTAAACTTTAAATGAACAAGAAAAAGTGTGTGTTTATACATGTAGATATGTATAGATGTACACGTGCTCAACCTGGAGTTCTAACTAAAACCTGGACGTGCTTTTCTAGACACAGGGGCACAGGAGGATGTAAATAAAGGCATGAGTGACTCATTTCTGCTACATTCTTATTACAACTTGACAGATCATCTTTTTTTTAAAAAAAATTATAGAACCCAAGAGAGTTCATCAGGTTGAGTAAAAATAAAAGATTAAAAAAAAAAAAAACTAAAACCAAGAACAGCTTCTTCAAAGCACCATCAAAAATGGCACAGAGATATGACTTTGGCTTATTTGCCACGTATTGATTCCACAGCCTAGACTCAAACTTGCAAGTGGCTTCTCTCTGCCTTTGGGTCTGTATCCCAGCTGGGAAGATGGCATGGAAAACTCTCCCATCCCTTCTGAACCCCCAAGAACTCCATCCTCAGTTCCTTGTTGATCTGAGAATACCATCTCTGGCATGGCCATGTTTTACAATGCTCTCACTATATTTTTCCAACAGATTTCTCAGAGACTGCAAATGTAAATAAAATGATACAGAGTCTAGCATAAAGTTGCCAATGTTTACTTTGCCAAGGAAGAACATGAAAAACAAAATTGGATGTCTAAAACTACCGTTTGCTATTGTTCTAATTTTATAAATCTTTTTAAACAGCATGTGAGAAGGAAGAATAGATACAGCCTATTTCCCAGAAAAGAGGGTTGACAACCATATTACATGGTTGGTGTTCTTCCGTTTTGATAAACCGTAAATATGCCATCAAAGGCAGGTGCCAGGTCTTGAACTGGCCTTGGGAGATACTGCTTTCAATACGGCACTAGAATAAGATCTTGAGATCTCTCCTTGCCACACATCACAAAGAATAAGAACAAGGGCTGCTACTGCTGTTTAGCTAGAAATATTTTCAATCCCTATCAAACTTGGTTCAGATAAGAGGACTGGGGAAAGCAAAGCAAGTGCCCCCTTTGTCTGCTTTGCATGTGTACTTTCATTAAGGGTTCCAAATTATCCACAGGTTAAACTATATCCTATCCCATGGGAAAAAAAAAATGAAAACATAATGTCCATAAAATACAACATCTTCTTAAAAAATTAACCTTCCTACAAAAATAAGCCCTTAAATGGTAAATTAAATTTTCTATTCAGGATGCTCATATACTTTATATGCTGACAATTCCTTAATTTTTAGTATATATCATCGGATAAGAACTCCAATTAAAATGGAATATCACTGTAAATATACTTATTTGCCTGTCTATTTTCATGACAGCCTTTCTCTACTACTTAATCTGAGGCCAGAAAAATTCTAAAATAGACAGGAAGTAGCCTGCGCTAATGGAAATCAACTCAAATCCTTTTACTTTTTTAGTTCAGCTTGTACAATCTTTTGTGCATAAGGATTTAGTCCTATTTTCTGTATTTAGCTTATGATGAAATATTAGAGGGCAGAAAGATGGTCCCTTCCTTGCTTCCTTCCCTCTTTTTCCATTCATCCACCCACCTATGTATCGATTTATCTCCATCTATCCATCTACCCATCCTTCACCCATCTATGTATGTGTAAGCATGGATGTATGTATATGTCTATCTCTGTCACTTAAATAATTTTAAAATAAGACTAAATCCTCTATGAACCTGAAAATATGCCTACTTATCCTTACTAGGTTCTAAGAAACACAAATCTGTCTCTGAAATAGAACCTTTTATTCATAGGTTATGAATGTCATATTTAACTTACGTTCTCTAGCATGTAGTTTGTGACCACTTGAAATTAACAAGCCCTGGTCTCTTTGCATTAAGCTTTACCTGAAAACACTTATAAGTCCCTTGTGAGGCCCCAAGGCACAAGTGAGTGTGTGTGTGTGTACGTGTGTGTGTGCAGAGAGGAAGATAATATGGCATTTTATTTGGATTTCTATTAAGTTGAGCTACGTAACATTTATGTAGATATATGTATATTTTCATATTACAACAGAGCCAATATGTCATTTTTGTCACACAAAAGTAGCAATTTCTAACTCTACATTAGCAGTGAAACTTTAAGGCCTCAGAATCCAAAAAGGTATACATTAAAACAAAATTATGTTGGTTGCCATCTTTTGCTCAGTTTAGAGATACCTGTGTGGCCTGGTGCCGCAATTAATGTCAAAAGCTTCTTGGCTTTCATGGATCTTTACAAGAAATGCATGTTTTATGTGGAAGAAATGGCCCCTGGTAACTATCAGTGTAATTGGACTGTGATGAAATCTGAGTGAAAAACTGTCTTGCTTCCGTCTCTAGGCGGTCTGCATCTAGCTACTTTCAGCCCTGACGTGGAGGGACATTTTCATGCACTGATCATTAGGAAATGTTAAGAGTGTTAGCAAGCAGGACAAGCATGACAAATGTCTGTCTGTCTGGGGAGATAACACTTTCATCAAAGCCATGTACACATCACATTTTCCCAAATATTTGTGGCACAGTTGATCAAACAGGGAATCTTTTCCACCCCCTCCGCACCTCCCAGTTTGGCTGCTTCAAGATGCAACAACAACCAAGTCATAATACACAAACCATGAGCCAATCAATAAAGAGAAGCCTGCCCCCAGGCTTAATTCAAGCAAGCCATTCATCAAGCTGATGTGATGGACCTGTCCAATCCAGAACGTATCACAGACACATCAGCAACACCAAGTGGCATGCAATGACCGGATGACCAAAGGCCCCTCTGCCATGCTTCAGTTGGTTCAAGCTCAGGAAACGCTCTCCTTTGAAAGTTCAGACAGTTGGCTTTGCATAAATCAAAGTGAGATTAGAAATAAAGATTTGGTGAAGGTCAAGTGCTTTGCCAAATGTTTCCTAAATGCCAAGAAAAGATGTTCACCTATTCCCATTAAATTTGTCAATGAGACTATAAAATTACCTAGTCCAGTCAGGTATTTTTCTTTTGGGGAAATCTCTGCCCACACCAGATGGTCTTCTTTCTGGAGGTCAACATTCAGAGACTCTCAGGTTGCTCCGAGATAATCAGCATGTGATCATTTAACCAAGAAGATGATGGGCAGGGAGTTGCAAGGTGCCCATTAAGGACCTTCTGGACAGTCCTGAGGTTACTGGAGTTCAATATTTTTCAAAGATCCCTGAATCTTTCATTTGATGAGGGCTTAATTTGTGCTGAAAAAAGGTAAAATCCTACCAACTGGGGACATCAAACTTCTTTTGCTTTCAAGATGTCTGAAGAGTGAATCTCATGATTACAGGGAAAGTTTGTTGCTGTTTCTCTTTTGATCAACTGACAACCAGTGAGCATTACCAAAACATTCTCAATGCCTGCTGATTTTACTTCCTATTTTGGACGAAGTTTTTCTGTTAAGTTTTTCTTTATCTTGCCTGTCTTCTACAGAAGAGGAACTAAGCTTCCATCACTTACTGATTCTATGCTGTGATGATATAAAAATAATTGGTTACACAATTGCTACTTCTGAGAGAAATTATAGGTACTTGGCATCTTTAATCTAGATTCAAAAGCTATTCTGATAATTTCACATTTTCCCCTAAACGTGTCTTCTATAAAAAGGTATTCTTTCTCAATATCTGCTTATTACAGATAAAAGGAAGTAGCACCATTTAATAGACATTTTAAAACATCAGAAATACAACTTTAAAGATTGCTTTCTGTCCATTTACTTATTAATTAATTTACTTCAATGAATAATACCATGTGGCAAGTGTCTTGCTTATGATAAAGTTAAATAGGAATAGTTATCAATTTCCACAGCAACCAAGAAGACCAAATGTGCAAATTTCTCTAATGAACAACAAGAGGCCAATTATATGGACAACAGTATTAGTTAGTTGGTTTCTTCAACTGAAACTATGGTACTAAAGTTGGAATTGCAGTTATTAAAGATTCACCAATCCAAGAACAAGGGCAATCTTTCAGTGGGACATGTTGCCAATGAGAAATCTGAATAATATCAAAATAACAGATTTTACATGTATGGTGTTCCAAAATGCAGAAATTTAAAAATGTTTAGATGAATGCAAGTAGGGATGGCCAGAATCTCAGGTAATTCTAATAGCATTAAATATTGTTAATTGTTTAAATGTCTAGACCAGTCTTATTGAAGGAGTCCATTTAAATCATATCTTTGTAATCTTTTTTTTTCAACTTGGGGATAGATGCACTTATACTGAAAAGCAAGATAAATCAAATCTGTTTAAGATTCTTATAATTATACAGCAGGCTAGAGTTACTATGATTATAATTATATACAAAGTGGGTGTTTGAGAATTTAGCATCTAGAGATATTTTCATAAAAAATAATTAAGGGTTGCAGCTGAACCACATTACAATTGATACTTTGTGAAGCTTCAGTGCAGAATTTAATAACATTAGGCCTTTTCCTTTGTAGAATGATCTTGAGTATTTCAAGATTGTCATCATTTTTATTAGTCTTATTGACCCTCTCTACTTTCCTAATCCAGTGTCAAAGTGTGTTGGAGATAACAACTTACATGAAACACATTTTGCATCTTGGCAACTGATTACTCGGTAAATGTATAATTTATGTATTGAGAACCTTGTCTTGACAATTGTCTGGATTTCTCTGAAGGCCCCCTACAGCCTTGAGAACTTGTTATGGCTGCTTATAAGAAAATGATACCTGCATAGAACCAGATAGCAGATCTCAACTCCATCTTGCCAAAGAGCCATTTGTTACAAGTGTATGCATGGGGTTTTCAAAATGCAGCTTTTAGGATTCAGGGATTTATTCTGCTTTATTATATTGCAAGAATTCTGTAGCTACAATTAGCTAACACCACGTCTCGTGAGAAATGGAATGGAACTGCAGAGAAAGCACACCACAGCAAACCGAGGTAGGAACTACATCACAACAGGCCAGGTAGGAGGACCAGAGGCTGCTGACGCTTCCCATTCAGGAGTCAAATACATCGCCTGCTTACCTGTCTGACCCAGCATGCCCCAGCCACACATGCAAATTGTTATCATTGTTTTATTCGTGAAACATATTTTTAAAATAAAGGACTCATTACCAAAATAAGCACCCTCAATGACATTTGTGCATGCAGAGCATCTGAACATTCACATTTATGTCCTCAGAAAACAGAGCCAAGGAGTTGCATTCAATATGAAAACACACACTTTCCTTTTCAAGGCAACCATACAAAAGTAGCTACGGCTTGCTGTTTCAGGAACCAACTCATCTGTTCAGCCTGGGTGATAGAAACCCCTGATTTCCACCCCACCCCCGCAACCTGCCCATCCATTCTGACTTCTGCATTCCTCAAACACACTGTGTTCCTTCCACTGCCTGCCTTAACATGTGGTGTACATTACAAATAAAAGCTGGCTTATGTTTGTAGGATTGGACACTGGGCATTGCTAGAAAGAATCAATCTCCTTATGAATGCCAGGGACACTCTCCCTCTCCTTTATTTAGAATTGTAATAATGCAATGGAGGGAATGATTTATTGGGTATAAGACCTTGTAAAAAGGAAAGGGGCTTGAAATTGAAGTAAACCTTGTAGGATCATGGTCTGTTTTTCTTCCTATGAGTTAGATGAAACCGTGGTCTTATGTGGAAGACCATAAGAAGGTTGTACGGTGTGTGTGTGTGTGTGTGTGTGTGTGTATGTGTATGTGAGCAAGGTGCGTTGTCACAGAAATTAAGAGATGTGAAAAACTACACAAGGACCAAGGCTATCATTTTCTTTGTGTCTCAGCAGAGAGAGTAGTTTAGAATTGGCTGAAGCATTTGCCCTCTCTCTATGGGGACTTGAGTTCACGTTCACCATGGGACCTAACTTTTGGGGTGCTACCTCCCCCAGCAGTCATGCAGTTTCACCAAGACCATACAAGAATCTCCTCTCCCATCAACTAAGTTAATTTACAAGTAGTTGTCAAGCACAAGAAGGATGACCCTTACCTGTCACTGTAGGCAGCGGCAGTGGCAGGGGTAGGCTGGGCGTAGCGGTATGCAGCATAACCACCCTAAAACACAAGGAGAAATGTGACTCAGGAATGTAGCGGAGCCCAATGCAGGGATGCCCAGTGGCAAGACCACACCAGAGCAGCTGTTACCCAAATCTACTGAGCTAAAGTTGAGGTTAATGAAAGCTTAGTATCAAAGCGAAAATACAAAAACACCCTGGAGAAACAAGGGGTGGAATACCAACCCCAGCTGGATGTTAAAGGTTAGCGGTCATAAGCACATCCCAAAAGAAGAGCCTAGAGGCCCTTGGAAGAAAATGTACCTAAATGTTAATGGCGATTGTCTTGGGGTGGAGAGGATTATGGGGAATTATTTAAATACTCTTTATACTTTGCTGAACTTTCCAGATTTTCAAAATTGTTTCTGCTTTACCTTTATCAGATATTAACTTAAATTTTATTCAAACAGTTCTTATTTTCTTATAAAGTGAATGCTTTCCTGTCTTTTATATTTATTAAATCACCCTTTGATTGAAAGTTTATTAGTAATCTCTTACCTATCTGGTTGTTAAACCACTAATGTTATTGAAGAATGTCTGTAGCTGTCTAAATGTTACACAATTATTACAAAAATGACTGAACATTTCTTTTTGGCCAAAGATATCACATGGTTATGTATCATGCTGCTTCAGACGGAGAATTTGTTTGGTGTGGAAAATATGATAGTCTTCTAATTTGTAAATAAAATCATTAACAGAAAAAATCTGAAAAGAAAAAATAATTAACATTTAGTTGTATGTACCAGTAATTGCAATTGTTCAATTAAGCAAAGAGGACGAGCAAATAGGCATATTCAAAAGGAATTGTGTTCAGTGGAGCGTTGATGATCAAACTGTGAATATAACAGAGCTTCTTGCTCAGTGGACCACAATGATACATCAACCAGTGTACAATGAACTCAGCACAGTTAAACAGGATCCAGTGTCCGCTGATAACACAGGACCATTCAGGTTCTAATTAGAACACACAGTCCCATAATCCTCTGAGGTAAGTGTCCTCACCATCACCATAAAGGGGCAACTCAGGACAAAGTAGTGTGTGAGAAGGTATACAACAGCAGAATCATGAGAGGGAAAGGTAGGTTCATGGCATTTGGCTTCATGAAACTAAATACGATAAGACATAGATGAAGCAGGGAAGCTACAAAAAGCCTCTTTCAAGATGTAGGTACACGGGTCTCAATTTCTTTCTGCCTCTTTCCTGCACAGTTAACTTTCAGAGTAAATATGCTATCATTTGCACAGCAATTCAAAGAAACGAGTTTATCTTTTAAAGTTTATTCTTTGGATCAGTCCTGGAGAAGACACATCCAAAACATCCTGCCACATAATCACCAATAATTTAGAACCAGTTTTTTTTTTTTTTGTTTCCCTTAAAGAGGTAATGGAAGTTAACCACAACAAAAAGAGGTCTTAGCCAGATGCCACCTGGTGTTCCAAATACTATGTTCTCCAATTAGGAATGGGGAACTCATTAAATGTGCTGAGGAGTTATAAAACCAAAGCAGTTATAACAGCACTGAGTTCAACAGAGTGACGGACTAAAGAGAAATTGGGTCACCAGGTTTATGGAGCCATTTTTCTATATAGCTTGTTCATCTTCTTGGCTTTCATAAAGTTCACAGAAAGATACAGGTGTGCAGGTACATACATTAAACTTAATGAGGTAGGGAGGGGCTAGAACTGGCTAGCTGATTTCCAGAAGACATTAGCTGCAACAGGCTTAAAGTTTTGAGTGGAGAGAATGTGTGTGGTATGAATGTGTTTCTCTCTGGAACAAGAAAAAGTATTTGCAGCAATCAGATGCCATGTGAATCATGATTTGGTGACTGAATTTGGTCCCACCAAAGATGTCTAGCAACATCCTATTTGCAAGCCTCTTGGTTTGAACTTTGCATATCCTCCACCTTCTGCCTTAGTTTCAGTCAATGGAAGAAGGCAGCGAGTCCGATAAATGGGAAGAATTGCTGCGGTGCAAACAACTAAATGAACCACACTGACTAGTAGGTTATGTATAGTAGAAACATCAAATGCAGGTGTGTACACCTGGGATTCCGCTGCACAGCAAATGTGGTCATCTATGAAGGTCTCAAAATGACCTCTACTCTGTTTGCATATGACTTGGCCAGTTACAGAAAATGTGTGTTTCCAGACAAGACGGGCACAAGTCGTCAATATTCTGATATTATTTATGACTTTATTATCTAGAAATTTGCTTGTGAGCATTCCTGATTCCAGGGTTAAGATCACAATTTCCTTAACTCTCCAGAGCCAGCGGAGAGATTTTAAACCTTGATCAGTGGTCTCATTGCTGTGCAGTAGACCACTTGGAGATGAATGTTCTATATCTGTGCTGTCCAACAGAGTAGCTACTTCTAGTAAATGACTATTGAACTCTTGAAAGGTAACTAGTGCAATGAACTGATTTTTAAATTTACTTTTCAGTTAATTTGAATTTAAATGTAAATAGCCACATGGGGACTGGTGGCCAAAGGATTGGACAATACCAGCCTAAATGATCCCTGAAACATGTAATAATTAGGGAAAAAGGGATTAGGGTGGTTTTATCTCTCCTCTATCTTTACTGCATGGTCTTCCTTTGCTATTTTTCTTCTGTATGCAATTCATACTAGGGAAATAAGAGTTGTGTATTAACTCAGTGTATGTGTACATACACTGTAAAATATAAATTGCTTTACATACAAAAATACAAATTGCTTTAATTTTCCTAACAGGTGACTTGAATCAATTTTATCGCTCTGTATTTTGCAGCTCACTGAGCATATCCAGAACTTCTTCAAGGTTCCACAGTGATGTCTGTAAAAGGAACACTCACTTTCAATTGCTGTCACCAGACCATGTTCATGTTGAACCTGGTCTTCCGAGATCATTTGACAAAAATGTGTCATTGACAATTAAATTTTTCCCACCACCAAACCAAAGGAACGAGGCATGACAAACACAAAATAGTTCTACGCTCCCATTCATGAAACATTTATTTCTTCACAGGATGGGCAGCAAAATATAAATGTAACCTTATATAAAAATTTCAAATTGTCATTGTGCATCTTGTTGCCACCACCACCAAATGAGTGAGGCCACCAAAGTGATCCACTCATGTGGACTGAGAAGTTTCCTTTGTTAGCAAAACCTCTAGAGGTCCTTTGAGGTAGTTACCCATTAAGCACCTCAAATGATGCTCCAATAAAGCATTTTGTTCTCTTATTACTACTAGAGATGGGGTCTCACTATGTTGCCTAGGCTGCTGTCAAACTCCTGGGATCAAGCGATCCTCCCAATTCAGCCTCCCAAAGTGCTGGGATTACAGGTGTAAGCCACTGTGCCTAGCTAATAAAGCAGTTTCAAAATTATGCTTGTGGGGTATTAATGGTGGCAAGGAAAGGAAAATTTCCACAACCAAACTGGTTTGGCAGATGCTCAGTTAAATTAAACTGGTTACTCTGTTTGTGGAACTCCTTGGGACAATATTCATGAACACTGAGGGACCTCCAAGGCATCTCAGAGAATTTGAGGCTTAAATCAAAGTTTTCACTTTAGATCACTTTTGAAAATAAATGTTCTACCGGCCAAACAGTGAAATAGGGGAGGGGAAACCTGTGTGTGCTAGGGAGACGTGGGCGTCGGTAGGACTGTAACATGTACGTGTTACGCATGCTTCCTTCAGCTGGAGTGCATAGGAAAGTAAATCAGCTTAACTAGGGGTAAAGGCTCCCTTTATGATGAAAATATGCAAGGGTCAAGTCTCACTTGGTGCAAAACAGGTGTGCTGGTATATACACATACAACTTAAATCTTATTTACTATATAATACTTATAAGAACATTTTAAAATGAAAAATTTATCTCCCTAATTTATCTATATGTTCTTTTTTTTTTTTTTTTTTTTTTTGAGATGGAGTCTTCTCTGTCACCCAGGCTGGAGTACAATGGCGCAATCTCGGCTCACTGCAATCTGTGTCTCCCAGGTTCAACCGATTCTCCTGCCTCAGCCTCCCGAGTAGCTGGGACTGCAGGCATGTGCCACCACGCCTGGCTAACTTGTATTTTTAGTAGAGATGCGGTTTTGATACATAGGCCTGGCTGGCCCCGTCTTGAACCCCTGGCCTCAAGCAATCTGCCTGCCTTAGGTCTCCCGAAGTACGGGGATTACAGGTGTGAGCCACCACACCTGGCCACATCCATCTATTTTTGAAGGGTGGCAGTTGGAGGTCCAGTTCTCTTGAAATGTGACAGTGAAAGTTCATCTCAGGAATTTTAACCATATTGCTCTTTACTAGGTCAAAGTACCTCTTTCTCACATTCAGGTTTTAATTAAAACTCAGTCAATTCTCATGGTTTACAAAAAGTACTTTCGTAATTCACTCATAATACTGAAGAAAAAAGGGAATTGCAGAGATAGGGAAAGTAATGTCCTACAACTCTCACTGATCATCCTCAGTTTGACATTCATCTTATTTGACGGTTTCAATGTGGGTAATAGACCAAATTTGGAGACTCTAGGCCAGCCACATTCCAATGAATATGTTGACTTTTTTTCTTCCTACAAATTTGTTCAGTTGGTGGTTGCTTTAGCAGTGAGAAATAGGTTTAAAAGCTATAACAACAGGCTTGAAATAAATTTCTGATCAGCTCTACTAAGACCAGGGAGGGTTATGTTAGATGTCAGGTATGCTGGCCCTTAATGTTGCACATGAGATTCTTGATTTAACCCCATTCCGGTTCACTCTGGGAACCTACTAAAAAATTATCCAGACAATTGGTTCAATTAGAACCTTGAATTATTTTCATTGGATTTATACTGATTGAGTCCAGATAGCT
Organism: Homo sapiens; assembly: GCF_000001405.40. Lineage (NCBI taxonomy): Eukaryota > Metazoa > Chordata > Mammalia > Primates > Hominidae > Homo > Homo sapiens. The sequence goes on along the minus strand of NC_000016.10, from coordinate 7,671,936 downwards.
TTTAAACTAAAAAATTAACAGCCAAGCTAGACCACCATTTGACACACTCAGGATCTAACAAAGCTCATGGCTGAGGCCAGCTAACAGCACTCAGTCATGGAAACAGCACCCATATTTGGAAGAAACTGCCACAACACAGTGGATATACTGATAGATACAGGGATAGCCACCTCACCTCTATTCTAGGAGATTTCATATTAAAACTGGAAAATTCAGTTAAGTCTTTCCTCCTATGTTAGAGAACTGTTCCCCTCCCCAGAATTATCTTGTTAGTAAGGATTTCACAGCAAACCCACAATCATAGTGATGAGTTTCTCCACCAGTCGGGATTTCATACCTGCAGCAATTTATTGCCATACACAGGCTCTTGATACACTACTCTATAAGGAAACAGAAATGTAATGTTTTCAATGCAAAAATGAAATAAATAAAAGAGAATGCATAAGTCAGACAAATTCCAGAGCAATTCATTTACAAGTTTGCTTCTCTCTTACTTCACCAAGCCTTGGGACTGGCCCACCAAGCTGAAAGGGGCACTGGGCATCGACAAACATTTTTAGTTGCAAATCTCTGCAATGGAGAGTATCAAGGTGGAGATGGGGATCAAACCACTTTGTGTTATAACTTGTGTTTATTTCTAAAGAAGAAAAAGATAATTTCATGGCTTCTTGCCTCTTAAAGCATATTCCAACAGTCCAAATTAACTATTTCACATTCATCTCTTTATCTCATGATTGGAATTTTCTGGAATATCTAAGGATTTAAGATGAATGCCTTATTATTGAAGTAGTTAAGAAAACAGCACAGTAGCAACCATAACTGCATAAATGCCTTTACTTGTTAAATTAATTTCAACTAACAGCAAAATTGCAGTTCATGAATTCATGAATTACACTGAAGCTACGATGGCTCCTTTTAATACTTTCAGACTAGAGAACTGTGAGTATATATGAGTGTGTGTGCGTGTGTGTAAACTAGTGTTAATATACATATCAAAATGCTATCATTTCATACAAATCTAGCACTGGCAAGGAAGGTCTCTGTAGAATCCTTGTGCGGACTAGGATGCAGTTTTTTGACATAAGAGTCATTCATGGTCAAGATTAATCTTCCATGTGAGTGGTCACAGTTTGAAATAAAATTCTCCAATTCTAGGGCAGACACTGAGATGGCTGAACACTTGAAGAGACTGAGGGACGTACCCTATAAAGGCTTGTGTATACTTTTTCCTACATAGCCTGCCTTTCCAGTTTAAATTTGCTTCCTTATGTTAAAAGTCTAAGCTTACGGAGCGATGCCTGATAACATTCTTGTTCCTCTCTCTCCTCCTTTCGCTCCTAGTTCACTGCTTACTTGAATATTTCCAGTACAAATATTATTCTCAGTGGTCTAACCACCCCGTTATGCTTTTACTTCTCTCCCTCTTCCTTTCCCATCTTTCACCGTACTTTTCAAATATTGCTCAACTAGCGCAATGACTTGAGTTTGTGGGCTCAGGGCTTCAGCATTAAACTCAGTAGTCAAATCATGTGGGCTCAAGGCCCAGTGTCTGAAGATTTTTGGACAAATTATTTTCTTTTTTTCTGGAAAAAAAAGTTTCCTGTTGGCCACACGTGGTGGCTGACACCTGTAATCCTAGCACTTTGGGAGGCCAAGGCAGCTGGATCACTTGAGGTCGGAAGTTCGAGACCAGCCTGGCCAACATGGTGAAACCCCGTCTCTACTAAGGATCCAAAAATTAGCCAGGCGTCGTGGTGCATGCATGTAGTCTCAGCTATCTGGGAGGCTAAGGCAGGAGAATTGCTTGAACCTGGGAGGCAGAGGTTGCAGTGAGCTGAGATCATGCCACTGCACTCCACCCTGGGTGATACAGGGAGGCTATGTCTCCCAAAAAAGTTTCTCTTCTGGAACAACAGAAAAATAGAGGTAAGATTCCTTGTTTCAAGGGCTGTGGTGAGGAGAGATGACGTAATACAGGTAAAACACTCAACATCTTGTCTCTCCCATTGCAAACACAGCATTCGCCTGATTTCTTGGTGGACTGAGGTCTCCACTATGGTGACTGCGGACGGCAAGTCAAATGCCAATCCTCAGCCACCTCACACTGAAAGCAAGGTCTCAGGAAGAAAGACTAGGAGTTTTTATTTAAAGAATTCCTACTTTCCAGCTTTACATGTTCCCAAAGCTACTGACACATCTCATTCCTGAGTTTAAACATCAGTGAAATGAGGATACCTCTTTGTTTTAAAACATATGGGTGGCAGAGTGACAGGAATTCAGAAATAATTGTGTTTAGCCATGGTGTTAACCAGAAACTTGTTATACAGAATTTAGGAATGGTATAAAAATGCACTGGAATCTCAAGACATATTTGCTAGGCGGCCCTCATGGTTGCGTCTAATGTTAGGACGCTTAGGATGTTCTTAATAAAAAGGAACAAGGTTAACATTTATACTCTATATCCTCTCACTCTTTCTCTCTGCTCTTACCATTGTCACACCTCACTATGTTATTCCAGTTTCTATCCGTTTGTCAATTCTTTTTAACAGTTCATTATAATTTCTTTCTCTCCCTCTTTTCATTTGTAATATTAATAGTTATCTTTTGATCAAATGCTATACTTTTTGGTCTCTTTCTGAGAAGGTCAACCAACAGATGTCTTGGTTCAGTTAAGCAATGCTTGTTTTCCACTCCTTGGTCAACTTCTAGCCTCATAAAACCTATAGCTTCAGGGGTCAGTCATGGTGGGTCACACCTGTAATCCCAGCACTTTGGGAGGCCAAGGCAGGTGGATCTCTTGAAGTCAGGAGTTTGAGACCAGCCTGGCCAACATGGCGAAACCCCATCTCTACTAAAATACATGGATTAGCTGGGCATGGTGGCGAGTGCCTGTAATCCCAGTTACTCAGGAGGCTGAGGTTGAAGAGTCCCTTGAACCCTGGAAGCGGAGGTTGCAAGTGAGCTGAGATCGTGCTACTGTGCTCCAGCCTGGGCGACAGAGCGAGATTCCACCTCAAAAAACATCTATAGCTTCACTTCCAAGTATGAGAGACTCTGTAGATCTAAGAACCTTAGTCCTTGCATTGCAACTCTGTTTGTATAAACTCTACCATTTAGTTTGCTTAACTTGATCCACTTTTTAATTAAAATGAATGTATTTAAAGGTGCACCACTAAGCAATAATAGTGAACATATCAAAAGATTTGATATGTTTCATTATGAAAATTAAATTCCTATCTATCTTTTTATACAAAAGTGTGTGTGTGTGTGTGTGTTCTGTTCTGTTCTCAGGTAGAAGGGACTCAGATAAAGATCATTCCTACCCTCCATTCTCAGACAACCCCCGCATCACCTCCGATGAGTAGCCAACCACACTGTGCCTGCACCTCTCCACTGTGGCTAGAGGCAGTGGGTTTCCTGCAGGGCTCAGCTCCTGAATAGGATTGAAGGCTTTGTCTTTGCTCTCTGCCCAAATGAGCTGTCCTGGTTTTTTCCCTTCGTGTCTGGCTCACAGCATTTCATAACAAGTCTACTCCCTTTGGCAATTTCAAGATATCTGTGATCATCTGTCCCTCTCTGTTCAATCCTCTTTCCTCTGAAAACTTTCAGAAGGAGGTCATTTGAGAGAAGAGGTTGTGGCTTGCCAGTTACAGGGATCACGCAGGTCTTTCAATGACTATGTGCTTTGGCAGAACTAAAAAATGCCCGAGGGCTCCAACCTCAGGTGGTAGGCATGGAAAGACCTTGAAGAACAAAGGACGGGGGAGGGGAGAGAGCAGGGCACCTAGAAAAGCCCAGTAGTTCTGAGATGCAAGCTGTTGAGTTGTTGACCTGCTCTGATATACTGCCAGGATGGAGAACATTTTGAGCAGGAAGAATCTGACAGTATCCTCCTTTGTCTTCCTTAGCAGTGACCGAAGCTAGAAACTGACTACCCAATAAACTTAAAAAGAAGAGGTTTATGGCTTGGTGCAGTGGCTCACGTCTGTAATCGTAGCACTTTGGGAGACCGAGGCGGATGGATCACTTGAGGTCAGGAGTTCCAGACCACCCTGGCCAACATGGTGAAATCCTGTCTTTACTAAAAATACAAAAATTAGCCAGGGGTGGTGGTAGGCGCCTGTAATCCCAGCTACTCAGGAAGCTGAGGCAGGAGAATTGCTTCCAGGGGGCAGAGGTTGCAGACAGATGACATTGCACCGCACTCCAGCCTGGGCGACACAGTGAGTCTGTCTCAAAAAATATAATAATAACAAAAAGAGGTTTAAATCTATTCGAGGTATCTGATGTGTCTAACATATATCCCGGGGCCGCTGACAATTGCCCTAAACCTATTTATTGTGTACTACTTTTAACGAGCTTGAAGGAGTAAGCCAAAATCTTTCTTTAAAGTAGAAGCTCACATGACTTTCTAAGAGTCTGTTTAACCATCATCTCTTTTAAAAACGAAGCTTGGGGATATTTCCACTCATCAGAACATGCTGGTATCTCAAGGGAGGTAGGGTAGTGGCTTTAAAAAGCACATTCAAGATTATGATATATTTCTAGCTAGGATGAATCTTGTTCTGTATATTCTGTGGTGCAGAACATATTTATATTTCTTAAACTTATGGTCATCAAAGACCTCTTGTTCTGCTGCTGAGCTGGGCAGTGGCACAGGCTAGTTTCCTGCTGTCCAGTATACACACGGATGCACACCAGCAGCAATATGTTAAAGTCATCATCAGACAAAGCAAAATATTCAGGAAGGTCTACCAGATTCCAGAGACTGTTAGAGACAGGACAGAAACATGTGCTGGGTAATCAAATCTCTAAATTCATATTGCAGGAACTTTTTCTGCCACCTGATTGCATATGTGATGCTCCCCCACTGAAAAATCTTATTGTCATTATAATATAAAGAGTGGGGAAAACGATAATTTCTGGCTGGGGGTCGTGGCCTGAAAAGTCAGAGAAAGGGCAGTTTTATGAACAAACATATCAGACAACTTAGGACTGGAAGAAACTCTGTCCTTGAAGCTCACCCTGATGCTTCCCGAGCTGCACCGCTGCACCCAGTGGGCTTGGCCCAAACATGATGAATGTGTGAGAGACAAAATCTCCTAAAGGAACTAGAAAAGCACAAAGGGACACTTCTGTGGCTTTCTTCCCTGAATAAATTTTCTTTTTCCTCTCTAGTCAAGTGGTTGGCATATTTCCTTCTTCTAACTTTGTTTTTTCTCTATTTGCATTGCTCTGTGGATTCTCTGATGCAGCGATATGCCCCAATCGATACAGACACACACTCGCACTCACTTAAATGAGTCCCTTCTTTTTCCTTATTTGTGGGAGCTCCACAGACCCTGCCTTCAGGCAGCCTCTCCTTCCTGCTACTCAAGAATCTGAGGCCAAGAAGACACCAATTTGATATCTGCATAAGACACCACACATTAATGATTCAATAAATTATTGTCAGTTTGAAGAAACTGAGGCGTGAAGAGGTGGACACTCACTAAATGATTGTGAAATACTTTTAACTAAACTCAGGAAAATCTGCATTTTTTTTTTCTTGGGTAGGTGTTGCTGGAGATAGTTTCCATTTTGGTGGATTTTTTAAAAAACCATTTCTCTATCCCTTGTCTATTCCCTTTCATTTCTAAAGCCCTAAATTCTGCGATGCCAACTACCATTCTGGCTCCTCCCATCTGCAATAATCTACCCATGGGCTGCATGGAGTCGAGAGCCAGGACTGGTGATTGGGTTTAGCAGGTGCCTGAGGAAATGAATGGGCTTCAGACTGCTCAGCCCCAGCCTGCCTCATAATTTAAAATCTGAAAGTCTGAAAAAAGAGGACATGAGACAGAAAAGCTTAAGTTCCACAAAAAAGAAGAAAATTGATCACTGAGTGAATTAGGACATATGGGTTGTTCACTCATTTTATTACGGGGGAAAAAATACTAACCCACAGATTATAGTAAGTATACTTGATGCAATAGTAGAACTCAACTAAGTCTATTATTGATGGAGATACATACTATATCTCAAAATTGTAATGATTTGAAATTCAAAAGGAATACAATAATCAGTGCCTTATTCATCTTCTAGTACATGATACCAATTTCATCAGAAATATGATTTTTTTGCTATCTAGTCTGTAAAACAAATATAATCCCATTGACTGAGGTCTTTTGTAATAAAAATTGTGATTTAGGGAATATCTCCCAACACTGCCTACTTATTCAAAATTGTGTTTACTCCAAGTCATTTTCATATCGTCAATGCTCATATCATAATGTCGGAGAATAACTACCTCTAGATGAACATAGTTAAATTCTTGTTCTCATAATGAGAAATAGCCTACTCTTTTCTAAAAATAAACTTAAAGTGTTACTATTTAGCAAGCAATTTTAAGTCAGGTAATTGGGGGAAATGGAATAAAAGGTTAAAGAAAATGGGGGCTCAATGTTCAATTTGACATACATATTAAGAGAATCAGGAGATGTTTAGGGCTAAACTTGTCCATGTCTAGAGAGAGAAAGAGTGTTCCTAAGGCTACTGTGATATTTTAGGGAAAACATCAAAAATAGCAGCCATGAAAATATCTTTTAACCCTCTGCAGCTGGTGACTACAGCTGTTATCCTAAATATTATACTGAAAACGAAGAACATATCGAGAACTTGAGAGACAATTTCTTTGTGGGTGAAGTGGGGTCTTTAGTTGGCATGAAAGAAATGCCACCTTTTTGGGGGAATTGCATTCGTTCTGAAGTTGATCGAGGGGTTAATTCCACCCCACTAAACAGCCAGTGATGTCTGCCACAAGTTCAAGAGCAGAAGGCTTTCTGTCCTGCAAGACAAACCACGGAATTATTTCCTACAGACCAAGGAGAGAAACTCAACTACGCCAAGTAGAGAAATTCACAGCAAACTTGTAAAAAGAATGACTCCAGGAGGAAACGGGGATGGCATGCACGTGAATGAATACTTACATAAATGTCTGCACCATAAAATCCATCCTGGTAAACAACACTGCAAGGGTGCACACACAAAGAGAAACATCCATATTAGTGCATTTCCCATGCAGACACACCAACCCCTGCACTGGCGAGGTTAGTCTGGTCACAAGATCCAAAACACAGGAACCGAGGATCGTTTTCACATTGGATTAAGGAGGTTGGAGACAACGGCAGTTGAGCAAACCGAGAAAATTAGGCCGGGCTTTGGTGTTGGCCCAGAATTAGGATGTGGTGGTGGCGGTGTGCTAGGTCCCAAACTTCCCACTCTCTCAGGAGTGGGTACAGAAAGGCACGACTTTGAAATGCAAAGAGGACTGAGATTTAAGTGGCCCAGACAGACATGAGCATCTTAACAGGTCAGAGTTGGCAATCAAACCACATAGCCCCCTACCCCACAGAATAAAAACCCAAAACATCTATTTAAAAATCGGATTGTAAAGGTCGACACACAGATTGCAGCATTCTCAGTATGGGCTAGAGCTGAATGGCCTTAGGTGAGGTGGACAACACATATGGTTTCAAAAATTTTCTTCTATATTCTTTCACATTGTATTATATTTGGTAATTGCACGTGCATTATTTTATGGTTAATGGAGAATATCTCTAATAGTATGTGGGTGAGCATGGGTACATGTGCAAGAATGTGTTTTCTGTGCAGACATGTCTTCATGTGTACAAGTGCATTGTGTGCATATTTGTGTGTGTTAATATGGACAAGTGCAGGAATGCATGTATTTGTCTATAGTGTATACACGTATGTAAACATGTATATATGCATGTGTATACTTATTTATATGTATTTGTGTACTTATATGTACAAGGGTGTATACATGTGAATATCTGCATGTTCACGTAAATTATATCTAGACTAAACAAAGACCCACACCTTGATTGAACAAGCCCAATCTGATAGCAGCTCTCTGATTGCCACCCATGTAGTGACCATCCCAGAAAGAAGAGACTTCAGAGGGCTGGGGACAGGGGTTAGGGAATGATTCCCCAGAAGCTTTTTGGTATGCTTTGAGTAAAACAACCAGGAAAAGAAGCTCTTAGCTACGTGGTCGTGAGAAACTGATTTGTATTTCCTAAGCATGAAAACGAGTTTAACGAGAATCATATGTAGCCTTCACAGGTTTTTGTAAGGATCACAAGGCATCTTGCATATGAAGCTGTTTCTAAATGCCTATTTTTAAAAGGATCATAGTTATTTACAATCTTCCCCGATACCTTCCCATGATGTTTCTAGATGACTTATGATTCTGGCAAAGGACCAATGAGCCCCACCATTGAATGAAGCTGAGGTTCTAATAGAAACACAACTTTAATACCAAAGGATTCCAGCAGGTTTCTGTAGCAGAATGAACCCACATGTAAGCAAAGCATATTGAGCCAAGGGAAGGCATTTTACAACACACACACACACACACACACACACACGCTGTACTGACACACACACGCAGCTGTGACACTGGTTTGCTGGAGAACACTCTAGTGTGCTGCTTAGAGTATTTCAGAGTTGATTGACTAAACTCCAAGTACCATTGTCCTTAAAAATGTGGCAGGGATTTCACACACTAAGGAGGTTGGTAGGAATAGCTTTCAGCTGTTGTTCATATTTGATCCGGGAGGGCTACAGTTCACAAGAGCGCTTGTGAAGTGGCATAAAGCCCTAATCCAAGATGCTGAGGTGTGCATCGTCCTGAGCTATGCTTTGAATTCTTTTTCAACTTTTCCAACATAGAGAATGTCGGTTGGGGGGTCAGAAGGCAGAGCCACCCTCTGCCAAGGTCTGATGAAAGAGAGGGAGCAACAGATATTTAGTTTGGGTCCCAAACCACAGGACTGATCACTTAGCCATATCAAAACCGCTCCATCCCATTCTTTCATGCTGCCATGCCCTTGCACGTGCAATGCCTTGTGCTGGCAATGCCCTTTATTCTAGTATCCTCATCCAAAAGCAGTGACATGACCATTCAAGAGCCAAGTTAGATGGGAAGCACATGGGCATTTGAATCAGACTGCAGCATCCTCAATCAACAGTGCAGTGCCTTTGCACATATTACTTGAGACATCTGAACCTCACTTACTCATCTGTTAAAAAGGGAAAATAGGTAAGTGCCTACCTCAAGAAAGGGTTTCGTAAGATAATGCTTGCAAAGGGATGGGTGGCATCATGCTTAACACTGTAGCTCTAACGAGGTCACCATGTTTGAGACCCGGTGCCCACCTGCAGCTGGGTGACTTTTCCCATTATGAACACCAGCATCATTTTTCAGACTCTTATCAGAGCCACTCGTCAATTTCTGCCTCACATTAAAGGTCTGTGTGCATGTGACTCGTTGCACCTTAAAAGCTACACCCTGTGGCTTAACTAACATTCTATTCTCAGTTCCTGACACACTGCTTGTTACCTAGAAGATGGACAATAACTGGGTGAATAGGGTTCATATTTTAGAGGGAAGGGTGGGCATGAGAAGGCGTCAGAAGGAGATTGAGTCATTGCTTTACCAACTCCAGGTAGAATTCAATAATGGGTCGGGAGGAGTCTGAGGTTTGTCTCTGATTTGGCTATTCAGTATCAGTGGCTGTTGTCAATGGAGGAGAAATACGATTAACAGACTCGAACCTGAATTAGGAGACCAGGGCAAGAGACTAGACAGCAGTCTAGAAGTAAACAATGTATTTTTCATGAGATATGAAACATACTTTTAAATATGGGAAATAATGACTTCTAAAGATCTCAATGGTGGAACCTCATCTGTCTCTGATCTTCTGTAAATGACGGAGAGAAGAATTGATCCCAGGCCTTGGAGGCTGTTCCAACGGGGCACATGGCATGGGTGTGGGCCAAGAGTTGGGGTTCTTTGATATGGCTGAGGCTGAGCTCTGGCCAAGAAACTGATCCCTTCTTTCATTAAGACAAGTTGTTATGCACCATGGCCAGTTTTGTGCCTCCATGTCAAGCCTATTTGTACCAACATTGCCCAGAGGTGAGGAAAGAACATGCCGGGATGTTTGCTCTTAGGAGTCTCTGCTCAGTAGGGTAACCTGATTGCCATGCTTTGTCCTCCACTGTGGGCTATGGAAAGTTACTTGGGTGTTGCTGACATCCTACATTGATGAAACACTGAACCAAAGAAGAACTAGTGTAGCTTTCTCATTGTGAAAAGCTCAAACAAGCCAAATACATACTATTTCTCTGTGACTGAAAGCTTTCCTGTACCCCAACTACTATGCGAAGGCATGAAGACCGAAGAAGAAAGCCCCCTCAGTAACCCTGCCCTCCCAGAGTGTACAGGAAGTGGGACACACAGTCACAAATTATGCATAAAACTGTAGAATCACAGCTGAGATAGATACTGCAGGAGACAGCAACAGAGGTGCCCTGAATGTGGAACGGAAGGAGGCAGGGCCAGCAGCAGAGACGAGAGAGGCTAAGCAAATGGCACAGAAACCTCAAAGCCTTGGCTCGGTAGAGAGGAGTGAAGTGCTGTCAAGGCAAAGGGTGGTGGGGTGAGGGTACTGCAAGGCAAGACCTATGGCTGGAAGACCCACGCTCTGGCTTCTTGGAGGGCTGGGGGGAAACGTATAAGCATTAGGGTCTAAATATGGTGGCTTCACAGCAAAAAGATGATTGTAGCTGCCATTATAAACCCCATCATGAAGGGATTACTTGTTTTCAAAGTGCACATGTATTGGAGAGAAATGGAAAGGACGAGTGATCTATCTTTAGGATAACTCTAAAAAATGTGGAAGCAATGTAGCCATCCTCACCGGCAGTGTGAAATAAAGCCATGTAATGGGAAGCCAATTTTACCAAAACATTGTTTTTCTCCCTAATAGTAACAGCACGAGCACCATTACTCCCACTACTCACATTTGCAGAACACTTACCATGGATCAGTCCCTAGTCTAGCCTTTCTGTGCTCATGATCCCACTCAGTCCTTAGAATACCCCCATGAGATGGACAATATGATCATTGCCTCTTTAGACATGTAGAAACTGAAAGAGAGTTGGGTATTGTCTGAACTGGGATTTGAGCCCAGGGGGTCCGGCTCCACAGTGCAAACTCTTAAGTACTATGGCAGGCAGTGGTGGTCAAACTTGAATGTGTAGCAGAATCACCTGGAGGACTTTTGAAACACAGATGGCTGGGCCCCATGCCCAGCCAACAGGTTCTGATTGAATAGATCCGGATGACAGCATCTAAGAGCTTACATTTCTAACAAGTTAACAGATGATGCGGATGCTATTGGTCCCAGGAATATGAGAATCATAGCTCTATGCAACACCATCCTCCAAGTGTTATTTTACTTTACATTTGAGACAAAACTGAAGGTCAGCCTCCTAGGTTATATTCTAATGGAGGAGCTGGTTACGGGAAAGTTCTCATCACAAAGCCTCATGCTAGTTTCCAAAAATGTATCCAAATAATTTGTAAAGCCTCATCAAACAGCTGCACTTAAAATATAAGATATGCAGGGAAAGAGGCACAGGGATCCATGTCTGCGGTGCAGCTATAGATAAATTAACCACGGAACAGTTAGGAGAGAAGGGAGTTACCATTGCGCACTAAACAGGCGCAGTCATATTTCAATGCAGAGATGGTCCGTCTAGCCATGCAAAGGTACTTGTATTGTTTGTCAATCACATCGGGACTCAATGTGCTTTTGCAAGGACATAATGCAAATGCACATCTTATTTTCTTAGAAAAGTAATACCAGTAGTTAAATATTTGAATGAATGCGAGCAGGGAGTGACTGCACTACAGAAAATTAGTTTACTTTAAAAAAAAAGTATAAAATGCCCAAACTATACAATCTGCTCGTGTAATATGATATATACCAGCCACAAGTATATTCTTATAGAAAAGGCTGTTTACAATTGTTCTACCCTGAGGCCCCTTCCAACTAGAAAATAAACTTTTTAAGGTGTTCAAATACCGCTATTTTTTAATGGATATTGGGGGGATCAGAAACTAGCTGGCATGTGTATAGAATTTGGGTGTGTGTGTGTGCTGTTTGTACGTATTTTCCTAGAGAATTTTTAATCAGATTATTAAAGGCATCTGTGAAAATGTCTTTTCACATTCTCCCCTCCAAAAAAAGGCTTTAAAGACCACTTATTCATCATGTTTGTCTATAAGTTCATGCTATTCAGAGGCTGTTTGGATTACATTTTAAAACTAGCAAATAAGAAGTCACACTTTATAAAAAGAATTCTGCAAAGGCAGCTTGTCCAAACCGCAGCCCATATGCTGCATGTGGCCCAGGACAACTTTGAATGCAGCCCCAACACAAATCCATTAACTTTCTTAAAACATTATGAGATTCTTTTTTTTCTTTTTTCTTTTTTTGCTCATCAGCTGTAGTTAGTGTATGTGTACTTTATGTGTGGTCCAAGTCAATTCTTTCAGTGTGTCCCAGGGAAACCAAAAGATTGGACGCCCCTGTGTCTAAAGTATTCTGAGAATGGGTAATGATGACTTTTGTTCCTAGTATTTATACTAAATACAGTTCCTAAGCATCAGATACTACAGGTTGCGGATTTAGATATTTAGAAGATAAAACCAGAAAGCATGGCTGATCTGTACACAGAAAGATATGCCCATAGTCCCAGAGACTGTTGTTGGAGACTTTTTTAGGACTTAACGTGAAAACATTTCCAAAGGATCTATTTGTTCTTCCACTGACCAGCTTTAAGTTTTCTCCTGGGATACTGCTCTATCTTTCCTATACCCCAAATAATATAGAGTCTTCTCAAATACTTCTCAAGGTAACTCTGGGAAGTTTACACAGATGTATGACAATTACCTGAGAAAGGGCAGAAAATCTTACTCAGAGATACCTAGAGAACAAGACCAAAAGCCTACAGCTGACACTAGATGCTTAGGCTTAGAATAATAATAAAAACATGGCCAGGGGGCGGTGGCACATGCCTGTAATCCCAGCACTTTGGGAGGCTGAGGTGGGCAGATCACTTGAGGTCAGGAGTTTGAGAGCAGCCTGGCCAATATGGTGAAACCCTGTCTCTACTAAAAATACAAAATTAGCTGGGTGTGGTGGCATGTGCCTATAATCCCAGCTACCTGGGAAGCTGAAGACAGGAGAATTGCTTGAACCCAGGAGGAGGAGGTTGCAGTGAGCAGAGATTGTACCACTGCATTTCAGCCTGGGTGACAGAGCAAGACTCCATCTCAAAAATAACTCATGTGATGCTCCATTAGAGCACCCCATTGTACTCACATGAAATATGCACGGTACCTAATAGGTACTCATCGAGTTCCTCTTTGAGGGAGGGGATTGGGATTTAGCTGCTGTTTTCTAACATCAAAGATACTAAGTCTACAGGGTTTGTCTCCAAAGCCTCCACTTGCTGTCTTGATGCACAGATAATCAGCTTGTGAGCTCCCTGAACAGCAATTACCTGATGGGTAATTCCTCCCAAATGTGAGTCATAGGAAGCTAGACTGGGCATTGTGGCTTCTCAGTCAAATTGAGTCCAGGATCAAATGCAAGGAGAAATAAGGAAAACTCTACTCTGCTCTGTGACTGTTCCCTACTCAATATTGTATTTTCAATCTACATATTCCATAAGCAATGCAAGTGCCTCAACCATTTCTGTGGCTTGAAGGAAATGGAGGTCTGTGAAACTGCAAGTGCCCCCTAGCAAAGATAAATAATGCATAGAGGGAGAGACATGGGATCTTCTTTTGTACTCAACCACAAGCAAAAGGGGGATGTTGAGAAAGAAGACTGTGGGTGGTTAATAAAGTCGCTAAGTTCATCAACCTGGAGAACAGTAGGTACAGTTCACTGAATGCATGTCATAAGATGGACCAAGTTGTCACCTTACATGGATTTCCCTGCTTCACCCTCTATCGACTCTATGGGGGCAGATATATCCCCCACTCTCGCTTAAGCAAACTGTGTCTATAGACGTTAAGTAAGCTATCCAAGCCAGTATGGGTAGAATATTGGGGCCCAGTCTTATTTACCTTAAATCCAGTGTCTTCCTAGGACTATAAAATTCCATAGGCTATGTAGACATTACTTTCTAACTCTTCAGTCTCATTCAATTGATGTTGGCAATCAATTGGGAGTTGGTTGGTTTGGTACAGGGTTTTCCACTTGTACCTATGATCCCACCATGGTCCACAACTTTCCCTACCCCTGGAGGAATGATCATGTGTTAATGTCCCAAGAGGTTTCTATTTAGGCATGTGAGACAAAAAAGGGCCTCTTCATAACCGATGTTCTTCAGCTGCATGGAAGGGCTTCAGAAAATATCAAGACATGGAAGGAAAAGGCAAATCAATAAAAGGAAATTGATGAATGTCTGTGCGCAGTGGCCCACGCCTATAATCCCAGCACTTTGGGAGGCCCAGATGGGCGGATCACCTGAGGTCAGGAGTTCAAGACCAGCCTGGCCAAAATGGTGAAACCCCATCTCTATTAAAAATGCAAAAATTAGCCAGGTGTGGTGGCGGGCACCTGTAATCCCAGCTACTTAGGAGGCTGAGGTGGGAGAATCACTTGAACCCAGGAGGTGGAGGTTGCAGTGAGTCGAGATCGTGCCATTGCACTCAAGCCTGGGTGACAGAGTAAGACTCCGTCTCAAAAAAAATTTTTTTTAAAAGGAAATGGATGAATGTAGGGCATCCTTAGGGACTCTACTGGTGTGACTATCTTTATGTTGGATATCTCCAAGGGTTACCCAAGCTTCCATAAAGGTAGCCATGGAGATCCTAAAGGATATTTTCTTCAATCTCCCAGGAGGAAGAAAATGTGGAAGCCATGCATGGACCTAGGACACCTTTTTGACTGGTATTTTAGTAACAATATAGATTCATATTGGATACTTCAGGAAGAACAGATTTAGGTTGGCAGATATGCCTTCAATTGGTGACAGTGGAAACAAATTCTTAAATGTAGTTTGTTAGGTGACATCTTAGAAAAGATGGAGATTGCTGGGGGTGTGGGTGGAGGAGGGGTCACAGGATAAGATTTCACTGTGGCAATTTAGGAAATGTTTGGACTTATATATACCCCATATTTCTTCTCTTCTGGGATGCCTTCTGTAAACACCCAAGCTGGGCTAAGGACCTTTCCCTAGTGTTCACACAATATCCTCTTGTATCACTTATCACATTTATTGAAATTGTTGGCTTGTATGTCACCCCCTGCCCCAACCAGAAGAAATACCTCTCAAGGTGCCATTTGTCTCTTCAGCACACAACAGTGCCTAAAACACAATAGGTGTGAGTCATAGGGTGAGCTGCACTGGGCTGGGGTAAAGACGTCAGTCAAATCTTAGTTTTCCTCCAAAGGAATTTAGAGATAAAAGGCTACAGGAAATCTGCTCTCTGGACCACCTGAATCCTGATGATGTTACTTTCTGAAAACAAGTATTTCTAACCTCTATGCTACTTGCTTTCCCTGAACACAACATAGGGGTTCTTGCTCTCCCTGAACACAAGATAGGGGTTCTTGCTCTTCCAGCCAGCTCCTGCCCTGGGTCCCACTCTGCTCTCTTCCTTTCCAAGAGGAGCCATCCCCTTGCCATCTCCTGCAACCTAATCTGTTTATTCCAGAGGAAAAGGAAACCTCTAAGATGGTGGCCTCAAAGTTTTTCATTCCGTGCCAATTCATTCCCAGGAGTCTGTAATCCAGTGAAACACCCAGGCAACAAGACGAATTTCCTTCTTTTTGACCAGTACCTTGCTCTAATAGGTTATTGCAGACATGAATGCTTGCAATCTTAGTCCTGCTGGGGCTCCTGCTTCTCTGCTGAGAATTTGATCTTGCTTCCAAGTATGGCTTTAGAATGCCAGCCATACTATTATCAGCAAGGAGGTACAATCCACCACTATAACCAAACTGATCACAGATATTGCTGGAATATTAAAATTAATTTTCATCCCAAGTAGTTACAAACACATTGTTTCATCATTTGGAAATGCCTGTGTCTCTCCCTGGTGAAACATGGCATTAATTAGTTATGCATGGTTATTCCCAGCAAAGAGCATGTTCATTATAAGTTAGCTAATTTAATTTTGATTTTACAGCAGGTGTGTCATTCTGAGATGTTTATAAATTGGTCATGTGAGGATAAACCATATAATTTTCCTCTATTGTTTCTTTTGCTCTTCAATATAGTAGTGAGATACTGATGGTAGATATACTAAAACCCTTCAACTCCCATGTACTGAGAACAATTTTCAAACGAATGTGGTATAAGTGCAATTTTGGATTTATAGCATACAAATCTTGCTTTAGTAATTACATGAGCCCAAAGGTAACTTGGGATTTTCTTTTTCCTTCATAACTCATTACATGATCTTGGGAATAACAAATCTTTATTTTTACATTTCTGGATCCATAAAATGGGCTCATTGCTGTGATACCAGAGATAAAAATTATACTATCGACAACTCCTTATATTGCATGGTCACATAAAAGGCTTAAGACATACAAATACATTTGACAGGCATTAGGGAGAATTTATAGCCAGTTCATTCTTGGTTTGTTACTATCCACCGTCTTTTCAGTTAAAATATGTGTATGCATAGAGAGAGCTCTTGTTTTGTCCAAGAAGCTCAAAGTTGACCCAATTCAAATGACTACACAAGAAATTTGATGGACTTTGTCTTACTACTTTTCCTTAACTTTCCCTTCTCTGATGGTTTTACCTACTCTCATTTCTTTTTACCATTAACTTTATTGCATTTATTTTTGAAACAAACATTTCAAATGCTCTGGTTTAGAATGAATATGTAATGAAAAAAAGTGTTTCTTTTTGTCATGAGTATAATAGATGATCTAGGCTAATGTAGATTTTCTGAAAGATTTACAAGCAACAGAGCTATGAAAAGGGCATTTAACCCTTTTCACACAGTCTTAAATGCAGCCATATTTTCTTCTACACACCAGAAAGCCAGTCACTGGCCAGGGAAGCCTAGTGCCAGGCTTTCTGGGGATCGCTGAATTTAACATAGAGCAGGGTTTCTCAGCTGCAGCATGACTGACTTTGAGTCTGATAATTCTTTCTTGTTGGGGGCTGTCAAACAACATCCCTAGACTCTACCCAATAGAGGACATAGCATCTCTCCATTCCTGTTGTGACAACCAAAAATGTCTCTAGACCTTGCAAATGTCCCCTGGTCTAGGGCCACTGCCTTGGAGGTATCCCTTTCTCCCTGGCTGCAGAGGTGCAAGAATATTCTAGCAGGAGCCTTAAAAGAGGGACAGACTAGCATTTCAAGACTGCCACCAAACACACCAGTATCATTTTTTTTTTTCTTTTACTGAGCATTCACACCATTCCTTGACATTCGCCTGGCAATATCAAAGTCTGTGCAGAGAAGGACCAAATTGGCAATGGGAAACAAACTAATCTGCATTGTTCCCACAGAGGAGAAAGGAAGGCAAATGCCATTTTGGAAAACGCAACTGCAACGCATCTTAACTCCAATTTCATTAATTCTTGTATGTTTGCATGTGACTCAACACCTAATTTTCTCTTTGCAGGCAAAGGTTCGTGACCCTTGAAGCCAAGATATCCCTGGGGAGGCGAGCAAGACGACCCCAGTGATTTTTATGTATGAAAACCTCACTTCTTTCTGTGGAGGAATTCAAGGGGCAAATGTGGTCCAACCTCCTTAATAACCAGATGTTTGCAATCATCAGAAATACATCTTTGGCTGTAACCATTTCTCTGTTCTCCAGCATTCAGTCTCAAAGAGAATTTACATAACAACATGTGACATGTAGAATGCTTAAAGGCACCAACCATGACAGGACAAATTACACTCATTTTTCAATACTCTTAGCAAGGTGCTCCACTGCAGGTGCGCGGCCGGGCTGCATGCTGGGGGCGGTTCTGGGGGTGGCGGAGGGGGAGTCAAGACCATCATGCGCTCGCAAACAGCTCCGTGCCTCTGGGGAGGGAGGGCTGGTGCAGGGAGGCCCACCCAGGAGGCTGCCCCACTTACCCGCCGTAGGCCGGGATCGGGGGCGGGGGCGCCGCGGCCCTGAAGGTGTTGTACACGGTGCGACCGCGGCCTCGCAGGTGCGCCCCTCGGTAGGCGGCCGCGGCGGTGGCTGCTGGATACGGGAAGCCTGGCACTGCGGGGCAAGAGGAGAGAGAGAGAGAGAGCACAGGCTGTCAGATGCACACCCTGCTGTGGAGGGAACTGCCCCGGGAACCCTTGTCCCTGCACAGGGTCCCAGCAGGACCCCCGCCCGCTTCCCGGAATCAAGAGGTTAAAAAGCAGAGAGCAGCACGGTGGCCAGGGTGGGACTCCAGAGAGGATGAGTAGTTAACACAGTGGGCCCTTTGCCCAGGAGAATGTGGTGACTGACAAACATTTGCAAATAATTCTATATAACGGGAGAAAAGCTCACTGCATGAGTATTTAATTAATGAGTTTATTTGAGACAGGGACTGGCTCTGTCACCCAGGCTGGAGTGCAGTGGTGCAATCACGGCTCACTGCACCCTCGACTTCCAGGGCTCAAGTGATCCTCCTACCTCAGCCTCCCAAGTAGCTGGGACCATAGATAGAAGTGTGCTACCACACCTGGCTAATTTTTTCATGTTTTGTAGAGATGGGGATCTCCCTTTGTTGCCCCGGCTGGTCTTGAAGTCCTGGGTTCAAGCAGTCCTCCTGTCTCCACCTCCCAAAGTGCTGAGATTACAGTTATGGACCAACCACGCCCAACCCACAAACATATTTTTAAAAGGGCAGATTGCAAGATGTGTCATGTCTTATCAATCATATACCTATGTATATATGTACAGGTGTATTTGCATGCAAAATACACATATGTGTATATGCATGTGTACATGTGTATGAATGTGTGCATGTATATATACATATATGTACATATGCTGATATGAACATATTTGTATACACATACACACAACTTTCCACATGCTAGCAATCTCTGGGGCCGAACTGCATGAGTGGTTTTTATTCATAACTTTCCCCCATCCTATTTTTCCAGTTTCCTTCATGTACAGATATCACTTCTTAAAACTTCTAATTGAAGTATTCCCACTGACACATGTATGTGGTATGAGTGCACAAACCACACATGCCATGAGAAACAGCTTATTACCAACATCTGATAAGTCTGCTGAACTCCTGTGCAGCATTTAAAGGCAAAGGCAACCAGCATGATTACAAATACGCGATAAGTCTGGGACCCCGACCCTTAAAAAGAGAATGTGGGGGCTGGGCGCGGTGGCTCATGCCTGTAATCCCAGCACTTTGGGAGGCTGAGGCAGGTGGATCATGAGGTCAGGAGTTCGAGACCAGCCTGGCCAATACGGTGAAACCCCATCTCTACTAAAAATACAAAAATTGGTCAGGCGTGGTGGCGCATGCCTATAATTCCCGCTACTTGGGAGGCTGAGGCAGGAGAATTGCTTGAACCTGGGAGGTGGAGGTTGCAGTGAGTCGAGATGGCACCACTGCATTCCAGCCTGAGTGACACAGCAAGACTTTTTCTCAAATAAGAAGAAGAATGTGGGCGGGGATATCTTCCCTTGGGTAAAATTCTCTGAGCAAGATGAGGAGGTGAGGAGGAGTTAGGAAGGGGAATTAAGCCTGATGATTACCCCAGCCCCCTGATAACTACTGCTGTTTCCTCTATCTGGGATTCCCTTCCTCCCATTTCATGCAAATCCTAACTAACTCATCAGGGCCCATGGGGCCAGGAAACCACTTTTGCCTTTAAGTTCAGTTGGCTTCTCTGACTCTCCCAGTGCTCTGAGCATAATGACCACACTTGTCCCATCTCACTAAGTAGCAGGCAATGTTTCCCAAACTGTGTCCGCAGAGGATGCCTGATGGTTACCCCGGTTACCCCTGTCCCCTGATAACCAACACTGTTTCCTCTACCTGGGATGCCCTTCCTCCCTTCTCATGCAAATCCTAACTCATCAGGGCCCACAGAGTCAGCAAACCACTTTTCCTTCAAGCTCAGTTCGCTTCTCTAACCCTCCCAGTGCTCTCACCATACTCACTACGCTTGTCCCATCTCACTAAGCAGCAGGTATTGTTTCCCAAACTGTGTCCACAGAGAATGCTTTTCTGAAAAAATGCATTTGGTAAGTCCCTGTCCCAGGAGAGCCACAGCAAAGGCTCAAAAGGCCCACCATGAAGGAAATGCTCTTAGTTAACCCAGCACAACCAACTCCTTTTCCAGGCTTTCTGCAGAAGAGCAAACCTCTCAAGGGGCAGGGGTTGTAGTTCATTTCATGTTAAAGTTGTCTCCACCCTCTATCCAAACTGCCAAGAAGAGCTTCTTCCCTTCCCGCTATCAGCTTCAGGAGTAGAAGCGTTCCACCTTATGTCTCCCCATTATTCAGAGTCCTTTCCACATACACTGATGCATGGACCCAGGTGAGGGTTGCAGAAGGAGCAAAAGGCAAAAGAATTGGAAGGAAAAAATGTGCATGAGAAGCCTCACTGGAGGCCCTGGCTGCGACCAAGGAGGTTGGACGGGGTGACCATGTAGTGCACTTAGAACTCCAAGAATTACACCTACACCCATAGATAGGGTATGTTTGTACTTACATGGTGGGTGAAGGGAGCGGGTGGGGTTTGCCACAGCAGCCATTCCAAATTACTCTTGCAATTTTAAGGGCCCAAATAAAACCCCCGAACCCGACCAAAGTGAAGACCAAATGGCTATTATCTGGAATTCTGTGTGTTCTTAAAGGTCCCACAGCCGTCCTGTTCTATGGATTCTACCGCATCTTTCTATCACAATGCGGGTAAAATACGAGGATTGTAGAACCCAGAATGATTCCGTCTTTCTATTTGTATCTGAGAAGACCATAAAGGTTATTTTTAACTTTTTTTATTCTTGCTAAAGATAGATCATGCCATTTTATTTAACTTTTTTTGCCAGCTCCTAGCACCTGAGTTTCTTGGATCACGTGGCAACTGGTATGCTTGAAACCGCAGAGACGTGTGGGGTCTTAATGGGGAACACGAGTAAATCCTAATATCATAAAAGCCCATAAGTAATGAGAGATGAGACGCTTGCTTCAGGACTGGGGAGAAAATGAGTGGGAATGGCCTTGACTCCAAATCTGTCTTGCCACAGTTCAACTATTAAGTTTTCAGAGGAACACCCTGGATTTTGAAATAAAGAAAATGAAAAATTCACAATCTGGCAGAGCAGCTGGCTGCCTGTGTGAGGAAACACGGTAATTATGCTGACCCATTCATTGTCACTGGCTATGGAGCCGAGTGAGCCAGACAAGCTCCCTCTCAGCCACAAGCAGCTTTTACAATAATTCTTGGAGGATTTAGATGTTGAGATATAACATGAAACAGAAGCTTGGCAAGAGAGAGAGAGGGGAGCACGTGCTGTTAAGAGCGTGGAGCCAGGATTCCATTTTGTACCCTCTTCATTACAGGGAGAAAATGGATTTCCTGAGGCAGGATATTTACAAGGCTTCCTAGGAGGTTCTTTGGGCTCTCCCAAGCAGGGCACATTGGGGGACTTCTTATTTTGTGAAAAGAACACAGGAAGGACTGAAAATCAATTCCTGGCTTAAATAGTGCCTTCCTGGAAGGCTAGGTACCCTTGGCCAAAAAAAAAAAAAAAAGAGAGTTCCACAGGTCATGCTTTGGGCCAGAGGCTTCATGGAGAAAGGGCTGGAGGATTCAAGTGTCCTGGGTGGTTGGTATTTTCAGTGGTCTCTTTCTTGTTAATCTAGGGCTGGCCAAGGGGCCCTTTCGTGAAATCTCTAGTTAGAAAAATGCTCATCGATCACATTCCTTTCTTTCTTACATTCCTTCCTTCCTTCTTATACTTGCTCCTTTTTTATTCCTTCTCCCCTCCCTTTTTCTTCCTTCCTTTTGTCTTCCCTCCCTCCTGTCCTTCCCTCCCTCTTTCTTCCTTTTGTCTTCCCTCCTCCTTTTCCTTTCTCCCCTCGCTCTTCTTCCTCTCCCTCTTCTTCCTCTCCTCTCCCTTCATTTCTTTATTAATTCCTGCCTTCATTACAATCCTTCCTTTCAGTCACTTTGGAATTTTTTTTCTAAAGAGGGCTGCCCTGTTCCTCCCCTGGTTCATGTAAAAATCATTAGCTTGAGTCACAGAAATGAAGGAGAAGGACGCTTACTGGTGCGTGCATGCAAGCTGCGTAAGGGTGGTGATCTCCACGTTCTGCTCATCAGTTAGGATGAGTAACTGGTACCAAGCAGGTATCAGGTACCTAATACTGTGCCTGGACACCCTGTCAGTGGTTAACCAATGTTTGTCTTCCTTCTGGGAGAGTACAGCCACCACCTCTTCACTGTCCACCTTCTATAACACTGTCCTGTGTACAAAGTGACCTGCTCAGAATTTGCAGATAAACAGCATGCAAGCAACACAACCATTAGAGGTGTTCGAACCACAGCGACTCCATCGTAAGTGAAGGCTAGGAAAAATGAGGCCAAGACATGCTGGACTACATTTCCAGAAAGTTAGGTATTCCTGGCCTCTAGATGTTTGTGGTTAAGGAAACAGATTGATTATGTTTACTAAACAGACCCAGACTTTAGGAGTGTCCTGATATCCCAATATCTTGTGAACAGAAGCATTCCTAAATTTGCTTTAAAGATAATATTGATTCTTGCAAAATATAGTAATTAAGAAAATTAATCCTTTATCACAAACCCTTGTAGCAGAGCACATTTCCCCATGATCTTATTTTTTTTTATCCTATATAAACAAGTATTATACCAAGGGGTGGACATGCTCCTCCTCTTACTTTTGGGAACATCCTACTGTCTATGGAGTAGCTGTACTTTCCCCATTTTACTTTCTTTATAAGCTTCCTTTTGCTTTGCACTGTGGACTGGCCCCGAATTCTTTTTTTGCACAAGATCCAAGAATCCTCTCTTAGGGTCTGGATAGGAACCCTTTTCCTGTAACACAACTGAAACTTAGTCACAATCCCTAGAAAGATAATTTCCACTTCTACCCTTGTACGTTTTTCACTGTCTCGGAAAAAGTAACCAGATTTTGAAAGAGTATGATTTCAATCAAGCAAGGGGAGGCTGCTTGGACCAAGTTTGTTGCACTTGGAATTGTCAGAGCCCTCAATTCATTTAAATTCTCCTCGATGGCAGCACACTATCAGGATTTAAAATTGTTTCTTGTTCAGGGGAAAAGCGGGACTCCAGTTTTGGCCCCAGACAGGTAACACCTATTAAAGGGTCTTCATCACATCTCACCCTTCCATATAGCCCCAGACCATGCTCTCTGACAACCCAGCAACAACAGTCCCTGAATAAAATAATTATGTGCAACCAGGAACAATAGAAAATAACAATCTTGATAATTCCAAACTCTTCTGACTTATGACTGTGCCTTCTGTGTTTCTTCCCATCTTTATTAGAAGAATTTTCCTGGTCAGGCACAGTGTCTCACACCTGTAATCCCAACACTTTGGGAGGCCAAGGTGGGCAGATCACAAGGTCAAGAGATCAAGATCATCCTGGGAAACATGATGTAACCCCGTCTCTACTAAAAATACAAAAATTAGCTGGGTGTGGTGGTATGCATCTGTAGTCCCAGCTACTTGGGAGGCTGAGGCAGGAGAATCGCTTGAACCCAGGAGAGGTAGAGGAGGTTGCAGTGAGCAGAAATCGCGCCAATGCACTCCAGCCTGGGTGACAGACCAAGACTCAGTCTCAAAAAAAATAAATAAATAAATAATTTTTTCCTCAATTGTTGGTTTAGGGACAACATGGCTTCTTCGCATGCCACTAACACGAATAATCCATTTCAAGGGCAAAATACACACATGCACACACACAACTGTTTGCCACACTTCCTTTAAAAAACCCAGCACAGTGTGGAAGAATGGATGCTTTTATTATTTGCCTACAGGTGTGGTGGTCTGTAGGATTCTGGAACATGGTAAAATGTATATTTGAGATGATTACCTGGACAGATGATTCAGACACAAATTAAACAAGACTAAAACTGTTTTTTGACCACATAGAAAGAGAACCTCTTACATGTTTACTTTGAGGTATGGCACTTATATTTTGTTGAGTGAGAGTTATGTCATCTATCCTAGTTTAGATGTCTGGATCCAGACATGCCAAATACCCTGGCTTAGAAGTCTAGATCCAGTAAGTGGGCAATGAATGACTATTTAATAAAGCCAATGCAAAATGCCCAGTGGAAACTCACAATGTTCTCTCCATTTCTAGAATATGAAATAAAATATTTAAATCAATGTTAAAAGTCAAACATCACCCTATCCAGTATTTGTAAATGCCTCTTTGTTAATTAAAAAACAATGTTAGGGGAAAAAGACACCAAACAATGGTCATTTCTAAACCCCAGCACTGCAAGTTTGCTTTTTTTTTTTTTTTCCTAGTTCAATTTCAAGTTAACTCACATGTAAGCAGACCATCAATAAGGAACAATGGAAAGGACGCAGGTTGATTTGTGGATATAGTATAAATCCTTAGTTTTTGGCATGAGGGAAACAAGAAAACCCATAGGTTCATTATACTGAAGAGATTCCTTCTGAAGCCTTATCCAGCATGAATCAAAGAGAAAAATCTGGTATCACTACAACACAAATTGGATTCAGCTCATAAGCTAAAAATGAATTTCTCTCAAAACAGGCAAGAGCTTTCAGAGAAAATACCAATTGAGCATCTTGTTGACACATGAGAATTTCCAGCCCACCCACTCTCACCCTTCAGCTAGATTTATATACAGAGCATATTCTGGGGGAGGTTAGTAGAGTAACCATCTCAGTTCTTGGGAATAAGAAGTTCTGTCCCATGGAACTCGATGAAATGGAAGCTTTAGGGATGTAACAAGAGGCACGCTGTGGTGGTGCTCAAGTATCACGGCAAATCAACATTTTAGAACGGAAGATGTGTGGGTGTATCCACCAGCCAAATGGGCCATTTACTAAAGTGTCAACTGCTAACTGCCTGTCTCCCCCTCAAAAACAAAGCCCCCACCTCCCACCTCCAATGAGCCCTGCACTCAATGTATTTACAGTGATGAGTGTGTCTTCTCTCCCTCTTTTACGAACATGGTGCTTACCTTCGAAAATAAACACAAATGAGATCATCTCACCAGCCAGGAAATCCCAAGAGAAAAAACACAAAACCAGTGGAAAATACTTGAGGGTTATAAACTGCATATTAAAGTTTTAGAGCTCTGGGGGAGATGGAAGAGTAGCAGATGCAAAACCCGACAGGGGGGCGGATTCTGCACCAAAGCCATAAAAATATACAACCGCTTTAATGGGCAATTATTCTTTGCATTTGTGCACTGGTTTGAATTTGCATGAGACTGCCAGATGCCCTGGAAAAGGTGGGCATCCGAATGGATGAGGGGGGCTCTCTTTGTCCTGCTCCTCCTCTCCCTTTGCTCCATAATGACACATTTCCCCAGCCTTGGAAGGTTTTAAGATGGAGAGAGATTCATGCAAATTTGGGGTGAAATTGTTCTGTGGGTAATTTATGGTAGGAAATATTCACTTACACAATTCTGGGGGTGCAGATGTGCTTTCAACAGCGGGTTGATGGTTTTGCAGGATTCCCCTTGGGGGAACTCCCATTCCATGTGCTGGACCATAAATTAAGAAGTGGCATAATAGGTAACATACTGAGGCGAAATAAACCACCAGCCATAGCTCATAGAGCAGCAATTTCCGAGGCAGGGCATCGTGCAATGAACATCACAATGAAGAATCAAAAAACCTGATTTTTTCCAAATGGCAAAATATGTTTTCTCCTTTTTCAGAACGAATCTCAAAAGTACATCAAATTGGTTTATAACATAGGATTTTACAGACAACTAGGTCACTCTCTTTAAATGGCCTTAAATTAAAATTTTAACATGATGGCACTTATTAAGTTCTAGCTCCAAACAAAAATGGAAAGGTTTTTCTTTTTTTAAAAAAATCCAGTAATTTCAGAGTTTCGCAGAAAAAAAAAAAAGGTGGGTGGGTGGTGGGTGGGGGAGAAAGCTTCCATCCTTTCGGTCACTGATAGAAAGACCAAAACGGCCACTTAATTTGTCGAATCTCCAGTTCTCATATACACATACATTTATCCCTGAAACACACATTTGGGATTGACCCTTGTTTCAGTATGAAATGCATGTTGATATTAAATACTGCTGTTTAGAAGTGAATAAATCTACATTTTGGACAAACAGTTTCTTCTAGGACATTCTCATTTGAAATGCATTGAATAGGAAAACAAAAATTTCTAATTAATGTACAAGTCTAATCACCATGCTCCACATGGAAGAGTAATTTTTCACTGTTCATTTGCTTGGTTTAATCTCAACACTGACATTACAGAAACGCAATGTCCTATAAATCTCTGCTCATTTGTTTCTTTAATATTCATATTCCATTGAACTGCAGCTGCTTGTTGCTGCAGTCTATTACAACATGCAAAAGTGTCGATAAAAATATTATGAAAGGCAAGATGTGTTTCTTCCTGGCTGCGTGTGCCATTTATTTGGGGAAAGACAATAAATGACTCAGGGATTGTCCCTCAGCCTGCTGCTTGGTGGGTGATTAGTGATTAATTACCTTGCAGCAAATTGACATGGCACGAGGAAATTGACACAGCCCTGATTAATTAACTTTTTATGGGTGGTAGTTACTCACAAAACACTGCGCACCATAATTGAATCTCTTTACATAACGTCATGGTAGAAAAGTTTTAGTCAAATCCAAATTAGCCAGAAGTTTCTAGGCTGTTATAGGTCTGATTGGGATGCATCGAAGGAATTGGCAAGAATGTGAACTTGGAGAGAAATGCACATTTTTGAAAGGGAAAAAAAAGATGGTGACAACGTGCTGGCCTGATTGTCCAAGCTGAATATATTGATCTAAATCTCGACTTCAGCTAGACTTCGGGAATAAGATTGTAAGAGGCTAAAATGTCTCTTTTTTCTCCAGCCTCACTTGGCTGTATTTCAGTGGCTTTTGGCAGATTCTCTCTCCTTTGTCCAGGCTCTAACAGTGAACTTGACTCCCAAATTCAGTTCTCAGTTCAAACATCGCTCCCTCCAAAGGCTTTACCTCTTTATCTAATTTCACATCTCCTGACACCCACAACTGTTACCAGTTACCATCATATTACCCTGTTGTTTTCTTTTTCCTTCCCATTAGTTTCTTATCACCTGAGTTGATTTCAACTTCCTTATACATCTCTCTATAGGGATGTCCTGAGGACTCTATGTTGGTCCCTACTGTGTCTCCAACATCTAGAAGATGACCGAGCACAAGGTGATCACTGATATGTGTATTGACTACGGTGTGTGATGAACTCGGAATGCCATAGTCCTACAGTTACGAAAGAAAATGGGTGGCAATCCTCAAACGGGTGAGAGTTGCTAAGGAGCGGCCTGTGAGGGATGCATATTCCCACAGAAACTCTGGGGTGATGGAGTTAGTGATAAGGGATCCTGGACCTCCCTTGTCTAAAAACCCAGGCAGTGATAACTGGAGTAATTCAAGGAACGATGTGATTGCAGTTGGCAAAATTCCAACCTCTGAGGCTCCATTATCAGGTGGAGAAAATTCAATTGCATGATGATAACAGCTAGGATTTACTAGCACTTGCTAATTGCCAGACCCGGAGATTAACCCACTAACGCCTCACAAAACCATATGAACCATGATTGTTGCTATCTTCACTTTCCTGGGGTGGAGATGGAGGTATAGAGTGGCTCAGATACTCACCCAGCGGTTTGAACCAAGGCAGCCTGACACCAAAGCCTATGATTTTATCCATCATGCAACATAAAGGCAACCCCAGTCAGGCTCCGGGAAAAGCTTTCTACTTCTACTCTCTCTCTGCTTCTTAGAGACTCTCAGTTTGGATTCCCTCCTATTGCCTGTACAAGCTGCTACATCATCTCCCTATATCCATACCACATCTGAGACAGAGCCAGCCCCAATTCATCATAGACTGGGTTAATTTGCAGGGGAATCTGTTGACAGTCCTCCCAGAGATCTCAATATGCTTCTTGTTGGGGGATAGGGGAGACATTAGAGGGTCTGTGTGTGTGCCCGCCATTTCTTCTGTTAGATACTTAAGTTCTGAGATTTCAAGACACCTGGAAAGGCCCTGTTCCTTTTCTGCTAATTGGATGCCGGCCATAGGGATCACCACTGATTTATGTTCCTGGTAAGAGTTCAAAGGCAGGCTGTTTCCCTTTGCCACTAGGGTTTACCTCTACATCTCGATGTGAGGGGGAGGTTGTGTTCAACCCAAAAATATTGGGAATGCAGATTCTGTAGAGTTAGTGAGCAGGTTTGTACTAGTACAGTGTGAGTAAAGGCTGCAGATGAACACAAACCTGATTACTGTCACAATGATGAGCTCCTTACAACTAAATTCAGCTAGAAATTTCTAATTTGGAAGACTGGAATGAGAAACTTATTTCAAAGCCTTGGAAGATCTGCATAAGAAACCTTCATAACATTTTGGGCTATTGCACGTTTTTCTATATATAATTGCTTTTTTAATATGTTATCAAATATCACATTACAACTTGGGTTTTTGAAATAAGTCTTCTTTTTGTGGAAATAAAAATAGTCATCTAGGAAAATAAAATTACATGTAATGAGCACACTGGGATTTACTCTGAGCAACGAGTCTGGTGTTCCCAAAGGAGAAAGTTCCCCTAACTTAACAAATTAAAGCAACAGCAAAAGACACACACACCATTCACACACATGAATATTCTTTGATCATGTAAGGTCCTTGTGTCTCTGAGCGAAGGCAGTAGAATTGGTGGTAACTAATTGGCGTGCTGTTCCTGCTTACCTCCCAAAGTTAGCTGTTGTATCTTTCCTCACAGGTTATAAATGGCTAGATTAATCCAACAGACAAGTGGCAAATGTCATGGCTGCTAAATGTGTAGTGATATGTTTTTACTATGCAGAAGAGGTATTTGTGATTTGCCTACTCACAGGTATCGACAATTTCCCCCGCCGGGCAGGATTTTTGTAACATTCGGCAAAATGAGAATGAGTCTCAGTCTTGGAGTGTTTAACTTGGCAGAACTGCAAAAGGCATTTGCAAAGGTGCTTTCTGTCCTTTGAAGGAGAAGACAAAGCCCTGAAGAGCTGAGATTTATTTTAATTTGGATGCAGCAGTTCGTCATCATCTATTAGTTTAACAAAATCTGTACTGATAACCATGTTGTTGTTTCCCGGGAAACCACGGAAAAAAAAAACCCAAATAATTTATATAATTACTTTATCCAGTGCATATACATACTGAAGTTTCAATTGTTAAATCATTCATGTTCTATCTAACAGCTGGCTGAAACAGCAAGCTCGGTGAATTGCCTCTCCAGGTAGGAAACAGGGCAAGTGAGATAAATTAGCTTCCTTATGCTGGGCTGGATTTCCCAAGGTTCTCTTGGGCTGACGCAGCTCCTGAACATGAAGCCTTCAGAGGGGTCTGACGGTGGCTCACAAGATGGGTACGCGACGCACATGCATTGTTCATTTCAGTCCCAGCCATAGCTGTGGGGATAGCTGATCTGTGTGTCAGTGCTGAGGCCATCTGATTTTGAGCATCAGCTTTCAGACTTAAAAAAAAGAGTCCTGATCCTTTGATCAATGCCCAAAGCCAACCTGGAGGACAGGTACTGTCTGAGCCTAGGGATCATCTGCCTGATATCTGAGCCAGAGCCTCCAAAACACCCATATAGAATAGACTAAGGAACTACCATCCAGGAGTGGTCCACCAGTCCAGTCACTGGACTAATATAAACCATCCAAACCCGCTTCTTTGGTGAACTTTATTTTTTGAGACAGGGTCTCCCCCAGGCTAGAGTGCAGTGGCGTGGTCATGGATCACTGCAATCTCAAACTCCTGGGCTCAAGTCATCCTCCCACCTCAGCCCTTCCAGTAGCTAGGACTATAAAAGTACACCATCACATCTGGTTTGGTGGACTTTAAAAAATCCTGGAGAAGGTGGCTTCTGAGCCAGAAAAAGAAAGAGTAGCATTTGAGGAGCTGTAACGCCTCAAGCAGCCTGGAGGACGCTGCACAACAATCTCATTTAGTGCTCATGGGTAGGTAGGTAGTCATGGCTATTTACATGGCGAGGAGACTTGGCCAAGGTCACAGCACTAGTCTACCGTGACAGTTTACTCCCAGACTTTCCTGAATCCAGCTCTTTTCACTAAGTCACGCTGTAGCTCAAGAAAAATGCTGTAAAACCACTAGTGGGAATTAGGACTTGCCAGAGAAAGGAAAAATGATCTTCTGGAAATGTTTGAGACTCCTGTAGCAAATAGTAAGGGTAGGGATAATAAATACCCATAGATGGTTGTGCCTTTCTGTTTGCTTTCATATGAAAAGTATTAGGCATCAAGAGCCTATGTTGCATACAAACAAAACTCAAGGAGATAAATCTAAAACATGTGGTGTGGTGTTTGGTTCTGAAACTGCATTTTCTTAACAGTGCTCCGAAGTTCTCCATTAGGGATAAATAGCTTTTGGCATGACAGTTCTTTTATATAAAAACATGATTTAAGAAAATGGTGTTTGAAGCACGTGTTTACATTACTGGGTTTATATGAACTACACCAGGCTCTTTTTCCCTTGGATGAGAGGCAACCTGAGCTGCTCCTCATGGTCTTTGCACTGAGATTTATTTTAGAAAAGAAATAAGGCAAGGGAAGAAGCAGCAGCCACCTCTATGGTTGGACACATTTCTATCCAAGAAGACTGGTATTTGATGAAAGAATGATTGCTCCAGCTCTTGAATTATGAGTGCCCTTGGATTCAGCCTCTCCCTTCCTAAGCTGTTCCTTCCCAGCTCTGTAGACCCAGAGAGAGCTTGACTCAACTTATAAAGCTGGGGCCCTTGGGAATGTGCACCTGCTCCATTGCATCAAACTGTCCTCTTTTACATTCCAAGAACCAAGCAAGATCTTGCCGTTGGCCCCTGCAACTTACCTGCTCAGAGCTCTGAATGTAAAATGGATTCCTTTTTTTTTTTTTAATGTAAATCCACATTAGTTTGGGGAAGCAAATAAAGGGCAGATAAGTGCTTAAAAAATAAACTCTCAAAATAAGCCTCTCAAACTATTGAAGGATTTCTCTTGACTCTGATGAGGCCGGATGAGGGTGAGTTTTGTCAAGGAGTTAAATGCAGGAGCTGCACTAGCCAGTTGATCCTCTTAAGAAAATGTGAGCATTAAAAAACACTTTCTGTCAATGCTATCACAGGACTTGGGGTTTCCAGGGAATTCCCCCAGAATAATTGCCTCACTGCCTTTCTGAAACATCTCATCTCGGCCTTGTTCTCTGGCTGTGTATGCATTGGAATCCCAGGGCAACATAGTTTATTGTTTTAATATCTGTCTGACACAAAGCAAAAGCATCCTCTAGTGACTCCTTATCTGTCATATGTATTTCTGTGAAAGAAATATCAAGACAAATAAGATGTTTGGGGGCACACCATGGGATGGTAGTTTTTGCAACTGGCGGCCTTTTGCAGCCAGACACCCATCTGAAAAAATGAAAATCACCATTCTGCATTGAGATTAATAACGAAAGCAATGACAGAGAGCTGCATGGCAGCTGCCTGAAATGTGGCTGCCTCTTTGCAGAACTTTCCCTTTAAACAACTGGGGGTGAGAGGTTCTACTAGTGGTTTTAATTCTTTCTTGGAATTGGTTAAAAAGGACAAACAACAAAGTGGGTTATGATTATGACAGCCAAAGAAACAACACACGGATGAAGAAGTTGGGGGTAGTGGTTGCAGGGATTAAAAATACAAATGAACCTATTCTGAGGACTGTGATCCAGGTGGAATAACTAAGTTAATATCAGAGCTAGTAAAAGCCTCTTAGAAATCATCTGTTAATCAAATGTGCTGGGACATGGGAAAAGTTGAGCAGATGGAGAAAAGCAGAGATGGTGCTTCAGTGATGGAGAAAGAATAATCTCTGGAGTTCACCATTGGTGGGTGGGGGGTAGCTGGATAATTCTGCAATGCTGTGGGCAACTATTGTTCATAAATAGATAAGTGCTATGATTGAGGTGGCAGGGAGAGCATGGCACCTAGTAGGTGTCTGAAAACACCTCAATCCATGGGTTTGGTGAAGCAAATAGGGTCTCAGTAGCAAAGGGCACCTGTCTACAGTGTTGAAGAATGGTGAAAATAGGGACACTTAATTCACCTACTGAGAGGCACCCCAATGGCAGTGCTAACAGTGAATAAGTCTCCTGTTGGGTGTTACTTCCCAAATATCCCCTAGGAGCACTGCGTTTGAAATTCTGAAACCTTAGCATTATATATATTTGTCTGTTATGTGTCCCCCCAAGAATATAGGTATAATAGAAGCCAACTTGAGAGTATCTTCACAGCATATTTTCAGGATGTAGAATTGCACCTGGCATATAGAAAAAACTTCAATAAAGATTGGTTGAATGAAGTAACACCTTTCAACCCCCTCTCCGATCAAAGGACTAAAAACTAGAAGGAATTATCTCTGAGAAAATGACAAAGAGGACACAGGTAGGCTGCCACCGTAATGCTGAACCATAGCAAAAGAGAAGAAGGAGTGTCTGATTCCCTGATGGGAAGGGTCCAGCCCAGAGGATCTTTTAGAGCCAGCATTGTTGAAAGTGTGGGGATAGAAATGGAAACAGTTCAGACAGAAGATCCTGGGTAAGACAATGGAGTCTTCACATTTTGCCCAAGGAAACTGGGGCAGGTCTTAGACTAATGTCAGTAGAATTAAGCCTCTGAAACCAGATTTGATCATTGTGCAAGCAAAACTAACCACCCAATTCCTGTATCTTGATCAAATTTAAGTCAAGATCATTTTGTATCATTTAAATCAAGATCAATTTGTATCTTGATCTTAATAGGTACCAGGAGAAGGGTACCTATCTTTATGTACTACTTCACGTCATTTAAAATGTGATAAAATGGTACAAAATGCAAAAAATACATGAGGGTGCACACTTAAAAGAATTTTCCTTATTTCCACCCCCAAGCAGCCAGCCACCATGTTCTGTCCTTTTAAGTAAGAATTACGGCCTGACAAAGAGATGGGTAAACTATGGCGCTTGGGCCCAATCTGGCCTACAGACCATTTTTGTAAATAAAGTTTTATTGGAACACAGTCACGCCTATTCATTCATGTTTCAACCTAGAAGTCTATGGCTATATGTACAGTAGTCTATGGCTACTTTCAAGCTATAACAAGAGTTGAGTCGCTGCAACAGAGGCTAGATGGCCTGTAAAGCTGAAAATATTAATAACATCCAGCCTTTTACAGAATAATTTTGCTAAGCCCTGGCCAGACATCTCAAAGAGGGGAAAACTGCCTCTCCAAACATGATGGGATGGGGAGGAGACAGCACAGCCTTGGCCCAAATAGAGTTGCTGGACAGCTGCTGAGAGGTTCCCCGTGACCACTCCCTGCTCAGCCATTTCTTGGAGTCCATCCTGTTTCCAGCCTCTGGGGTAAGTTGAGAGAGTAGTGAAGAAGGCGGCTTGGGATTTAAACAGGCTTGGTTCAAAGCTGATCTAGCTGGGTGATCTCGGACAAGCTTCTTAACGCCCCCAAGCCTAAATTTCCTCCTGAGAAAAGGTAGCATAATTAATCATACCTGTCCTATAGTTCCTTCTTAAGAAAGCTAATGAGAAGGGCTTAGCACAATGCCTGACATATAGTGAGTGCCCAATAACCACTACTTATGATTATGGATATCATCATGATTTCAGGGCTGCAACTAGGTTAACAGGCGTTCACTGTCGTTGCAGAACTTAAGTGGGGGGTGGAAGGGAGGAAACACCAAAAAACTCTGTAATGGAGATAGATCATGTTTTAATGCAATCTTTTAACACCCAAATTATTTTTTAAATCCACGATGAGCAGACTATCAAAATTGAAATAGTGCTGGATTAAGCCATATGGGATCTTAAGGCTCCAAAAGGAAAAAGGAATAAAACTTATTCTGTCTTGATATTCTGTTAATCATGGATCTTTTTCTGTTACTTTAGATTTTTAAAAATATTGCATTAAAATGCTATTTATGAGGTATTTGGATACCCCTTTAATCTTTGAAGTGAGCACGTCACTTGCTTACCCTAGTCCCGGAGCTAGTTATTGTTAAGCACCCCCTCCATAAAATAGTAGAAAAATATCTAGGAGGAAAGCAAGAAGCTGTCAGACACTGGCAAGTGAGGGAAAAAGAAGACACAATTCTTTACACCAATGTGTCAGTAACAAAATGACCTGTATGTGTCCTTTCTAGTAACTGAGTCCAGCCCACTGACATTTTCTGTATTGTGCAGAAGAAAAAGGAAGCCGTAAATTAATTTAGGTCCTTACTTTAATTACAGAAACCCATGGAAGTTCTATCAATTACCTAAAAGTAAAATAGTACAGGCCTGATTTATGTATGTTTCTGCCACTTAAATCATCGTTTTATGAATTCCACACAATTACTTCCTTAAAATCTGCAATCAATATATCAGTTGAAACTATGCCCCTACCACCTGCCCTTGAGTTTCATAGAAGTCAATAAATGAGGAATTGATTTTGCATTTTGATAACATTCAGGTTCCCAAGCATTTGCCCATGATATCTTTTTTTTCCTTCTTTTTTTTTTTTTGAGGAGGGAAGGGTATCAGGGTGAAAATTTCAGGGGAAACGATAATTAATCTTCTATTAACTTTAGGATTTATCCTGATGGGGATCTACTGTTCAACTCTGGCTTTCATGGAACTGTGGAAAACGCGCTCATTGGCATTGATAAGCATACGGAACAATAAAGAAATTTCTTCCAGAAAATGCTTTTCTAGCCCTTGACAAATAAAACTGACATCCCTGTATCAAGGGGCTTGCTACGGACTAAATTATGTCCTCTCCACTCAAATTCATATGTGGAAGCCGTAACCCCCAATGTGATGCTTTGTGGAAATGGGGCCTTTTGAGAGGTAATTAGGTTTAGATGAGGTCCTGAGGGTGGGCCCTTCATAAGATTCATGCCCTTATATGAAGAGACACCAGAGATTGCTCTATTCCTCTCTCTCTCTCTGTTTCTCTCTGTCTCTGTCTCTCTCTTGTGAAAACATGGGAGAAGGTGGCCATCTGTAAGCCAAGAAGAAAGCCCTCACCGGAACCTAACTTTCTTGGCACCCTGATCTTGGACTTCCAGCCTCCAGAACTTTGAGAAAATGAATGTCTGTGGCTTAAGCCTCCCAGTCTACGGTATTTTGTTATAGCAGCCCAAACTGACTGATACAGTGCAAAACAAAACTTGCTCTTGACAGGGATTTTGTAATCCAAAATGACGTCTAAAATGATCAGAAAAGACAGATACATTTGCCTATGTAATTAAAAATGTATGGTGGAATCTGAGCAACATCAATCGTCAAAACAGGAAATACACGTGTAACATCTGAACCATTCATAGGTTATCCTAGTAAACAAGTGTCACTCACGTGTGAACTGATAATAAAATAAGAAAAATCTCAAACAGGAAGATGTATACTGGAAATTCAAAGAGGTAAAGTCTAAATGAAAAATGTGAAAGACGGTGATCATTAATAGGAGAAAGGCAGAGACAAACTAAAACAAATTGAGATGTTATTTTTCACTATGCAATTTGCAAAATAGAGCAAAACATGGCAGTGCTGGCAAGCATGCTGGAAGGGAACCAACAGTTCCATGTTTGGCAATGTTAAGTGTAGAATGGATGTAGTTGCACGTAAGGGTATTTGCAAATATTTTTACTATCTCCTTGTGGAGGGAATAGAAAAAGAGGTAGCTTGGGCTGGGCGCAGTGGCTCATGCCTGCAATCCCACCACTGTGGGCGGCCAAGGCGGGTGGATCACGAGGTCAGGAGATTGAGATCATCCTGGCTAACACGTGAAACTCCGTCTCTACTAAAAATACAAAGAAATTAGCCGGGCATGGTGGCGGGCGCCTGTAGTCCCAGCTACTTGGGAGGCTGAGACAGGAGAATGGTGTGAACCCAGGAGGTGGAGTTTGCAGTGAGCCGGGACTGCGCTACTGCACTGCAGCCTGGGTGACAGAGCAAGACTCCATCTCAAAAAATAAAAAAATAAATAAATAAAATAAAAAGTAAAAAGAAGTGGCTTGAATGACTATGGATAGAGAATGGTTGAATTGACTGTCAACCATTTATGTCATTAAACAAACTGGATGAAAATATCTAAAAGGCTTAAAGGGAGACGGTCACAATGTATTATGTGAAACTAAATATGATTGATATATGTAATGTCCATGTAACATCTGTGTATACTCTCCTCTGTAAAGTCAAACTAATAACACACCGTCCCCCGCCCCCACCATTGCATGTGTGTATGTCCTTTCCTGAATAACCACGGAGAAAATGTAGAAAGATACTGGGCGTCCACACACTTTTAAGGGTTTATGTTACTGGATAAAGTGGGGATATTATTCCCACATTATTACAATGGTGTGTATGTTTATTTGCACACTTCACATTGATTGCAATGAGCACCTGTTACTATTGTAATTTAAAACATATTCATAAAATCCTGAAGAAAACAAAATAAACATTTACGTGCTTCTGGAAACATCTACTTCATATGTAAATAAGGATCTGCGGTAGCTGGCTTTGCTAATCTGAATCAGAAGTGAACTTTTTCATTCATGGAACCAATGATTTACCTTTAGATACTTCAACTAATGAAAATGAAACTCATGTATTAATTTGGAAGAGATGTGGTATGTTCTTTACCTTCCTATTTCTGCCTGGTGCCAATTTTGATGTTGAGCATTCGCCATATGCAAAACAGCGCTGGCAATAATACACCTAGTACCTTTCCCCTCAACAAGAGGAGCAGGCTGACCACTGGCCTTCGGAATGGAATGAACAGTCCACATACCAAGCAGCCCTGCCCATTTCACTAAACCTTTCTGTTAAGGGGTTGAATTGTTTCTATTGAAAGCCTATTGAAAAATATTAATTGCAAATGTTTTCCATTTGACACTAGGTGATGTTGCCTAATTCTCTAGAGTTTTGTTCTTTCTTCATTTAAGTTTCATAGAAAGCAGGCCCATTTTACACTCTGGATGAGAGTAGTTTATTAGGACGTGTAAGAGGATGCATGATGACCTGTGACACAATTTGAACTAGGGTTTTAAACCTGCATGAAGTTCAGGGGTGACGGAGAAAAACTGGAGTCATTTGGGGTCCGATGGAAGAGTCTACGGAATTAGTTGTATGGACACAAAGTTATCAGTGAAAATCTTTCTCTTAATACTTTTATGAGTCCTGGGTCACATTGTTAGGATGATTCACTTAATGGGGGAGAAAACCTCACTGTTATGCAAAAATGCATATCAAAAGCAGATAACTTCAGTAGGAATTATTTTCATTACAGACTAATTCAGCAGGGTTCCTTTAAAAACCATCTCCCCTACTGCATTTAAGGATGTTATTTACAGATGATTAGCTATTTGACTAGGAAGAGGTACAATTTAAGTCTCGAAAAAAAAAAACAAACATCAAAGGCCAGTTAAAGATCCATGGAGGAAAAAAACGCAAAAAAACAAAAACGAAGCTCCAGAGTTATCTTGCAAGTCTGTAGACACATAGGATCCAACATACAAAAGTGTAATTTACACACACCTTCCTTCAGGAGCACAGCTGTTAAACAGAAATGAGGAACATATGCATTTTCAAGTTAAAAAACAAGAGCATCCTACACAATTGCTGAAAAGTATGGTAGCCTCAGCTTTGAGGGCAATGGTTGGATTCCTAGAGAAAAAGTCTGCACCCATCAGAGAGCAAAGATAAAATATGTGACTCT
Source organism: Homo sapiens (assembly GCF_000001405.40). NCBI lineage: Eukaryota > Metazoa > Chordata > Mammalia > Primates > Hominidae > Homo > Homo sapiens. The sequence goes on along the minus strand of NC_000016.10, from coordinate 7,634,077 downwards.
CAGCCCTGTGCAAATCGAAACTGTTGGGAGAAGAAAAATCCTGGATGACCATGAATATAACTCGTGTGTGTGTGTGCGCACAGGCCTGCATGTAAAAATAACCCTTTATGTGCCAGCTGACCTGTTGCAGGAAATGGGGAATGGTTTTGTAGTAGAATATGCACCTAATCTGGAAGAGAAAAACCTAAGTGAATGTTGCCAAGCCAGCAATCCACAAACAGCCTAGACCAAAAAGCCATAAAAGAGAAAGGAAACCGCAGCAATGTGTCTTAGGGATTTGCGGATAAACTTAACATTCAACACCAATGCACAGCCTGCAAACAGAAATAACTGAAGGCCCCTCTGCCTACCCAATTGGAGAGGGAGGGGTCTCAGAGTTGGTCACCATTACAAAATACTAATCGAGATTGACCATCTGAATGCCCTTGCTTAAGCCTCGACAAGTGAAGATTCTTAATGTAAGAAACTAGTTTTCATTTTGCTTTTTAATGGGGTGGTAAAATTAGCTATTTTCTTTAAAACTGCTCTATTGAAGGGTGTTTATTTTGTTTAATATTTTTGAAAAAAAATTGCTATGAACCTAAGTTCTCAAGAATGGGGGAATAGATTAAAATATAATATAATGAAACAATACTATGGGTTCATTAACATATTTTTATAAAAAGCACATGGCATATAATGTGCAGGTAATACGACTGATACAATTTAGAAATGAAGGATGTTGGATGCACATTATACAATTTCATAATTGTTAATTTTTACTTTAAACATAGAAAAAGGTACAGCTACACACAGTGCAGTGATATTGCCACTTTGTATTTTTAATACTAAAATCGACCCTTTAAATTGGAGATCAGTACACTTCTTCTGTAAAGAGCCGGACTGTTAAAACGTTAGGCTTTGCAGGCCACCTTGGTCTCTGGCACATTCTTTGTTTTTGTTTTGTTTTTTTCAATCCTTGGAAAATCTAAACATCATTCTTCATTCATAAGCCTTGTAACACAGGCCATGGGCTGGCTTGGGTGGCCCTCGCTTTAGATGGTTTCATTTTCTCTCTATGCTTCAGCTATTTTATTATGGAGAATTTGGGAAATATTTTCATGTGATGTGAGAGATGCTTCCCCAATTCACTTTAGAATAGCTATACCAATTCAAACTAGCACACTTTTGGAGTTGATTGTTTTGTTCACTTCTGTAAAGAAAATTGAAATATAGATATGTCATATCATCATATAGAGCCATACTGTCCAATATGGTAACCATTAGCCCCTATATGGCTAATTAATATAACATAAAAATGAGTGTCTCAGTTCCATCAGCACTATGCTGGATAGCATAAAGATTTTATCCCAGACACTTCTATAGGACCGCAATGTTAGAGAAAAAAATAATACTCTAGGACCCAGCCCTATGGTAAGTTTTGGCACACCAACTCTCTTTCAGAAAATAATATAGACGAGGAAGGCTAGGTAAATGGTACAGCGATCAGATTTAGTCAAATGGACTCAGAAAGGTAGCTGAAGGTTGAATAATGTTCCCAGGTTCAGAAGACAAATCTATTACACACTGGCTCTGGGATTGCCCTCCATTTCCTCAGTTGTAAAGCAAACATTGTGATACCTACCTGGTGCTGGTTTTGAGAGGAATACACAAGGCTGGACATGTGAAAATGTGTAGTAACATTACAATTTCAGGAGATACATGCACACACATTTACACTGGCCCCAAGGAGGCCCTTCTGAATTTGTTGTCACAAATTCAGAAAGAACCACTTCTTGCCAATATGATTAGATTTGGGCTTCTTGGGAGGCACAGAAAAATGTCTTGCATTTAATTAATGCCAAAATTGCCATTAAAGATTATAGTCTGGGCCAGGGGCAGTGGCTCACGCCTGTAATTCCAGTACTTTGGGAGGCTGAGGTGGATGGATCATCTGAGGTCAGGACTTTGAGACCAGCCTGGCCAAGATGGGGAAACCTCATCTCTGCTAAAAATACAAAAATCAGTGGGAGTGGTGGTACATACCTATAATCCCGGCTACTTGGGAGGCTGAGTCATGAGAATTGCTTGAGCCCAGGAGGCGGAGGTTGCAGTGAGCTGAGATGGCACCACTGCACTCCAGCCTGGGTAACAGAGTGAGACTTTGTCTCAAAACCTCTAACTGTGAGAAACAACTGGCTGTCAGACCTCCTGAAGACTTCAGACCCTTGGGTGTGTCACATTATATTTTTGATTCCCTGTGACTGCTGGTAACAGGGAGGTGCTGCCCCAACAGTGAGGAGGTTGGTTTTCCTCAGCTTCACAATTTAGGAAACGAAGATGTTTGGTTTTGGCACGATGGTGAGGATTCTCCTACGTCTCTTATCCCTTGAGCCTGGTACTCCTGCTCTCCTCCCCATCCCTGCCTTTTACAACTACTCTGAGAAACAGCCCCACCCCCACTCCAGGCACCCAGACTCACTTTTAAGCACTGACCCTAAAGACGACTCATTCTGCAGTTACGGCAACTCCACAGGATTTACACACATTGTATAAAACAGATGTTAAAGTTTCAGCTGTGGCTGGGAGATTCTTTAAGAAGGGGTATACCCTCTGGGAGAACATGGTAGAGTCAGTGGCGGCTTTAATTCTTCTACCTGCTCTGGGAATTGGGGTGAGGATAGGGCATCCTTGAACCCAGAGCATCCATCCGAGGCAGAGAAATCTTCGGTTCTTCCATGTCAATGTTGTGATCTACTTCCTGTATTTATTTTGGGTCTCTTCCCTCCCGCACTGGATGGGTATACTTATCTACGTTTAAAAGTGCCCCGATTTTTTAAAAGACAGTTATTTAATGTTGCTGCCCCTGCACTTGATTAAATGAGGGGGGAACCACATTTCTCTCTCTGCTCCTCCTCCTCCTCCTCCTCCTCATTGGAATTACATAGCAAAGGACAGAACAGCCTTGCAAACAAGTGACTAGCTGCAGGCTAGTGGTATTTTCCATCGTGAGACAACTGTGTACAAGAATCCTGGTTAAGCATCTTTTACTAGGCAAGGGTGCCTTTGGGGTGGCCTGTATATGCTATTTAAATTATTTTTATATTAATTTGCAAAGCTATGATAGAAGGCAGGCAATGAGCTAAAGCTTCCCACCCTCCCATGCCCCTCCCCACCAACCCCATGCCCACATTCCCAACCATTGGACCCAATCCTGACGGATCTAACAGAGAATGTCCAGGACATCTGGGAAGTGGCATGGGAGACAGACATGCTTATGAAAATTAACTTCACCTCAGAGAGAGCCACAAGAGAGGGTGGGGCAGAGGGAGGGGGAGAGAACTTACATGGCAGGGAAGGTGATTGGACTCAGATTTATGTCACAAAACAAAAAGAGCCACGACAGTGGGCTTACTTGCAGAAGTATATACAAGTGAACTGGGGGCACTGTACATGGAAGATCCCTCCTGGTTGGCCTGGCACAACAGGACCGTGCCTACGAAAGAGAGAGAGAGATGGTATCTGGTTTGGGAATCGGTACACTACACCTGAGAGATCACGGCAATGCAACCGAGAAATGCAGAGAAATGAAAACATAGCCACATCCCAGAGCGCAGGACAAGGGTACCCAACAAAGCCCCCTGCCTTAGCCAAAGGGAATCAATGGAAGCCCCCCCACCCACCACAACCCGGCCCACCAAGCACACGTCATGACTTTTCACACGGGGTTGTGTAGCGGACTCTGGTTGCCCCAGGGCCCAGGTTCAGATCAGGAATGGAAGCAGCGTGGCATACTGAAAAGGGAACTTGAGAAATATTGGAGGGAGCTAGATAGTAAGCCTGACTCAGACACCTCTTCACTGTGTGATCTTGGCAAGTCACTGTACCTCTCTGTGCCTCAGTGTTTCCATCTGGAAAACAGGGGTAAATATACCTACCTCCGAGAATGGCTGTGCATCATATGACTGGAGACGTACCCAGGGCAGGGGCTGGCATGTAATAATCACTCAATCAATAGTAAGCATACATGTTGATAGGTTTAGAGAAAACGGTAACTTCCTTCAAATGTCAGTCTTTCCGAATCAGTTCTTCAGAGGAAGAACAGAAGTAAGGCGGAGAAAGAAAAATTGCAACTTTTTGCCATCCCTGGGACCCACCCTGGACCCACACTGGACACTGGATGAGAGAATCTTCGGCTTCTGTATTCCCGCTTTCTTCCCTAAAGCTCTCTGCCTTCCAGCCAGAAAGGCTGCCTAGCTCATCCTGCAAACTGCGGCTGCATTGCAGCAATGACTTGCCTCCTCCTGATTTAAAGCGAAGGGCACTGGGTTCATCCTTGCAAGGTGGAATTTTACAGCGGCAAATAATGGTGGAATCCTGAGATACCTCCTCAATCTATGACAGATTTTGAACAACCACCCACTCCAGGGATGACTGGGGTCAGGAATTGTCAGGGTATCAGTGCTACTTTCCCACTGCTGCAAAGCTCAAACTCCAAGACTTTGAAAATAATTAGAATTCTGAGGAGTTTTAAGGCCATTACTGGTGATGGAAATACCTCCCTGTGGTTTCTGGTCACTTCCTTGACTGGGGAAGGTCAACCGCCCCAGTTTGATTTGGATTCCCCTGTCAGGACCGCAACGGGAAAGCAATCTCCCATGATAAGAAGCCAACCTTACAAGTGCACCCGCAGAACAGGGAACTTTTCTATATCCTTGGAGACTTGCCCTAGGGAATGGTTCTATGCTCCTTCTGTATCTTCCCTATGATCAACAAAAATGTAGTTAAAACTTCCAAAGCGTGTGGGGTCCTGCCACACAGAGGGACTGCACGGTGATGTCATCAAGGGACAGTAAACCAGACACAATTCTTTCTAACCCATCTCACTCTTCCCCTGTTACCGGTCTGACAACTCCATCCACTTTTTCCCAGGGAGAAGCAGCCCAGGGCCAGAGGTTCTACCTGAAGGAATGTCCCATGGTCTTTTTCGATCTGGTTTCCCATGCTTATAGCTGGAGAACAGCCACCCCCACCCGCAAAATAGCCCTTCACACAACAGTGAAATTAACTCGAAATTAACTAACCTTCTCTGGGTAGTAAATATATCAAGAGTCTGGCGGAGTGTCAGTATGATTCACCTGTGCTAAACTAATAGTTCTTTCTTCTTCATTTAAAAACAGTTTATCGGCCAGGTGTAGTGGCTCATGCCTGTCATTCCAGTACTTTGGGAGGCCAAGGCAGGTAGATCACCTGAGGTTAGGAGTTCGAGACCAGCCTGGCCAACATGGTGAAATCCTGTCTCTACTAAAAACACAAAAATTAGCTGGGTGTGGTGGCAGGCGCCTGTAATTCCAGCTACTCAGGAGACTGAGGCAGGAGAATCACTTGAACCCAGGAGGTGGAGGTTGCAGTAAGCCGAGATCACGCCATTACACTCCAGCCTGGGTGACAAGAGCAAAACTCCATCTCAAAAAAAAAAGTTTATCACAACGTATGAGATGATACTTTCCATGGTTTAACCTCGCCTCAGGTATTTCCAGTTTTAGCAGGTCACTGGGGATTAACAGCAAACAAACCAAACTCCAAAGAATGGAGATTGGGATATGAAACCAAGCAAGGGGAGGCAAGCTACCTACCAGGAAAGACAGTTAGTCCCCTCTACAGTCAGTGGTGTTTATCAATGAGTACTCCTGTGTGACTCTGCAGCGGTTATCTATGTGCTTCTGCTCACTGCTAGAAATCTTAGAAATAAATGAATGTGTTTCTATAGGATATACAGAGAGTTATCAGGTCGGAATCATCTACGATAGGATCCTAGCAAGTGGATTTAGGGAATGCTCCTCAACCTTCTCTCCTGTGCACGCCTGGTTTAAAAAAACACTTAAAATCAGCTATGAAGTTTCTTGGGGTGCTAAATTTCAAAAGAAAAATGTATAACTGTAACACAAACATACACAGAAGGACATTTCAGTATTGTATGGTTAAAACCCTTGGGTCAATTTTCAATATCCTCGATGCAATTTATAGAATTCCACTGGGACACAGCACAGATTTTTGCCTGGAAAGCTAACCTCTGGCACGGCATAATGAAGCATTCCTAATTTTTTTTAATGCTGTGGATTCTGAGAACCTGGACTGAAATATTTTCTTTGGATACTTTCTTCGTAGTTAAAAAAAAAAAAAATCTTTATGCAATGATTTTGACCTTTTGTAAAACAAAATCTATGCCTTCACAGGACTTGGTTTTTGTTTTATCTAAAAGCATCCTCCAATTTAATTTGGAAAGTACTTACTGTATGTTCCCTTAGTGCTTTGTGACCTTTTCTTAAAAGGACGCTTTGAATTCGACAAAACCAAAGCAGCAGAGAACACTGCAACCTCCATGCATTTTTTTGGGCAGGGAAAGGTAAGTGTGTTTGTTTTAAAAAGTAAGTCAAATAGGTAATAAGGTACAAGCAGCAGTATGGAGAGGGCCTACAAGGTCATTCAAAGCACTTCTCAATATAGCTTCAACATAGCTCTTCATTGAGTCCACTGAGCTGGATCTTCTATCTGTCCCTAGCCTTCAACATAAACCTTCTACTGCCAAATGCCAGGAACCTTCATTTGTATCACATGATGACATCCTGTACTTCTCAGACTTCTGTGCTTTTATCAAATTCCTTATAATCTAGGGATGGCAAATGGGGTCAATTTATACCACTACCTACCCATTCTTTAGCCAGAACGGAATTAATCAATTTCAATATTATCCTTTCCTATTGGCCTGGAATCCTCACAATCATTCTCAACACAGCCAGTAGGCAATGATTCCCATTTGATTAGAGTTGGTGAAGTGGATGAAACCTTCATGCTGTTCCTGCTCTTAGAGTTAGATTAAACCATTTCAAATTGACTTTTTTTTTTTTTTTGTCAAATAGAATTGAATGTTGCCAAGTTCATGTGGTTCAACTTAAAAGAAAAAAAAAAAAAAAGGAGGCGGAGGGGCTTCCCCTGTCCTCCTCCAACATAGTTTAAAAGTGACCTCTTCTCTCCCTTGTCCTCAGGGGTGAATTAGTTATTACCTACACTATGCTCTTATCTTGCATTTTTAAACCTCCCTGATAGATCCTTCGTGGTCCTCTACTACAATTTTCTACTTAGACATTGGTCGTCTGAACTACAAAATCCACCTGCGGTAGAGCCAAATCATACTCATCTTTTCATCCCCAACACCTAGGAAAATACCTGATCCTCAGAAGGATTAATGCATATGATTGAATTATAATACATTTTTAAAAACAAGTCTCCACTTCTACCCTCTTTGCTAAAAATAGTGTTTTTTTTCAACCAATCTTTCTTCCGCCTGTTCATGGCAGGAAATTTGCATGCCTGAAGTTCAAATAGATTTACACACTACATGTAAATAACTTTTACAGATTGAAATAGCTTCAATCTACTTCACGTGTTTTCTCTTCTTTCCTGGTTCTTATAAAGTTGGCTCACCCACTCTAACAAGAAACCTGCGCAGCCTGGACTGTCGATGACTGTATCAGCACCTGGCAGACATTTGGCTCCATGGGACAGACCTCAATCTCAGAATAATCAGAGCCCGTTCCAAAGCCTGTCACGTTCGCCCACTCTGAGTGCCGGGATCATCGGCATCCCCACAACCTGGCAAGATGTCCCACAGCCACTCTCCAGCAGGATTTTGAATCCTCCAGTGAGGAAGGGAGTAAGCCAGTGCCAAGGTCTCAGATGGGGCATCGGAACCCTTTCTGCTGAGCAGTAGTCTCCATACGGCATGCAGGGGATCATTCCTGGCCCCTGAAGGGGCAGGCACAAGCCTAGAAGGGATGTTTCCCATCACAGACAGGAAGGAGGAAGTGTCGAAAACTGTTTACTCTGCTGCCAACCCCCTAAGTGAGGAAAACTGGACTCAAACCGGAACAGCAGTGCAGTTTCACACCTCCATGCCTTTGCAGAGGCTTTGTCTTTTTCCAGGAAATCTTTTCCTTGCTCTAGGTAACTCCTTTCTGGACTCAGCTCTGGCTTCTCCTAGAAACCCTATCTATGTACCTTTGTCTGGCAGAGTTCAGCTTCCTTTCTCTTCTTTTTAAAATTGTGTTGTGTAATCTATTTAATGAGTGTCTTCCCCCATTGATGCTACTAATTCAAAGAGATCAGGAATCATGTGTTTATCTTCCTATCCTCATGAGTCCAGGAACCTAGACTAAGAGGCAGGGAGCAAATGAAGTGAGAATCCAAAGGTTTCTGATAGGCAGCCATGCTACACTTCCAAGAAATAAAATTAAAATGGAGGATGGGAAGGAAGAAAAGAAAGGCTGTTTGGCAATGTCTGCCCGTTCCCTTTTAGTATCAAATGGGCACAGTTCCAAGTCAGTACATGGTGAATAACTAGAACTTTTCCTACATAATTTCTGAATTTAAACAAAAAATGTGAACGGAACATCTCAACTGCCTGGCAACTGGGAGTGGCCAATTAGCTTCAAGAGCTCGAAGATTAAAATGGGTTAGGAAATCTGGAGGATGCTCTTGAAGACACAAAGAACAACAGCTAGACTTTATGAAATACCTAAGATGGAATGAGTATTCTGGGGCCCCCATGCAGGAAGTTTCTGTATATGTCATGCACTGTCTGTACCTCTAATACAGGAGTTATTAAGAAATTATTTTAGGCAGATAGTAAGGGTAAAGGTTCTAGGTGGAAATTTTCCTGTAATAAGAAACCACCCCCAAACCATCTCTTTTATAACAGAAAAGACTGCTCGAAGGGCTGGGTGGGCAAGCTTTGATATGCAAATACCCGCCATTAGGAACAGGGTTCACTCAATGTGGCGATTCCTGCTGTCTTCTCCTTGTCACCACCTGTGCCCAGTTTAATGGCCACCTCCAGATAACACCATGTGTTCAGAACATCATGGCGACCCGCATTTACACATTAAAGGACTAAGGTGGGAGAGCCAGGTTTTTTGCAGGCTGCATAAATGACACACCTGGCCAAAGCAATCCCCTGGGCTGTATGCAAATCAGACACCGCCTCCTCAAGCCTCCCCTATAATCTACCACTTATCTGCCACACACAAGGTTTCTCTGTTCCAGGCCCCACTCTCCGGTCTCTGTATGGGGAAGCTGTTCTTTTCTTTCTTCCTCCTTTCTTGCCTATTACACTTTTCGCTCCTTAAAACCACTCCACGTGTGTTCACATTGTTAATCCAATCGGCGCAAAACCAACAACCTTGGCATTTCTCCAGTCATCAGAACCGTATCACCTCAACAAACCTCTACTGTGTGGTGGTGCAGAGTCACACAAAAATAGAACTCTCCACTGATGTCTGGCTTTCCTAATGTCACTCAGCCGAGGAAAGGAGCTTACTCAGGGAAGAAGGCTAAGAGGAGAACCCTAGAACCCTGCAGGGCAATGTCTGAGTAGCACAAGTGCTTATTAGTCCCTCTGCCTCTAGTGCTCAGCTAGGCAACTATGATGTAGTGAGTATTATCATTCATTTGGCTGGTACTTATTGGCATCTACTCGTCTATGTGCCAGGCACTGTGCTGGGCTTTGGGGTACATCTGTTGAACTCCATGTGCTTTTCCAGAGGATGACATGTTATCACGTTTAGTGCTCATAGGTTCAGTAACAAATGTATACATGAAAAGGAACAAAAGAATGATTCTGAATATCAAACCAAACCTTAGCCTACATAATTAGTCACACTGCTCACTAAGATAAGTATAATTATTCGAGAACAATTTTTATTAGATATAACTATTATGGCTTTGGCCAAAATTCTCTATTTCTGCTATATAATTCTATCATAACTGAAAGTTTAGTAGTAATAGGAATCAATGCTAGAAATGTTTTGATTCTACATAAAGAAAAAGCTTTTTTCAATATTTGCCAAAGAATATTTACTTTGCATTTGTCCCTCCATAGTAGGCGTCTGATGCCATTAGTCCTCCTTTACTGGCATTACAAAGGTGGCACAGAACAACTAAGTCCTTTACCAAAAACCTTACCAACCAGAGGTAAATTTTAGATGAAAAACAAGCTATTTGGGTTCCTACACTGTCACTCATTTCATCGAGTCCTTCCTTCAGTCCACTGTTGTAGAATCATTTTTAAATGCTATAACTCTGAGTACTTCAGAATGTGACTTTACTTGCAGAGAGATCTTTAAAGCTGTAATTAAGTTAAAATGAGGTCATATGGGTGGGCCTTAATCTGACAGATCTTACAAGAAGAGGAGATGAGGACACACAGGGAAACCCAGGTGAAGACAGAGAAAAGATGGTCATCTGCAAGCCAAGGAGAGAGGCCTCAGAAGAAACCAACCCTGCCAACACCATGATCTCAGACTTCCAGCATCCAGAATTATGAGAAAATAAATTTCTGTTGTTTAAGCCAGGGTTCCCCAACCCCTGGGCCACGGACCCTACTGGGCCACACAGCAGGAGGTGAGCTGCAGGTGAGCGAGCAAAGCTTCATGTGTATTGACAGCCGCTCCTCATTGTTCATGTTACTTCATGTTACCACCTGAGCTCCACCTCCTGTCAGATAAGTGGAAGCATTGGATTTTCATAAAAGTGTGAATCTTATTGTGAACTGAGCTAGGGATCTTGGTTGTGTGTTCCTTATGAGAATCTAATGCCTGATCCGTCACTGCCTCCCATCGCTCCCAGACAGGACTGTCTAGTTACAAGAAAAGAAGCCCAGGGCTCCCACTGATTCTACATTATGGCAAGTTGTATAATTAATTCATTATATATTACAATGTAATAATAATAGAAATAAGGTACACAAGAAATGCACTGGAATCATCCTGAAACCATCCCTGCTACCCGACCCGTGGAAAAACTGCCTTCCACAAAACCCAACCCGGGTGCCAAAATGGTTGGGAACTGCTTGTTAAGCCATCCAGTCTGTGATACTTTGCTATGGCAGCACTAGCCAACTACTACACCTTCCTACCTTATAATGAGAGTCCCCTACAAAGTGACCCATAAGCCTCAAACTTCTCTTGGACTTAGAAGCCAAAGAGGTTGCCATAAGGTACCTAGCAATGGAGGTGACTGCTTTCAATTGACAGATTTTTCCAAAATTTACCCAAAGCCCGAATGGACGGTGGATACTTTTACAGTCATGCATTTTTGAACGCAAGACTAGCATTGAGCTAATCCATGTAAGAATATTTTCACAGTTAATCCCTAATGCTTTTACACCAGCCTGAAAGATGAGCTTCTCTGAAGGGTTATGGTAGAGTTTTAAGTATAGGGATATTTCCATTTGGGCACAGATGTTGCAGAAAAAATGTTGCTCTGTATGTTTACTTCTTATAAATCAAATCATGTTTTAATTGTACCAAGGGATTTCCATATTTAAAGGGGCCCTGAAGCGCATCTGTCTATAGTGTAAATAATCCCTCACTCCAATTTATTTTCATAAGCTTTGGTTTTCATAATATTCAAAAAAAAAATACACCACTTCTTGTTTGTTTTCTTTTTGCTTTTTATTTTGACATAACTTGAGACTTTTTGGAAAAGTCACAAGAATAATACAAAGAAGAATTTGTTCCTTGACTATTTATTGTTTGAAAATTTTAATGACTCACTCCAACTGTTCACTTAATCTCCTGCAGCCAAAATGTAGGCTAATAGTGGCATTGACAGGAAATATTTAACTTAATATGATAAACCTAACAATAAGAGTTCCCAAAGTGTTTTACTGAATACCTGAGAATCACTGGGTATCCTGCTCAACTTTAACTTAGATCATCATTTACTCTTAATGACCCTGTAGGACAGACACTATTTTTATACCCATTTAATAGATGAGGATATTGAAGCATAGAGAACTCTTTTTCCTTGCCTGAGGTGACACAGATCTCGTGATGCTGAAACTGCAAGTCATACCAACCAGATTCCTGGACCCATGGTTCTAACAATCATCTTCTAAATCAAGTGCTGACCAACTACAGACTTTTGGCCAAATCCAACTGCTCCCCTCCCCCGAGCCCCCACCTATTTTTGTATGGTCTGTGAGCTAGGAATGCTTTTTACGATTTTAAATGGTTGACAAAAATCACAGTAACATTTGACTAGTGAAAATTGCATGAAACTCAAGTTTCAGTATCTAATAAGTAAAGTTTCATTGGAAGACAGCTACATCTATTCATTTTTGTGTATGGCTGCTTTTCTGCTAAAATGACAGGGCTGAGTAATTGCACAGAGACCTTATGGCCTGCAGAGGCTAAAGTGTTTACTGTCTGGCCCTTTACAGACAAAGTTTGCTGATCAGTGTTCTAAGATCCCTTTACTGCTTGCAAAAATACTAACAGTAACTGTCTCTCAGTACACCATTAGCCCTTCCCAAGGGAGCTGGCACTAAGTATTTCAGAGGCTATCATTTGATCAATACTTGCCAAAAAATTAATTTTATTTCATTTTTGTTCAAAACAAACTTTTTTCAAACACAGGCTTTTAAAAATATTTGCTCAAAATTTCTTTTGGATTGTTTTTCAAAACAATAAAACAATTAGGCCAGGTGTGGTGACCCTGCCTGTAATCCCAGCACTTTGGAAAGCCAAGGCAGGAGGATCACTTGAGGCCAGGAGTTCAAGACCAGCCTGGAGAACATGGCAAAACCCGTCTCTAACAAAAAAATACAATAATTAGCCAGGCGTGGTGGCATATGCCTGTAACCCCAGCTACTTGGGCGGCTGAGGCACAAGAATTGCTTGAACCCGCGAGGCAGAGGTTGCAATGAACTGAGCTTGCACCACTGCACTCCAGCCTGGGTGATGGAGACTCCATCTCAAAAAAGAAAAAAAAAAATTCAAAAAGTTATTCCATAGAGTATTTGTGGAGGTCTATCAATTCAGCCACAACAAAAACAATGAAAATAAGTTCTATCTTGCAAGATGTTTGTCCTTCAAAGTTATAGGTGTCAATATATAGATGATAAGACTACTAGGGCCTTGCTTCTCAAACTCTACTATGCTCTGAATCCCCTGGGACTCTTCTAAATGCAGATTCTTATCTAGGGGGTCTGGGGTGGGGCCTGAGACTCTGCATTTCTCATAGGCTTCCAGGGGATGCAGATGGTGCTGACAACAGTAAATTGCTAGGGATTACATAGGAACCTCATGTACAGCTAATATTGACAGTGCCCATTAAGGTGGCCCTAGGTTTCAGGTGCTATACAAGATGTACTCCACATGCACGTCTTTTTCTTATCAAACCCAAGAGGAAATGAAAGCTCAGAGAAAAAGTATAATAAAACTGAACTATAAGTCAGTTTTGTGTGACTCCAAAGCTCAGACACTCTCTCTCAAAGCTACACCTGTTTATCAATGGTGATACTTGGTCCTGAGTTGATAAAAACATATCCTTCAGCATGAGAATGATCAATATCCATTACCCCCATTACAACAAAGCCACATCTAAGAATTCCGAAGCTGCCATCTGGCAGGAAACACCTGACTCTTCCTGGCTAAAGATGTTAGCTAGAACCTCCTGATCATGTTTAAGAATCTGTGATAGGGTTTTAAATCCAACCAAGGAAGCCTTTGGGCAGAATGTATCTTCTACAGATAAGAAAAATCCTACTTGCAAGATTGAAATAAGACATAGAGGAGGCAAATGCAGAGGAGAAATAATGAACGTCTGAGATTTCTATAGTGTCACTGAAAAAGTGTAGGCTTTGAAACTTTTAACTTTGTTTTGTTTCCTGATCTTGCTGACTGGAAGTTGAGTTGACTTTGGGTAAAACTCTGTACTTCTCTGAGCCTCAGTGGTTACATCTGTCAAATAGAGATAAAAATGTGTACTTGATCGAATATTGCTGTGAGGATTACAACTATGGCATGAAAGTGTTTGGCAAATAGTAATCAGTAAGTGAATCAATCATAATCATGGAAATAGCAATTATTATTGGGTATCTAAAACAATGATGCTCTGAGGACTTACTTTGGTTTTCAGAAAGGAAATAGCAAATTTATAGCTATTGAACTATTGTGTTTGGCCACTAAACATAATGCTAAACATAATAGTTAATGGCAAATATTTTAGTATTAAATGAATTGCAAGCACTTAAACTTAGGAGTTTTAATGTGATAAGATATGTCTAGCTTCTAGTGGGAAGTCAGGGGACAGACCATAGGTGTCTGGGCTAGGATTCCTGTCCGGCAGAGCCACTGTAGGCAAAGGTGAGAAGCCACTACTTGCTATAATTGAGACACAGCTCCTCCAATTTGGCACATTTCACTTATTTATGTCATAGCTTGTTCCTAAAAACATTTTAGTTTGCAATCTCTGATTAGGAAAAAAAAAATTAGAAACTGTCATTCAACTGAAAACAGTGGAATTTACAAGTCTGTGCAAAGAACCTAGAAGGCCTTCTATACTCTCTTCTTATCTTCTTGGGAATAAGAGCCTCTAAGATGCTGTAAGAGCCTAAAAAGCTGTCTAGACAGGCTTCTCTATTGTCACTTCTTTCATATTTCAAGTACTATTACAGAACTATTTAGGAGGGACTCTATTTGTGGAATGAGGATGAGATCCTTCATCTTGAATTGCCTTCTAAGCCTTCTCAGATTAGGCTTAAAATTTTAACCTGACTTTTTTGGTGAGAGTAGAAAATACACGTCACCTTTCAATCTCTCAAAGAGTGATTGGATGAAGTTGTCTATGCCTGCCACAACATACACACACATACTCGCACACACTGCCCCTTCCCCTGCTATGGCTAAAAACAAACATAATATTTCAGCTAGTGAAAATCATTTTCAAAAATGAAAGAGAATAGGGTGGATTTCAATCTTTACAATATCACATGCACATCAACCAAACACTAGAATCATACAAATAGTTTTTTTTTTCTCCAGAGGAAATATCAGTGATATTGGGGTGTTTGTGTTTTAAAATGATACTGGGTTTAATACAATAAGTGTGCATCGATTAACCTTTGCATCAGATTTAAATGTATAACCCATTAACTAATTTAATCTCTCAACAAAATAACAGCCGTTGGCATTATTCTTTGAATAATCCTTGTTTAGTTTCCATAATGGTATACAGTTTAATGAAAAACTCATTAGAACGTAGCATACGGCATAATTAATTCTGGCTGATTCTTTTGGTGTAAATAGCTAATGCAGATGCGGAATTCCATTTTCCACTGGCTTTATTAATTTTTCATAAACCAATATGTCGACTGTAATGTGTTATAACAATTCCATGGAAGTTCTAGAAATGCATTAACTGTCACTGATGAAGTTACTCAAAGTAGGGTTTTGCCATTTGTCAGTTGGTTCTTCAAAACTACATTTTCAAAAGACAACAGGACAGCTCTGTTTTATATGTAGAGAATGAGTATCTACATGTAATTAACAGAAAGGGTATTAAACACTATTGGGTGAATTTATTTCTATTTATACACCAACTTAATTTGTTGGGGAAATAAGAACAATAAATTTTGAAAAGAACAATGAAAGTGGGAAGCAAAAAGTCTTTCAAACTAAAGAGTTTATAATCTAATGATAACAAGTTAAAACATTAAAAAAAAACATGTCACCTTGCGTTTGAAATCGCTGGTAATTTACTTTCTTAAAAGATTTAGAGAAAACCACGAAATAAGTTTCACAATAGCCTTTGTCCTAGGCACTAGATTAGTAATTAAGAACCCAATCTGCAGGGTTGCTGAACAGTTGATAATCTGCTCCTAAGTCTCCCAGCACCACAGGGCTTCACGCACATATTAGTAATAATACAAGTCTTAATTATAAGACTGTTACTCAGTGTGAATATAGATACAAGTACTAACTCACCAACAGGTGTCTTCCTTATTTATTTTTAATTATAATTGTTATTTTTAATAGAGCTTTCAATGGCTGCCTACCACTGAAAGGATAAATTCCAAAATTCAGATTTCATTATGTAAAATTTTAAGGTCTTATGCAACCTTTCTCTAGAAGGTACTCTCTAATCTCAACAGATCAATATACCTTAGCCTTTGGAAAAAACGTCAACTTGGCTCAGAAATTCCCATCAGTAGGTATCAGGTGAAGATCAAGCATGTGTATTTTTTTTTTAAGTTTTCTCAATGGATTCTAAAGATAAAGGTTGAGAAACAGCTTGGGACCCTACCAACCACCTCCATATTCCCTCCTGCAATGATCTTTACCCACTTTCTTACCAGGTGAACTCTTACCCTTTAAGACTCAATTTACACCACCCCCTTGACTCCTCATGCAGAGAGCCTTGTTATTCTTTTGGCTCTAGCAGGTATCACTGTGTACTATACCCGCATTGACAGTTTGTTTTGCATCCTTCTACTACCCTGTTGACTTCTAGAGGGAAAGCCTGGGTCTGTTTTGGTACCTCGGCACCTAGCACAGTGTCTAGCGCCCGATACTATAATTCTGCAATAAAAGGTGAATTCATGGAAACAAGGATTAAGTGTTAATACACGGTCTGTCTCTTTGGCCCTTCCCTGATGAACATCAAACAACTGAGTGCCATCCAGCTAAGGTCATGGGTTCATGTAGTATATAACCGCTAAAGCTGTGCAATTTAAAAAACCAAAAGAAAAACTCTCAAGGGCTTAAACTGGTGGCTTTATTACCGCTGAGCTCTTCAAGCCAAGCTCAGCAAAGTAGGGACAATGTTTTTGTACGGGCCATAAACTAAGAATGGCTTTCACGTTTTTGGATGTTTGAAAAAAAACAACTATTTTGTGACACATGAAAATTGTATAAAATCTAAATTTCCACGTCCTTAGTTTTACTGGAAAACAATCATGCCCATTTATTTACACATTGTCTATGGCTACTTTTACACGGCAATGGCAGAACTCAGTAGTTGAAACAGGGATCATAGGGATTACAAAGTCAAAAACACTATCTGTGCCTACAGTGATAAGTTGTTTGAAGACCCCTGCTTTAAGCTAACAAGCTGTACATTCTTTTCTCTTTCATAACTAAATTTGGCTTGGTTTTCTTACAGTCAAGCTACCCAGTGGTATCATGTTTCTTATGCCATCATCATCCTCACTACTACCATCATTACAGATGTCACTATAAATTGCAAGTTTACTTTTTTTTTTTTTTAATGGTTGTGCAGGGAAGGGTGGATTCTAGCAGGCCTGGGCTATCTCAAACCTTGCACATTTTCCACAACAGCTTGTCCTTAGGATTGGACTTTGGCCAGCTCCTGGGAGATAAAATATCAGGCCTTAGAATATTATCTGCCTGATAAAACTATTTTTGCGCCAGCCATGGTGGCTCATACTTGTAATCCCAGCACTTTGGAATACCGAGGTGGGAGGGTTGCTTGAGGTCAGGAGTTCAAGACCAGCCTGGCTAACGTGATGAAAGCCCATCTCTACTAAAAATACAAAAGTTAGCTGGGTGTGGTGGCGGGCACCAGTAATCCCAGCTACCTGGGAGGCAGAGGTTGCAGTGAAACAAGATAACGCCCCTGCACTCCAGCCTAGGTGACAGAGTGAGAGACTCCATCCCAAAAACAAAAACAAAATTGTTTTTGTATGCCTGAGGCCTTGGACCACACCATATAGGTTTGATCCAATTGTTTATGGTAACTATTTATGGTGAATTCCTGTTCCTCACACCTCCATAGCATGGGCTGAGGTTTGAGAGTTGGTCAGTCATGCAGGTGCAGCTTGCCTATGTGAGTAACCACTAACAAAAACGCTGGACACTAAGGCTCAGGTGAGCTTCACTGATAACACTATGCCTGTGCTGTCACATGCCATTTCTGGAAAAATTAAGCACATCTGTGTGACTGCACGGTGAGAGGACACCTGGAAGCTTTTGCTAGGTTTCTTCTAAACTTCACTGCATGTACTTTTCCTCTTTGCTAATTTTTCATCTGTATCCTTTTGTTATAATAAACTAACTGTGAGTGTAACAGCCTTTTTGAACTCTGAGTCCTTCTAATCAATCATGGAGCCTGAGAGTGGTCTTGGGGACTCCCAACACAGCTGTGTGGTATCAAATCAAAGTTTATGCTTTTCCCTTCTGGAGTAAATAATCACAATACAATGCTCCAAAGATGAAACATTTACATGAAAGTCTTCAAATTCTTTGACTGCCATTGATGACTGCAGCTGTTCATACATTATTAGTGGTAGCAACCAGTGGGGCATGAGAGTTGTTAAGGTATTCCGTGAATATGTGGCATCTCGAATAGCGTCAATGAGGACAGAATTTCTCAAACCCAGCACTATTGACATTTTGGGCCAGATAACGATTTGTGGTCAAGGAATGTCTTGTGCATTGCAGGGTGTTTTGAAGCGTCCTTGGCCTCCACCCACTAGATGTCAGCAGTGAACAACACTCCCCAATCCCCGCCCCCACCACCACCCAAGATGTAACAATGAAACAAATGTTTCCAGAAATTGCCAAATTCCCCTAAGAGAAAGGTCACTCCATATTAAGAATCACTAATCTAGGACTTGGGTTAACTAAAGCATTGGTGGGAGGCAGCTTGTAGGTAGAAAATGAGCTTTGGAGTCACAAAGATAACAGCTTTGGCCCTACTCCTTAACTTTCAGAGTCAGCACCCACTGGCATCATAACTTCACTGGATCTAATTTACCTGCAAATCGAAGGTAACAATACTTCTCCTGAAAACTTCTAATTTACGTACATATATGTAAAGTTCTCAACATGAACTCTGGCATGTGGCAGACAATATTAAATGCAAATGTGTTTTCATTCATTATTATTATTATTATTATTATTTTGAGATGGAGTCTTGCTCTATTGCCCAGGCTGGAGTGCAGTGGCACGATCTCAGCTCACTGCAAGCTCCGCCTC
Source organism: Homo sapiens (assembly GCF_000001405.40). Taxonomy (NCBI): domain Eukaryota; kingdom Metazoa; phylum Chordata; class Mammalia; order Primates; family Hominidae; genus Homo; species Homo sapiens. The sequence continues at coordinate 7,615,259 of NC_000016.10, read as the reverse complement.
CCAGGTTCACGCCATTCTCCTGCCTCAGCCTCCCCAGTAGCTGGGACTACAGGTGCCCGCCACCACGCCCAGATACTTTTTTGTATTTTTAGTAGAGATGGGGTTTCACCGTATTAGCCAGGATGGTCTCAATCTCCTGACCTCGTGATCCACCCGCCTTGGCCTCCCAAAGTGCTGGGATTACAGGCGTGAGCCACCGCACCCGGCCTTCATTCATTATTATATTCTGTGACCTCATGAATAGAAGACACTGAGGACATGCCCTCATCTACACCTCCTGAGGATGCTGCGTAGCAAAGCAGTGAAAAAACATGGGGTTGAAACTTAGGAAAAAAGACCTTTATATAATAACCAGAATTTTTCACATGGTAGTTCTGTGATTTGGCGAATGAGGTAAGCTTTCCCAGAAACCTTGACTTCATAATTTGATCATGAAAATAATGGGATAGCATTTTCATAAGGATTTGAGGAGAAACAAGGTGTTCAGCACAGAGCAAGTACCTGCAAGTGGCTTGCTGTTGTTGATGGTTTGAGTTTCTCACTATGTGGACAATGGTAACTTAAAACTTCCCCTGTGAAATTTTTCCAGAGTCGGATATCCAAACCTCATTCGCTTCCCATAGCCTGGATGTGAAGCTTCTTGTACAAGGACTACCTTGACACCCCCTGCTTTTGGGGGGAGCAGTTCTTGACAGACTTCCCACACACAAGAAAAAGAACCAATTTACTTCAAAAATGCAGTTTTTAGCACATAAGCAAGTACTGATCTTATCTGAAGATCAAAAAACCCCACAGGCTTCATCAAAGATGAGTTGCATTCCCTCTGTGGGATCTAGAAGGACGCAGATAAAAATTAAGGCCAAATATGGGCAGGGCTGGAATAAAATCTGATAAGACAGAAGAGGGGAGGAGAGGAGAGAAGCGAAGTGAATTACAACTAAAAGGGGAGGCAAAGGTAAACAGATGTGCAAGATAAACTCTTTGAAGTGGAACATTTCCAGGCTGAAAATCCTTTGCTCGGGGACTTAAATCTGGACTCTCCTGTTCCAGTTCACTGAAGTGCACTGCATTTGAATTTGGCAGATGCGTAAACTATGCAAAACATCCCAGAGCCAAAGGTCAATGGTTCATGAGGAACTGCTCCCTATGGCCATTGATTCGAGTCTAGTCCTCCTGGTGGGTATGAGAAAGTGTTGGAGCCAAGAGGGGCACCTGAATATTTGCTGCTTTGAAGGGCTTGGATGGTAACAGTTACCTTGTAAACCCACACTGTGCTCTTTCATCCCAAACAGGGCATGCTTTATACCTAGGACTTTTTATAGCCAAATCACCCTGAGCCCAATGCCAATCTGAATAAAATAGAGCAAACTTGTGTCAGGGACCACAGTGATCAAAGGTGGGTTCTAGACAATCTTAACTTTTCTCAGATGCTATTGTATCCAAATTGTAGGAAGGGAATTGAAAAGAGGTACAGCTAAAAGTATGACTAAAAGTCATTCTCTTAACGGTAATAGACTCTTGGTGGTGGAAGTGGGAGGAAAAAATGTGAGGGAGCCTTCATAGACCTTCTTTTGACCCAATTCTGAGATGAATCATGGTTCACTCTAGCCCACAGAAAACCAATACCTTTGGTATGGGTAAATCCGAGGTCAAATACAGTTGCCCTTTTGAGATAAGCAATCAAAGAGTGTTATAACCACCCTCTTCATTTTTAAACTTCATACTGAGATCCAAATCCACTTTCCCATCACCTAGCCCAGCATCAAGTCATGTGATCCGTGGCCAGGTTCTTTCTGAAATGGATATAATCAGTCGAGGTGACTTTGGTGATCACATGAATCTCTTCTATTTCTATTTTACAGTCTGTGATGTTCTCTGATGCTCATATTATCTGATCGCCCCTGTAACCCTAGGGTGAGCTTGTTTCAAGACCTGACCACCTTTCAAATGTGACTTTGCAGTCAGGCATGGCGCATTTTTAGTTCCTGTCATTTTCTTTTCCCTCTCAAAACCACAAATTGTTCTTTTCAGGAGTATCCATTCAGAATCTCTTTATTCCCCCCAAATTCCACTAATAATAAATATCCCTAGGGGTGGTTTTTGTTTTCTTCAAGGTTTTCAAGTTGATCTACTCTGCATCTCCTTATTTTTACTTTAATTGTATGTATCTCATCTCTGGGACCTAACTATATCTTAGATCTGCATTTCCGTTAGAAGATCTTTGCCTTTCCCTATTGATCACGTCTCATGGAGTAATTTAACTCAATTCCAATTTCCCTTTGCAGGCGGGGTGCTCTCCATCCACGGAAGTGAGTTATGTGTGTTCAAGTGGTGCATCTTATGAATCTTGTTAAGCTTTGCTGCCTTATAGTCCCGCTGATGGAATATTTAATCACAGAAATGAGTTGGCAGATATGATATACAACGTGGGTGAGCTTTGCAGTGTGTATTTTACTGGCAATTGAGAAACAGATAAATTTACCATTTGACAGCCCCGTGCTGACAACTTTGTGTAACCTTCTGTTATTTATTTTGATTTTGCTTTACTTATTCATGAAGATTAAAGGTGCCGTAAATCAACAGTTTCATTGGCTGGATATCGTGATTATCTCTAGAAGATACTGCTTTTAAAAATATATATATATATTTTTTTATTAGAAGACAAGGGAAATTCTCACAATGACAGAGAAAGTGTAAGAATCCCCTCTGAGGCCTATTCCTCCACATTCTTGGAAACACTATTTTTAACTACACTAGATAACATGAGGCCTGCTACTGGGTAGAGATATTCTGAGTCTACTTCTCCTTACTGCCTTGATTTTACTTAAACTCTAAAGAAGGGCCATACACATTGGCCAAAGACTTCATGACTCACCTGGATTTGTGTGTGGGGACTTACAATCATTTGTCTTTTTTTTTTTTTTTTTTTTTTTTTTTTTGAGATGGAGTCTCGCTCTGTTACCCAGGCTGGAGTGCAGTGGCGCGATCTGGGCTCACTGCAAGCTCCGCCTCCCGGGTTCATGCCATTCTCCTGCCTCTGCCTCCCAAGTAGCTGGGACTACAGGCGCCCACCACCACGCCCGGCTAATTTTTTGTATTTTTAGTAGAGACGGGGTTTCATCGTGTTAGCCAGGATGGTCTCAATCCCCTGACCTCGTGATCCACCTGCCTCGGCCTCCCAAAGTGCTGGGATTACAGGCGTGAGCCACCGCGCCCGGCAAATCATTTGTCTTGAATAAGCCTCAAGGACTCTGGAGATGATTAGATTTTAGAAGAAATTATCAATGCTGTTTTTGCTTTATAGAAAACTACCCATCTCTCCTGGGAGAAGGTTTATATTAATATATGTCATGGGATGTGCTGATGTATGTGTATCTGCTCTGAAGACTGGCACGGAATAAGCATTTAGAAAGATTTTTATAAGTATGACTTGATGAGAATTCAGAAAAGAAAAACCATCCAAAATACATTAGAACGTTCTCAATGCTTCCTCTGGAAGGCACGTGTGAGGGAGAAGGAATGTCATAATTTATCAATGCAAATAGTAATTAAAGGTCCTCATTAAGTGCAATGGCTCTTCCTGCCTCGCCCCCACCCCACCCAAGTTTGCAATAAAAACATACTCGGGGAGTCAAAACATTACATACAAAAATCAATAACTTGCCTTTTTTTTTTTTTTTGAGACAGAGTTTTGCTCTTGTCACCCAGGCTGCAGTGCAATGGTGCAATCTTGGCTCACTGCAACCTCTGCCTCCCAGGTTCAAGTGATTCTTCTGCCTCAGCCTCCCAGGTAGCTGGTATTACAGGGGCACACCACTATGCCCAGCTAGATCTTTTGTATTTTTAGTAGAAACAGGATTTCACCATGTTGGCCAGGCTGGTCTCCAACTCCTGAGACCACCCTCCTCGGCCTCTCAAAGTACTGGGATTAAAGGCGTGAGCCACCACGCCTGGTCAATAACTTGCCATTTTATAATTAAAAGAGAAAATAAATGTTAGGGACAAGTCTACTAAACTAAGAAAATTACCTTTAGGAGAGATTGAAAATATTGATTTTAATTTACAAAATATGTGAACTTTTCATGCCTCATTCTGAGAGACAACGGGAGGCTGGGTTGTTAATTCTGCATAAGCTTCAGAAAATCAAATAATTACACTATGAGAATATTATAAAACATGTCATTAACACACAACCTTATATAGAGAAATGACTAATAAGTCTGGCTTTCTATCTTAAGCAGATACAGAGCCAGCCTACTAAAAATACAAAGCAAATCAATGACAAGGGGTCTTCATTTCAGCTTTGAGGCACACTCAGAATTGCAAGATAAATTCAGACTATTTTTATAGCTGGGGAAATTTTAAATGCCCCATAAATTCTTAGTCATGGATCTGTAGATGCGTGACAGTAATAATTATACCTGGATATGGAAATGAATGCACTCTGCATCTATCGCTTTGCATAGGTCCATTCCATAGATGCAGGTGCCTGAAACTTCAGATTTAAGCCAGCCAGACTTTCAGTGTTTGCAGGTCTTCAAATATTTCAAAGGAATTGCTCTGCAGTGTTAAAATTACAGCTACATGTCCCCACATTTCTGAATATTATGAGCTCTGTCTACCTACATACAAACGTACAGCTGAAAAGAGGAAAGCATGTGGATTTTCCGGATAATCCGGATAGTGGCAGCATGAAACACAGATACTCAGATTTGTCATGTAACACTTGTGAATATGGTGGTGGTGGTGGCAGCTGGAATCATACAGAATGATTATGTTACCTCTCTTCTTTTATTTCACTGGTTTGCACACAGAGCAGTAGCATGATCATAGGAGACAGTCGATTGGAATCATGACCTTTAATATTAAAAAAAAAAATAAATAAACAGGCTGGGCGCATCACTTGAGGTCAGAAGTTCAAGACCAGCCTAGCCAACACGGCAAAACCCTGTCTCTACAAAAAAATACAAAAATGATCCGGGCATGGTGGTGGACGCCTGTAATCCCATCTACTCGAGAGGCTAAGGCAGAAGAATTGCATGAACCCGGGAGGCGGAGGTTGCAGAGAGTCGAGATCATGCCACTGCACTCCAGCCTGGGCAACAGAGCAAAACTGCCTCAAAAAAAAAAAAAAAAAAAAAGGGGGCCGGGCGCAGTGGCTCACACCTGTAATCCCAGCACTTCAGGAGGCCGAGGAGGGCGGATCATGAGGTCAGGAGATGGAGACCATCCTGGCTAACAGGGTGAAACCCCATCTCCACTAAAAATACAAAAATTAGCCGGGCATGGTGGCGGATACCTGTAGTCCCAGCTACTCAGGAGGCTGAGGCAGGAGAATCACTTGAACCCGGGAGGCAGAGCTTGCAGTGAACTGAGACCGCGCCACTGCACTCCAGCCTGGGAGACAGAGCAAAACTCCATCTCAAAACAAACAAACAAACAAACAAACAAACAAAACCCCACCAGTATCAACTGGTTGTAAAGAACACGATTTCTGAGATGATCAAAGCCTGATTTCAAAATCTGGCCTCCTCCTGACCAGCTGAAATCTCAGAGCAGTAATACCAACTTTTTGCATTTTGGTATCCTCATTTGGAAAATCGCCATGAGCATTAAATACATTAAACTTATGTACAGTGCTTAGAACAGTGCTGGCCCATAGAAAGTATCCAGTAAATATTAACTTACATTATAACATTTTCTTTTCCTCTAACTTAATGATCTAACTTCTGAACCTGGGCCCTGGGCTAATCTGAATAGCTGCTCTAATGTTCTAGAAGTCATGCAGATGAATTTATTCTTATAGTTACAAATCAGTCTTAACTGTTTCTCTCATCTTAATGTCCTCCTCAACACCCACAGATATGTCTGTGGCTACGAAAGCACAAGTAACGGGGATATTAGGTATTTTCCTGCTTAATAGACCCAAGGGTGACTGGCAACTCCATCGCACAGGACCAGAAAAATGTAAAAATGCATTTTGCCCTCTCCACCACAACACTCACATCCATACCCTTCCTCCCCACAAGAAGGCTTCTTGTTCTTCACTGGACTATTTTAGGCTGAAAATATGCACTCAGATATGTGCATATAGGAGAAACTGACATTTCTTTAGTCTAACTACTCCATTCATGGGCAGTGCCTGCTGCGGACACATGGAAGCTGTTGTCTGACTTTTCAACCATTTGGAGTATTTGATTTCCTTGCAGCTTTGCACAAAGATGCATCCCAGCAATACATGCCATGTTCTGTGTGTCCCCTGAATAAACTGCCATGCCCCCGATCCCAGAAATTAACACCCCCTAAATGAACACACTGAGAACTGAAGGACTAGTACTCTCATCAATGAAGGAAAGAATCTCTTTGTCTCATAGCATACTCAAAATTCAGCAGAATATGCAGCTAACTTTGCCTTCCTGGTAAAGAGATTAACATATTCATTTTTGTTTACTAAATGTTTACACGGTGCTGGCTACACACCACTCTTCATATATTAACCCATTTAATTCTAATAAATTACTATGAGTTTGTTACTATCATCTCCATTTAATAGATGAGGAAACTGAGGCACAGAGAGGTTAAGTAACTTGCCCAGAGTCACACTGCTGGTGAGTAGGGGAGGCAGAATTTGAACCCGAGCTGTGTAGGCATGGTTTCCATGTTCCTTACTCAGCAGAGGTGTCTTCTCAGGTGGTAGGGTTTGCAATATGATCATGGAAAGCCTGACGGCTAAGTCTCTTCCCCCACAAGAGTGAACACAGCTATTTTGCAGTGTTAGAATCCCTGGACTTAACCCAGGCTCCCGGTAAAACTCATACATGAAGAACAACTCCAAACATCGCCTACGTAAAATCCAGGAATCAGTTATCCTGTTGAGCCTTTCCAGATTTACCAGATTTTTAACTTAAATTTTGTCAGACTGGTTGTTGTGCCAGAGTAGCTAAGTTTTCTGTGTTCCTTTCTCATCTACAAGGGTCAGTGTTCAGTATTAGGAAAATGACAAAAGTTAGGCAGCCCAGGAAGAAACAAAGCAAGGGGTATGACTTACCGTCAAGAGGTTACTAAGGGAGTGGCTCTAGGTCAACGGATTATTTATTTCTCCTTATTAAAAAGCAAGAGCCACATCAAAGAAAGACTTCTTTTAAATAGCCATGTGGCAAACCTACTAAGGTCCTAGGTATTCAATGCAGCCTTGTTCAAGAGCAAGGAGACATACAGGCAGTAGTGACGGGCCAAGCCGAGGACATCGAGACATGAAATCTCAGCCACTACTGCTTCTGGGTTATGCTCTCCCAAAATTTCTAAGAGAATGGATTTCCCAGCTGAGAGGTAATTGGTGCTTAGGCAGGGAAGGGGTGAGGAGAGAGACATATTCTGGAAGGCAAAGTAGAGAGAAAAGGAATTGCTAAGGGAATTTGATTAATGAACGAAGACGGACAACTTTTTAGTTATCGAAAAAGGCCTTCCCTTGGCAATTCTAAATCACTCCCACATTATTGGAATAATTAAGCCAACTCGACTCTCTGCTTTGCCAGGAAAAAGAAAATGCCAACCCCAAATGGAAATGTATGGCTAAAACACACATTCAGGCACATTGAAATACAATGGGTGTGAGCAGCTCTCCATTTGTTCAATACACTATTGAACAAAGTCACAATGCTTTTTTTAGGGCAAAATCAATGTGAATTGTCCTAAGGAGCAGTGGCTCCACGCTGATCCCCCAACCATGAAACTTAGACGATTCCCTTGTAATTTTTAAACTGTTTTAAGCACTCTTGATTTTGCCCAAAGAAATCATTCAGAACTTGTTAGGATAGGAATTCACTTGCTTCAGGTTATTTTACAAAACTCATTCATTCTTGGCAGGCAAAGCACATTTAGAAAAGACTGAGAAGACTTCGTGCAAAGAGAAACTCTGTACCTGCATAGAATTCGGGACTGTAGACTGCACCCACAACTGGATTCAATTTCCAGCCTTAAAACAAATACACAAAAACATTATTATCACATTTGATTCAACATCTTATATAATTGCAAATGAATCACAAATCAAATGGGTTAAAGTATCTCATTTTGTATTTTAAAATGTAAAGGAGGTGTCGTTTGGGCATGCATAAAAATACTTAAAAACCACACATAAGAAAATATATTTATGCCCTTCTTTGATTTTCTGCCAGTGCAAGTTAATGGAATGGAAACTACTGACCAGCCACAAGTGAACCCTTTGAAAATGACATGGTAATTAATTTTCTACTCCATCAATATTTTTTAGAACTACTATAATAATTTTAATTTTTTCTTATTTTATATATCACTGCTAGATAATCCATCACACCCCTCTGCATTAAGTTCACAAAAATTAGAAAGCTTGCATAAACAAAATTCTTGGCAGCAATATATTCTAACAATTGTCATTCCAAATTATAACCTCGAGATACTAGAGAATTCCAAAGTGCTTCATAAAAACCAAAGAAAATGATATTTTATCCCCTAGAGATTTACTGTGGCCTACATTTTGATGCATTCAGGAACTGTAAAAAATTCTTAATCAATGTATGATATCTAAGGTAACTTTCAAATAATCTGTATATATGATTAATGGAATCCTGTAATTTTCCAAATGTTCTGGATGGAGAGTTTTTTGTAAAATGAATCCTGACCCTTTAGAAATCTTTACTCACAAAAAAAGAGCATACAAGAATATTCTCAAATTGGAAAGCACATTACATATATGCTGGGCATTATTTAGGGGAACAATTTCCAGAGACTGATCACGTTTTAGGGTTTTGTTATTGTTTCCTGCTCCTGCTGGCTAAGTCTTCATAAAAGCATCCGTGCGGGCTGGGTGAAGTGGCTCATGCCTGTAGTCCCAACACTTTGGGAGGCCAAGGCAGGGAGATCACGAGGTCAGGAGTTTGAGACCAGCCTGGCCAACATAGTGAAACCCCATCTCTACTAAAAATACAAAAAATTAGCCAGGCATCATAGTGGGCACCTGTAATCCCAGCTACTTGGGAGTCCGAGGCAGGAGAATCACCTGAACCTGGGAGGCAGAGGTTGCAGTGAGCTGAGATCACGCCATTGCACTCCAGCCCAGGTGACAGTGTGAGACTCTCTCGGGAAAAAAAAAAAAAAAAAAAATCCATGCAGGTCGGGCACCGTGGCTCATGCCTGTAATCCTACCACTTTGAGAGGCCAAGGCAGGCAGGTTACTTGAGGTTGGGAGTTTCCAGAGAGCAGCCTGTCCAGCATGGCGAAACCTTGACTCTACTAAAAATACAAAGTAGTAACAACTAATCAGGCTGAGGCATGAGAATCGCTTGAAGCTGGGAGTCAGAGGTTGCAGTGAGCCAAGATGGTGCCACTGTACTCCAGCCTAGGTGACAGAGTGAGACTCTGTCTCAAGAAGTAAAAAAAACCTTGAAAGACAGAGGAGGGTAAGGTGTGTAGTCCTTTGCTCTGAGTCCTTGAGCAGAAGGCCAAATACCAAAGGTCCTTTAATAAATGTTTTTGAGAGAAGGCAATGATTAAAGTTTGAATGTGAAGGAAGGTATTTTTGACAGTAAGAACTTTCTGAGGTTTGCCGAGAAGAGAGAGGTGTGATTTTCTGCCCGAACTAAGAATAGCCCAGAGGTGTTCTTAACATCCACTAAGGAAAACAGAGGCTCACTAACTCAACAGACAGGCCAGTATGTCTATCGAAATCCAGAACTTTCTAAAACTTGATAAGAATGTTTTCTAAGAACTTTCAGTTCCAACCTGAAGAAGCTAGGTGGTTTACAGCCCCCGGGATGATCTCAGAATAGAGATTCTCAAAGTGTTATACTTCTATTACCTGGGAGGCATATTTAATTCCTGGGCCCCCTTTTTAGAGTGACAGAAAGAAACATGAAATTCTGAGACCTACTGCCCTAGCGGTTTCTGAAATTTCATACTGACACCCTCTTCTCTTGTATTAATCACATCTTGCCTTATAAGAATTTCTATAGTGACGTAAAAATAAATATTAGTTCAGACATTTCAGAATGTGTTTTATGAGTATGGAAATGACTTCAATTTGATCAACTGAAATTCCACTGCTTCCTTTTTTTAAAAAAAAGTCTAATTCCTGAGGATATGGGAATTAATATCTACATTTCAACTTGGAGTCTAAGAAAAAGTACAAAAAACTAGTTGAAAATAAAGCTGCAGACATATTTAATGTTCTTTCTTTCTAGTTTTTCACAGAAACCTAGAATTTGTAAACTCTATATGGGGTCATATTAAATGAATAATTATTAAGTGATCACTCTTCATCTTTCCACTGTTACCCATCTCATACTCTACTGATGCTCCTACCTCTTATTGGTAGTGGAGATGGTGTCTTTCCCATACTGTGCATCTCAGGTCTTGTTTCTTGAATATCCTTACTACCTTAAATACTTTCTTTTGCATATAAGACTTCCTTTTCCTTTTCACTGAAGGTATACTTATCAGTGAATTTTGGTGTAGCTCTTAAAGATTATAAATTTGCCAATGATCTCTCATTTTCTAAGAACAAAGCAAAAAATTCCAGATCTCTCAGAGGCATTTGAGGCTACCTAGAAATCATGTTTATCTCATCTGCCTACCCACCTATCCATCTATCTACTGATCTATCTATAAACGTATCTATAATCTGTCTATCCCCCTATAATCTGCTGTTTATTTCCCCATCTTTCTGCAAGTTATGAGTTTGCCAAGTCTGCACATGGCAATCTCTTCATAAAAAAATAAAGAAAATAAATGATACTCTCCTTCATCAGGAGATCTGTGCTATCTCATGTTTGCAAGTATTAATCGTGAGAAAGGTAATTGATAAAGTCTCCTCTACAAGAAACCAGCTGGGAATCTGTGTGCTGCAAAATGAAATGCTTGGGTCATCATGGGAACATGAGTGCAGGTGTCAACCTTCTTCCCATCCTTGATCCCTTCTAAACAAGGCTACTCCACTCCCACTGTTGGAGACCAAAGACCTTTCTGAACTCTGCGATGGGAATGAAAACCCAATTTCTAGTCTCCCTCTTCTCCCCCCACTCATGAAACCTGTTACTCAGCAAGTCCTTCTCCCTTTAGCAAATGGCATATCTATCTACTTGGTTGCTCAAAATAAAATTCATCAACACTTCCTTGATTCTTCTCTTACCCTCATACCCCATGTGTGATCCATTAGAAAATCCTGTTGGTTAAAACTTGAAAAGTCCTTCCCTTCTTCTCCATTGCCACCACTGCAGACCAAGGCATTCCTATCTCTGCCTGGACAAGTTCAACAGCAGAAATGCCCTAATTCTCACTGTCTCCTCTTCCTCCTCCTTCCCCCTGTCCATTCTGGTCATGGTGACCAAAGCAATTTTTTTAAAAAAAACATCAGCTTTGTCATCCTGATACTCAGAATTCAATAGCTTCTTCCCAATTTGAGATAAGCACACATGTCTTACCTTAGTCAATCAGCACACACTAACCATTAACCAAACTATTTGGTACCTCTTTGGTACCACTTCCCTTTTTCCCTTTCCCCGTCTCTCCCAGCTACAGTGACACTGGCCATTTTCATCTTTATAAAACCCCCCAAGACCACCGTATATCAAAGTCTCTTTGTATCCACTTCTCCTTCTTCTTGGAGAACTCTCTAGCTTTTCACAAAGTCGACTTCATGTTATTTAGGGCTCTGGAGTCTTTTCAGAACATGCCAGTTAATGTCACTTTCCCACCTCCTCTTAGAGTTACTCTTGGATTCCATGATTCCATTCCCAGTTTTATTTTCTGCATTGCCGTTAATGCTATCTGGATTTAGCTTCTTTCTTTCTTTGCTTGCTCTTGTCTTTTATAACCATTCTCCCTCATTAAAATTAACAGTCAAGCAGGCAAGACTGCTGTCCAACATGAATCTCCAGCACCTAAAATGTTGTTTGGCAAAGTAAGCATTCCATAAATATTTACTTGGTTTTTCTCTAAAGAAACTAAAGGAATATAGTTTTTCCTAATAGACAAATTTTTTTTTGGCTCTGATTATGTCTCCTTCCAATCTTCAAGGACCTGCTTCCTTCCATAGACTCTACATTAAATAAAGAAGAATCGTGTTAGGGATGACTGTTGTCCCGGTTGCTTAGTTGAAATTACTTTTTTGATGTAGGCGTTTATTACTATACACTTTTTGATTAGCACTGCTTTTGCTGTATCCCATAGACTTTGGCATGCCGTGTTTCCATTTTAATTTATGTCAAGAATTTTTAAAATTCCTTCACTGACCCAATGGACATTCAGGAGCACACTGTTGAATTTCCATGTATTTGTACAGTTTCTGAAGTTCCTCTTGCTATTCATTTCTAGTTTTATTCTATTATGGTCTAAGAAAATACTTGATATAGTTTAGATTTTTTAAAAATTTGTTGAGACTTGTTTGGTGGCCTGACATGTGGCTTATCCTGGACAATGTTCCGTGTGTTGATGAGTAGATGATGTATTCTGCAGCTGTTGGAAAAGGTATTCTGTAAATGTCTGTTATGTCCATTTGGTCTAGAATCCAGCCCTTGAAAATCGCCTCCACTCAGACTTACAGAGCTCATGCGGGCTTATGTAAATATATGCAAATCACATGCAAATGAACCCACATTCCCTGTGACTCCTCCTCGTACCTGAAAGAGACCCTTGGGATAACCCTGCTGGAGATAAGAGCCTGCACTGTCAGGAAGATGAACAAAATGATCCCCTTTTTAATTTCTTAGGCAGTTTGTGTATGTCCCCAGGCCTTGCAAATTCAGAGATTTTGATCAAGGACATTAAACTGAACAATGAGGCTTACAACAAAAGGAGAATGGCTGATAAGGCCCACTGGTCCCAGCCTCCCAGGGCCCCCCCAGCCCCACAACAAGGCAATGGAGCCAGAGAACAGACGTCTTGGGGTCTGGCTCTGTATCAGATACGCAAGCAGTTTAGACCCCTCCGTGGCCAGGACTCAAGGGGCCACATCTGAATTTGCACTCCCCTCCCCAAATTTAGCTTGTCAAAGGTCAAGTGTCAGTATTTCTAAAATATGCTGGTTAAGACCTCCAGTGTTAACTATGACTGCATTGGGTGTTAAAAGGCCAAGTCTGAATGTGTACACAAAAAACATCAGCACAGGCTTTCTCTTAAGGCTTTGCTGGGTTACATATCAAAGAAACGCATTCCAGAGAGCACCCTTATGTACGCTACAGGAATTACAAAAACTGCCTGTCAATGCTTTCTAAAGACATATACTAAGGATGTCAGAGACCTGGCAGCTGACATGGTACAGGTGGCAACTCTCAAATACCAAACAAAAAGAAGTGAGGTTCGCACTGGGTACAAAGGTGTTTTGTTTGGGTTCACTGAATATTCTTTAACGGCGTGTATTTATTGCCAAAATTTAAATTCCGTCTAAAATACAGGATTTCTATTTCTCTTGAAACATCGGTAGAAATGGTAACTTTAAGTTGAGAATGCCTCACAGACAGACTTATTAGAGGTGGTCAAGGGCTACTGCATTCAACTCCCCACTTAGTCACATTTACCACTGCTCCCCATTGTGAGACTGATAGGGAGATTAAATGTTTGAGATCTTTTATTGTTAATTCGTGGTGGTGGTGGTGGTGGTGTTGATTTTTCCTCGTAGATAAATATTTTGCTTTACTTCAGTAAGAAAACAATAGCTAGTCCCAAAAGACTGAGTTTTTCAAAGACTGTCTGTTTGCTGATTTTACCTGTTCAGCCCCTTTTAGCATCTGAAGAATTGATCCTTAAACTAGTATCTCTCAGGGAATTCAACTACCCATGACAATAAAGGAATAATATGATGACTTAATATTGAAACTATGTGTAATCAAATACTACTGCGCTATAAATAGTAGTAAAAATAATCTTTTAGGCCACTTTGCATACCTAGCATTGTGTTGAGCACTTTCTCTCATAATTATCACAAAGAACTGTGATGTAGTTCCCATCATTTGTACAGTTCCCACTAGAGAGCTGGCACATGGAGAGTTTAAACAACTTCCTACAATTCAAGAGCCAGTGAATGGAAGAACTGATCCGGGCAACAAAGTATGCCTCTCTCTGGAGCGCTGAATATGTTTGCCCCATTTTCATCCTTCCTAACATCTCTAAGAAAATGAAAAAGCCATGTCTAGCACCCATGCTTCCCCAGCATCCAGGAAATCCTTGTGAATTCAGCTCTCAATCTTGTATTGCAGATCCAACATTTGATCCCCAAAGAACACAGCAAACCCCAACTCCTCCGTGTGGGTAGGTGTCCTTCAGAGAAATAGCAATAGAGAAATAGTCCAATCCCCTCTTTGTGGAACTTTTTAATAGAATGTCCAGAAGCCTACGGCTCATTCTACAGCTTTTCATTATGTCATTGTTTAAATATCCTGAGAATAGTATCTACACCCTCCATGTTATTAACTGTAACCCTCTATAATGGACAGGTATCTCATCACATTTAGAATTCAGTCTTATTTATCACTGGAAACTTTGCAGCTGCTAAAAGTTTTTCTGGATACATGATTGAAGTAATGCATGAAGGTGATGCTGGCATTGATAACTATATTTCATCACCTGGAGATGACCTGAAACTTTGATAGCTCCAGTAATTTATAATTTTGCTGAAGTACAATTTCTATGCTTTGTGAGAATGAATTATGTAGCTAATGAGTGAACCTCACCGATGGCTTAATTTTCTCATTTCAATGTGACTTTATTGGTCCCGACTTACCCTCTTTTGCCATAACTCTATCGTCTTGCTTATTAAGGATATGAAAGGGCCCTATATTTTTTCAGTTATATTGTATTGCCACTTAAGGGAATTTATCTGTAGTGGTGATACTCCTGAGTTGAAACTTGGGATAGCTTGGAGAACTACTTTTCTTTGAACACCAAAGTTCTCCATAATCTCCACTACAGAAGCCAAAGTCTTTATATAATTAGAATTGACATTTGTGTTTTAAATAAATTCTACTGTGTCTATCCATCAACCCCTTAGGTGCCATACACAGTATGTGTGACAGGAACAATTCTCTGAGTTCCCTTTTGCAGGTACGTGGATGACAGACCCATATGACTGACTTATTCCTGGAAACTGAGTGCATGGCTACCTGGAATGGGACATGGGATGTGCATGCCAAAATCTGGCAGGAACACGAGGTTGCACATTTAATAATTTTTTTGTTATTGTAGTTGGTTGCCACTTGAGTGCATTTCTACAAGAAGACAAAGGGAAAGCGATGCCTGATACACACAGGCATGGTCACAAGATTTTGTTACTTCATAACAAAAAGAAAAGGCTAGGCCAGAAGTGGTGGCTCATGCCTGTAATCTTAGCATTTTTGGAGGCCAAGACAGGCACATCACTTGAGCTCAGGAGTTCGAGACCAGCCTGGGCAACTTGGTGAAACTCCGTCTCTACAAAAAATAAAAAAAAAAACTAGCCAGGCATTGTGGCATGTGGCTGTAGTCCCAGCTACCAGGGAGGATTGCTTGAGCCTGGGAGGCAGAGGGTGCAATGAGCCAATAGCATGCCACTGCCCTCCAGCCTGGGTGAAAAAGTGAGACCCTGTCTCAAAAAAAAAAAAGAAAAAAAAAAAAGTCTTTATTAATTTCTTCATCTTCTCTAGCCTCAATGTTGCACCTCTAAAATAGGGATAATGATGTCCTCTTTATAGGACTTCATTTGTGTCCAGTGCACTTAAAATGCCTCACATAATGCATACCTCATATTCCAGAAAGGCTAGTTATTTATAAATGGGCTTTGAATTGTGTTAAAAAATCCTACAGGTCTAGTTTTCAGTCCCTGGTCATAAAATTGATCAATAACTCTTTTAAAATAAATATACATGCACATGGCTTATGAAATATTTGGCTTTTCTCGCTCCAGTTTCTCACTCAGCACACATGAGCAGCTAGTCATATGTAGACAAGCACACATGTGCCTGGGCACCAGTGCAACTTCATAATTAAAGACTATGCCCAACCGTCAGGTTGATGTCACCATATATGAAATCTGGCAAGTTTCAGAGTCATTACTTTTACCCAACTGGAAAGGCTGTATGACATATAAATCAGAGGTTTGCTTCAGTTCAGCACTGGGCATTTAAAGTCTGGTGTGAAAATAGTCTATACCATTTAAGGGCATGTCTTGGTTGACAAAGCTGAGAAAAATAGCAGAATAGGTAATTCTTCTGGTCTTTCAACTTAGAGCCCTATTATATAGACGGTATGTCCCTGTTGAATGATGCCCCTTTTAAAATTAAGAGCAAACTGACTGTCAAATTGGTAGTCACTGGCAAAAGAAACAGGAAAATCAAAACTACCAAATGATAATACATTGCTAGATCATTGTTTTCTTTTATTGTGATAAACAATCAGTATTTAGTTCTGACTGAACCTATTTATCTGTTTTGTGTAATATTACATAACCACTGAAATGAATTAGTCTAATCTGTATATATTAAATTAAAGGAACTCTATATAGATTTATTAAAAAACCCAATTAAAAATGCCAGGTGTATCCTTATATCATTCACATAAAAATGTATACAACACTATGAATACTATAAATGAACACCTACTACATATATAGGCATGAATACGCAAAATAAAACTATAGACAACAATCTGTAATAGCGGCTTCCTGTGAGGGGGGAGGTAGGAAACCAGGGTGGCAATGGGGTTATTTAAAATATATTTTAGACTTGTCTTTAACGTTTCTTTTAATTTTTTTTTTACTTTAAAAAATCCGTATCTCCATGTGCAATTAAAATTTTAGAAGTATAAAATTCCATATATCTCCTTTTGATGTAATAAAGTTATATTATTTTTATGAACCTGAATCAAAGAAAAAATGTTTGCCAGTCTCACAATTCAGCACAACCATTAGCATTCTGGCATATTATCATCATTTATCTAAAGTTATGCGACAAACATTTATGTCAATTTTTTAATTATGAGACCCTTTATGATCCTTATCCTGCTCATTTTAATGGGTATAATATTCTACCATGTGTATATACTTTAACTTACTGCATTGCTTTAATTTTTGGTACAATTAAGTATGTGATTAACACAGTGGCAGGTTTCTTCCCCATATATCTTAAGAGATACTTATTTTGAGAGGAATTAAAGAATCAAAATGTTCAAACATTTTTAATAACTCATATGTGAATGCTTTTTAGGAGGAGTTTTCAGAAGTTTTATTGATAAAAACAGAAATTGCATTGTCCTGATGGGGTCTGTAATACAAAGCAACATTCTCAACTAGCCCAAAATAACACTGAGCAGCCCAGAGAAGAACAAATAACCCACTCACACATTCTGCTAACCCTGTGGAATTCAGACATGAGGTATACTCTAAACCACTTCAAATGACTAATCTCTCTGGAGAAGACTCAAAGACAGAATAAATTACGTGACTGCACGTCCAGGAATGATTAGTAATCAACGAGCAGATGGTATTGAAAAGCAAACAAACTAAACCTCCAATTCTCCCCTCAACTTACTGTAATAACCAATGAAATTAGCAAACTAATTTCCAAATAATTAGTGCATCTCAATCCCAAACAGAGTTATTCTAGAAAGAAGGGAAGAAGGGCAGGCACACTTAACCTGAACACTCCATTTGCCTTTGTTGTGAAAATGATCTTATTGATGTAGGTGGTTCACTGTAGCAGGTCAGTAGTAAAAACACAGTGTCAATGCCCAGGCAAACACAGCTTGTTGTAATAGAATCTCTGGTTAAATTACTTAAAGAGTCAGAAGTAGAGAGAATTTCTTGTAAAAGGCCAATCTCTACTTACCATTTGTATAAGGGTTGACGGTCTTTTTATTTGTCATTACACGTGCTGTGGCATTATTTACCTATGTACATAGAAAACTCAAGTAAGCACATATTCTAGGGCCAGCTCCCAATTCAATTAGTTGCATGCATTATGACCGTGATTACTTATTAAAAAAGAAAACTAAAAAGTAAAATGCATTTTAATTTATAAAAGGCAGTAGGTGCATAACAAAATCATACATTTTTAAAATTACATTTACTTCATAACCGTTTAACTTACAAATCATTTCAATAAAGCAATGTCATATCATTAAGAGTGTTTAATAAAGGGACAGTAAAAGCAAATTAAAAGATTCTGCATAATTGAAGATTTAAAAGCATGCGTGTACTCCATGGTAACACAGAAACAAGAAATATTTTTTAAACATAAAATAAAATTCATATGAAGGAGCATGCAGTGGAGAAGAGAGAAGAGACAAGGTACAAGGGAACATAAATGTCAAAAAAAGGGACAAACAAGTCTTAGCCGTGTGCAACACTTTAGGAGGAAAGAACCATCAGGAAAGCAACATCTAGCATTCAACACTTGGAACAAGAGCCTTTTACATCGCAAGAATTAACAAAATCATTCAAGCTTTAACGTCACAGCTAACAAAAGGATAAAAGAGAGGGTGCATTGTTTAACACAATATGGGGTTAACAATCTGAGTAAGATGTGCACCGGTCATAACTCAATCCAGTCAGTGCCTCCCAGGCTAGCTTAGAACGTACACTCAATTACAGGCGTACCAATATCCAAAAAAATAGAGCATCAAGAAAACTTAATACGACAAGTCAAAAAAATTCACGTGGTATATATATATATGTATATAGATATATCAGCACTAAATACGTGAAACGGCAGATGGACTTCACCACTTACCATTCACCACCATCGCCAGCATGGGTTTGTATACAGTTACCATGGTTACTGAGAGTTTGGTGAGGGGCCTAAGCGTTATCGTCGAAGGGGAAAATGAAAGGCAAAATATGCAACATCTTACTCCAAAGACTAAAGCATTTGTAACTGGTATTAAAAAAAAAATTAACAAATATGACCCTGTGGCTATGTTGCGGGAGATCCCAGTGGGACAAATAGCAGACTCTGAATGTCAGTATTTTGGTATTTATGCTTTCAGTGAACAGGGGCCAGATATTGAACAGGAAATCCTGTTTGGTTATTCACTTTGTTATCAAAAGAATACAGAAATTCAAACTGGCTTCTTAAAAAAAAAAAAACGAGAGGTTTAGTAAAAACCTCTCGTTTTTTTTTTTGTTTTTTTTTCCACAAAAAACAAACAAACAAACAAAAAAAAACAAACAAAAAAACAATCTTTTTTGCTTTCCCAATTTGGTTTAATTTGCCAACCACTGTGGATCCCTCTTCAACCCTGAAGTGGAAAGAAAAAGAAAAAGAAACTGTTCTGTATTTTGTTTGGTTTGCAATACTGTCTATTCTTTGGAACCTACTGCACCCATTGATTATAAAACATGGAAAATAACAACAAAAAAACACTTTCCGATTAACCTTTCTTTTGTCTCACGTTTGCCATCCACCTTTCAGCGGTATAAGAGTAACATAATAAAGTAAAATTAAAAAAAAAAGTAAGGCCAGTTTTCCTTTTTATATATAAAAATATATATATATATATAAACAATGAGGGGGAATAGGGTCACATACAAGACGCCAATGATGCATCTGGAACAACGAATGAGCGTGAAGCAGACATTTATAAAAAAGATGAAAAGGAAAATATTTTGAACATGCACCTCGATTTTACGGCCCTCTACCACGGTGCCGTGTAATTTCTCCCTCGCCCTGTCCGCATCGGCACTATTTTCGAAAGTTACGAAACCAAATCCCTGCATGCAGGAGGGAGAAGGGAAAACAACATGCAGATTATTATTTCAGTCAACGACCACTTGGTAATGTTCTCTCGCTTTAATTTCTATTTCTTGTCCTGGCTTCAGTTCTGTAACATGCAAATTAGAGAAATTATAAGAGTACTGAGATGTGCAATAATTAAGCGACAAATGTGAACAAGATATTTTTTTCTGTCACCAGTTAGCTGTAACCCCTGAAGTATTCAAAGAAGGATACCAAAAATACCTTTCTAAATGTCACTACAGAAGAAAATAAATCTAACGAAAAGAAAATGAGATCAAAATAAATTTACAGTGTCTTCACAGAGAATAAAATGAAATAATGAGGAAAAGAAAAGGGAACCACTTTTTTGACATGCAAATTAAAAATAAAATAAAATAAAACGTGTGCACGAAATTCAACAATGAATGCCAAAATCCTCTAACATTGCCTACAGAGTCATGCCGTGTGGTTTTAAGAACATCTCTTCTTCATGCAGTTTTAGGGTTATTCAAATTTGTCAGTTCTACAGCCTTTACTTCTCAAAAATAAAACTTAAAAGCCTAAAAAAGGAAAGACCTTTTTTATAATAAATCTTAAACTCTTTGGTCTAATAAACAAAAAAGTCACATGAAATGAACAGAAATAAACTTCAGTTGATTAATAATACAAACAATTCAATGTTTGTGCTCATACTTTCCCCACTCTTCAAATTGCATACACGCTTTTGAATTTGACAACCTTCCATCCTACTTTGTTAACCAGAAAGGGAAAGGTGTACCCATATTGTAAAGTTCTGGCATTAGGTCAATATTTATTTTTCATATCAACAGGTAGCAAAGAAACTTTGTTAATAGAATGTAATTTGTAATAATATTCTGGCCACTTCCTCTTTTACTGATAGATAACATATATACCTTTTAATTTACCACAGGTACATTGGCTTTTAATATTTCAGCCTCAAAAATCAACCCCACTAAACTATATTGTCAAAATCCGTATTTTGTCTTCACTGACATTGTTCCTAAGTACAGAAAATACGACACATTATTTTTAAAGCCCCTAAAAATATTTGTACATCTTGTTCAGAAATATACACCAACCTTTCGAACAATTTCCACATAAATTTACCCAGCTCTTTCAGATTTTTCACTGTAAACTGGGTGAAATCATGCAATATGTTGGGGCTCCTCTTAGCATCAAATAATCCTTGTTGGCTCCAAGTTGAGTTGGGACAGTATAATACTTAGTTTTACTAAAGAAATGCACAATAATTACAAATACATGGTAGTTATAACCAACTGGTGATAACTCCCAGTCCTACATTAGTTCTCTATAATCACCTCCAAATTTAAGGCTAAAGAGGTATTGACCACAGGGCGGGGAACATCACACACCAGGGCCTGTCACGGGGTGGGGGGCTGGGGGAGGGATAGCGTTAGGAGAAATACCTAATGTAAATGACTAGTTGATGGGTGCAGCAAACCAATATGGCACACGTATACCTATGTAACAAACCTGCACAGTGTGCACCTGTACCCTAGAACTTAAAGTATAATAAAACAACAAAAAAAGTATTGTGCAATGGGCTGGCTAACGGAACTTTTCAACAGTCGGAATAGGCTCATCAGCCACAGAAGACAGGGGATGTGGATGTATTCAAGTGAGGGTAGATGATTATTTGTCGGGATTCTATAGACAGCTGTACCTCAGAATCCACTACAGATTAGTTCCAAGACATCCCCACCCCTGATACCCAAATCCTTGCATTTCCAAGTCCCACAGTCACCCCGTGGAATGTGAGTATAGAAGAAAATCAGCCCTCTATATATACAGGCCACACATCCTGGGAATACTGCCTTTGGTTGGAAAAAAAAAAAATTCACATGTAAGTGGACCTGCACAGTTCAAACCTGTGTTGTTCAAGGGTGAACTGTATCGAGAAAAATAACGTTTCTTTACTTTAGGGGATTGAACCAAATTACCTTCCATAATCTTTCCCATAGTGAGGCTCTGTGATTAGGATAAGCCTGAATTATCTGATTCATTTAAGATTATTTGCTCCATAACAGAAGGGTCTTGCTTAGTCTTGTGCACAAAGTATGCCCATATTGGGTATGCAAATACACTCGCCAACTGTATAGTTTGGAAATGATTGTTCTTCAAAGGGAAAAAAGAGAGAATTTAGGGGGATTTTGCTCTATTTGACAGTTCTAACTCTTGGCCAGTATATCTCAAACTTAGCCGCATATCAGAAGGAACTTGGGAGGACATTAAACATTAAGATTCCTGAGCCTTGCTTTGTATCCACTGGATTAGAATCCCAGACTGGAGTCCAGAAATGTGTTTGCTTAAAATGTGTGGCCCAGTGATTTGATTTCCATGACCTCTCATTTCACTACGTGTGATCGAAACCATCAAAAGAAGGTTTTGGGCCAGGCATGGTGGCTCACACCTGTAATGCAAGCAGTTTGGGAGGCCAAGGCAGGAGGATCACTTGAGCCCAGGAGTTTGAGACCAGGCTGAGTAACATGGCAAAACCTCACCTCTACCAAAAAAAAAAAAAAAGCCAGGTGTGACAGCCTGTACCTATTGTCTCTGCTACTTGGGAGGCTGAGGTGGGAGCATTCATTGCTTGAGCCCAGGAGGTTGAGGCTACAGTGAGCTGTGATTGTACCCCTGTACTCCAGCCTGGGTGACACCCTATCTGAAAAAGAGGTTTTCATCCTTTGTAATAAATAGAATTTTATATTGCTGATATCTATAGATTTTTGGCTATAGATTTTGACTCAGTTACTTGGAGCTTACATGTAGAGGTACAGCCAAAAGCACATGTCCCAGGCTTCTTGGCAACGTTCTCTTCCTCCCTGATGGGCCTAACTTCCTAGCAACCATAGCCATGCCACATATTCCAAAAAGAATCAGAGAAACGAGGGCTTTGGATTTATATTCTCTCCCGGCAAGAAAAGAAAATCCATAGCCCCACTGGTATAGCTGGAGGGCCAGGTGGTATCATTTCTGCCCTTTGGAACTAGCAGTCATTATTACCACAGCACTGGGAAGAACACAGCCAGGTGAGACTGAACACTCACCCTCCTGTCCAACATTATACTCCAGAACCTTGCTCTCATGCTTCATGTCTGAACCCAAGGCAAACCTACTGCCCCGAAATCAGCATTAAGTATGTTTAGGAAAGACAAAGGTGGAAAGAGAAATACATTTTGAATCCCAAGGAAGGGGCATGAACTAAAAAGGAAATAGCCTCATCTATTCTCAAGTTCTCACTTTTTAAGCAAAGAGAATACATTCTTTTTTATTATTCTCATTGTTTTTCTGCGAAACTTCTTTCTCTCTTTGCTTGTCAGCTACTTGGTATTCCTCATTTAGAGTTGAGATTTGACAAAGTTCGGTGCAGAAAGAATGTGCTCCAGACGGTCCTCAAAATGCCAGACAGACTTTCCTACCTGTTCCGTTGGGCAATTCTACCTCCCACCCAGACAAGAAGTGGCATGGCCTCCCTGGGTTATCAGGTTATCAAAATTCTCACCTGAGGGTTGCAATGTAACCAGAAAGACCTCACCTGGTCCTCTCTATGAGCAGGGAACCTTTGCCACGATGCACAGGTGCCAGGCAACCTTGAGAGCGGGTGCTAAGGTTGTTTTTTCTGACCCGCCTCATGGTCGGAATTCTAACTCAGGGAAGCAGCAATTTGCAGTTTTTAAAAAGATGATGAATATTTTTACCTCTGCCTTAAAAAGGAGAACAAAACAAGCACATTCTGAGCTTGGCTTGCTCGGCAAAGGGCTGGGTGTGATGCTGATGTGTAACTGCTTAAAAAATCAAGACCGCAAGAAGGGGTACAGAGAAGGGGAGTCAGAGACACACCTTCCCAGAGTTTACCTTTAATGCTACTGAAGAAAAGAGATTGGTGGCCTGTGCCCTGTCATGAGCAGGTATAATCAGTAGGGCAGATAACGGGGACCTTAAGAGGATTGCCAGACCAACGTGACTTGCTTACTTTAAAATATTTTCGCAAATCATACATTCTGATCCTCTTGTATCCTAGTTATTGTTCTTTTTTCATCTTTTGTATTTTTAGGTGATATCTTCCTTTTTTGCATTCATGCAAATACACCATTTTATATGTTAAAGACTTAAATAAAGCACCCTGGATGGATGAAGGTACTGATTTTTCATCCTAGATGAAAAATCCAGTCCTCTAGTTTCTGGTGCAGAGAATTCATATTTAGAAGAGGGGAGCTGTTGATGAGCATCTGAAGATTCATTTTCCGATGGGACTATGAGCCCTCTCATCTCACTTTTACTCCAGTGATCTTTGCACATGCAACTTCTCCTGCCTGAGACACATCCCTCTTTCCCCTCCCTGGGAAATTCTTACGCAACTCTCACTCTCAGCTTAAATGTTCCTTCTTTCCAGAAGCCTTCTCACAATATCAGCCTGCCTGTCCGGACTCTCAGTGGCCTCTCCCATCACCGCAGAACAGCACAGGCTACTGCAGTCACTCATCTTCCTAGTCCATCTCTCCTGCTACTCAGGAAAGCCCAGGAGGACAGGAAGTACTTCTGTCTTACTCATGGTTGGCTCTCATGAAATGCAGCAAATACTTACTGATATCTACTGAATCAAAGATCAAAGTGTAGCTTTTTTTTTTTTTTTTTTTTTCTTAGAGACAGAACTTCCCTCTTCTTGCCCAGGCTGGAATGCAATGTCTTGATCTCGGCTCACTGCAATCTCCACCCCCCGGGTTCAAGTGATTCTCCTGCCTCAGCCTCCCGAGTAGCTGGGATTACAGGCATGCACCACCACACCCTGCTAATTTTGTATTTTTAGTCAAGACAAGGTTTCTCCATGTTGGTCAGGCTGGTCTCGAACTCCTGACCTCAGGTGATCCGCCTGCCTCGGCCTCCCAAAGTGCTGGGATTACAAGAGTGAGCCACCGCACACGGCCAGATATCTTAAGTATATACGTAGGGAGTAGCTATATCTGCATACAGCCCTTAAATAGACCATATCAGAGGTAAACGAGATGGTTGGGTAAATCTCGTAAAAAGGAAAAATAAATTACAGGATCATTCGCCCCTAAATGCTTACGAATTCTCATTTTCTCTCTGACATCTCTTTAAAATGTGGATTTTCTGCATTCTTGCTATTCACCCATACATTAAATACTTGAGTTATATACATTTCCAAAATAATATAGATACTACCTGGAATATAGATACTGGATCTATATTCCAAAGTAATATAGATACTTGTTCTGAGATAAGGACTCACTCTGTCACCCAAGCTGGAATGCAGTGGTGCAATCATAGCTCAGTAAAGCCTTGACCTCCTGGGATCAAGCAATCCTCCTGCCTCAGCCTCCCAAGTAGCTTGGACTACAGGTGTATATCACCATGCCCAGCTAATTTTAAATTATTATTTTGTGGAGATGGGGTCTCACTGTTGTCCAGGCTGGTCTTGAACTCCTGGCTTCATACAATACTCCCACCTCAGCTTCCTAAAGGGCTAGAATGTTAGGTATGAGACACTGCGTCCATCCCTTAAGTACATATGGGTTTATATGTCCGCATACACACACACACACACACACACACACACACACACACACACCCAGCACACACAGCCTTCAGCATTGAGTGGCCTGCCTGAAGAACTGCTCTAGAGAATGAAAGGCAAGAAGGTGAGTTCCTGGCTCGTAAGGGCCCACTCATTTCCTGGCTGTCTGTCCAGCACCAAACGATGAAAATGAGGCCATAGCAACAGTTCAGGTTTCTGAACCATTAAAATGGAAATGCTCCTCTAAATAAGGCCCTTTCCCATAAAGGATAATGTCAACTATGAAAAATATCCCTGTGTGAGCTGCTGCCCCCATTTAGCAGTCCCAACTGGACTGTCTCAGTGCCATTCCAGCAGTACCTAAACAGTCAGCTCCAACACCTGCAAGACAAGCTCTTTCAGAGGGCGCATACCCACCGAGAGAGGCTATTTTGGATGTTTCCTAAACCAAAAGAATAAAGACCAAAAAAAGGCAGCTTCACAAAGTCAGGCTCTGGATGCAGCAAACTTAAATGGTCTTTTTCCTGAAGCCCCCAGAGACAGGCTAATCATGGGAATGACGGAAGATGTCTTAAAAACAGTATCACCATTGTACTTTCAAAATGGCAAATGATATTCTTCTAATGTCCCAAAACAGCTCTCAGAAGGAATTAAACAGCTTTCTTCATTGTAACTGGCAAAAGTTACAAAACAAAATATAAATTAAACATATTAAAAAACAACAACAACAACACATCTTTGAAGGCAGTGCTGCTATAGACAGACCTAGGGTCAGAACGAAGTTGGTCAACATTCGGGTCATCTACAATTTCGCCAAGAATACAGAAGGCTCGAGTGAACAGAATTAGGCTGGGCACATTTTTCTCTCAATGCACTTTGCTTTGCAGGTATAGCAATAGTCCCCGTAATAACTTTCCTACAAGAAGCAGGAAGAGACTTAAGTTCGAGAACGATTGTAAAATATCTGGAGCTATGGAAAAATGACAAGGTCCCTGAAGGAGTATTATCACAAAGTGTAAGGGATTCTGTTTTGCTTTTGTTTTTGCTCATCTGACAGATTACAACATCACTCTGGCCATGGAGGAGAAAATACTGGGGTTTTCTTTCCTTGATATGATCAACATCATCCTAGTTAATTAGTACTAAATTTACTTAGGAGGGAGGAAGGCTGTCCAAGGAATAAAGAAAAAAAAATCAAAGGTTTGTTTTATGGGGGAAAGATGGTTATACACATCCAAAAGAGCTGGCAATGTGGCCTGTGACACTTCAAATAAAACCAGCACCGCTTACTGACCCTCCGTGATACCGACTTGCCTCAAATCGCCTGTGTAAGGAGAGTCAATGGGCTGAAATCACTATCTCTCAACATTTGCATTCATAGTCTGAGGATGCAAGGAGAAGGGAACTTAAAATTCCTAATAGCCTGGGGACTGGCAGCCAGGAGACCCGTCAGAGCTATTGAAAGCATTCACTTTCTGGTTACCAAGATCCACATCTTTGTTCTCCATCATTCTCCCTGTTAACCCCCTGTGTCTGCTTATAGGCCTCATGTGTTGTTTTCCTCAGTGGAGCTAAAACACAGGTTGCTGAGCCCTAACTTGGGAGTTTTGAATTCAACAGATCAGGGCTGGAGCCTGAGAACTTGCATTTCTAATCAGTTCCTAGGTGATGCTGATATTCCTGGTCTGGGACCACCCTTGGTTAGCCACTGATAGAGAGGAGGTTTTAGAAATGTTTCTGTTTTTCTCTTCTCCCAACATATTTCTTTTGTTTATTTGCTTATTTTTGAGATAGGATCTTGCTCTGTTCACCGAGGCTGTGGTGCAGTGGTGCAATCTCAGCTCACTGCAACTACTACCTCCTGGGTGCAAGCGATTCTCCTGCCTCAGCCTCCCGAGTAGCTGGAATTACAGGCACATGCCACCACACCCAGCTAATTTTTGTATTTTTAGTAAAGACGAGGTTCCACCATGTTGCCCAGGTTGCTCTTGAGCTCCTGACCTCAGGTGATCCACCCACCTCAAAGTGCTGGGATTACAGGCGTGAGCCACTGCACCCAGCCCATATTTCTGTTTTGAAACAGAACCTCTCCTGAACCCAAACCTCTCCATAGAGCCCCTGACTTTTATTAGCACTAGGGAATCTATTTAAAAATTGGTTTCCTTGAAAAAACAAACTCAAAGCAATGGCAAATTGCTAAATGTGGATCGGTAAACATACTAAAGAATAAAATTACATTCAAAAGGTTGGTGTATATGAGATTTTTCTCCCCTACAACCCAGGAAAATAACTGCACTTTATTAATACAGAATAATCACATATTTACCTGCTCATGAGACTATCAACTCACTTTTTAATATAAAGAACATAATTATCACTGAAAAACAAAAATGTAGCAACATCATTATTTTTTTAAGCATGTATAATTTTCCTCTGGAAACTTGATATATATATAAAACAGCAATTTAAAATTATCCCCTTATACATTTTAAACTGAACCCGATGTCTTTCCCACCATTTTGAAAACGGAAGGTGGTCTCTAAAGGAATTCCCACTGAAGTGTATTTTCACAATGAGCTGATTAAGACAGTGCAGTTGTTTCCCCTTATTCATAACAAACATTTAAAAATAAACTAAACAATTCTAAAGTGAATTAAGTTGCTTACCTTTGAGCCTCGCTCATTAAAAATAATTTCAACATCTAAGATTTTACCAAATTGCTGCAAAGAAATAGAAATATCTTATAAGCAAGAAGAGAAATGCAGTAGACATTACTATGTACAGTAGTAATTGTTTCCCACGTCCATTTTTTTCTCTTTTAATACCAAGGATACACATTTTATGTTTTATGGTTAATGTGCTTGAAACAAGAGAAAATAAAACCACCCATATTTTCTCCTTATTATGGAATATACCGGCAAGGCTTGATACAAAATATTAATCAAGAGGTTAATTCTATTTTTCTTTTTTTCCTGTGTGCATGTCTGCTTTCCCAGGCACTGAGCAGCAAAGATTAAAAGTGGCTAGTATGTACATACAATGATCCTTCTGGTCTATCCCACTAAACACTGGGAGAAACACCCTTGATGAAATGTGATTTTGATAATCAATGTCCAGTGAGAATGTGATGTGACTGGGGTTGGCTCCTAGCTCACATAAAATCTAGGAGCAGCTCTATCATATGAGCAAGAAAGTACAAACACAGAAGCAAACTCCACTATCTAGGCACTATCATCATGATGGTATCAGCAGTTGTGATCAGTGCTTGGGCTGAAATTCTCTCAAGATAATTCTCCACATTGTTAAACAAATAGATTTTAGACAACTAGCATGAATAGGCTCTATGAAAAGTCCAGAAACAGAGACTCAGATTATAAATAGAGACAAATAAAATGCAGACACTTGGTTAAATTTAAATTTCAGATTTTTCAGGATATGTCACACACAACATTTGGGACATACTTATACTTAATACTTGTGGTTTATTTGAACTTCAAATTCAACGACTGTGTCTTACATATTTTTTAAATTTGTGAAATCTGGAAGTCCCAGTGAGAAATGTACATCAAGCAATTCTTGATCACGTTTCAAAACAGGAAGTATGGGCTCTAGAACTAGGGGCATCGGATCATCTGAAATCCTTTCCCCCAACCTTGGAATTTTTTCAGTTTTCTGAGATCACATGAAGTATTGTGGCCATTTCTTGAGTACAGTAGCCTAACCTGCATAAGTACGAGCAACTGAGAGAGAGGGTAATGTAAAATCATGTACTGTGGCCCAGGGAAAAATAAAATGGGAATTTTATCTCCATGCAGAATGAGAGCAAATGCTCTTTGAGTGATTAAAAATTAAACAGGGCAACATAAATATTTCCATCCTCTTTTTTTGTTTTGTTTTGAGCTTTCCTATCATTCCATTCACTTCTGCATTCTGGATTTTAATTGCATCCTTTATGACCCCCAGAGGTTTTGTATTCCATCTCTCCCTTGAGTGGAGAGCATTACGCGTGCTTCTGTGTGGCAGCGGACAGAGCGACTGGGGTGAGGGGTGGGGCAGGATAAAAAAGGAACAAACAAAAAGACCACACAAGAAGCAGGGGAGGTTTGCCTGACTATGTGTTTCAGTCATAGAGTATCCAGAGACACAGAGAGTGAATGTCAAGAGGGTCCTACTAACATTCAAGAAACAAATTATTTAGAACATACAGATAGCTATCCTCTGGAATGGACAAAGAAATCCACCCTCCCAGAAACAGTAGAAACAAATGTATATGCCACTTGAATACAGACAGCCCAATCTTGAAATAAAAATAGTTCTGACTATGGGACAAAGTAACCAAAAGTTTGTCATTCTGTGCCATAGAAATGTGCCCGTTCCTCAGGACCCATACACTATACAGCCGGGGGAATCACAGACGCACATATTTCAAGTTGTGAAACAAAGAACTACCAGCACTTCTGTTCAGAGAAGCAAAGGATAGGAAGAAACCAAAGAGAAAATACTCAGAAGAGAACATGGAAAGGGGTCACATTGCTTGCATGCACAATGGAAACGCCAACAAACGTGCAGCTTACTCATCCTGCAATCTGTGGACTTAGATCTTTTGGTCAAGAGAATATTCCTTTACAGAGCATTTTCAGTGCCCTAGTTTTAGGCAGAGAAAAATCACTGGAAATAGAAGAAAACATTCAGATTGGGGAAATGAAGGATTTGCCATTCAAACGTGAGCTGAATTTCATAGTAAAGAAACCTCCAGTTTTGTGAACTCCTCAAGCAGTAATTTTGATACCAACCACCCTTGAATATTCAGTCTCCACAGACGCTATCATATTTATTTCAGGCATAAGAGCCTAGAAGCACATATATTTACAGAAAGAGAAGCTTGAAAAGGACTTCTTCCAAAACCGCGATGCAACTGTCATCTATGGAACATTCTCTAGGCAGTCAACCCAAAAACATTTCCTTTAAAATAAGATCTGATTGAGACAGAACCAATCAAACAGCAATCTTGGCAGGTGTCATTCCCTAAATGAAACAATGACATCAGCTGCCCTGAAGTGGTCTCAAAGTTTGCTTCTGTGGCAGTTGCTGTTAGGTTGACGGTTCTCAAAGCCGGTGAAACAAGCCCAAAGAAGAATGCTGATGTAAGCCCCATTTCCAAGACAGTTGTGTACTATATTTATAGTATCAACAGTTTAATTGGGAAGTTCGCTACTAATGATGTAAACACAGCTGGCACATTTTCAATTTAAATAGACACGACTCATTCGCAGACATAACTAGCATTTGTTTGCTCAACATCAATGTTCAGCTGCATTCAACAACGCCTCAAATCCACACAAAGTTTCTCAATAGCTGTATCAAGAGCAGGATCCAGGCCAGGCATGGTGGCTCATGCCTGTAATCCCAGCACTGTGGGAGGCTGAGGCGGGCAGATCACAAGGTGGGGAGTTTGGGACCAGGATGGCCAACTTGGTGAAACCCTGTCTCTACTAAAAATGTAAAAATTACCCAGTCATGGTGGTAGGAGCCTGTAATCCCAGTTACTTGGGATGCTGAGGCAGGAGAATCACTTGAACCTGGGAGGTGGAGGTTGCAGTGAACCAAGATTGTGCCATTGCACTCCAGCCTGGGTGACAGAGCGAGACTCTATCTTAAAAAACAAAACAAACAAGATCTAGAAGCTTACAGGCACACACACTTTGGCAAATACCTACCAAGCATTTTTAGATGTTCTCAGATCAAACAATATTTCTCTGAAAAACTGTGAGGGATGTTCAATGGATACAGCATAAAACGTAAAAGTAAAGGTTAGTTCAAAGATTGTGCGTGAAGGCCAAAGAAAGGCATCATCCCAGTTTTTCTTAGTGTCAGCTTCCTGTTCAGAATGCAGAAGTAGAAGGTACCATGCCCTGTCTCCCCATAATGACTTCACTCACAACATCATGGTAGATGGAACTTTCCATTAACGTCATAAGTACAGGCAAGCCCGTCTCGTGACTAAAAAGTGATCTTGAAATCTTCCTTTGCATGTGCTGAAAGTCATGTGATCTGTTTTTTTGTGACAATAAAGAGAGGTTTAGTGGACCATTTTCCTGCCCAGAGGACCTATATTTTGTTTTGGTGTGGTTTTTTTTGATTTTATTGTTGTAGAAACTGGGTCTCCCTATGTTGCGCAGGCTGGTCTAAAATTCTTGAACTCAAGCAACCCTCCCACCTCGGCCTCCCAAAGTGCTGGGATTACAGGTATAAGCCACCATCATGCCTGGCCAAGAGGGTCTGTATTTTGACCCCTAAAGTAAGGCTGTGGAATCAACAAGGGTGTTGTGTAAATTTGAGAACTGTAGTCATTGAGCAACTGTTTCTGACAATTCCGTGAAGGCATCCAGAACATCCATCCATCTGTTGTAGCAGAAGTCTGGATATATCACAATCCACTTGTCTCACTTCAAACCCAGAATGTTTAAATGTTAAATATTAAGTTAAACATTCTATTTAGGGTGCAATATATCGCAATTAATTTGTTAGAAATCCATATATTCCTCTTTTGGGATCATCAAACATTTATCTGTAAAGAAAATGCATGCTCATGCATGATACCTAACGTGAAGACAAAGCTCAAGGAAAAAGTAGCCACCTATAAAACTAACATCCCTTCCAATGAACCATTTAATATCAATGCCACTGCACAGAACAGATCCATTCCCTTGAACCTCAACCGGTATTTTTAAAAGACGATGGCTTCTGCTTTGTATACTGTAGCCATATATCTTGCCCAAGGAATGTTCCATCTCAAATGAGAAAAAAAAAAAAAAAAAGATGAGCTAGAAGATTTAATGCCAAACATGGGAACAAATGCTTCCAATGAGTAGAAAGTAAAGAATATGAAGCACAAGGTGGAAAAGGTAATCAGGATTCCAATCTTCATGATGTGCTGAAGATACAAATTAGAAATAAAATGAGTCATCTGCAGTAACCATTAGGCATGTAACGGTTGCAGATGGTATGGTCGAATTATTAGTGGTTACAGACGTTGTAATGATCACTGCCAAGTTTTAGGCAGTTTGAAGAAGGAGGTTGCTTTTTTGTCTTGTTTTGCTTTTGACTTTGAAATCCCATGCCTATATTTAACAAGAGACAAAGGGGGGGAAAAGCACAAAGATCTTTGTGACTGTTTTTCTCTGTAATTGTCCTCACTGTAAACCCCTGTCAAAGTGGGAAGACAAAGACAGGATAGAGCACCAAAAGGAAAGAAGATGTCTCATGTCCAAATAACGTGAGAAGTACCGAATTGGAGTTAAACTGTAGTTTCTTGCAGTAACTATGACCCAAAAGAGGAAACCCTCCTAAATTCCCTAAGCTCCAGTGCAGGGAGCCAATGAGAATGTTTACAGATGCTTCACAATGTGATTCCTGCCACTAAATGTATCCTATAACAAGAACGGCTCCATGACCACCGGTGTTTGGCAGGAAAGAACAGATTTTTAGTGCATAAAACTGCATTTCTTTAGAATAGTGGTTGTAAACTAAGGAGGCTTGAAAGTCATTGCAAGGGGGTCTATGAATCTGTATGTTCCTGGCACTTTTATAGACAAAATTTACAGAAACAAATAAATCTTGCATACTTTTAAAAAAAGGGACACAGATGCTATTTGTGATGAACAAGGTTGAGTTTGTGCACTAAATGCATGGTGTGTTCTCTTAATTGACAGGTATTAAGTGTATCTATCATCTTGCCAAATTGACATCTTGTCAGTTGCTTGAAAATCTTGACTTTAAAGTGAAGTGGTGAATGCATGTAGTCCCAGCTAGTCAGGAAGCTGAGGCACAAGAATCGCTTGAACCCAGGAGAAAGGTTGCAATGAGCCGAGATCATGCCACTTCACTGCAGTCTGGGTGACAGACTAAGACTTTGTCACAAAAAAAAGGGGGGGGGGGGGTGCTGGATGGGTGCAATAGCTCACATCTTATGCTGTAATCCCAGCACATTGGGAGGCCAAGGCGGGAGGGTTGCTTGAGGCCAGGAATTTGTGAGCAGCCTGGACAACAAATTGAGACCCCATCTCTATTAAAAAAAAATACTTAAAAATTAGCCAAGCATGGTGGCTTGTGCCTGTAGTCCCAGCTACTTGGGAGGCTGAGGTGGGAGGATCCCTTGAGCCCAAGAATTTGCAGTGAGCCGTGATCACACCACTGCACTCTAGCCTGGGTAGCAGAGTGAGAACTTGTCTTTTTAAAAACAAGAGCCCTGAAACTAGTAGATTTGGATCAAGGTCTGATGACCGGTAGTACAATTTTTTGGCAAGATCTTGCTCCTTGCCGTCTACCCTACCTCTGTAAGACTAGAGAGACTCAGGATCCCTTCTCTGATTCCTGTGAATATTTTGAATACCTCTATGACTTAGCATTGTAGCCTGCAGTAACTTTCACGATAACTGAGTGACACCATGAAAGAGTGTCAGGACGGTCATTAAGGGGATCACATTGAAAGCCAACATCACAGTGACACTTGATGAGAAAAAAATAGACTGCATAGCAAGATGTCTTCCTAACCTGACACGGCAAAGAGAATATAACTCCTCTTACCGCCCATCATTCACACCTGGTCTTACTGCCTCACACACACTTAACCTCGACTCTCACTTTGAATGCTCTGCACTTTTCAAAGTCATCTTTGACCTGAAAGTGCCCGAGGGTATCTCTGTTCTGCAGGAGTTGGAAGGCTCAACTCAAGGTTATTACCAAATGAGAGAGATAAAAGTGCAAGAGCTGACCTTTTCCTCTGAAATGTCAGCATTCAAAGCTGGGTATCTTCAATATTAGGATGCTCGCTCTGCTTTTGTGTCAGATGCATACTTGATAAGCATCACGTGTGTATAAGAAGTAAAAGGTGCAAGCTAATCCCCAACACACAGTGCCTTTGAGTAGTGAACAAGAGCCTCCCATTTTATATGGAGACACCACCAACTTGGCTAGGAATGAGGCATTCAAGTTGGGCATCTTCTTGTTCCTTTTGTGATATTTGCATCCATTTATTAACTCTTAGAGGAAGAGTCTCTGAGAAGCCCACCATTGCTCTAAGTCAAATGTTAAGGATGTAGTTCTTTTCATTGAATCCAGAGGCACCTGCTATCATTGCTGGGATGTCATGGGCAAATTGGCTACATCTGCAAACATGAATGATATCCAAGCCCTGTCACAGCTTTGTCCTTTGGTGGAACACTGGTCAAAGAAATGGCAAACTCATGTCTTCCCAAAGTGGATAGTGAAGATATCTTCGAGAAAAAAATAATCAGGGGCAAGATGACCTATAAAAAAAGCAATGCTATTATTTTCTCCTGGGTCAGTGGTGACTTGTGGCCTGCTCTGTGTTTCACCATGGTGCCTGGGCAAGGCTACACTTCATGGCATATAGCACCACAGTAAGTACCTCTGAATCCTTTTCACTGATTTCAGAAGAACGTAGACTTCAGGAATCAACATGGACTTAGAAACTGGTAGCTCATTTGGTGTCGGTGGTGGTGGTTTTGTTTTGTTTGCTAAAATCAGCTTTATGCAGAAGTAGTTGTTCTCTGCTGATGCATCTGAAATCTAAATGCACAGTGCCTGGGAAAGACTAGGCAATGCAGGGATACACTAAGAGTCACCCTCTGGATCATTTGACAACTGTAAAAGAAAGCAAAACCAAGAGGACTCGATGTGTATTTTTGCTGCAGTATGATGTCCTGGGCCATTGGATTTAGGACCATCAATAGGCTTCCTTCAACAGTGGGTCATCTAGGAATTTGTGTTCCATTTGGCCTACAAGTTACTTCTTAGAAGAAAGCCACTTGGTAAAGTAGATACATGGTGAGCATATGTACAGAAATACATGCTAAAACCATAAAGAGATTCTAGCCACAATATACCTGCAGACTAGGCTCTAAATTGTTTCTCCCCATACAAACATCTAACCTTAGTATTGTAAATACCCCAAACTTACATGAGACAGGGAGGTCTCTGGAACCCCCAGAGCGGGCACTGCTGGGAAGAAAGGTGATACTTACACCAAACATTTGTCTGAGGTCCGGATCCCGGAACCTGAAGGGGATATTGGAGACATGCAGCCGCTTGGGCTGAGACTTGTTTTCCGTGTTTTCAGAAGGTTGTGTCTGGGGCTGGCCATCCGTCGGTGCTGCGTCATCTGTCTGCTAAAAGAACAAGAAGAAACCGAAGAGGTTCTCAGTGGACCACAGTGCTCTCTTCCGATGCTCTTTTGCTTGCCATGAGTGGCAGGAAAAGATCAGAACTAAGCAATCTGAGAAGGGAAGAAAATGCTGACGCATGCATGCATGCATTCATTCAGCAAGTGTTTTCTGAGCGTCCACTGGGTGCTCATTATGAATCTGGGATTAGGCAGTGGGAAAAGCAGACAAAAATCCCTGCCCTCAGGGAGCATCATTCTCATGAGGGCAACACAGACAATAAATCCATAGATAGAGTGTTGGCAGACAGAGAAAAGCACTATAGGCTAGAAAAAGCAAAGGAAGGGGACTGGGAGCTGCTGGGGTTGGGAGGTGGGGAGCGAGAACCTCATCAAGAAGGGGGTAATAATCTTTAAAGGCAGGACAGTGTGTATTTCTTAACCGACGCTGTTCAGAATCTGAAGATATGCCTACATAATTGTTCAGGTAATTGTGCAGATAAAACATAATTAAATGTAAAAAATGTGAAAAGACTAGTTGGCATTCTGGAGTTCAAATAACCAGCTGATTGACTTATTCTTTTGAGGTTCTAATTGTACAAACTTTTGCTGTCCACTACAGTTGACCACATGTGACAATTTACATTTAACTGAATTAAAACAAGATATTTAACTTTGTTTGCATTAGCTGCATTTCAAGCGCTCAAGAACCACATGTAGTTATTGCTTCCATACTGAATAATGCAAATACAGAACGTTTCCATCTCTGCAGAAAGTGCTGTTGTGCTCTGTTTGCCTAGACCATGTAACATCATCAGCATAACTGATTGTTTCACCTCCCCTGTCTTCCAAATAAGGCTGTATAACATGACGTTACATTGACACCCACATATTTGGCAGGAACGAGGGGAAAAGTCACAGTCACATTAGGTATCATTATAGCCACTGCCATACTCTCGGTTCTAGAGTTTTAACATTTCAGACATTTAGCATTTGATACTTCTCTGCAATTAGCAACTATTGCCTCCAGCTGGCAGTAAATGCCATCCACATCAGATACCAACTTTGAAACTATGATAGAAAGCTTACACAGAAGCCTATCAAATTTATGAGTGAGGAATCATCCTGACCTGTTTATAAGCAATCTAGAAGTACATAATTGGGACAAAACTATCAATGTAGGCAGCCAGGTGTAAAATAATAACGACCGAGAGAAGACAATCTTACAAAGTGAAATACAAAACAAACACTCAGATAACATGGGCATAATTAGCAAGTTTCTCATCAGCCCTGGTATGTACTGGAAGGTTTCATTTGCATTTTCCTTCCTAACACACCCTGAATCGCATTTTGAAATAAAGACATCTTGTTAGCTGGCAAACCATTCTTCCAAGATGCTCTGGTATCAAAAGACCTACCAGTTGACTTCAGCTTTTAAGTGCAAGTCATGTATTTAGACAATGTATTTAGTCATTTTGCCTATACTGTTGGATTGAATAGGAAGCAGTACAGTGGTCATTTTCTTAACTGGTAAATAAAGAATAATGAGTTCATACCTTTTGAGGCTTTGTGATTGATTAATGTGTGCTAACTTGGCCAAGTTCCTGGTATGTATTCAATAAATGGAAAGTGACGAAATGTTTAGAATGATGGCAAGTTTTTTAAATACCAAAAAGAGAAATAAACCTCCTTTGAGAAACACGAAGGAAAGGTTTTCATTTGCTTATTTTTAAAGTGTTTACACATCTTTACTGAGCAACTGCTTTGTGTTGGACACATAAATCAGCCCTCCTTGTCACATGCAATTCCAACTTTAGTGCATGACACCAATAGAGAAAAACAATCATAAATAGAATCATTTTGTCATTGTCTTTTGTTGTTGTTTTCTTGGAGTTGGGTCTTGCTCTGTCACTCAGGCTGGAATGCCATGGCACAATCACGGCTCACTGAAGCCTTGAAATCCTGGGCTCAATCTTGCCACATCAGCCTTCCAAGTAGCTAGGATTACAGGCATGAGCCATTATACCCAGCTAATTTTTATTTGCAGAGCCTGGGTCACACTAAGTTGCCCAGGCTGGTCTTGAACCTCTGGCCTCAAGTGATCCTCCTGCCTCTGCCTCTGCCTCCCAAAGCACTGGGACTACAGGCGTGAGCCACCATCCCCAGAGACTGGTAAATGTTGGGATAAGAGGCAATCACAAAGGGCTGAGTAACCTTAAATCAAGGTCATATGACACTGCTGGAGGTTCAGCCAGGCTTGCCAATTCTGGAGGTTAAACGTTAAGTGGGAGATGTCTAAGAGAAGAGGTGAAAAGGACTGAGGCTATTCCAAGACAGGGCAGTGCATGTGCAGATGTGCAGAGATGTGAAATGATGTCTTGGATTCAGGAGAGTATGTGTGGACTCCAGCACCACTGGTCAGATGAGGCATGTATGAAGGGAAGGCAGGAGGACAGGTTTCAAAGATAGTCAAGGGGCTAGATCAAAGGACACTGTGCAAAGCAAGAGTCTGAGCTTCATCCTAAGAGCAATAAGGAGCCACCTAAGGGTCACAGCAGGAGTGTGGTATGACCAGCTTGTAACACAAATGATAAATGTCTGTTTAACAGTTGGCTCACTCACTGACCGAATGAATTATTAGTACACGAATAAACAAATGCATGAAGAAGTGTACAATCAATGTCGCCGCCTTCATGTGATAGTCGAAGAGCAACACTGTAACACTGAAACCCAAACAGAGCAGAATTTGCGTTTTCTCCGCTGAGAATACGAGGTTTGGTGCCACGTCCATGACACAGAAATGAGCTCGAATCCTGCAACTGTCACTTTTCAGAAGTTAAGGGGTTTTAGTACTCTACACCCAGACTCGGAGTTTACAGATGCTGTAGCTGAAACCCTAAGCTTCCAGTCCATTCTCTTCCATCCTGTTAGAAGTTCCCGTTTCAATGCAAAAACAAAATGAGCTCCTTCTTATCCTGAGAAGGAAACATAGATTTGGATTTGTGTATAACTGCTGGATGTTTCAGTTTAATGAACCTAATTAGGAATTACAGAGATTATGATTAAACATATTAAATGATTAATAGCATTATACCGCTCATGTGAAAATTAAAATTAATCATCTCTAGTCAAACAGCACTTTGGAGAAATCTTTGCATTGTTTCCTTTGATAAAAACATACAACGCTCAATTAATCATTTTGTAGTGTATGCTTATATACAAATGCGTATAAACTGTTATGGAGAAATACCTGTGTATTAAAAAGAATCCTTAAAGCATGCAAAATAAAAAAGTAAGCCAAAAGTGTTTCAGGTCATTGTGGGTGTATGGAAAGGGAAAAAGAAGAGTGTTAGGAAGTAGAGGTTGAGGAGTGAATAAAACAACAGAAAAAGGAAATCTCTTTCAGCCTGCATGCCTTTTATATGGTGGGATGCAGCACAATGAACCAGGGTTTTGGAATCACACAGACCATCCCTGTTATTTGCTAATCTTAGGCAGGTCACTTTTCTTCTCTGACCTTCACTTTACTTTTCCATCAAAGGACATTAATGGGGTAATGGGGCTAGGTGCAGTGGCTCATGCCTGTAATCCCAGCACTTTGGCAGGCTAAGGTGGGAGGATCATTTGACACCAGCCTGCAACATAGTGAGACCCTGTCTCCACTAAATAAATTAAAAAAAAAAAAAATAGCTGATCATGGCCATGTGCCTGCCATCCCAGCTACTTGGGAGACCGAGGTGGGAGATGGCTGGAGCCCAGGAGATCAAGGCTGCAGTGAGGGAAGATCATGCCACTGCACTCCAGCCTGGGCAATGGAGCAAGACTCTGCCTCTAAAACAAAAACAAAAAGGACACTAATGGTACTAAGCTCACAGGATAGTGGGAAGGATGAAATGCAGCAGGAGATGACAGAGCAGCTACCTCAGAGCCTAACGCATGTTGGGGTTAGAGATCATCACAAAGCCCTCCACTGAGTGTGATCTCTTTTCTTTCTCTTTTTTCTGGGACCTTCCGGGGAAAACATATTTAGAACCAGCCAGCGTTTTATGTCTCTATATTCGTTTCCTGAAAGAGGACCATAAAGCTGGCGGCTTAAAGCCACTGGACTTCATTCTCCTGTAGTTGTAGAGGACAGAAATCTAAAATCAAGGTGCCAGGAGGGCCACACTTCCTCTAGAGGCTCTAGGGAGGAATCATGCCTTGCCTCATTTAGCTTTTGTTGGCTGCAGGTGTTCCTTGGCTTGGGTCTGCATCCTTCCATCCTCTGCTTCAATGTCCACAGTCCCTACTTCCCTCTGCGGGGGTGAAACTCCAATTTCCCTCTTCCTTTTTCTTCTTAAAACGATACTAGGGTCGGGTGCGGTGGCTTACACCTATAATCCCAGCACTTTGGGAGGCTGAGCGGGGCAGATCATGAGGTAAGGAGTTCAAGACCAGCCTGACCAACATGGTGAAACCCCGTCTCTACTAAAAGTGCAAAAATTAGCCAGGTGGGGTAGCGCGCACCTGTAATCCCAGCTACTTGGGAGGGTGAGGCAGGAGAATCGCTTGAATCCAGGAGGCAGAGGTTACAATGAGCCGAGATCGTGCCACTGCACTCCAGCCTGGGTGACAGAGTGAGACTCCATCTCAAAAAAAGGATAATTAATTGTTGAGCCCATCCTAAATCCAGGAGGATTTTGTGTTGATCCTTAGTTACATCTGCAAAGACCTCCTCCCCCACAGCCCCCCCCAAATAAGATCACATTTATGGAAGACAAGGACATATTTTTTGGAGGTCACCATTCCCTCTACTACATCTCTCCACCAAACATATAAAGCAAAGGTGTATGCAGTACAAACAAGCAGCTGTTATCCAGGAGGCAATGCGTCCTCCACCACTTCAGGCAGCACGAAGTTCTCAAGATGAGTGGCCTCAAAGCAGGTCTAGGAGAAGGAGGAATGAATGTTCCTGTCAGGCTGTCATCTGTCAATAGGAGTTGTGACGGTTAACACTGAGTGTCAACTTGATTGGATTGAAGGATGCAAAGTATTGGTCCTGGGTGTGTCTGTTAGTGTGCTGCCAAAGGAGATAAACATTCAAGTCAGTGGACTGGCCAACCCACCCTCAATCTGGGTGGGCCCCATCTGATCACCTGCCAACACGCCTAGGATAAAAGTAGGCAAAGGAACATGCAAAGACTAGACTGGCTGAGTCTTCCAGCCTACAACTCTCCCCCATGCTGGATGC
Source organism: Homo sapiens (assembly GCF_000001405.40). NCBI lineage: Eukaryota > Metazoa > Chordata > Mammalia > Primates > Hominidae > Homo > Homo sapiens. Next base: position 7,574,553 of record NC_000016.10, on the reverse strand, counting down.
TTCCTGCCCTCGAACATGGGACTCCAAGTTCTTCAGCTTTTGGACTCTTGGACCTTCGACCACAGACTGAAGGCTGTACTGTTGGCTTCCCTACTTTTGAGGTTTTGGGACCCAGCCTGACTTCCTTGCTCCTCAGCTTACAGAGGGCCTATTGTGGGACTTCACCTTGTGATCGTGTGAGTCAATACTCCTTAATAAATTCCCCTTTACATAAACATCTATTTTATTAGTTCTTTCCCTCTAGAGAACCCTGATACAGGTGTCACTTCAATGAGACTCTCCAAAGAGAACACTTAAGTCTTCCTCTCTCCAGCCCACTCTCCCCAGTGGCCTTCGATCATGGCCCTGGATGCAATGACGCCTGGCTGGAAAGCCTTTCATCAGCCTCTTGAAAGGCCATCAACACTCAAGGACAGACATGCTGCCTGTATGTTCCCAGTACCTACTAGTGTGCCTCATTCAACTTGAGAAGTCATTATAGCATCCCTGAGAAGCTTGCTGAACGTTATGACAAAAGCATAGTGTGTAATTCCTAAGGAAAAGAAAATGTGAAAAAGCTAGGAAACTTGCTAATAGGACAAACCATCTAGAATGCACATTCCTGAAGGGCAGTGGCTACGGAATTCATAGTTATAGTTCCTAAAGCTGTAGCACATCAAAGCTTAGTGGGAAGTAATCTCTGAGAGAACTCCTGATTTATTTGACCTCTTTTTTTTTTTGAGACAGAGTCTTGTTCTGTTGCCCAGGCTGGAGTCTAGTGGCACAATCTTACCTCACTGCAACCTCTGCCTCCCGGGTTCAAGCAATTTTCCTGCCTCAACCTCCCGAGTAGCTGGGATTTATAGGTGTGTGCCACTGTGCCTGGCTCATTTTTGTATTTTTACTAGAGACAGGGTTTCACAATGTTGGCCAGGCTGGCCTCAAACTCCTAACCTCAAGTGATCGGCCTGCCTTGGCCTCCCAAAGTGCTGGGATTACAGGCTTGAGCCACTGTGCCTGGCCATAAAAGTTATGTTTGGCTCTAAAGTGAGACCTACCTGAATGGACATTACCATATTTGGGAGATCAGAAGGTAGGACATAGCCATGCAGAAAATTCAGAGAATGGAGGAAATTGAGGGCAGTCAGTAAAGTAAGGATGTTAGAGGTGGACGGGAAAGTGGCCAGGGACACCCCCTTCTCAGTGGTCTCCAACCTGGATCGTCATTGGCTCTCTAGGTCTATAAGGTTCAGTGTTCTCGGCTGTGACTGCCTCCCACTTTGCCTGCTGCCTGTCTCCCATTGTCGCTTGTTGGCCTCTTTGCTTTTCCTGACCCCATCTTTGGTCTTTGCATTCATTCTGCCCTTTGCCTGGAAGACTCTTTCCCTGGGACACCACCTGTAGCTTGCCCTCTTGCCGATACAATCTCTGCCCAGGTGTCACCCATTGGAGAAACCTTCACTGGCCCTATGATCTACAGCAACTCTGCACCAGCACTCTCTCTCCCCTTGACCACTGATTTCTTCACAGCATACATCTCTTCTTGCCTTTTTATTATTTTATTCTGTGATTTTGTATATTGCCTATCTTTTCTACCAGGATGTAACTCGAGGAGAGCAGAGACTGTGGCTTTTCTGTTCACTGAAACCCTCTACCACTATAGTACGGTTCCTCAATGTCAGTACCATTGACATTTGGGGCTGGTTCATTTTATTTATTTATTTATTTATTCATTTGAGAGAGACTCTCACTCTGTTGCCCAGGCTGGAGTGCAGTGGCTCCATCTTGGCTCACTGCAAGCTCTGCCTCCTGGGTTCACGCCATTCTCCTGCCTCAGCCTCCCGAGTAGCTGTGACTACAGGCGCCAGCCACTACGCCCAGCTAATTTTTTGTATTTTTAGTAGAGACAGGGTTTCACCGCGTTAGCCAGGATGGTCTCGATCTCCTGACCTCGTGATCCGCCCGCCTCAGCCTCCCAAAGTGCTGGGATTACAGGCGTGAGCCACCGCGCCCAGCCTATTATTATTTTTGATGGGTGGATCATCCTGTGCACTGCAGAATGTTCAACAGCATCACTGGCCTCCACCCACCACATGCCAGTCGCCTACCCGTGAGTTGGAACAAAAAATATCTCCTGGGATTCAAATGTCTCCTGGGAGGCAAAACTGTACCACTTGAAACTGCTGACCTGGAGTCCGTGGTAAGTTCTCAGTAAATATCTGCAGCGTAAATGACTAAGCCTTACCATGAGCGACCTGCAAGTCTGCTCACTTCATGTCTCTGGATCTCCATTTGCATATACATAAAATGATAAATGTATACTTGTCCTGGATGCTTTAGAGTGAAATTACATCCAAGTCTTTGTGAATGGTTAAGTCCCTTGTATAAAGAGGGGACATAATTATCGTGATCATTATTAACAGTATTAATAACCATCAGTTTTGTTTTGAGATGGAGTCTCACTCTGTCACCCAGGCTGGAGTGCAATGGTGCGATCTTGGTTCACTGCAACCTCCGTCTGCCAGGTTCAAGCGATTCTCCTGCCTCAGCCTCCCCAGTAGCTGGGACTACAGGCATGTGCCACCAAGCCCAGCTAATTTTTAGATTGAATAGAGACAGGGTTTCATCATGTTGGCCAGGCTGGTCTCAAACTCCTGACCTCAGGTGATCCACCTGCCTTGGCCTCCCAAAGTGCTGGGATTACAGGCCTGAGCCACGGCGCCGGGCCTAGCTTTTGTTTTATTTCTCAGGCCATGCACAACTCTGAGACGCAGCCTCCCCATCAAACAGGAAAGGCTGCAGGACCCTACACAGATGGGAAGTCCATTAACCCCAAGAGGTGGGTTTCCAGGCGGCACTTGGCAGAGCTTCCCTGATAAGCTCATTAGGACCACAATGCCAGCTTCTACCCGGGCCCAGTGTGAAGGCCTTATTAGGAGGCGGGATCTGTGCGGCAGAATTTTTCTTAATACACAAACTCCCCAGGTATCGGCGCAGGTTATAAATGTTAAGAAAACACCACTGGCACTTTAATCTCCTGAAGATCACTTAGTGCTTCCACAAAGACCTTAATAAAGAACCACGGGGCTCCCTCTGCTATAATCGTTCCTAATTCAATGAATAGCTCTGAGCAACCCGAGACTAATCCTGGTGAAATTGGATTTTGATATCGACCAATCCAGGGATGACTGTTGGAGAGAAAATGCATAGTCGTGTAGAGATACATGCCTTTTGGATTCTGTCCCCCTCCTGGGGTTTCCTCTGTCTGACCCTAGGGAGACAAGACTGAGGCCACCTGCGTGGCATCTTCTAGTGATGACCAGGTAAGTGGGTACAGAAGCACAGGGAAGGATTTTTTTTTCTTCCTTAAGTTCTGGAGTACATGTGCAGGTTTGTTACATAAGTAAACGTGTGCCATGGTGATTTGCTGCACCCATCACCTAAGTAATAAGCCCCGCATGCATTAGCTATTTATCCTGATGCTCTCCCTTCGCCCCTTCCCCCAGTGTGTGTTGTTCCCCTCCCTGTGTCCATGTGTTCTCACTGTCCTGCTCCCACTTATGAGTGAGAACATGCAGTGTTCGGTTTTCTGTTCCTGCATCAGTTTGCTGAGTATAAAGCTTCCAGCTCCATCCACTGTCCTTGCAAAGAACATAATCTTCTTCCCTTTCATGGCTACATAGTATTTCACGGTGTATATGTACCACATTTTCTTTAATCTATCATTGATGGGCATTTGAGTTGATTCCATGTCTTTGCTATTGTGAATAGTGCTGCAGTGAACATACATGTGTATGTGTGTCTGTAACAGAATGATTTATATTCCTTTGGTATATACCCAGAAATTGGATTGCCAGGTAAAATGGTATTTCTGGTTCCAGGTATTTGAGGAATCACCACACTGTTTTCCACAATGGTTGAGCTAATGTACATTCAGGGAAGGAATATTTATGGCTAGGTAGCTCTGCAATAAAACTCTAGTTTCATCACTAGTCCAGCTATGTACATCCTTCTGAGCCTAGCTGCAAGCGTAGATAAATGACTTCTATCTCAGGGTTGTCTGTGGGTCCAGGGTACTGGTGGCAGTCCTTACTCATCCAGTTTCGGTTGAGTAAAATGTGGTAGATGATACCACCATGAAGTTGTCAGTAGAAATCAGAATACAGACAGAAATTAGAGATGTTGAAGTTCTGTGCTCAGTAGGGGAGAGGGGATAATTAGAAATAAAATAAGAACTGTAGCAAATTCTATTTGATGGAAATGAAAAATACATGCACTCATCACACAGCATTAGATATAGCTCAAGGATGCTGGTGAAGGACTTTAGAGAAGCCTGTCTTGTAAAATAAAATGTAAGTGATATACGTCATTTTAGAATTCTTAGAAGTCACTTTTTAAAAAAAAAAAAAAAGTAAAATTTTAAGAACGTTCATTTTAACCCAATTTATTAAGGATATTATTTCAACATGCTATCATGTAAAAGATATTTTATATTCTTTTCTTTTTGGAGGATGTCTTTGAAATCTTGTATTTTACACATCTCCATATGGAAACTGAATTGTCATTGGAAATACTTGATTTATATTTAGCCTTTGAAAAAATGACATGTGAAGGATCCCCCAAACAAACTAATAACAATCAAGTATCAGTACTTACATTCAAATTGAAGTTAAATCAAGTTCACTAGCTGTATTGTTTTGTTTTGTTTTTTTTGGAGACAGAGGCGCTCACTCCCATTCCCAAGACTGGAATGATCAAGGCTCACTGCAATCCCAACTTCCTAGGCTCAAGATATCCTTCTGCCTTGGTCTCCAAAATGTTGGGATTACAGGCATGAGCCACCACACCTGGCCTCACTAGCTGTATTTCAGGTGCTCAACAGACACCTGTGGTTGGTGGCTTTCTGTGGAAAACAACATAATGACCCCTTAAAGATGTTAAGGTTCTAATACCTGGAATCTTGAATAGGATACTTTACATGGCAATGGAGAATTAAGGTTGCTAATCACATGACCATAAAATAGATTATCCTGGATTACCTGTGTGGGCCCTGTATAATCACCAGGGTCCTGAGAAGTGAAACAGAGGCCAGTGGCATGGAAGAGAACCCCCAATGTCAGAGTGAACACCCCGTGAGAAAAACTCAACCCACCATTACTGATTTTGAAGATGGGGAAAGGGGCCATGAGCCCAAGAATGACAGTGGCCTTCAGGGGCCAGGAAAGGCATGGGGAAAGATCAAATTATGAGCCTATAGAAATATCATCCTGCCAGCTACAATCCTTGTAAACCTGGTGATTCCCATGCTACACTTCTGATCTCCAGAACTGTAACCTAATATACTTGTGTTGTGGAAGTTACTAGGTGTATGGTCATCTGACAGCAAAAGAAAACTATTGCACGCTCATCAGAAAGCACAGGTATAGAACATTTTCATCACTGTCAATGGGACGGTCCTGTTTTAGAGCCATGGTGTGCTGGGGGAAGAAAAAGCGATAACGGATAATGGGTTTAAAAGGGAGGAAAGTAGAGAAAGAAAGTCTTCCCTAGGACAATGACCGTAATTGTCAGAGGCAGGAGAATGAAAGCAACTCCATCTTGAATAGGGGCTGGATAAAATGAGGCTGAGACCTACTGGGCTGCATTCCCAGACAGTTTTAAGTGATTCTTTTTTTTTTTTTTTTTTTTTTTTGAGACAGAGTCTCTATCACCCAGGCTGGAGTGCAGTGGCGTGATCTCAGCTCACTGTAAGCTCCGCCTCCCGGGTTCACGCCATTCTCCTGCCTCAGCCTCCCAAGTAGCTGGCACTACAAGTGCCCGCCACCATGCCCGGCTAATTTTTTTTGTATTTTTAGTAGAGTCGGGGTTTCACCATGTTAGCCAGGATGGTCTCGATCTCCTGACCTCATGATCCACCTGCCTCGGCCTCCCACAGTGCTGGGATTACAGGCATGAGCCACCGCGCCCAGCCAGTTAAGGCAATCTAAGTCACAGGATGAGATAAGAGGTCAGCACAAGATACAGGTAATAAACACATTGCTGATAAAACAGGTAAAGAAGCCAGCCAAATCCCACCGAAACCAAGATGGCAACGAAAGTGACCTCTGGTCATCCTCACTGTTCATTATACACTAATCACAATGCATTAGCCTGCTAAGAGACACTCCCACCAGTACCACAACAGTTTCCAAATGCCATGGCAATGTCAGGAGGTTACCCTATGTGGTCTAAAAGAGGGAGGAACCCTAAGTTCTGGGAATTGCCCAACCCTTTCCCAGAAAACTCATGAATAATCCACCCCTTGTTTAATACATAATCAAGAAATAATCATAAAAACAGGCAACCAGCAGCCCTCAGGGCTGCTCTACCTATGGAGTAGCCATTCTTTTGTTTCTTTACTTCTCTAATAAACTTATTTTTACTTCACTTGATGGATTCACCTCGAATTCTTTTTGTGTGAGATCCTAGAACCCTTTCTTGGTGTCTGGATCAGGACCCCTTTCCAGTAGCAATAGAATCCTTTGAAATGAGGAATATTATTGAGTCAACTAAGTTTCAAATACATCTATTTTTAAATGAAATAAATTTGGCATTTTAATGTTTTTTCTTGGGCAATACTGTAAAAAATATCCAGCTTTAATTTTAGGTATCCATACATATATATGGATATATATATATACATAGGTATACATATGCATATATAGAGAGGTATATATATGGATATATATAGGTATATATATGGGGATATATATAGGTATATATATGGGGATATATATAGGTATACATATGGATATATATAGAGAGGGATATATATAGGGTTATATGGATATATATAGGGATTATATATAGGGATATATATATATAGGGATTATATATAGGGATATATATCTATATAGGGCCATATATAGGGATATATATATATAGGGCCATATATAGGGATATATATATATATATAGGGCCATATAAAGGGATATATATATAGGGCCATATATAGGGATATATATATATAGGGCCATATATAGGGATATACATATAGGGCCATACATAGGGATATATATATAGGGCCATACATAGGGATATACATATAGGGCCATACATAGGGATATATATATAGGGCCATACATAGGGATATATATATATAGGGCCATACATAGGGATATATATATAGGGATATATATATATAGGGCCATACATAGGGATATATATATAGGGCCATATATAGGGATATATATATAGGGCCATATATAGGGAGATATATATATATATATATAGGGCCATATATAAGGATATATAGGGATATATATATAGGGATATATATATATAGGGATATATGGATATATATATAGGGATATATATATGGATATTTATATAGGGATATATATATGGATATTTATATAGGGATATATATATGGATATATATATAGGGATATATATGGATATACATATATAGGGAGATATATATGGATATACATATATAGGGAGATATATATATATCCAGCTTTAATTATAGAGTGGGTCGCTCAGGCAGTCAGTTCCATTAGCAGTAGCTGTCAGCTGTGACTTTTGTTGATACCATTATTTTTGGGTGGTATTTCCCTTTACTCTGTAAATACATGTTTCTTAATCGATTTCTTTGTTCATGGATACACTGAAGGTTTTATGAAAACTGTGGACCACCTTTTGGGGGGAAAATACACATACACCTAAATTTTGCATACGATTTCAGAAAGTTCACAAGCTCCCTGGAGGATACATAGACACCCTTGGATGTGGAAAAGGATCACTGAGGAAGGCTTTTGCTTCTCCCCTATCCTGAGTTAAGACAAAGGATTCCGGCTATCACTGATGCTGAATGCCACTCGTAGTTTATAAGCAAAATGTGAAACTGGCTAAATGGTCTGGGATACAGGATGGAAAAGAAAACTGTGCTGAGGTCCCACCATGAGCTAAGCATCTCACTGGTGTTTTCCATGCCTTATTTTACCGAGTCGCCATAACAACTAGGAAAACTGAGGCTCAGAGAGGTTAGGCGATCTGTCCGAAGTCACACAGCCAGGAGATGGAAGGTTTGAACTTAGGATATCTAATTCCGTATCCTAAACTCTTTTCGCTCCTGAATGGCCTTTCAAGGTCAAGGTGAAAATGCTCTGGAAAGTCTAAGAGCAGGCACGTAGAGCAGCTGCAAAGTACATATAGACAGGAGTAAAGATTCACAGAAACCCTAACTGCCTATGTTCTAGGTCTGGGCTGGAAACAGAGCAGTGAGGTGGGTGAATGAGGCCCTAGCTCATCCAACCAATTAAAAAGCAATCAAAAGCAGGCTGCTTCAGCTGTGTGGTTTGAACTACTAGAGTCCTGGGTTGACCTCTGTTAAGCCCTCACTGACAGGTTTTCTTATTAGAATAAGCATCCTATGGATAAACACTCTATCAAATGCTTACGAGAATATGAGCACCCCATGACTAAACACCATATCAAATGCTTCCTAGAATATGAGCGTCCCGTGGATAAACACTGTATCAGATGCACTATATCAAAAGCCCCTTACCATGACACATAGTAGGCGCTCGGCAAGTCTTTCCTGAATCATTCCAGGAAACTAATGATTTGGGCCCAGCTGCTGCTTCATCCACGAGCATCCCCAAATTCACCATCACGGTGTAGAAACCCAGCACCCAAGACACGACATGAATGCTGCATGATTCTCCCCACAGTCAGCCTACTGACTATTCAGCCTCTTTCCTTTCCTACAGGCTTCCTCCCCTCCATGCACAAAACTCTTCACAGTGATAAATAAAAAGTGTACTTTGAAGAGCCAGCTGCTGCTCCATCCTCCACCAATCAAGTTATTTCTCAGAGAGAAAAGCTTCTGAGTGTCTTCGAGGCATTATTTGATTAAGTTGACAATATTATGTGAGCGATGGTTGAGTACCCACTGCGAAGTACTTTGGACCAAATTGATTTGTGTAACGAACACTTGCTCTGTCTCTTCTTGCAGACTGAAGAGCGGTCTTGATTTAGCCAGTAATGCTGGGCGCCGAGTGAATTTACAGGGTCCACGGTCCCCCTCTCTCAGTCTGCAGAGAATAGCAGGGCAGAGCATGGGCTGGCATAATTCAATACATTGTACTGTAAGCTCAGAAAATAATATCGCAGAGCTCTGCAATATACCTATTTGATTTGATTTGTAAACCTGATAAAAAAGCAATCGAGAAAAGTTCGGGGGAAAATATATATGTTCTAAGCAAAAATGTAACTATATTGAATGTGTACAAAGAATCCAAGGATGGTGGCGGGCGGGGGAAGAAAAATCATGCATACCAGATCAACTCCACACCCTAAATTAGACAATATTGCACATTCTCCATTTAAAACGAAGCAAGATTGTGAAAAGTTATTTTCCATTAAAAGTAATAATAATGGTAAGCCCAGGGAATGTGAACTAAAACCCACACTTCGGGTCTTCTCACAATCCTACTTCAAAACGGGGCTCGTGCAGATCCTCCCAGCTTCCTGCTTTTTCATTTGAGCTCCGTCGGCAAACAAATAAGTTAATCACACAGCTTTGGATGTAGTTAATGCCTCATTTCGAGCCTGGCTGGGCTGATTCCACGGCCAGGTGACACAGATTTAAGAAATACATCACATTTCCCTGCAACTCGAATGAATTCAATGCTCTGCTCCAGTGATGAAATTCCTCTGAAAGGAGAAGGGCTGGAGGACAGAGAAGGGCTGACTCCGAATTCCTTTGCTATTTTTATTCCTTGGGAAAAAAATAGGATGAATGTACAAGGGGCCAGGTGTTTAACACATCAGTAAAGGAGACAGCCTTGTCTAGGTGTCTGTATTAGTCTTCTCAGGCTGTTATAACAAAATACCACAGGCTGGGTGGTTTAAACAACAGACATTTATTTCTTACAGTTCTGGAGGCTGGTAGTGCAGGATCAAAGTGCCAGCCAACTCAGCTCCTGGGAAGGGCCCTCTTCCTGGCTTGCAGATGAGTGCCTTTTTTTTTTTTTTTTTTTTTTTTTTTTGAGATGGAGTCTTGCTCTGTCAGCCAGGCTGGAGTGCAGAGGTGCAATCTCGGCTGAGTGCAAGCTCCGCCTCCCAGGATCAAGCAATTCCCCTGCCTCAGCCTCCTGAGTACTTGAGATTACAGGTGTCTGGTGCCACCACGCCCAGCTAATTTTTGTATTTTTAGTAGAGAGGAGGTTTCAACATGTTGGCCACTCTGGTCTTGAACTCCTGACCTCGCGATCTACCCACCTCTGCGTCCCAAAGTGCTGGGATTACAGGGGTGAGCCACCACGCCCGGCTTGAGTGCCTTTTTTCTGTGTTCTCAGATGGAAGAGGGAGGGAAGCTCTGATATCTCTGCCTCCTGTATGGATACTGTCTCATCGGGCTCTACTCTCGTGGCCTTAAATTAACCTAATTACCTTCCAAAGTCCCCATTTCCAAACACCATCCCTTTGGTGGTTACAGCTTCAACATATGACCTGGAGTAGGGGACACAATTCAGTCCACAGCTGTGTTACTGAGGCAGCGCCTACAAACACCTGCACTTAAAGAAGCATTGTTTGTCCTGGGGGCTTGAAATCAGGTGCTCAGTTATCCAATCATTCAAAATATATTTACTGAGCACCTACTATACATCAGGCCCCGGTGGTACAGTGGGCAGGGTTGGAGGTTGGTGTCTGCTTATCAGAAAGTGGAATGACAAGACTACAAAAAGCACTCTTTCTTCTCCTCTTCTTGTTGCAAAGATTTGGCTTTTGGTTCCAGGATAGGTAGTTAAAATATATAATAGAGTGGGTGCGGTGGCTCAGCCCTGTAATCCCAGCACTTTGGGAGGCCGAGGTGGGTGGATCACGAGGTCAGGAGTTGGAGACCAGTCTGGCCAACATAGTGAAACCCCCGTCTCTACTAAAAGTACAAAAAATTAGCCAAGTGTGGTGGTGTGTGCCTGTAGTCCCAGCTGCTATGGAGGCTGAGGCAGGAGAATTGCCTGAACCCGGGAGGCAGAGGTTGCAGTGAGCAGAGATCGTGCCATTGCACTCCAGCCTGGGCAACAGTGTAAGACTTTGTTTGAAGCAAGAAAAGAAAAAAACATGTATATATATAACAATAGCAATAACAACAAGACACATTTATAGACTTCGAAACACAATTATCTAGATTTGAATTCCAGCTTCACTGCTTCCTATCTGTGTGAACTGCAGCAGGTTACTTAACCTCTCTGTCTCATTACCTTTATCTAGAAAATAGGAATACTATTGGCATCTACCCCAAATGAGTCAACACCTGTAAGTGCTTAGGATGGACCATGATTATTATAATAACCAGCATCGAGAAGAGTGGCTGATTAATACTTCATTGCCATTTAATAAATCCTGGTTGAGTGATTAGCATTCTATTAATCTCTTCACATTGTCTGATGACTCAGACAAGAGGATTCTAATATTGTGCCCATCTTACGGCAAAGAAATTGAGGTTCAGAGGGCCTCAGAGCTTCTTTGGGATGTTTAGTCCCTACATGGGAGGCAGTGTGGCACAGTGGCTTAGAGCCCTGGCATTGCAATCCCCTGGGTCAAGTCCCTTAATGGCATCTAAAGAAGATGCAACAGCTCTCGGGGCACTTGGTTGTTAAAACTCAGGCCAGTCCACTTTAAAGCTTCCAAAATCAATGAGATTAAAACTCTCTTCCTCTTGCTACACATCTGTGGTCCAGTATACCTACAGTGGGCATAGAGTGTTTCTTGCCTGTTGGCTCCAAACTCTCCAGCAGTTTGTAGGATCAGTGGGATGAGGTGCAACCTCTGGGACCTTCCTCCTCCTTCCCCCACTGGGGAAGAAGCTTCTTTCAAGACTGGGGGCTGAAGAGAAGGAACCTAGGAGGCAGAAGGCAGCTAATGAAATCAAATGCATCCTGGTGATGAGAAGTGCCTCTTTTTGCCTCCCATCTCATTCTGCTGGGGCTCAGGTGCCACTGGTGGCTTCCATGGATGTGGTGGGGCTGTGGAGTCCACATTCCTAGGTTACTTGGGGCACTGATCAGCCATCCTCTGTCATTCTCCATAGTTGCCCAGGGTCTCGTGTCTTCAAGGCTGTTGCCAATGGTCATTGCTTCCAACTCTCCTTTCAGATGAGGGTCCTCTCCTTCAGCATTTGGCCTCCTGGACACCCTTAGAACTCCTGCCCTCTTCTGTAACTTCAGGCTCTTTCAAGAGCCAGAGGAACTACAGGGAACAGGCGGCAGGTACCCTAATGCATTCTCACCAACAGCTCTTTCCCATCCTGCTGTTTTGGACGACACCAGCAAGGCTCCACTTTTATAAATCCCCAGATAAAAAGCAGGTACACAGCTCTGTGCCATGACATCCCGCACCCAACTAATTTTGGGAACATGTCAAATACTCCCAAGATTGTTGCCACTGTCTTCTGTGTTAATGGTCTCATAAAAATGAGCTGCATTGTTCTCTAGCTTAGCAATCTTCCAGCAGCCTCCCTTTCTGGCTGACGCCTCCAACCTTTTCCTCCTGCAGTATTTTTTTTTTCCTCATCTCCTCTTAACCTCCTGGTTTTCTTTAATTACCTGTCCCACTCAGAAATCAAGGCCAACCTATACATCAATTTAACACAAAAGTTCGTATTTGGTACTAAATCCTAAATTCCACTTAGCTCAAAGATTTCCCCCCTAATATATTATGCAAGATTTAAATGAACCAAATGGCAATTCTATACGTTATGCTAATTTCCCAGACCTAAGAAAACTGCTGAAAGCACAATTCAGTTGCAGAAAATGGGTGATGAATTTAAGATGGCACTGATCTCCCTGAACATCCCTGGGTTTTCCTGGCTAATTACTTCTTTCTTTGTATTAATATAAATGCTTCAAACAAAGAGACAAGCACTCCAAGAGTTTTGTTCTAGGACTACTGGGGTTTTTCCAGGATATGCTGAGACATGGAGATATCATTCTTTGTGAACACCGATATGTCTCTGAACAAAAATTTGACAGTGAAAGAATCCTGTCACATAAACTGCACAATTTCTGCAAATTGACACTAGTCAGGATATTTCGGAGTTTCTCAGTAGGCTAATTTCTCCTGCATTGGCAGGTGGGAAGGAGAGTAAATATATGTTCGGAAATGGAAATGCTAAGAAATATACTCTGAAAATAGAAATGCCTGCATCTCCTTTCTACTTGTCTCTTCATCTAGATGGGGATAGCATGCTTTTTCTTTAAAGGGCCATAGAGTGAATAGTTGGGCATCATAAGCCATGCTGTACATAAAAGCATCCATGGGGTAATATGTAAACAAATGAACCATGAATGTGGCTGTGTTTTGATAAAACTTTATTTGTAAAAGCAGAGACAGTGGGCTGGATTTGGTCTGAGCTCCATGGATTCCCATGTTGGTTCTTAGAGGGACAAATACTCTGTGTCTACACTGTTCAACTCAGCTACCATTTTAAGATCTGCTTGTATAAAGAACATTTGCTACATATGGGGACTGAAGGATGAAGAAGACATAACCTGAACCAGTAGGGAGCTCCTAGCTTTGTGGAGGAGAAATGAATAAACCACACAGTCACAGGACAACGGATGAGTTCTCTGATGGAAAAACATTTGGATACATAATTCGGCCAGACGGGAATATGTGAAATTTCTTGAAAAAAGTCTTATTCATCCAGAAAAACTCAGCAGTCACACATTAGCAGAGCTCAGGAGCAAATGTTTAGGTCCCCTAAAAAAGTCCAAACTCTTAAAATGAAGAAAGGGAAACATCCGCTAGTCTTGGGATCATCTCTCATCTAATTATGTCATTTGTGGCTCCAATGAGAAGCGGGTGAGACTTGGGTGGTAGACATGATGCTGTGTGACTGAGAAAGTCACTCGCCCTTTCTGAATCTCAATTTATGAAAAAGGAAGGATGACACTCGCCCCCTCTTTTCTTGGGCCATAGAGAAACAAATTAGATTATGCTCCAGGACACGCTTTGGCTGTTCCAAAAAACAATTTTTGCTTTTTTTTTTTTTTGATACTCTACATAAAAATGCAAGATATGTTCCCACCGCAGGATGACAATGTGAAATCCGGAGCAGCAACAAGACTTTTAGTCACTGGGGGTACTTTCATTTAGGAGACTTGAATTCAAGCCCACCTTTTGTCAGTTTCTCATTGTGTCATGTTTCTGAAATGAAATTTTTTGCAGCTGAATAAACTGAAGACATGAAATTTGGTGGCCTTGCAGGCACCTGTCACGTCTAAAAATGCAAGGATCAGAGATGTAGGGAGGGTGGGTAAGCCAAGAAGTCCACCCCCCATAGGGGGTTCTTGACAGCCTTTAGCAAGGTGCAGATTTTGCAGCCAGAAAAGTTGACAGGTTTGCCTCTGGTTGGAGATGTAGAGAGATTTACATGAATCGCACTGGTCTTTCTCCAGGTACAGCCTGCTGAATGTCTCTAAGTCACCTGGGTAAGGGTGTGGAACACCCAGATTTCTGGGCCCCATCCCAGAGTGACCCATTCATACTCCTATGCACTCAAGATAAATCTTTTAAAATAACCTTCACAGGTGACAAATAGGATCCATTCTTTTAACAGCCACTGTCTATACCTTAGGGAGGCAATCCTGTAATTGTGTAGCATTTGACCAACAGTTGACCAAAGACAACTATTTGACCTTGGACATGTTACTTCATCCCTAAAGGCCTTTCTTCCCACAGCCTTAAAATGGGGATTTGTGAATTCATTCATTCAAAGAATACTGATTGAGAAACTCCTAAGTGCCTGGATAAGAACCAAAGACTAAGGAGGGTAGATGAAAAGCGAAAGGCCCGCAAAGTTCTTACTCTGGCTTCTGGCACTGTGTGGGCACACAGTAGACACAAGTCATGAAAATTCATTCTTAATTACCCTCCATATCCACCTTGGAAAGCACAATCACTGTTTAGAGGACAGAGTGCAAGCCTTGGATTGGGTGTCTCGTGTATCAGGGTTTGCACACAATTCTTGGGCTGCTCTTAATTTGCAAGGCCTGTGTTTTCCCTGAATCAAAACCTCCACCTAAAAAGAAAGACTTTTATATTTTTAAGGCAGATGGGGTTGGGGTTGGAGGCAGGTGATGTTTCCAATGGTTTCTCTGACTGGAGTCAAGCAAGACTTCCTTATGGATCTCAGATGTGCCCTAGTTTCTATGAGAATATATAAAGGAAGAGAGGGAGAAAGAGAGACTAGGTGAGAAAGAGAGAGACTGAGAGAAAGAGATGTATAATGTATATAACGTAATACAATCATAAAGCAGAATTTCATGGCAGATATAACATTCTGATGGAGAGGCTCACCACTGACTATTTGATACTTTCGATCTTTTATATTGAATTTGAGATTACAAACCTACTTTTCCATTCAGCCCTGCCCTGCAGCTTTCTCTGACATTTTGTTATCTTTGCCTAAACCTTTCAGGAAAGGCCTCTGAACCTTTCTCCTATGCTGGCTGCAAGGGAAATAGGATTACTACCTTCTCCTTTAACAGAGACCAGGCACTCTTCATTGATGGGTAAAATAAAATAAAACTATAAAATAATTTTATGCCATTTTAAAAGTAGGGAAAAAAATCTTCAAAAGAGTAACAGTGGGGTTCATTTAGCATAAATGCCCACTAGCATTTGCTAGGAATATGAATCCCATCTACATTTTTCAGATGCTTACCACATTATATAGTATTTTCATATACTTATTTCACAAGTGCTCTCAGAAAGGCTTATGGCATTGGCTCAATACTTTGAGTGTGCACCAGAAGCAGTTGGATGCTCTTTAGAAATGCACATTCCAGGGCTCCAGCCTTTTCGGTGCTGATTTTGTCAGCCTGGGGTAGCTGGTGGACTGTTGAAGTTTGTTGATACTGATTTCTGAAAGCCAGTTGCTAACTTGTCAGGAATTCTGTGACTCTGTTGTTAAACACAACCTTTAATAAAAAATGAAATGACATAAGCCCATAATTAAAGCATATATAGTAAGAAAGTATATGTATATACATATTAATATATGTTGTATATGTATATACATATACGAAAATATGTGTACACATGTATTTATGTACTATACATGTATATATTCATATTGATATATACATACAGTATAATTATACATATATAGCATAAATATATATGTGTGTGAGTGTGTGCGCGTGTATATATATATGTATGTCTTATTTTGAGACAGAGCCTCACTTTGTCACAAAGGCTAGAGTGCAATGGCACAATCATGGCTCACTGCAGCCGCGACCTCCCAGGCTCAAGTGATCCTCCCACCTCAGCCTCTCGAGTACCTAGGACTACAGGTGTGCACCAACATACCCAGCTAATTTTTGTATTTTTAGTGGATATGGAGTTTTGCCATGTTTCCCAGGGTGATCTTGAACTCCTGGGTTCCAGTGATCTACCACCTCGGCCCCCCAAAGTGCTGGAATTACAGGCGTGAGCTACCATGCCTGGCCTCAATAAAGTATATTAAAAATTAATAAGAAATAATGAGTTTTGAATATTAAATTATTTTACCATACTTGAATATTATCTGTGCTCTTGAGGTTTTTTGTTTGTTTGTTTAGAGTATCTGGATGGTGGAAATACTGCGTGATGGTCCACTTCTGCATATTTTTTCCTAACTCTGTGTTCAGTGACGAGGCATTGGTATCTTGCAATGGCCATGATGGGAGTATTTGCACCATGGAAATTGGCAAATGCTTCAGATCAGTCTCTGGAGCCCTCTCCCGCTCCTTCCCCCACCAAGCTAGTTGTTAAGCATTTACTAGCACTTCACTGATTACAGCCAGCAATATGTGTTTGTAACAAGCGCATCAGGTAATTCTAATATAAAAGTGCTTTCTGGGCCACAGTTTAAGAAAATGCTTTTTTTTTTTCTTTTTCTTTTTTTTTTTTTTTTTTTTTTTGAGACAGAGTCTAACTTTGTCTCCCAGGCTGGAGTGCAGTGGTACAGTCTTGGCTCACTGAAACCTCTGCCTCCCAGGTTCAAGTGACTCTCCTGCCTCAGCCTCTCGAGTAGGTGGGATTACAGGCACCCACCACCATGCCTGGCTAATTTTTATATTTTTAGTAAAGTCGGGGTTTCAACATGTTGGTCAGGCTGGTCTGGAATTCTTGATCTCAAGTGATCCGCCCACGTTGGCCTCCCAAAGTGCTGGGATTACAGGTGAAAGCCACCACACCCGGCTGTTTTTTGTTTTTTTAAAAATAGTCATTGGAGGTATTGTATTTTGGTCATTTTTCCAGTTGCTTTACAATTCTCTTTGGCAATAAAGCTGTGCTAAGTACTGATGAAGCCCTCAGCTATAGGAAGAAACACCTGGGTTCGAGACCCGGCCCCATGAGTAGCACGTGACAGTAGGCAAATTACTTCACCTCCATGGTACCTCAGTTCCCTCATCTGTAAAATGGGTTTATAATACTCGCTCTGTGGACTCACAGCAAAAAATAAAACAACATTACAAAGACTGTATCAAGCCTGACTCCAAATAACTGTTCAATAATTGATATAATTGGTGTTTCATGATATCCATATGATGAGGAGGAGGATGTCGTTGTTGTTAACAGAGGCATTTGGGAGAAATCCTTAGAAACTATGGAAATGGTTGATAGATATTAAAATGACTTAGTAATTTTAAACTAAGTCGGTTTCAGAAAACAACAATAACAACCTTTATATCTGATTCAACAAAGAATTATTTTCAAACAATAACAGCAGTGCATACCATTGCACATGGGTTATACCATTTATCCCCATGATACCTCTATGAAGTTGGTGGTAAAATTATGCCCATTTTATAGATGAGGAAATTAAAGCCTAAGAAGGGGTCCATATAGCTAGCAGATAGGAGAGTGGGTCCTAGAACTAAGGTCTTAGAACTGAACCAGTGCCTTTCCACTAATGTCATGAAGCTTTCTTAGGTGAATGAAACTCTGTATCCAAAAGAGAATGTTGAAAATGAAAACAAAGATAGGCCCATGAAGGGGAAATTCAAGGTAAAAGTTTCATACTGAGTTGCTTATACAAATAAACCTTATAATATTCCAGAGTTACCTGTGGCCATCATGGGAAATAATATGTTCCATACATTTATCTTGGGTACCATCATCTAAGAAAGGGATCTGAGTTACTCAAACAACTACTGACTTGATGAGTAATGCTATTTCTTCATGTGCCGTGGTTTAATGAAATGGAGGGGAAGCATGCAAATCTAGCAGACAATCTGGTGTACAAGAAACAGAACTAGCTGTAGTGTTGGGAGATGCAAGTTCGAATCTGGGCTCTCAGATTTGACCGAAGAGCTGCGTCATGTTGTGCAAAACTTAAGACTTCTCAGGGCCTTATAAATGGTGGTCATGATACTCAAATTTTAAGCTATCATGAAGATGCCACAAGATCTAGAAAATTTAGAGTGTTTACCACAATGCCTTGGTTATCAAAGCATTCAGAGTTAGGGTTACTTTCTTGTAGTATAAAATTTAATATTTAGGTTCAACTAATATCCATTAAGCACTAAGTATGCAATTCCAGGTGTTGGAAATGCATCGTGGAGAAAACAGGAAAAAATCCCTCCTCTCAAGGAACGTAAGTTTTAGGAGAGCAGGAGGAAGATGAAGCATAACCTAATCAATCAGAGCATTGCAGAGCATGTTGGAAGCATAGGCACCATGAGATAAATACTGAGCAGGAGGAAGGGACCGTGGAGGTAGGCTTGACATTTTCAATGGATGGCTTTTATGAAGGTGACATTTGAATCACAATTTGACAAAGAAGAGTGGGCCACAGGGAGAGCTCAGGCAATAATAGCCCAGTCCCAGACACAGCCAGTGCAAAGGTCCTGCGGTGAGAAAGTGATGAAGCGTGAGGCTGGTACAGAACGTTCAAGGGGAAGAGAAAAGGAGATGACGTCAGAGACCTGACGAGGGCACAGAAACAGGTCACGCAGGTCTTTGTAGTCTGCTCTAAGAACTTTAGCTTTAAACAAAAAATCTTTTTTAACTTTTTGAATAACTTTAGATTTACAAAAAAGTTGCAAAGATAGTACACAGGGTCCTCTTATATCCTTTTCCCCGCTTCCTCTAACACTAACATCTTACCCAACTACGTGCATTTATCAGAACGAGGAAGGTAACACTGGTGTCTATTAACTAAACCATGGATTTTACTGAAATTTCCACAGCCTTTCTACTTATGTCCTTTTTCTGTTCCAGAATCCATTCTAGGACATCAAGTTGCATTTACAGGATTTTGCCTTTTGCTGCAACAGAAATGGGGGAGTCATCAGAAGGCTTTTAACAAAGGAGAAAAGTGAAATGATTTCTGTTTCAGCAAGATTTCTGAATGTTTTCTTTCTGTACTTAAATCTGAGTTGAGGGTAAGAGGGTGGGGAGATGCATTGTAATTTAATGGGCTTCTACTAAAAACCCCCCCTTACCCTACTCACAACAATAGCAAATACCCTTTATCCGATTTATTCTGAAAGAAATGACCAAAAACAATTACCAGGTATTTTATAAATATGCAATACTACCTAAATGCTAAATAATAAACATAATATTCATTTCCTTAGTGTTCTACTTGGCTTTTATTACTACGAATGCTAATTGTCCCAACACCTTGGATTTATGTTACTCCGTTCTCCCTAATAGCTAAGTATTTTCAACTTCTATTTTCTTAATTGTCTGAACTAATAAGCTTGCTTGGTTAGAACATGGTGATAATGTGGCCAAGATTACAGGTTTGATGTCGTGCACTTGGCTTTGTAGAAGAAGAAGAAAAAAAGAGTGCACAGCACTCATAAAATTTTTTTCCAAATTGGGAATAGTTAAGTTATAGGTGTAGGGTGCTTAAAAATAAAAAAATTAAAAAAAAAAAGGTTAGAGGCTCAAAGTGCTCAACTAATCTGAATTCACTGGTGTTCACTTCATGGCAATTCTAAAGGTAAGCAGCTGACTTTGAACATCTCCACATTTCTGATAGGAAGCAGATCTAGAGAAGCTAAGTCTGTTTACTCCAACTAACACTTAGTCTACACGACTCAGGCTGAACTTGGGAATTTGGTTTTCTCTGTTCAGCTCTTTACCACATGCAGTGCAACCTTGAGTATGTTAACTGACCTCTCTGTGCTCAGGTTGCTAATGACTAAAATGGACTTTTACCTAAAAGTATATAAAACACAGGATTGCTGTAAGGATAAAATAATGCATGGAAAGTATTTAGCACAGTCCTTGGAAGATAGTTGAAGAACGGTTCCTGCTATGACTAAATATTTCTGTGCATTCCTTTGCCTGCTACTCTTTGTTCCCCTAGCTCGATCCTAGAATACACACATTAAATTGAAACTGTTAGTTTTCCCATCAGCCCAACTAAGCTTTGGGCTCTGAGAGAATAGGATCTGGGTCATTGTCTTCTTTTTTGAGACAGGATCTTGCTCTTTCACCCAGGCTGGAGTGCAGTGTTCCGATCATAGTTCGCTGCAGCCTCGACCTCCTGGGCTCAAGCGATCCCCTCACTGCAGCCTCCCAAAGTGCTTGGGTTACAAGTGTGAGCCACTGGGCCTGGCCTTCTTACATTCTTTAATCCTAATGTATAGAGCCTGACATACACTAATGGCTTTTAAGCAGAACTTAGCTCTTCAAAAAGACCTGCCAGGCTGACAGCCTAGACTTAGCTGAGGTTAAATGTCACTATCTACTAAAAATCTTGTCTCTTCTTAGCTCCAGCAACAGCCTCCTTGGTTTATGAGTTCATCAAAATTGGGTTGTGATTACCCTAACATATGGACTGAGTCAGCTAACTCTAACCTACAGTAAACACTCCCTTGTAGCTGGGGGTTAGGACACAGCTGCATCTTGGTAATGCTGAGCAGTGCCTTCTGAAATGAGTTGTGCACCTTTCAAGTGCACTGGCCACTTGCAGATCTTCATTTGAGTTTGAAATTTTGCCATATGTATCCCCCTTCTCTTGTGAGTATTCAGCAATGTTCAGTAGTGCCTGATAGTCCTGCATGTCTGACACTCATTTTTAATTGTTATGGAAGATCTTAGGCTATGTATACCACTTTTAAAATTGTAGATACTGGGCTGGGTGTGGCACCTCATGCCTGTAATCCCAGTGCTTTGGAAGACCAATGCTAGAGGATCACTTGGGGCCAGGAGTTTGAGACCAGCCTGAGCAACACTGGGAGATCCCATCTCTACAGAAAATTTTAAAAATTAGGGGGTGTGGTGGTGGGCACCTGTAGCCCCAGCTACTCTAGAGGCTGACCTGGGAAGATAATTTGAGCCCAGGAGGTTGAGGCTGAAGTGAGCTATGATTGCACCACTGCACTCCAGTCTGGGAGACAGAGAAAGACCCTGTCTCTAAAAAGAGAAAGAAATAAAATTTTAAAATGTGGAAACTGGAAAATTTTTTAAAAAGGAAGGGGAAAAAAGGAAGGAGGGAAGGAATGAAAGAAGGAAGGAGCACATACCTTGTTTCTCCTGAAATATCTGACTTGCTTACTGAGAGGAAAGAGAAGGTATGCTTAAGAGTGTCAAATTAGGCCGGTCTCAGTGGCTCACACCTGTAATCCCAGTGCTTTGGGAGTCCGAGGCGGGCAGATCACCTGAGGTCGGCAGTTTGAGACCAGCCTGGCCAATATGGTGAAACCCCATCTCTACTAAAAACACAAAAATTAGCCGGGGGTTGTGGCAGGAAACTGTAATCCCAGCTACTCGAGAGTCTGAGGCAGGAGAATCTCTTGAGCCTGGGAGGCAGAGGTTGCAGTGAGCTGAGATCACGCCATTGCACTTCGGCCTGAGCAACAGAGTAACACTCCATTGCAAAAAAAGAAAGAAAAACAAGAGTGGCAAATTAGTCGTTCACAACAAAGAATGGGTGTCGGAAATGCTTTAGACATAAATCTTATAGGGTCATGAACTATGGATTTCTTGTTTTTGCTTCTGCCGCACATATTAAGAATTGAGTTGAGGTTCAGTTCAGATCTCGCCTTAGAAAGCATCATTATCAATTAACATTGACCCAGTGGTCATTCAGGCCGTTCCATTAGACTCAACTCTGCAACTTCTCTGAAGACACCCTGCTGCTAAAGAAAAGGCTTCCAGAAAAGGTCTTCTGAAGTCTTTTCACCTTCCAGTGCTGAAGTACTTTGCCTCTAGATGTAAAATGAGTATCCTGTCGCCTCTCACTATAAAAGAAATTGATGGAGTCTATGGATTACATAAGAAACTATAGCTGCTGATCAAAGCTCTCATAGACATGGAAATAAAGAAGCATACCTGAAAACAAGTTGTAAAATTCTATGAAAAAAGAAGTACAAGGAAAGAGAAATCAGGAAACAAAATCTAAGGATGAAGGAAGGATAACTGGATAAAGATATTCTCTACTGTACCAACATGGGAATTAAAAACGGGTGGTGGAGAGAATGAGATAAAATGACTGACACACGT
Source organism: Homo sapiens (assembly GCF_000001405.40). Taxonomy (NCBI): domain Eukaryota; kingdom Metazoa; phylum Chordata; class Mammalia; order Primates; family Hominidae; genus Homo; species Homo sapiens. Next base: position 7,552,074 of record NC_000016.10, on the reverse strand, counting down.
GACAATGAAAATCTCCTTATACAATTGTGGGGAGGGGTAAAAATACCTGCCCTGAACATCATAGAGAATGAAGAAATGGAGGATGTGGACACACGGCCTTTGCACATGCTATTTCTTCTGCTGGAATATTCCTCCTAGGGTTTGTCACATAAATGATGGGCTGTTCTTTATCCTAATGTCATACAGAAATGTGCACTTCTTTATGAAACCTATCTTGGCCATACCATCCGTAGTATGTTGGAAAAAGAAAAAAGAAAAACACCGCCAATGTCTGTGGTGTAAATATTGACATCATGGCCTATTTCAAGCTACCAGTGGGATCTCATGGAACACAGATTTGGCTAGTAATGCTCATAATTGGCCCTTGGCAGCCTATTCCAGCAGCTTCCTGCATGCCACTGAACCAGCTAGAGTAACTCCTACCTGCTCCTCCAGGTCACAGTATTCCACTGCATTACCCTTTTTAGTTCTTTGTAACATTTCTCACATTCTGAAACCACCCCCATTTATTTGCTCACTTATTGACCATTTCCCTCAAAACAATGTCAGCTCAGTAGCACAGAGCTATTGGCTGACTGGATCACTACTGTCTCTCCAGTGTCTCATGGCTTTCACCCAGCAAGTGCGCCCCAAATATTCCTTATTTGGGCCCCCACCCCTTGTCCTATGGCTTAGAGACCCTCTCAAGGCAGTGAGCTGGGGCCCCTGGAGGGTACATCTCATCTGCTTCCCCTCTGTGGATGCCTCATGCTGTCTAACGTCTGAAATCACTGTTGCTTGTATGGTGACTTTTTTCTAAACTTTAGTTGTTTCTGGGGGACAAGTGGTGGTTGGTTGCATGGAAAAAATTCTTTAGTGGCAATTTCTGAGACTGACCTTTTTAAAAGTTCTTTAAGGCAGCGGTGCACACCAGTCCCTGTTACTCTATCGTGGCGAAAGCAGAAGTCCTGTAAATATTCTTTTTTTTTCTTTTTTTTTTTTTTTTTGAGTCTCGCTCTTGTTGCCCAGGCTGGAGTGTGATGGCACAATCTCAGCTCACTGCAACCTCCGCCTCCTGGGTTCAAGTGATTTTCCCGCCTCAGCCTCCTGAGTAGCTGGGATTACAGGTACCCGCCACCATGCCCGGCTAATTTTTGTATTTTTAGTAGAACTGGGGTTTCACCATGTTGGCCAGGCTGGTCTGAAACTCCTGACCTCAAGTGATCCGCCTGCCTCGGCCTCTCAAAGCGTTCGGATTATGGGAGTGAGTCACTGCACCTGACCCCCATTAGCATTTCTGAGTCTGGGTGAAGACAGGTAGTCATTGTGGATACTGAGGATTTTTAAAATTCAGGGCAGTGTCTGAAAACTCACTGTAGGTGCCCTCCAGTGAGTCCAGAGACATGGTGCATATTCGTCCAGAGGCATAGTACCTATTCTAGAAATTTCTAAGGCTTCCTATTTCAATGAGGTCCGAATTAAAAATGAGAATCCTTTTTGAGCACTGTTTGTTAATATGAAAAGCATCATTTAATTAGGACTAATATAAGATGCCCTGTAGAGTGATAATTTAATAATTTGGTCGTTTTATTGATACAGTGCCCCCAGGCTCCTCATTAAAAATGGAAGAGACATTCAATGGGACAACACGGCTCTGCTGCTACAAACATTCCACGGGCTCTCAGATCATAAAGGTCCCCCTCTGGGCATCGTCACAGCTGCCTCTATAGCCCCAGAGCAGATATGCATATTGCCAAATTAACCTTCACGGGCAGAGGATTCCAGAAACCACTTCCCTTCTCCGGAACTCAAGGGTATTTCCCAGCCCAGCCAAAAAAAAAAAAGACTCTGGAGGAACTCACTCAGGAGAAGGGTAGGCTGGGCATAGTGGCATTCCAGTGCTTCGGGAGGCCGAGGAGGGAGAATTGCCTGAGGCCAGAAGTTTGAGACCAGCCTGGGCAACATAGAAAGACCTCCATCTCTATAAAAAATTAAAAAATTAGCCAGGCATGGTGTTGTGTGCCTGTGTTCCCAGCTACTAGGGAGGCTGAGGTGGGACAATCGCTTGAGCCCAGGAGGACAAGGCTGCAGTGAGCTATGATCACACCACTGCACTCCTGCCTAAGTGACAGAGTAAAACCCTGTCTCTAAAAAAATAAAAGAAAAAGAAAAAGAGAAGGATATGATGATGGTTAATATTGTCAACGTGATTGGACTGAAGGAGGCAAAGTACTGCTCCTGCGTGTGTCCGTGAGGGTGTTTCCGAAGAAGATTATCATTGAGTCAGTGGACTGGGAAAGGCAGACCCACGTACAATCTGAGTGGACACAAATCTAATCAGTGGTCAGCGTGGCCAGAATAAAGGCAGGCAGAAGAAGGTGGAAAGACTAAACTGGCCCAGTCTTCCGGCTTACATCTTTCTCCCATGCTGCATGCTTCCTGCCCTTGAACAACAGACTCCAGGTTCTTCAGCTTTTGGACTCTTGGACCTTCAACCACAGACTGAAGGTTTCACTGTCAGCTTCCCTACTTTTGAGGCTCTAGGACTCGGACTGGCTTCCTTGCTCTTCAGCTTGCAGACGACCTATTGTAATCACGTGAGTCAATTCTCCTTTATAAACTCCCCCTTATATATACATCTATCCTATTAGTTCTGTCCCTTTAGAGAACCGTAATACAGGTACTCTTCATGCTTCAAAACTTTCTAGTGGCTTCCTCTTGCACCTAGAATTACACCTAAACTCCTCACCTGGTTTGCATGGCCCTACCTACCTTTATAACCTCATTTCAAACACTTCTTTGCTTATTCACAGTCCTACAGCATTCAGCAGCCATAATGGTTGTTCCAAATTGGGGGCTAGTGAAGTCATAGGCATTGGGAGCTACTTCCACTCTGTAAATATTTCGAGGGTGTTTCCCACCTCAAGGCCTTGGCATATGCCAGCTCTTCTCTCTGGAACCTCTGCCTTCCACTGTTTACCAGACTGGATCCTCCTCATACTTAGTCATCGGCTTAAATGTCGCCTCTTCAGAAAGTCCTTCCTGTCCACCCTCTTCTCTGTTTCTCTCCTATCACCATCTGGGCTAGCCATTACTCTGATGTGTTTCTTCGGATCCCTGGAATGTGAGCTCTGGGATGGTGGCTTTTCCTTGGTCTGCATGTTCAACATTCTTCCAGAAGCCAGAGAGGTCAGGTCTTCATAGTGACTATGTCATTCATAATGAAGTGGGTCCCTAACTAATAGGCAGGAACATGCCATCATGCCTGGAATTTCCTCTCTGATTTCTACCAGTCAGTAGCCAGGCTGACAACTCCAGACAGAGGCAAACATGGCGGCCTCAAGTGGAGAAGAAAACTCTGAGCAAAGCTGTCTTTGCTCCCAGGCGATGGGAGATATGGGTGAACAGCAGCCGAAACTGGCTGGAGGCGAGAAGCTTTGGACTTGTTTGACTGCCCCCCCGCTCCTGCCCCAGAGCATCCTGCTCATCCGTGCAACCGCATGTGTGTGCATTTGCCCCTTGCATTGGTTCACAGCTCTAGACTAGGATGAGTTCCTTGAGGGATGGAGTAGGTGCCATTCACCTCTGTATTCCCAGTGCTCAGTGTCAAATGTAAATGTTTAAAGAACAACTAATACGAGGCCAGGCGCAGTGGCTCATACCTGTAATCCCAGCACTTTGGGTGGCGCAGCCGGTGGATCACCTGAGGTTGGGAGTTCAAGACCAGCCTAGCCAATATGGTGAAACCCTGTCTCTACTAAAACTACAAAAATTAGCCGGACATAGTGGCAGGCACCTGTAGTTCCAGCTATTCAGGAGGCACGTGAACCCAGGAGTCAGAGATTGCAGTGAGCCAAGATCACACCACTGTACTCCAGCCTGGGTGACAGATGGGACTCTCTGTCTCAAAAGTAAAAATAAAATATGAAAAACGAGTAAGAAAGAATATGACGTGAATAACTCCTCGGTTTGTTTCAAAATATTGCACAGGGTGAACAGTCACTGAAAATGAACAGAATAAGTAGCTCAAAATGTGCCTGTCTAGCTTATTTTCTGTTTACAGAGTGTCCTCTTTACAGCAATCCAAAACAGGCACTACACACGGGCAAATGCTGAGATGGGCCTACTAAAGTCTATCCTTAATACCTGGATTTCCTCCATTACCAAGGAGCAAAGCCAAACGGGAACACGGCTGGTGGTATCCATTCTGTTTTGTCTCCTATCAGGATAGATTACTCTTCTGCTGTTAAATACACACAACCTCCATGTTCATTAATCACAAAACAGGTTTCACCTTCATGCTAGCCCATCCCAGAACAATAGCAAAGAACTATACAACTGTTTCCACCTGCAAAAATAAAATGGTAGGAGCAAGGTGCCTGAGTTGCAAACTTAAAAACACGAAAATAAAATATTTAAAAGTCTAATTTGCAAATGCACATGCCTTTTAATGGTGCAGCTATTTGTCATGCCTGCCTCAATCCTGATTCTAACACTGCCAGCAGTGTGGTCAACTGACTATTAAAATATGGAAAGGATTATTTGCTTTGTTTTTTCTTCAATAAAGTATGTTGGTCTTTTAAGTAACCCTAGCTTGCAGAAGGGACTAAATGCCCCAGTCAGATGATCATTTTCTTCTTTCCCCTTCTCTTGTCTTTTCTTCTCATTTTTGGCATATAACAGAAGGCAAGGTGCTCACTTAATAAATTATGTTTGCAGAAACTGTGGTGCCAACTGACACAATTATACACTTGTTGAGTTAGTGGCCACTTACAAACAGACTTTGTAAGTCATCACACTTCATATCGAAAGGTGCTAATGCATCATTATGAGCTAGCAGGTTGCCTGCTGGATTTTACAGCATTGCACACTACGTTAACCTTTGGTACCACCAATATTTATGGCCTTATAAGAAAGTATTTATCAAGCTGAAAGCCAATATGCAGGGCTGTGCGTTAGCCAGTGCTGTTTAGAAACCATTATCACTCCTTTCTTCAGGCATTTTAAATCACTCTGAGATAATGCTTGATACTGGTGTGAGTGCAGGAGACAGGACACTGCCGTGCAGTCTTGGTGGGAGTTTAAATTGGTATGATCTTTCTAGAGGGTGATTTTGTTTTAGTTTTATCTGACTATCAAAAGCCTTAAAAAATGTGCATTTTTACTCTTTGACCCAGAAGTTCTACTTGTGGGAATTTATCCTACAGAAACAATCACGGTAGTGTGCAGAGATTTGCAGAAAGAAATTCATCAAGGTGATATTTGTCACAGTGAAAAATGGGAAAAAATTTAAGTGTCCAACTACAAGGGATTGGCTAAATAAACTATGTCCAATCCAAATGATCCCAGGCAATGAGACACAAAGAAGCCATCAGAGAAAACAAAAAGTTAAAATCTGAATAGTCATTGAATAATGACTCGGAATTGTATGTATGGTATTTTAAGTTAAAGAGAAATCCACAAAACAGTATAGCAGGTATCATCTTTGCATTTTTATCTATTTTCTAATTTTTTGTCAAACATTGCAAAGCCTCTCAAAAGATAAACAACCAGGTGGTCAACGAGGTGATGAAATAACTATGCTTATTATTATTTATCTGGATATACTATATTTTCTATATTGAATATGGGTTTAAGCACACCATAAGGGATTGCGTTGTATTAGTTTCTTGATCTGCAACAGCTGACACAAGGTAAGTAACCAATTTTATTTTATTATTTTATTTTATTTTATTTTATTTTATTTTATTTTATTTTATTTTATTTTTTGAGGTGGAGTTTTACCCTTTTGCCCAGGCTAGAGTGCAGTGGTGTGATCTCAGCTCACTGCAACCTCCACCCTCCGGGTTCAAACGATTCTCCCACCTCAGGCTCCTAAGTACCTGGGATTACTGGCCCGTGCCACCATGCCTGGCTGATTTTTATATTTTTAGTAGAGACAGGGTTTCACCATGTTGGCCAGGCTGGTCTCGAACTCCTGACCTCAGGTGATCCACCTGCCTCTGTCCCCCAAAGTGCTGGGATTACTGACATGAGCCACTGTGCCTGGCCTGATTTTCTTTTTCTTTTTTTTTTTTTTTTATAAGCTCAGAGTCACAGAATAATAGTAATAAGTGCTTCTAGTTTTACGACACTTTCCAATTTCTAAGGCATGCTCACATCTGATTTTGCACGTGACTCTCAAAACAGTTCTGTCAGGTAGGCAGGACCAGCATTCCTGGTTCTGCTCCCCCGATGCAGAGACAGAGGCTCTGAGGATGTCTGTGACTTGATGATGGTTATTCAGTGTCAGAATGGCAGAGCTGAGACCCAAGACCACGTTTTCTAGCTCCTGGGACCCAGTTCCTTGCCCTCCACCTCTGTCTGGAAAGAACATTCGGAAAGAATATAGCAGCCTTAGGTAAATCAAGTCACCGTGTCGGGCAACTCTTCACTCAGAGCATTTGGCTCTAATTCTAAACGTACTGGGTCAGAGGTGGAAAGAAGTGGAGACTGAGCTGGGGTTCAGTAAAACAGCCGCAGTAGCATTCTACCTAAGCTCTAAGAAATAGCACAGTCCTGTCTGGCGCCTATTAACACAGCTAGCGGCTTGTGAAGGCTGCAGGGAAGGTCGGGGGGTGCCAGGGCTGGGGTTTTGATGTCTCCTAGAATTACTGACTAATGTGCATCTGTTGGACAGGGAGGTGAGATCAAAGCCCCCCGAAGAATATAAAGGCAGAGGCCTGGCTGTGAGCAAGGGGCCAAGAGGATTGCAAACAATGCCGCCACCTCCACCCCCATGACCCGCACCCTGCCTCTCTCAGTGGTGGGCTTCGTGTCTCAAAGGAAAACTGCTGTTTCAGGAAAGGAAAGGCAGGGGCTCTTGCCTGTCAATCTCCACAAAAACAACCTTTACTTTAACCGTGTTCTCCCAGTCCACGTAACTAGTAACTACTCAAGTTCACCTTGATGCTCAGCAAGGCAGAGGGACCCTAGGAAAAAAAGATAATTCCTGCCTCGAATGATAATCATGATAGCTTTTATTCTGCATGCTTGCTCTTAGTAGACACTGTTTGATGCAATTTCACTGTACTGCTCGGCTTAGTCCTCACAACAGCTCTGTTCACTCATTCATTCATTCATACATTCCGTTCACACATCGTAACTGAGCTGCTATTGGAGTGAAGCATCACAGATACGGGGATGATGAACAAAATGCAGTATGGTGCTGACATTCCAGTATGTCCAGAATTGGTAAGCAAACAAAGAAAATTACTAGTTACAATAAGTGCTATAAAGGAAAAAACAAAAACAAAAACAACAACAACAAACAAGAAAAAATATCTCATGTGCTATTACTTTCCTAGGACTGCCATAACATATTATGACCAGCTAGGTGACTAAAATAAAAGAAAGGTAATCTCTCACAGTTCCAGAGGCCAGAAGTTCAAAATCAAGGTGTTGCCTAAACCATGCTCCATCTGAAGGCTCTCAAGGAGAGTCCGTCCTTGCTTCTTTCCTAGATCCTGGTAGCTCCTGGCAATCCTTGGTGTCCCTGGTATTAGTCCAATCTGTCTTTGATGCCCCTTGGACTTCTTACCTTTGTGCGTCTTGACATGGTTTTCTTACAAGGACAACACTCATTGAATTCAGGGCCCACCCTAATCCAGTATAACCTCATCTAATTTAATTATATCTACAAAGGCTCTACTTTCAAATGAGATCTCCTCCTAAGGTTCCAAGTGGACATAAATTTGGGGGGACACTAATTCACTCAGTACATTAAATCAAGCCCATTTTATAAACCAGGTGACATAGCCAGTAAGTAATCAGACACACAATGACCTGACTCCAACGTTCACTTCTCCTTTGTCATAATTTCCCTAAAGACATCACCATCAAGTAACTTTCACCTCCAAAGGACAGAGGTGTGAAATATAATGTAGCAACTCAAAGCCCAGTCTTTAGGAGTAAGCGTTGGTTTCAATTCAGGCTTTCCTGGTCTTATTCCCCCTCTCCATAGAATGAGGATTCTCTCTCACTTTATAAAGTCATTGGGAAGACAAATGGAAATAAACACCTTAGAATACACAGACATGGCTGGGAGTGGTGGCTTACGCCTATAATCCCAGCACTTTGGGAAACCAAGGCAGGTGGGTCATGAAGTTAGGAGATCGAGACCATCCTGGCCAACATGGTGAAACTCTGTCTCTACTAAAAATACAAAAATTAGCTGGGCGTGGTGGTGCGTGCCTATAATCCCAGCTACTCGGGAGAGTGAGGCAGGAGAATCACTTGAACCAAGGAGGTAGAGGTTGCAGTGAGCCAAGATCGTGCCACTGCACTCCAGCCTGACAACAGAGTCCATTTGAAAAAAATAAATATATAAAAAATAAACACACACACACACACACACACACACACACACACACACACACACACACACACAGATACTGCCCAGCATGGTGCAGACTCTCAATAAAATACAGCTGTTAAGAAATCCTTAAGCAATGGTTCTCAATTTTAATATGCCTAAGACTGGATTCAATCAGTTGTGTCACCACAGGGGTACACACACATTTCAACTTCTCTGAGATTCCATTGTCTCCTCTGAAAATGGGAAAGTCACCTTTATCCAGGAGTTTTCCAATTCAGGTGTTACAAGGGACAGGTGCCTAGAACCCACCCAGTCCTTGGCAGTGATAGCTGCTGGCATCTCCATGATCATTACCAGGCCTGTAAAAAAGTCTTGTAATTTCTATCAGATCTCAAATATCTCCCAGAATCTGACACCCTTCATTCTATGTGAGTGGTGAGACTCTCAGTTCTCAAACCTTTATGTGAAGTCATGTGTCAGGCCAGATTTGTAAGACTTGCCTAAAATACTTGTTAAAACCATATTCCCATTGGCCATTCCCTAAGGCTTTGATTCAGTAGCTCAGGAGTTGTGTCTGTTAAACACCAACCCTGAGTGATTTAAATGCATGGCGGGGTGCAGAAACAGTAGGAGAAGGAGGTGCTGCCACAGTACCATGCTTGGTCCACCTAACCTCTTTCCCCCACCTATAGGATTGTTCAGAACCTGGAACATTCACTGAGATGCAACCTAGAGCGGTGGACAGGGCCACACAGCCTCAAATGTCAGTACCTATAGTTGTAATGTCACTTGCCTTTCTTGTTTGTATGTGTGGGGTGGTGGTGGTGTTTTTAGGAAGACAACAATTATGTGTGCCTAGCTAGATCCTTCCCTTTCCCTCTTTCTCCCTCTCCTTCTCTCTCCCCTCTGTTCCTCTATTTTTTTTTTCCTCAGACAGTCTTGCCTCCCAGGTTCAATTGATTCTCATGCCTCAGCCACCCGAGTAGCTGGGATTACAGGTGCGTGCCACCATGCCTGGCTTTTTTTTTTTTTTTTTTTTTCATTTTTAGTAGAGACAGGGTTTCACCATGTTGGCCAGGCTAGTCTCAAACTCCTGGCTTCAAGTGATCCACCCGCCTTGGCCTCCCAAAGTGCTGGGATTACAGGTGTGAGCCACTGCACCCGGCCCCATCCCTCTATTTCTATCTCCTTTTTCTGTTTCTCTTTCCCCTTCCTTCGCCCTTCATGTCTTCTCTTTCTTTCTATCTCTCTGTTTTTAAAATTTATTTTGCCTCTTTCCCCATGTTCTCCTTCCTCTGCACTTGCACCCGTTTGGGTAAATCAACTGGAATTTCACCTGCAGACCCGGGTAATCCAGAAGAGGTGGGGTGGAAAGTCAAGAGGAAGTTACGGGTCTGGCGTATGCTTTCAAACACAAGTTACATGCTCCAAGTCTGTCTTTGTCACAGGTCCCTGTATCAGAGGAGGTTGGCTGCTTGCCTAGATATTTAAAAGGAATTATTTTCTTTCCCCTTTGACCAGTCTTCTCTGTGTATATCTCTCTGGCCCAGGTAGCCCATAGGGTTGAGGGAGTAATAGTCCGTTCAGAATGTTCTGTGCTCCAGCCCTTGTTGCATTCATCACAATCTCATCTGCCATTCCTAACAGGGAACTGCTGCTCTATTTTAGAGGTACCCCCACGAAAGCTGCCAGTACCCACACTTCTTCCCAGCTCAGGTCAAAAGAGAAGGAAAACCTCAGCTGCCGGCCAAGGCCATCTCTCTAATGTCAAGCTGAAGCACTGCACCTTAGAAATCTCTTTGCTGGGAAACTTGGCATCTGCTCACCCAAGACTTCTTTGCAGGCATGTGGCTTGTGAATGGCCTGGGAGATTTCTTAAGCACCCCAAGTCCTTCACATCATCCCACTTCATCCTCATGACACCCATCAAAATCATTTGCCAGAGGAAGAAACAGAGACTCAAAAAACATGACAGGCCCAAGGCCCAGGTGGTTAATGACTAGGAAAGCATGGCTGCTTGCATGGAGAAAGCCTGCATTCACTCCATTCCAATGGGCCAATTCTTTTGAGCTTTCCCGAAACATTTTTAACAAAATTTTGATTTCAGAAATAGATGAAAGACAAAACACCAAACCTACATGAATACAGTGGTATCTGGGACAGTCTAGATGGAATAAGCAGGATTTTCAATGCAAACGGACATATATTTCCTATCCTGTAAATGACAGTGAACACTGAATTCACTCTGAGTGAGATAAAAGTCGGGAAAAAAAAAAACCTGATAAAAACAAACACTAATGAGATCCTTTGACGCAGAAGATGTCATAGCAGAAAGGAGCAATCTCCTATCAGTGGAGCTCCTTCTGGAGGTAAATCTGAAAGAGGAAAATGCTGCTTCACGTGGAGCTGGTCCTTTGCCTCACATTTGCAGCCAACAAAGGGTAGACACTCACTTTTAGAAGCAATAAACTCTTCCTTCTGAGGGAATGCACCTTGTGCAATTTTGCTGAATGGCTTATTTTTAAGCCTCACTAAGAGTTCTTTGTGCTTGTCCTTAAATATGTATTCTGAGTAATTAGAGTGAATTATCTTGCTGCTCAAGGTACATACAGCAGTCAGGGGCGAAAAGCAGCGTCTATAAACTGCACAAGCCTTGGATTTCCAGGTGTGTGGTTAGGGGTGCTTCTAAAAGGAAACATTCTGGGTCTTGGGCAGGGAGGTATCTAATGTGTCTCTCACTTGAACCTCTGAGAGAGCTAAACCTTCAATGCACTGAATTAACCAGGGTCATCAAACTAAGGTCCCTAGAAGACACAGGTTTTAGTGGTAAATGGTGTTGGGATGAATCCAGCCTTGGCCACATGAGGAGTTTAGGGTTTAAGGAAAGTGATAAGACTTCTCTGAGCCTTAGGTTTCTTAAATCTGCAAAACAGAAACATTCCTACAAGCCTAGCATGAGTGCTGGGATGACAACATGAACTCCCTTCGGTGAAGAATCTCATAGGTGTTTAATTATTGATCTCCTTATTTCTCATTCAAGAAGAGACAACCAGAAGTACTAACGGTTAAGCCTGAAGAGGTCATGACTATCATGAGCAGGTTTACGGACATCTTTTATGTCCATGACAACAACCATAGAGACAGCAGAGACAGAGCAGTCAGTGATCATCAGATGTGTTGTATAAACCTGGCACCAGGCTAAGAACTCTGCAATCATTGACATGTGTTGTCTTCATAACTACCCTCTGTGACAAACACTTTAATTATCCTAATTGTATAACTGATGATAAATAACACAGAGTAGTTGTGTTACTTGCCAAGTCTTGCATGGGTAACACCTGAGGGAGCCTGGATGTGAAGTCAGGCAATCTGTACAGGAGCCACTCTCTCAGCCACATTGCCGACATGGTGCCATATTGCATTATTTTCAGGTACCTTGAGTTATTAAACATATTGCTACAGTCAGAGACCAAGGAGTTTCCAGCGAGGGAAACAGCGAGATCTGGAGAAAACAAAATGGTACAGGCAGGGAAGCAACATCGCAAGCTTGGGAGTACACTATAAAAGATAACTCTAAAGTAGCAGAGTGAGCCTTTGAAAGGAGGAGACGGGGGTTAGAAGAATCCCACCACCAATGAGGCACATGTCTTTCTGCAAAGCAGTAGCAATAATGACATACATGATAATAATAGAAGTAGTGGCAGCTACAATTTATAGGGCACCTTCTATGCTTTAGGGCTTAGTGAGGTTCAATAGCTTTCCCAAAGTCATGCAGTGAATAAAGGGCAACGTTGGGATTTGAACCCAGGAAATGCCTACCTCCAAGGGGCTGCCTTCTCCATAAAGGAGAAATAAGCCAGTATGGGGACGGAGTTATCTTTTTGTCTCTTCTCATCTATCTGGATGCTATATTCTTACCATTCTGATAATGACTCCTCTCTCGTCTTTCATCTCCCAAGCCTCATCTGAAGTTCACTGGGGAGGGCAGAAGCAGGAAGCCCAGTGCTATCATGCACTTGGTCGCCAAGCAATAGACTACTCTGCCTGGTCCTTTGTGGCCAGAAACAGTCTCGGTATCCTTATTCCTGCATTTCATTTATCTGGATCACCAATGCCTGGTGGCATCACCTCTATGTAGAAGATTACAACTCATCCATTTAAGCATGTTACTTTGGGTGATCCCATTGGGAAATACATGAGGAAACACATTATCTGTTGCTTCAGATCATGGACAATATGTCACCTGGGCTTCTCAGATGTGCAAAAATACGCTCTTTATATTATCCCGTGTTCCACCTACAAGAAGAGACTCCTATTTGGTTGGGGAGTGGTGAGGAAGCTGCACTGGGAATAGAGAGAGATGAGGGACACCTGGCTTTGCACATACTCTTCACTCTTCCTGGAATGCTGCTCCCACTGTCTTCTCTTGCTGGACTCTCCCATCCTTCAGAACACAGCTTAACCGACCCTTCCTCAGAGAAGGCTTCCCTGATCTCATGTCCCTCCCTCCTTAATCTTCTCTTTTTCAACCTAATATGTGTTTTCTTCAAAAAGTATCATGGTGGACTCAAGACGGTTTCACATTCTTTGTCATATCTCCTAGTCAAAGGTGGAGTCTTTTCCCCTCTCCTTGAATCTGAGATGACCTTATTTTAATCAACAGACTGAGGCAGACATAGCACATAGCAAATGCCAAGGCTGAGCTTTATCAGATATGCAGCTTCTACTCTCATTTCTTGAGACACACCTTTTTCGAATTCAGCCACCACTGAAGTGTGTACATGCCAAGATGATGCCCATATGAAAGTCTCATTGACCATAGAACTCCATGCTGTGAGGAAGCTCAAGCTAGTCTTGTGGAGAGATTGAGTGGCGGGGTGGGGGTGGGGGTGCGGGGGAGGAGATGTGTTGTACAGACAATCACCAAGTTCCAGACATCTGTGGGAAACCTTGGAACTTACTCCCCAGTTCCAAGTGGTATATGTACCAAGCTGATCTCTACAGCTAAACTTCACCCAAATACCTGAAGCATAGAATTGTAAGTAAATAAAATGTTTGTTTGGGGTAGTTTGTTAGGCAGCAATGCATAACTGAAGCAAACATTACAATTTGTAATTATTTAGTTACATTGTTTATTTGTTTCCATCTCTCTCTCCTACAAGATAACATTCTAAACGAAGAAACCATAGCTATTTTTTATCTGTTCCTCAATCTTCGGTGCCAGTTACACAGTAAGCACTCAACAAATAATTTCGAATGTATGATCTATCATTAAATAAAATAACAGCAACACTATAATAGTAATAGAAGTTGAGGAGAATTACATTTTCCTCAACAGTAAGTTGAGGTAGTTGTGGCAGTAATAACAGTGGACACCATAGGAAAAGTAGCATAATAGTAGCAGCTATGGGCTAATGGGGCAGATGGACAGCACATACCATTGCTGGACAATAGGAGGCTTTAAATAAGGATCTTATTGATGGCGGAAGGACTCATGAAAGAAAACCATTCAAGTGAAGCCCAGGCACGAGATAGCCTTCCTCAACAAACTCTCACTCTCAGATCTTCTGGCAGGTCCTCGTTCTCCTCTACTAGGATGTATGTCCCTCCAGGGCAATACTCACAACTCTTTGTCTCCCAGTCTCAAGGTCTAACCCAGAGCTGATCACTCTGCGGGTACCTCCATTGATTTCTCACTCTTTCCGGGCACAGACAATGTCTGACTCATCTCTGTTTTCCAGTAAGAACCTGGCACACAGTAGGTGTTGATAAATGTTTGCTGAAATAAATTTAATTGGGATCAATGCCCAAAAGGCAGATTCTCTCATTTCCATTGTTTAAAAATACCACGGATTTCCCCTCATGCATTATGTATGATGGAAATTAATTTATCCAGAATTGTTTTCCAATGCATAATTTTCAAAGGCTCTAGTCTGCATTCAACTGAAATCTGCACTGGGGTGGAGGCGGGGTTTGCTTAGTCTCTGGCTCCTGCGTTAATTCCAAACACTATTCCTGAGATGGACCCAAGCATAAGGGCCTGGATGAAATCACGTTAGAAGCCACCATTTCCTGATTCCTACTTCCCTTGGCAAGGTCAGGATGGATGCATCTCATAGAACCAGGTAGATCTTTTTACGATGTCTTCACCCCCAGCTCAGTGGCATCTCCATTCTTCCAGCCCCTTAGAAGAAGGTGGCAGCAAAAAGAGTGTGAAGTTGTGGTTATAAGTGTAGGTCTAGAGTCAGACATATTACTAAGTCAGACTTGTTCAGCTATGACCTCAGGGAACACACTGAGTCACATCAACTGACCACGCCTCAGTTTCCTCACTGTAAAGAGAGCATCATCACATCCTCAATGGTCACTCTCAGAATTAAATTACAAGGGACTATACCGTCCCAAATTGTCACAAAAGTCCACAGGTGTGAATACTGTATATTACAGAGAGCTCTGGCAGATTATTTGGTCATTTGATATTGACTCCAACCCATGTTCCAGACCATTCTAGTTCCTATCAACATCTCTCATCCAGCCCATGGCAAGAGCTTACTGGCAGTCCTTTCTGCCACTTCCCAACACCATTATTGCTTTTCTCCAATCCACTGTCCACATGGTGGTCAGATCATTCCCAAAATCAAACCTAATGATGGGATTCTTTCTGCTTAAAATCCTTCAATGGCCTCCCATGGTACAAAGCCCCCAGATGAGGCCAGCAGGGCTCTGTATGAGTGTTTCTTGCTCACCTGTTTATCCTCAACTTGGGCCACCATCCCCCTGCCCGTCCACACAGCTACACTGATATTCATCCTGTCACAGGAATATGCCAACTTCCTTTCTGTCACTGGAGTGCTGGTAACTGATCAACAACCAGCTCTCCAGAAAAGCAGACAGAAAAGCCCTCATCTGTAGCATTGCCAATGCCCATAGTGTAAATACTCTCACCCTGGAGGTAACAAGCTACTACCATGGCATCCCTGTCCTGTTGGAAAGAGACATATACAATCGACAATCACAGGCCATTAAGAGCTGGCTTCCACACGCCCCTGCATCTTGTTTCCACATCTGCTGTCTGTCCTACCCAGGACATCCACCCACCTTTCTCTGCATGTCTTTCTTTTATTTATTAATTATTATTATTTTTTTGAGACGAAGTCTCACTGTGTTGCCCAGGCTGGAGTGCAGTGGTGCCATCTTGGCTCACTGCAACCTCCGCCTCCTGAGTTCAAGCGATTCTCTTGTCTCAGCCTCCTGAGTAGCTGAGATTACAGGTGTGCAGCACCACACCTGGCTAATTTTTGTATTTTTAGTAGACACAGGGTTTTACCATTTTGGCCAGGCTGGTCTTGAACTCCTTGCCTCAAGAGATCCACCCACCTTGGCCTCCCAAAGTACTGGGAATACAGGCATGAGCCACCGCGCCCAGCCTCTAATTTTCATGTTAAAAGTCACTTCTTTAAGGAAGTCTTGAATGCATCTCCGCTTTGATTTATGTCTCCCTGTTGCTTGTTTGCACATCACCCTCTACCTTTCCTTCACAGAAGTTTTTGCAAATGTAATTACAGTCAGCTCTCCTTTCCACGAGATCCACATCCACAGATTCAACCAATTGCAGATGGAAGAAACAGTGTTTTCTTATTTCCATGGGATGTCGAACCTGGTGGATACAGATGGCTGGCTGCATTCAACTGTGTGAGTGACGTGTGTGTGTATTCTGTGTTACGGTAGACTGTACATTCCTTGAAGGAGAAGCTATGTCTGTCTTATTCACTCTTGTATCTCCAAGGCCCAGTTCTGCGCCTCTCAAATAGTAAGAACCCAAGAAATATTCAGGAATAAATGAACAATACACAATTATTGAGTATCTACTTTGTTCCAGGCACTTTGCCTAACACTGAGAATAAAAGTGATGAATAAGGCACAGTGGTACCCTCAAAAAGTTTATAGCTTTATGCCAAATATTAAATTTTAAGTGGTTGTAAAATTGTTCATGTGTATTTAGTAGATTAATGTATGTGTGATACATAGTAGGAGTTCAGTAAGTATTTTGGGATGCCAAACTAAGGGTGGATTTTCAAAACATATAAAACATACAAAGGAAGAACCAACTCTAGTTTTGAGGTGGTGTCAGGAAAGAGTTTACAAAGGAACAAAGATCTGATAGACTCTCCAGCAAAGTCAGTGGAAAAGACTTCACAATTTAATTCCAGCATGGAAGGCCTCCCTTCCCTGTATCTAGCTTCCTTCCTGACACCATCTAGCCCAGTTTATTTTCAAACTATGCTGAGGTATCAAACACTGTTTGCATCTCTGAGTCGCAATGTCCAGCGAGATGTCTGGAAACTTGGTTGGCCAACATCCTCGCTGTGAATAAAAATGGTGTGGACCAATTGCTCACATCCATGAAACCCTAAGTGACCGTGAAGGCAGATTCCAGGCTCCCAGCTACAGAAAGGGCCCGTAAGCCCAGCAGCCCTGAGCTGGCCCAGGGAAATGATGGGAAATGCAATTTCATAAGGGCTGTTTGCAAAGTAATCCAATACATTACGGTGTGTGCATTATTATTGTATTATATTGAGGAATATCACATTTAAGGAGATTTCATAGCATCATAGCCATGCACAAGGGAATATAAAAGCGGTTAATAAAAGAGAGAAGTACAATTTCCCTTCAATGTTAGTTATGCTCCTATTATACTCAGAATAATAATCAGAGGTCCACTTAGCCTGACTTGGGAGTTAACAGAGCTGTAATTACCTCGTGTCTACAGTGTCATTACCAAGGGCTCAGCCCCAGTGTCAGGACACTGAATTCTCAGAAAGCCTGCAGCGCTTGACATTCGAGCTAAAGAAGGAAAATCGCAGGGCTTCCTAAAGCCACACACACACATAGCGGGGCAAGTCAAGACGTTTGAGCAGCCCAGGGTGAACTGTGTGTTAGAATTAAGGGCCCCCTAAAACCTGGATCCTGCTCATTAGGATTTTCTTCTGCTACGAGTGGATAGTCTCCTATCCTAGGAACCCTTACTGTGAAAAGGAAACCTGTCATTCCCCCGGCTAAATACATTAGACTTAGTTCTCCCTCTGCTGAGCCTGGTGAAAAAATTGTCTGAAGATTTGCTGAGAACAACAGAAGACGCACTAACGACTTTACCCAAAACTGACTTTCAGTGGATCGAATCGGGCTTCCAGGGGCTCTTCCTGGGATCAGTTATTCTAGCTACAGGGGAAGTTATCCTGGGGCTTACCGTATTCTACACGTAAGCTTCAGAGAAAGGCATCAGTTGCCTATTTTAGTTAATCATTGGCTCTATTGTGTGTCCTCAGTGTTTAAAGAGTTGCTGTGGTGGCCGTGCACTGTGGTTCATGCCTGTAATCCCAGCACTTTGGTAGGCTGAGACGGGCGGATCACCTGAGGCCAGGAGTTCGAGACCAGCCTGGCTAACATGGTGAAACCCCATCTCTACTAAAAATACAAAAAAAAAAATTAACTGGGTGTGGTGATGGGTGCCTGTAATCCCAGCTATTCAGGAGGCTGAGGCAGGAGAATCGCCTGAACCTGGGAGGTGGAGGCTGCAGTGAGCCGAGATCGAGCCACTGCACTCCAGCCTGGGCAACAAGAGTGAAACTGCATGTCCAAAAAAAAAAAAAAAAGAAAAAAAACGTTGGGACCTTTGACATGAATCAGGGCTGGATCTGAGTTCCATGTCTATCACTTCCTGGTGCCACTATTTGGAACAATTTACACAACCGTTTAGAGTCTCTTTTCCTTATCTTTAAAATGAGGTAACATCGCCCACCATTGGTTTTAGAATTAATTGACTTAAATCATTAATATATTGCCCAACACCATTATTACTTGCTCTATTAATAATAACAACTGAGAAACTCATTCTTTGACTGAAGAAGAATGTAGTATTTACTAATCCTGCTTTTGTTTAAATCAAGGTCAGTACAGATGATTCCTAACTTACGATATTTCAACTTAATGATGTGGAAACAATACACATTCAGTAGAAATCATGCTTTGAGTGCCCATACAACCATTCTGTTTTTCCTTTCAGTACAGTACATAATAAAGTGCATGAGATATTTGACACTTCAGTATAAAAGAGGCTTTGTGTTAGATGATTTTGCCCATCTGTAGGCTCATACAAGTGTTCTGTGTATCTTTAAGTTGTGCTAGGCTAAGTGATGATGTTCAGTAGGGGAAGTGTATTAAATGCATTTTCAACTTGTGATGGATTTATTGGGACATAGCCCCATCATAAGTCAAGAAGCATCTGCAGTGACATAGGTCTCAATTTTAAAGGATTTTTTTTTTAAAAAATGCAGGGCTGTGTGTATGTGTATGGGTGTTTCAAGGTGGAAGAAAATGTTGTATTTCTGATATAACAACTCTGGCAGTCACTAAATTCTGGCATTACACAAACACATTTTTCATTTTCTTTCTGGAGTTCCACAGGGAAGTCCAGTTTGATGGAAAGAATTTTTAAAATGTAATTCATCAGTCCAGTAAGAAATACCAAATCTTTTATTAAAAACAACCCAGACGACCTGAAAGAGTATCATACTCAAGTGCCTATGAGGACCAGTCCATGCAGGTAAAAGGGTACACTTGGTAAAACCCTACAGGCAGTGCTGGCGACTATGACAAATAGTCAGAGGGGACGGATGACACATCCCCAACATTAGCTGCCATGTTTTGTTAGATTTTTCCATTTTTTAATCAAAGCCAGCTTATTTTGTGAAAACTTCCATTTTACAATGCAGGCAATTAATTAATGTGAGTCCAATAAAATGGCCCGATGCCTGAATGCAGCCAGCAGGCCAACAATATGTACACTTTGGCCTAGATCGGGGGTTGCCAAACTTTTTCTGTTGAGGGTCAAACAATAAGCATAATTTTGGCTCTGTGGGCCATCGAGCTCTGTCACAATTACTCAAAGTTGCTGTCATCATGCAAAAGCAGCCATAGGCAATATGTGAACCAGTTAGTGTGACTGTGTTCCAATAAAACTTTATTGACAAAAACATCGCAGGCAGGAATCGGCCCACGAGCTACAGTTTGCCAACTCCTAGCCTTGCTACTTCTGCTGATGTTAAAAGCCTGGAGAAGGCTGGAGAGAAGAGAGAAAAGGAAGAGCTGCTAAGGGGCTCTGGGCCCCATCCACAGCTAGACTAGGCAAGGAGAAAGATGGCCAACGCCCTGTATTCCAGGGTGCGCATCCAACTCACGTCCTCCCTTTTCCTAGGTCCCCTCTGGTCTTCTCTGTCAAGAGCTTCAATGTCTCAAAAGAGGAAAAATTCCCAAATCCAATGATTAATATACCCTATCTCCCCTCGTCCCCAACATCTGCCTTCTGGAGTCACAGAAACTCTCTGGGGCTCATCTCCCCGAAGCTGGCGCCACCCACTGTTGTCTCTTCCCCTTTTGTGGAGCCACCAGATGAATGTCACCGCCTGGAACCCCAGGCAACTCCCGGCATAACTGCTAACCCAACTCCCACTTGCAAGCCAATTAGAGGGAAGAGGGGGGACGAAACCCACCTCCTGTCATTGGAATGCTACACCTACCGTTGCTTTTCTTAGTGAAAAAAAAAAAAAAGGTAGCTAGTTTCTCCCCCTAAAAAAGGCCAGAGAACAATCTATTTAAATTATAGTGTAACAATATAAAGCAAAAATGCAGAAGTCAAATACAATTTGGGTTATAATTATAGCAATTTCCTTGTAGCAAGTTTCTCTGGGAAATCCAGGCTTCCTCTTGTGAGCTTGCCAAATGGTATGAAGGCCTCTTTCACTCTATGGGGCCACTGGATGCCACTGGGGAAGGGGATGGGTTAGGGATGGGAAGGATGTGTGTGGGTTTAGTTGTATAAATTGAGGGAGTTGAGAGCTCTACAGACTTGCAGGATTGTTAAGATATTTGCCTGTAATGATATTATCATAATTGAAATAGTTAGCAGGGAATGTCATTTAGGTAAAATAAACTACTAACGGGGTAATCACACAAAATGGGTTTTGGAATCTGCCAGGCCTATGTTTACATTTGCTTCATACCTGTGCCTCAGTTCCCTCATCCGTAATCGTGGTATGATCACACCTATTTCTTGATGAGTTATGTCAATGAAATACACAACATAGTGCATGGCTCATGGAAGACCCCAGCATGGACTGGGTAAGACAGTGGACCGTGGCTGCCTTTGAATCCCATCTCTGCCCTTATCAGCCTTGTGACCTTGGGCAACATCCTTGATTTCTCTATGTTCTGGTTTTCTCATCTAGGCCATAAGGGGTTAATTATAGTCCCTGCCTCTTCTGGATGCTGTAAAAATTCAATCTGATTGTCCACAGAAAGCTGGTAGTACCATTTCCACTGGGTACCCAGTATGAGCTCACTAAATGCTAGTGATCATTACCATACGTTATCCATAAATGATCGCTGCTTCCTCTTTTGTAACTTCCTTTCAGCCCAAGAAGTTTCTATTTGATGTTCCTCATCTGACAATCAGAATGGGCATTTACATTTCTCCCTTTTAAAAGATCAGGGCAGCCCATATTGTTTGGATTGTATGATTTGCAACTCTACATATTTTTTTTTATTTTTACAAGAAAATTGCCTTTTCACTTTCAAAACAAATCTGCAACATTTAAGCCTTCACATTAACTGGTCCTGATGGTCTGGTTTGTTTTGAGTGGTACAGGCTGAAAACCTTGGTTTACTGCTGAAAGAACTTGCCCGTGGAACTTCTGTCCTAAGGACACTGAGATGGCATGCAAGTCAGGTCCTCAAGCCCAGGTACATTCTGCTGCTGCTGTCAGGGTGAAGGCTTATTTTCTGGGTGGTGATGACTTTCTCCCCATGGCCCAGAAGCCAGAGAACCCATGAGCATCTCCCTGGATCTCCAGACTGTCTGGCTTACTGTCTCTTGAGAGTCTGGTTATGTTTCTACCAGGGGCAGAAGCCAGCTTCTGAACTCCTGCAGAGATTGTACAGTCACTTGGACCTAGCTCTACATCAAATGCTATAATTTGACAATTTGGCAGGCTCCACATTCTTCGGGGATACAAAGGAAGAAACCCAGACCCCCTGGTTAGTGTCCTGACCCAGAAGTAATGATTGGGACTGGAGCTGGCAGGAACGCATGACATTGCTGAATTCACACAGACCCATTGATACAACCACCAGGAGCAGCAGGAGAGAACTAGATAAAATGAAGACTTTTTTTTTTTTTTTAAGAAGTCTGGAAGTCTTTGTGAGAATAAGGCCCACTTGTGGCTGAAACCTCTGGCTAGGAACCAAAATAGGATAGCAAAGAGAAACAGAGACTTACAGTGTACAGCTCAGCGTGCTTCTAAAGGCAGTGTCATTGGGACTTTGTCTATTTCAATGCAGAGATAACCCCGGGTATGTGTATTTTAAAAATGGCTGTAGAATCCAGGAGATGGACAGAGGAAGGGCATGGTACAGTGGGAGTTTTCTCTTAGGACATCCTTACATTGGGTTCTGCTGTGATACTCACTGTGTGACTCAGGCAGGTCACTTTCTGTCTCTGAACCTGAGCATCATTCGTAAATGAAGCAGGAAGATAAGATAGTCATCTCAAGCTCTAACATTCTATGAATCTCTGCACTGTCACACTGAAGCATCCAAGCTGTCTCTTTTATGAACCTGAAATACAGTCTCCCTTAAAGGGTTCAGGTTCCTAAATTCACTTTTTTTTTTTTTTTTGAGATGGAGTCTGACTCTGTTTTCCAGGCTAGAGTGCAGTGGCATGATCTCAGCTCACTGCAACCTCCGCCTCCTGCATTCAAGTGATTCTCCTGCCTCCGCCTCCCAAGTAGCTGGGATTACAGGTGCCCGCCACCATGCCTGGCTAATTTTTGTATTTTTAGGAGAGACGGGGTTTCACTAGGTTGACTAGGCTGGTCTCGAACTCCTGACCTCAAGTGATCTGCCCGTCTCAGCCTCCCAAAGTGCTGGGATTACATGCGTGAGCTACCATGCCCAGCCTAAATTCACCTCTTGAGTTTCCAAGATTAAGTCAGAAGTTGTAAATTCAGTATCTTCAGAGGCTGGACAGATAACAAAAATGAATAAAATAGTAGTGAACAGGAGAACCCAGAAAAATAAAAATTGCTGCTATTCTTAAGAAGAAAGAAATCTAAACATTTGCAGTGGAAATATGTCAATGAAATTATAATAGTGGTTTAACAATCCAAAATAGCAATGATTGGATGGATGGATAGGGACCACATCCTGTGGACAGGAAATTTGTTTGCTAAATTACTACAGGGTCCCCACCAAAGGGTTGCATACCATCACGCTTGTAATTTTGTAATGCCTACCTTAATGGAGAAAACTAAAAATTTATTTTGCCAATGTCTCCAACATAAGTTAATCTCTCTAAGCATGGATGTTACTTGCCTGGATGTGAAAGTATTTGAGTTTTCTTTTTCTTCTTGTTGTTGTTGTTTTTGAGACAGAGTCTGATTCTGTCACTCAGGGTGGAGTGTGGTGGCATGATCTCAGCTCACTGTAAGCTCCGCCTCCCAGGTTCAAGCAATTCTTCTGCCTCAGCCTCCCGAGCAGTGGGGATGACAAGTGCCCGCCACCACGCCTGGCTAATTTTTGTACTTTTTGTGTCGAGACAGGGTTTCACCATGTTGACCAGGCTGGTCTTGAATCACTGGCCTCAAGTGATCCATCTGCTTTGGCCTCCCAAAGTGCTGGGATTACAGATGTGAGCCACTGTGCCTGGCCTTCCGTTTCCAACCCATAACTTATGTGATCTTTTTAAATATGTGCAACGAGAAGATAGCGTAGATGAACTCTTTGGCTCTCCCAGCTCTAGCATTGCAAGGTTCTGGCTGAGCCATTCCTGAAACTTCTGTCAACAGAGAATAGCCAACTTCTTTTTCCAGCCTTGAATTCAAAAATTGCATGGAATTCATAGGAACTTACTATGCACCTAAAGACTATATGACCATGAATTAAGGGCATAAAATGACTGTTGACTAATGCATGACCCAAATACTGCCCACAAAATAGATTAATGCCTATTTCTAAGTTCACTGGAAAACACCTGTAGTCCCAGCTACTCAGGAGGCAGTACTGAGCTACTGAGCTCAGTACCCTGCTATTGAGGCAGGAGGATCACTGGAGCCCCAGGAGTTTCAGGCTGCAGTGAACTAAGATGGTGCCATAGCACTCCAGCCTGGGTGATGGAGTGAGACCCCTCTCTCACATAAATAAATAAATAAAATAAAATTGCTTAATGGGGCAATCAGCTATGCAGAGGGAATTAGGTCCTTCAAACACTTACATCAGTCCTTTGTCTAGCAGTCTCTATGAGCTACAGAAAGGATGGATTTGGGTGTTTGAAGGACCTAACCAAAAATAAAGATAGAGACTGCTTAGTCATCCTGAGTGGGTAAACTGATGACAATAAATACAGGTGTGAATAAGCACAAAGCACCAAATGAGGACAAAGTCACGATGAAACTTGTCAGATGGCTCTAATATTTGCAATGGAAATAAGCCAGTGAAGCCCCCTAAGGAAACATTAAATCAAACCCTTAGAATATGCCTGAGCATTCCTCATTTAGCAAAAGCAAGATGTCCTTGGGTCTTAAAAACAAAACTTCAGTCATTTCCTTCTCTAATGAATCTCACTTTGTTTGCCCACGACCTAGACTTAGACCAAGAACAGCTTGTACTGATAGTTTGTACTAAAACATGAGTGATTGAAAACCATTTGTCTATAAATCATTAAATACAAAATTACCTTTAAAATAAATCTCGGAATTGGAGTTTTAGTTTGGCACTTGAAACGGGAAATTTCACAATTCTTATGATGAATGTATTCTCCTGGATAAAACATTTTTAATGAAGAACTCGGAACCAAGGAGACCGCTCTGATTTCTCATTATGGGTACTGTAATTATTTCATAATTAGGATGGTCGATCTGGTAGAATGTTTACTATGTGTTTGTCATTGTGCTAAGACCTTCATAGACATTACTGTATTAGGATTTCACAACAACTCTAAGCCTCACATATAAAAAAGAACAGGCTCAGAGAAGTTATGTAACGTGCCTATGGTCCCACTCTGGGTCAGACAGAATGGGAATGAAAATGTCAAGCTCTGTACCTAGATTCTACTCTGCTTCTCCCGATAATATCTAAAGATATTTAACCAACGCCATTTTTTTTCACCTGTCATAACAACCTCCAATTCTGCCAAAATCCGAGGCTGAAACCCCAGTCCAAAAAAGAACGTCAAACACATGGGTCTTTGATGCTCAGAGATATCCTGTTCCTGGCCAAGTTATCCTAAGTTGGGATAAATCATTCATTTTGGCTCTCCAGGACTAGACAGTTTTTGATGACCAGGGTCTTTAAAATAATAAAACAGGCACAGTATTGGGTAATAAAGGTCTTTAGTTTATCCTGAAAGCCAAGGGCCATGTATTGCAGAGAATACATGGGAGTGAGAAGCATAGTGCTCAGGCTCCTAAGGAAACAAGAGACAGTACCCATGTCTTCAAATTAAATGTGAATTTTAGGAAAATAGAACTGGTATTGACAAAACAGCTCAGTCACACTGTCATCCGAAAAGACAATTTTGAAGCCACCGAAACATGTTATTGGAGTTTGCTCAAGGCGCAGGTCTCAAACAAGAGCACACTCGAAGTCTGTAATGTTGCACAGGCTTGGGTCTGCTGGGGCCCTCCCCAGGGTGAAATGAGTAATTCCTTTCTGCAACAGCAACCTATTTAGAAAAGAGGCCAGTGTGGCTGGGCATGCCTGGGGGATGCCTTCTGGGCTTCCAGCCCTTAAGAATTTTGGTCTGACATGCCTGTTTTTGAGCTCTGACTCCTGCTTCTCAGCCACAGTGACCTTCAGTAAGTGATTTGCCTTAGATTCTGCTTCTGTAACATGGGACGATAACACTTCATACGTGGTGGGGAGGGCCAAGATTAGTTGAGATTGTGCATGGAAAGTGCTTAAAATATAGTCTGACAGTCAATGAGCAAAAGTTATGATTTTTGAGACTTTTTCCTGATTCTCATTTCGATGTAACTATTCACCCTATTTTTAGACGGCAACCTTCAATTATTTTGCCAAACTTTCAATGTAAGTACATGAGGCGTAAACCCTCCTCAAAGGAAAAGAACTCTGTTGTTCTGTAATCCATCGTCTGATAGTTGTTTAGAAGAAAAAAGGGAGGAGATCTGGAGAAGGGTCACAGCTGAGGAAGGGAGTTATAGAAAAAATAAGAGCAGAGAGGTTCAATGGTCAGCTTGAGCTCCTTCCGCTTGTAAGCAGAATGGAGGGTCAAATCTTGTCAAGTCCAGAGGCCAGGCCTTAACTGACCTGTTTGTCTAAGCTAGAGGGCAGCCACGAAGAAACCAATCTTCATGAGAATTCTAAGCCATTGGTCAAGAGATCCTCTAGGGCAGCAGTCCCCAAAATTTTTGGTACCAGTTTTGTGGAAGACAATTTTTCCATGGACACAGTGGGGCAGGGAGGATGGTTTCAGGATGAAATGGTTGCACCTCAGATAATCAAGCATTAGATTCTCATAAGGAGCACACAATCTAGATCCCTCGCATGTACAGTTCACAATAGGGTTCACGCTTCTCTGAGAATCTAATGCCATTGTTGATCTGACAGGAGGCAGAGCTAAAGTGGTAATGCTCACTCATCCACCACTCACCTTTTGCTGTGCAGCTCAGTTCCCAACAGGCTACAGACCAGTACTGATCTGTGGCCTGGGAGTTGGGTACCCCTATTTTAGAAGACAGCTGGAGACTGGGGAAACAGCCTGGACTTTAACATCAGGCAGACAAGATGTGGGTGACGACCTCAACTGCACCATTCCCAACTCAAAACATCTTCAACCTCTTTCTCCCTTTATTGGTGGGATTCTAACAGCATTCAAAAGGTTGATGTAACAAAACAAGATGGCGACCAAAAGAGGGCCTAGCATGATCTTTGGACCACAGGAGGCCTCAAGCAATGGCAGCACACCTCAATTTTTCTTCTCCAGGACACCCAACAATTCTAAAAGTACTTTCTTTTGTCAGAGAGGGGGAAAGCCACACCCAAACACACAGAGTCCGCAGGGACATGAGCCAAGAGTTGGCTAGCACATTGGGTTGGGCAAGGGTGTGGGTGTCAGGCCTTCTTAGGTTCTGTCCATGAGGGTGCAAATCGGTGCAAGCTCTCTGTAGGGTAATTGATCAATGTCCACATCTTAAGTCCATGTACCTTTTAGCCATTCACACCCAGAGGCAAACAGAGATGGAGAGCAATCTTTGTACCTAGCTCTGTACTGTAGCCTGATGGTAAATATCAACAGTGCAAGATTAAACCCAGAGACAACCTAAATTCCATCATTAGGATACTTCTGTACATAAAAATGCACACACACACACACACAAAATAATGACTGAACCCCTAAATATGATACAGAATAATCTCTGAGATATAAAGCAGGTGCCAAAGTAGGTGTTTAGATTTCAATTCTGTAATTTTGAGAATGGAAATAGTGAGTACTTATAAGATATAAAGATTGAATTAGAGACAGATGATAGAGATAGAGGGAGATAAAGATAGAGATAGAGGACAAGCAGGCATATGCTTGCATTTGCATAAAACACTTCTGGAAGGAAATATAAGGTATTAGTAACTCATTTCTGGCACAGAGACTAAGAATTTGGGTTGTGGGTATTAGGACATGTTAGTTTTCATTTTATATCCTTTTCCAATGTCTGGCTTTTTAAACCCCAAGCCTGAATTGCTTTGATGATGATAATAATAATAGCTAGTTAGTCAAAAGGAATGCCCTGAACAAGTTTTTCCTATACCTTAGTGATTCCATCAGCTTCAAAATCAGAACTGGCATGGAAAGGGTTAAGAACAGGACACCATCACCAACCAATACCTTATCTTCCTAAAAGTATTAAGGAAATTTGGAGGCGCAGTTAACACTTCAGTGGGAAGCGGCTGAGGCCAAAGAAGAACCTGGCTCTCTAAATAGTTCTTTTCCCTGTCAGTAGAGCCTCCAGCTCAGGAACCTAGCTGGGGCACCCACATTCCTTCTCCAATCAGGGCCTAGAGCTAGTGGGAAAGTGGTGGGAGCCGTTTCAACAGACTGCAGAAGCGTTAAAAATAGAAGTTAAGTTGCTGTTGGAGATACATGGAGAATTCACCACTTGCAAATCTCTAATGATAATATGTCAAGAGTAAAATACCTTGTCAGGAACAGTATCTAACATAATACAGTATTGGCTCTGTCAGCAATGTGATCCGTGATATGTTTGGAGGCCTACATGAAATAGAAATTCAGCAGAAAAAAAGGCCTGCAGGGACTCATCTCAGCCTGTGGGGAACTAAAAGGATGACCTGGTAAGTCTTTTCTGTCTGCATTTTACTGAGCTCTGGTTGGGAGCTCTGGGTGCATCCTCCTTCCCTTTTACAGATTCTGCACTTTGTGTTAAATCATGTGCATATATTAGATGTTCTTGGAGGCCACCAGATGGATGGCTGGTTTCTCTTACCCAAAAGTACTTAGTTTCTCAAAGAAATAATGGCCTCTACGATGTCCTTAGAATGATATTAAGCATCGTGGATACATATGTCAAAGAAGAGTTAGAGCTATTCCAGGTACAGCACTATCCTATGGGGAATGACCTAGGTATCTCACAATAGTAACTTTTTGTGCAAATACAGGGTCATGGATATAGGGTGGGGAGAACCATAGTTCTGACCCACTTTGAGGTTAAATTCGTTCCACAGGAAATTCAGAACCTGGAGTGAAGACAAGGTACACCCCATAAATGTAGGAGGAGGCAGAGACAATTTGAAGTAAACTTGTCATAGACCACGTTCTGCTGGTGTAGATCAGGAAAGGATAACTGAAAAGTCACATCTCCTTTTTGGCCAAAGAGAGATGAGTATACAGATGTAATTGTTTGTAACAAAAAACGAGACAGCCCCTTTATGATTCCCGCACTTACCCAATACCAGTTCAGAATATAAGTCTTAAAACTTCCTTCAGGATCAGCCCCAAAGCCCACCTGCTTCAGCCCCTAATGGCTGTCTTTCCTTTAAAATCCTACCTCTAAGAGTGTGTACCATCCAAACATTGCTGGAGAAGACAGAGTAGACAGCTAACCGGTCCACCATACATTTACATTCTCCAAATTCGGGCATCCATTGCCATTCAAATACTCTAGGAATTATCTAAGGCAGATTTCTGACATGTTTGCCCAAGTTCAGGAATCCTTCCTTTGATGATGCTGCCTCCATTCATGGAAAAAATGAAGGCAATGTAGATGGAACTCCTCACATTATCTCTTGACTTGAAAATTTCTCTGCATCCTCACACATTCACCCTTCCTTCTCTTCTGTTTCAAAATTGAAGTACTTCCAAATGTCAGCAGATTTATTTCTCCATTACCCAAAATGAAAAACAACCCAAATGCCCATGTGTAGGTAAATGGAGAAATAAACTGTGGCATATCCATGCAGAAACAGTACTCAGCAATGAAAAGGAAGGAGCTACAACCACATGCAACAATATGGATGAATCTAAAAATAATGATACTGAGTAAAAGAAGCCAGACAAAGAGAGCACATAATGTTTGAGGTTACTGATATAAAATTCTAGAAACTGCAAATTAAGCTATAGCAAAAGAAGCAGACCCACTGGTTCCCTGGGGATGAGGCAAGGAGGAGGAGGGGAGGATCAAAAAAGAGCAAGAAAAGACTTTGAGATAATGGACAGATTCATTATCTGGATAGCAGTAATGGTTGTGCATGCAGGTACATTTGTAAAAATGTATCAAAGTGTATACTTTAAATATATACAGTTTATTGTATGTCAACAAAGCTGTTAAAAAGTGGTTTCTTTTTTCCTAGACTACCTACTATTTCTGAATACTCTTGATCCTATTCCTTCTTATCGCCTATAAAACACTTCATCACTTTCTTTCCTGCACCATTATTCCCTATCTCTTGCTTCCTGTCTTTTGTGCCCCACGTAGGGACCTTGTTGGCATAAATTAGTTGAATCTAAATCAACTATCCTACCAACTGCTTTCTCTGACTTCTTTGCTTCTCAGATGCAATCTCTTCTTTCTCCTCATCACTCCAAATATTTATAACGGGCAATGCCCACCCACTCCAACATATCACAGTTATTCCTCAACTCTTGTCCCTTCTGCATCTCTCTCCACTACTCTAGCAAAACTATTGTCTTCTAGGTCTTTAAAGACATCCAAACTGTCACTTCAATAATGTCTTCTCAGTTTATACCCTCCAGGCTGTATAGCCCAACATTCAACTGGTTGAATGCCCAATCTGAACATCCCATTGATGTCTTACTCAATAGTTCCTCTTCCTTCAAACCCCACCCCGTGAGCTCTCCAATGTTCTGTCCTTGTCTTTCTCTTCACTCCCTACTCTTGATTAACACCAATTCAAGCTTCTTTGTACAAAAGGTTCACCATGCTACCTTTAGCTCGGACAAGATTCTGTCTACTTCGTTTCTTTAATGATTTATTCTGAAGGCATCTCATCATGAACTCTGATGAAATGGTCTTCATTCCATGTATTTGGATATGAAGCTCCTCAGTGACCCCAGGGCTGGGACACTCAGTACCAGCCTCAGCCACTGAATGAAGATAACACCACACAAGCCAGGAATGGAGATTGATTCCCACGAGAGGGCTTATATGGGATGAATCCAAGAGCTTTTCACAGGTGGTGACTGGAGCCTGAACTTGCAGGACAGAGCCAGAGAGCTGAGGTGAGGACGAGGAAGCCAACTCAGGATGGTTTCCCATTAGAAGCTGATGGACACGTTCCAAAAACCAGGCTGTGTCCACCCTCCGCCTGGACTTTTTATTGTATGGGCCAACATGCTTCCTACTGAGTTTTCTCTTTCCTGTAACCAGAAGTCTCTGAAAGGTATAACCCTCTGACTATGATTTTGAAAATGTTTTCTCCTACTGTCATTATGATAGATAAAACCTGTGAAAATCTATATGCTAGAATTTGGCACGTTATCATAATTAACAGAAAACAAATCCTATATTCTCCTAAGGCTCTCCAAGGAAAGAGAGCTTGTCTGCACATCAGATTATCTTGCTGCAGTGCCTGGGGCACTGTGGACACCCAACACGCTATTTAAATTCAATTGTGTTGATCTCTAAAGTGTTCTTTTTGCAGGGCAAAGATGTGGAGCATCTCAGCTCCCCAACTAGATTAAATTTCCTTTAAGCTAGGCATCACTAACCCTTTCTTTTTATGTCTCATTTCATAACTCTTCTGGCTTAAACTCTTTTTAATGGTTTCCCATTGCTTATAACGTGGAATTTCAACTCCTTATTGGACCCACCAGGTCTGTAGGATGTCAAATCCCTGCTAATTCCTCCCGGTTCATCTTTTGCCACATCACCTCCAAATCCCCTTCATCATGCCCAAAACATACTGGCCTCTTCTTAGGACTTTGAGTGAGCCCAGATCTTTCCAACTTTAAGACCTCTGACTGTGGTATTCCCTCTGCCTGGGCTGCTTTGTCTTACCACCTTAAGCATCATCTCCTTGAAGAAATGCTCTCAGACTACACGTTTGCAGGTAGCACCTCTGTTCTTTTTTAATTTTCCTACGGTACCCATATTTTCCTTAAGACATCTATCACACATGCTATTTGCCACATGCTCAGTTTCTGCCTCTCATACTAAGTTACAAGAGGTAAAGATCATTTTGTTTTGTTCAACCATGGCAGCTAGTATGAATCCTGGCCCTAATAGAAGCTTAATAAATATTTGTGAATAAATAAATGAATACGTAAAATTTCCACAGCAGTTAGCTTAATAAATAATGTCTGATTGGATCTTTTTTCAAAATCTGAAAATAACCTATCCAGGCATTACTACTATTAATTGTCACAAAATAGCCAACAAACAGTAAACAACATCCCCATCACTACTACCTGGTAGTCAGCGCAAAAGCAACAAACACCTGCTGAACCAGCAAACTCATTTAAAAGGCCCATGCCTAAGGCACAGCAACTAAATACAAAAAAGTCGGCAGCAGGAGTGTTCAGAAGAACCAGAATGTGGAGACAACCCAAATATCCATCAATGGACTAATGAATAAATAAACACGGTCTATCCATACAGTGGGGTACTCCACATGAATGAACCTAGACAACATCGTGTTAAGAGAAAGAAGCCAGACACAAAAAGCTATCTCCAAGGCAGATTGGTGGTTGCCAGGGGCCGGGGAGAGGGAGAATGGGGAGTGTCTGCTTAGTGGGTATGGGGTTTCCTTTTGGGGTGCTAGGAACATTCTCAAACTAGATAATGGTGGTGGTTTTGCACTACATTGTGAATACACTGAATGCTATTGAAATGTGTACAGGATTAAAATGGTTAAGTTTTATGTTATATGTATTTTACCACAATAAATTAAAAAGGGAGGAAGGCAACTAAAAATTTCAGAATGTATACCATTTTTTTAAAAAATCTTCAAAACTAGGCCGGGCGCGGTGGCTCACGCCTGTAATCCCAGCACTTTGGGAGGCCGAGACAGGCAGATCGCGAGGTCAGGAGATTGAGATCATCCTGGATAACACAGTGAAATCCCGTCTCTACCAAAAATACAAAAAATTAGCCGGACATGGTGGCGGGTGCCTGTAGTCCCAGCTACTCGGGAGACTGAGGCAGGAGAATGGCGTGAACCTGGGAGGTGGAGCTTGCAGTGAGCCGAGATCGCGCCACCGCACTCCAGCCTGGGCAACAGAGTGAGACCCCATCTCAAAAAAACAAAAACAAAAACAAAAACAAAACGTCAAAACTAGCCTCCAAATGAATGAGGTGGCAAGTAGCAAAGTTAGTCAGTGTTTTCTTTTATCACAGGAAATGTATCATGCTTCAAAGCCATAAACTCCTTCACAAATACTTGCTTTCCTGAGGTCTTGGGACAGGACGAAGAGGCAGAATTGCCTTACACTCAAAAAATGTTCCAGACGACAGGATTGGGGTTCCCAAGCTTCTAAAGAATTCTGCAGAAAAAGGTTCCCAAATGCATGTTCCATACAGGTTTTGTGGTATGCATGATTACTTTAGGTGGCACACAAATGAACATTATTTAATTTTATGATAAATATTTTCATTTAGAGTTATATTTGATTAATGATCAAAACACCAGTTTTCATTTACAGTGATGATAAAATGTTTCTGTTTACATGCCTGTTTCTAATCCATTTCATCATTTGTACGCAATAAAATTTACTCTTTATGGCGTATAAAGTCATGTAACCGTCACCATTAAGATACAGGACAGTTCCCTTATTCATCAAAATTCTCTCACCCTGCCTCTTTCTAGCCCCTGCCCTTTGGTCCAGCAATAAAAATGAAGAAACCAGGGACAAACACCGCAACCTGGATGAATCTCAAATGTATTAGGCTAAGGTAAAGAAGCGAGGTTCAGAGCTCTGAGGTATGAATGAGGAGTGGCTGCAAAGGGGCACAAGATTTGTATTTAGGCTGATGGAAATGTTCCGAAATTAGATGCATCCGGCAATCATCGCACAACTCCGTAAATATGCTAAAAATCAGTGAACTGTACACCTAAAAATATACTAATTTTAAGGTATGTAAATTATAATTCCACAAAGACTTTATTTTTGTTTATTTAGAGACAGAGTTTCACTCTGTGACCTAGGCTGGAGTTCAGTGGAGCAATCTTAGCTCACTGCAGCCTCAAACTCCTGGCCCCAAGCCATCCTCCCACCTCAGTCTCCCAAGTAGCTGGGACTACAGGCATGCACCATGACACTCAGCTAAATTTTAAATTTCTTGTAGAGATGAGGTCTCACTTTGTTGCCCAGGCTATTCTCGAACTCCTGTCTTCAAACGACTCTCCCATCTCGGCCTCCCAAAGTGCTGGGATCACAGGCATGAGCCACCACACCCAGCCTCCGTAAGACTTGAAGAAAAATTATCTTACATCAAATTTTTTTTTTCCAAAAAAATGAGATTTCATTGGGATGACATTCTAGAAAGGCAAAACTATAGGAATAGAAAATTGATAAATGTGCCCCTTTACAAATAAATGAAATTAATTAATAATCCGTTGATTTAAATGAACGCTAAGAATGAATGCATGGAAATGAGGTAAACTTCAGGAAGCTGGTATGATGAGGGTGGGCTTAGGGACTGATCTGTTTCCCAGAGTCCCTGGGTAGATGGGGGTGCACCCCCGCTGCCATTACCAGGGCTGGGGGCGCCTCCCCATAACCTCCCACCCGTAGCAAACACGTCCACTTACTGTGGCGGTGCCAGAGACGGTCTGAGCGCTCGTGTCCGCCGGGCTCTGCTCGGAGTGCGTCTGGGCGGGAGGGTACAGGTTTAATGTGTGCTCGGGAACCGTGGTCTGGCCTGTGTACTCTGGCGCGGGGTGGGGATGAGGGGCCGTGTATTCCGCGGGGATACCGTTCTGCGGGGGAGCAAACTGGGCCGAAGCGTAAGGCTGAGCCATTGTGTCAGGGGCAGCGGCTGCTTCCTGATTACCCTGAAAAATCAAAAAGGTGCAGAGAGGGAGAGAACGTCATGAGGAGCCACCATGCAGAAACCTTCCTCCCAGATCCCAGGACGATCGTGCCCCGCGTACTTTCTAGGGGTCACCATGGTGCCACCAGCCTGAGATGGACCAATCTCAGGTCATCTTCACCAGACCCTATAAGGAAACAGTAACCATCACTTCTCCCCATTTTACAGATGCAGAAACCGAGGCTTGGAAAGATAAAGATAAAGTCGCTTTTTCCAAGCCACCCAGCCTAATATTCAAAGACATGAGGGTCTGTGGCTTTACTAGATTGATTTTTTTTTTTTTTTGGCAGATCCTTTTTATTTCATTCCCATTTTGGAAGCTGTGAGCATTTAGTTGTCTGCAGTGACAGCAGAACCTTGATTTGATACTTAAAGTGCCAAGAGAGACTAAATTGAACGTGTGTGTTCTTGAGAGGAGAGACAATTTATGTAAGCATTTGAATTTAATCAAAGTTTTATGTGACTTGGCTCACATAATGGGAATAGGGAGTATCCTTTTAATGGTCCCAGTGTCTGTGTGGTTGTGTGTTATGTTGTGTGTGTGTGTGTGTGTGTGTCTGTGTGTGTGTATGCGTGTATGATGTCCCCAGTGCCAAAATGAAGCAGCTGATACAAATTCAGGGCCTAATTTGGACAAAGACTGTCCTCTCTGACATCCCCATTTTAAGCATTTCTGAAAAATATTGGATTTAACTCTCAGTCTCATTAGTCAATGCCTCTCCCTCCCTGCCTTATTTTTTTATGAGCACAGAGTATTATATAACAATTCATTCTTCAGATCTAGGCAAAACAGGCAGTGTGACAATTACAGCCAACTCAGAAGAATTTTAAAAACACACACAACAAAAACCTGAATACAAATGCTTCCATTTCAGGAAACAGCTCTCTCTCTTTACCTCCTCCTCCACAGTTCTACCACAACACACACACACACACACACACACACACACACACACACACACACACACACGGCATAAGAAATTGTAACCCAAAGGTCTAAACTTTCCATGGTCTCAGGAGATGGGATCACACAGTCAGAAAGACAGAGCGAGGAAAAAAACTTAGCAATTAGGCACACCAAATAGCTGCCTCTCCTATTGTCTGTGGTCAATTAGATGTGACTTTGGCCCTCATATAATGATACTAGGGCAAAAATATCAGAATTTCTCCTTATCTCTTCAGTACTTGCCACCAACATCCGAAATCCTCTTTCTCTAAAGCAATTTGAGTGCAGCAAAAACATGATGACAGAAAGAAGAGAGGAAAAAAAAAAAGTTTGTTCTCAGAGCAGCACACGGAGCTGGTGCATTTGTTTAGAAGGGACCTTAATTAGAATGTTAAAGATGACACTTGGAAGAGAACTAAGCTTAGGATAAGTTTAAACATTTTACAAGTAAATCATTCCCATCAGGCTCTTCCCTCCTCCAGACAAATTTCGCCAAATGTCTGTGCCACTGGAAACAAAAGGGCACGAGCATTTCTTTCTCTTTCTAACATTTTCCCATAGCACTGGGGCCATGGAGGGTGTGCCTATGTTGAGGCTGAGTTGCTATCCATGAGCAGTTAACCTTGTCCATCCTTGGGAAGCCAAAGAAGACATGCAGTGATACTGCTGGTCTGTCTCCACTCCTGTTTCTTCAACAAAGCCCCAGTTTCCTTTTGGGGGACAGTCCCACTTTCAGCCTGTATGGTGCAGATACAGTTGAACCCAGCTCCCAGTCGCTACGAGATGAGCCATAGGACATCAGCCTGGCCAATCAGATGGTCCCACTGAGATAGTCCCATGGATTTGCGTTCATGCACATCTATCTAGTGAGTCCGTTAGTGCGTTAAGCCCTAGTCACACCACTGAGTCCCAGTCACCCTGGGATTTTGCTGTAGTTTTGGGGAAGAAGTTCTCTTTCCACGGTGATGGGCAGCTGTAAAAACATCATAAGCCTGGAGCTGCCAAGAACTGACACTTAGGGTGGGCATGTTGCCTCATGCCTGTAATTCCAGCACTTTGGGAGGCCAAGGTGGGTGGATCACTTGAGGTCAGGAGTTCGAGACCAGACTGGGCAACATGGTGAAACCCTGCCTCTACTAAAAATACAAAAATTAGCCGGGCATGGTGGCACATGCCTGTAATCTTAGCTACTCCGGAGACTGAGGCAGGAGAACCACTTGAATGTGGGAGGTGGAAGTTGCAGTGAGCTGAGAGTGCACCACTGCACTCCAGCCTGGGCCACAGAGCAAGATTCCGTCTCAACAACAACAACAACAACAACAACAACGAACTGCCACTTGAAGGGGACCTCCCTACACGTGAGGCCAACCTAGAGGAAAATGAAGAGAAGAAACTGAGGAACAGAGAGGTTTCTACTGAGTCCCAGTGACGTCATTTGAAGTGTTGAATCCAGCTTTACCCGCAGTCAGCACCATCCCTGTTTGTTGTAGTTACACAAGTCAGTAAATGTCCCATATTTTAACAGCTTTACTAAGATACCATTAACATAAAAATTATACATGTAAGGTGTATAACTTGATGTTTTGACATATGTATACATTGTGAAGTGACCACATTCCAGGTAATTAGCATATCCATCACTTCTACATGATCTCCATTTGTGTGTGTGTGTGTGTGTGTGTGTATGTGTGTGTGGAGAGATTTAATTTAAGATCTATCCTCTTAGCACACTTCCAGTATATAATACAGTATTTTTAACTCTTGTTTCCATGCTGTACTTAAATCTCCAGAATGTATCTGTCTTGCAAAACTGACACTTTGTACCCTTTGTCTCATTTTTTAAGCTACTTTTTCTGTTACTTACAACCAAAAGGGTCTTGACTAATTAAAAAAAAAAAAAAACTTCTGCTGTTTTATAACTAAACTAGCATCTTTTCTTTTTCTGGGCTGTTCAAGGAACATATCCTTCTGTACAGAAATTTCATAGCGATGCCACTTCTCTATGGGTGATGAAAAGCCCCAGAAATGTTGGGATCTTGGGAATCATCTGATGAGAAATTCACTGTGCCAGAGGCAGCTTCTGCTCAAAGATCTGTTTCTGCCTCCCCAACCTTCTACCTGGCCCATCTCTGAAGTGAAAGGTAGACTTGTGTAAACTCTTACAGGGAAGCACAGAATAACCACATAAGCAGTGGTACAGACAATGATCATATGAAGACAAAGGTTTCCCTCCTCCACCTCCAGCAGAAGATACTTTCACCAGGAACATATATAACCCTGGGGCTTTTCATCAGTGCAGAGCAAGCTCAGGAAAAGTGGCCCATTCCTACTAGTTCTTGCAAAAGAGCTAAGGCTCCTTGTAGACTTCGAGCTATCTCTGTATTGAAGAGAGAAGGGTCATGCCTTCCAGAAGCTTATGGTCAGTTAAGGGAGAAGAGCTCCATCCTCTCAACCCCATCAAGTCTTCACATTTACTGCCCCTCAGCTTGGAAAGCCTCACCTACCCCCTTGCCCAACTAGTCCTTACTCTTCCTTCAGTCCGCATCAAGAGTCCCTCCTCCAGCAGGCTTTCCTTGATGCTGAAACCTGGTCAGTTGCCCATCCCCTCTGCTCCACTGCAGCTGGTGGCCACAGCTCACACAGCACCAAGCACTGCCACAGCCTGATTATTTGTCTGTGAGCTCCCTGAAAACAGGACACTGTGCCACATTCCCTGTCCCATCTCCATGGTCCAACAGCATACTAGCTGCAAAGTGGACATTTATAAATGTTTGCCAAGTGAATATGTGCTGGAAAAATGACCTCTGGGCTCTGTAAAGCCTAGTCTGGCAGCAGGAGATAGGGTAGGGGGATGAAGAGAGGACCTAGCAAACGACTCATGAGGCAAACCTGGCCCAAATTTTGTTTTTGTAAATAAAGTTTTATTGGAACACACCCATGCTCATTTGTTTACTGTCTGTAGCCGCTTTTGTACTACAAAGGCAGAGTTGGATAGCTGTGACAGAGACTGCCCAGCCCACCAAGACTGAATGATCTATCATCTGGTCCTTTGTGGAAAATGTTTTCTAATAGCTGTGGCAGAATGTCATTAGATATGGGATCACCAGTTAAGAAGCCATTATTGCATAAGTAGTTTGGGCAGGAAATAAAGCAGGCAGTGAAGTAGAAAGAGAGAGAAAGGGCCTGTATACTCTCCAAACCAAAGAGGGGTGATAGCTAGACTTGGAGACTGGCAATATTGAAAATGGTGCAAAAACAGTGGGTCAGAATCTTTTGGGGAATTTACTTTCCATCCGCAGATCTTTGACCTGTAAACTCACAGGCACACAGGCTTTAAATCTGCATAAGTGGGCTTATGAGCAGAAGGTTCATGATGGCCTCAGACTTCCATGAAAAGCAGCCCCTTCTCCTCACTGGTCCTCAGAAGAAAACCTAATAGGTGGCAGGCACTGTGCTGGGCGCCTCATACCGGTAGTTCTTACAGAGGTGTGATTGCTCCCCACAGGACATTAGGCAATGACTGGAGACAGTTTTGTCACAAATGAGGGAGGATGTGCTACTGCCATCTAGTGGGTGGAGGCCAGGAATGCTGCTAAACATCTTACAGAGTATACGACTACCTTGAACCACAAAAGACTGTCCCGCCCCAAATGTTAATAGTGCCAAGGTCCAGAATCCCTACTTTTCATGCAATGCATCTCTAATCTCAATTTACCTTGTCATCAAAGATGCTGCAGACCAAAGCTGGGAAATAATTATTCGAGGCCACAGTCACAGGTAGTTGTTAGGGAAGCCAAGAGTTAAACCAAGGCATTTCTCATCTAGCAAGAGAATCACCTGGTGGGGAGTTCACTTCATTCATTCATTCATTCATTCATTATTTTTATTTTTATTTTTTTGACACAGAGTTTTGCTCCTGTTACCCAAGCTGGAGTGCAATGGTAGGCTCTCGGCTCACTGCAACCTCCGCCTCCGAGGTTCAAGTGATTCTCCTGCCTCAGCCTCCTGAGTAGCTAGGATTACAGGCACCCGCCATGATGACTGGCTAATTTTTTGTATTTTTAGTAGAGACGGCGTTTTACTGTTGGCCAGGCTGGTCCCGAACTGCTGGCCTCAAGTGATCCATCTGCCTTGTCCTCCCAAAGTGCTGGGATTACAGACATGAGCCACCGCGCCTGTCCACTTCCCATTTTTAAATAAGCAGTTCCCTCTCTATCACACACACCATGGACCTGTGTTTAGCTGTTGGTGTGTTACTCCCTGTGAGGAAGCCAGGGACTAGGGTATTTGATTCAAATATGCCAGCAATTCCAATGGCCAGGTTGGGTGGGTGACCATTCGAAAGGAGTGGGGCAGCAGCCTGGGAAACTTCTGCACTACCTCAAGCCTGACGCCTGACTTTGAAATGCCTTGAGGCTATCCGAGGAAAGGCAAGGGCCAGCTGGGGGCACCACTGGTGCCAAAGCAAGCCACCCACCTCTACCATGAGTTGTGCAATTCTGGCAAACACAGAGCACCATGCTCTAGGGACTGAGTCCATGGTAGCCAAGGAGCCTGCAGTTAGCATCCAGGAACATGGGACTCCAGATTTCATCCTGTACCTGGAGTTCTCAAACAGATGTTGGTGGGACCCCCTACAGTTACTTATTAACACTGACAGCCGTTCCAGAGAGACCCTAATTAATATTCCCAACATTTGCACTTTAGGCTAATTACAGCTAATATTTAATTAAGACCATTGTACTTCCTATGGAATTATTTTTCACCTTCAAATGGCTCCAGAGATGTCTTTGTTTCCTCCCTAGTGACATTCCTGGATTCTTAGCTTGGCTGAAATGTATTTTCTGGAAAAATACACTGACATTAAGGGCACCTTTTCCACTCCAGGTCACAGCAAATCCTAGGCACGCGAACAGGCTCCTGGGTTGGAAGCTGAAGCCAACTTCATGTAGGGGACAGTGACAGGCAAAATTATTTGGAGCATTCTGGCTAGACATTCCCTCATTTGCAGAAGCTGCCTTCTTTCTTCTACTCCAATGCCAAACCCCCACCTTTCCCTAAATAAGTGGAATGATCAGAGAGAGCTTCTGATATCTGCAGAGTCAGGGTGCTTGTGGGTGTTCCTAGTTGATGAGCAGGATGATCTGCCTCACAAGTGTTCCCCACATCATCAAGCAAATGCTTCAGGAGCTTTTGCAAACTTAACGTTTAATTTCAGTGCCTGGACTTTCTTGAGTTGTTGCTCAATACACAAAAGGAGGATGAAAGAAGGCCAAGATCTCACGCTTTAAGACCCACTATTGCTGCTGCACAACTGACTAGAAGCTTGAAATAAACAACATTTATTAGGATAAACAGAGAAGAAACTTCCTTGTCCTCAGTCACCAAACCTCTCAGTCAACGAGAGCAACTCAACGACAGCAGGATGATGGAAACCTGTCATTACTTAAGACACCCCAACGTGTAGCTTTCACTCCAGTTACCAAGAGCAAAAGGATTATTAAAATGCAACCAAGTCTGATTCATAAAAGCAAAAAAAAAAGTCATTTCAATTTAAATATTTTACTGAAGCATGAAATAGCCTGGCTATCATTGCTATTTTAAGACAAACACTGTAATCTGACTATTAGCATAGTGTGTTGACTCTTGTATGCATGCAATAAGAGGGCCACTCTTCTGATGCTCAGAGAATTTCTTTGGTCCCTGAAATATCCTGAACCCTGAATTTTCTCTCTGAAGTGGACTCAGGAGACAGAGTCAGAGAGAAAATAAGATGAGAGAGTTTTGTTGTTGTCGTTGTTTTTTCCCCAAGACATTGCCCTTCTCCCATTCGTTGCCCTGAGTGGTTTAATAAAGTAGTTTTGAGAAACTAACAAGAGAAACAAGAGTGGTAGCCAGTCAGGGTTTGCAAAACCTTTTGGCTCAAAATTGAAGGTAAACCGTATTTCAACTGAAAAAGAATCTTTAAGTGGCCGAACAGGAAATGGGTCTATTCTTTTCCATGTAACTACCTGACTTTCACTGAGAAGGCAAAGTACCAGCTTTCGTAGCCGTCCAGGTGGACTTTAAAATAGGCAAGCATTTTCCTGTGTGGGTATGTGTGTGTGCACACTCACACACCTGTATTTCCCCACCTTTATAGTCAAACTTCTTGAGCACACCCTCCCTTTCTGCATCTGGAATTTACTTGTCCCCAGTTTATTTCCTGCTGTGGAGAACCTCCTCTGGCCTTAACTCAACCCTTATAATGAAGACATGCACAGGAATTGTCAAAACCTAATAAGCCAGCTGATCACATATGCCCACACAGCCCAGGAAAGCAGCGGCTCCTGCAGTGGGACCCCCCACCAGCATGGACTCACTGGAGGAAAACTATCCATTCTTGATGGTTGCTTGCAGTTTTCAGTCTTGCTGACAGTTTGTTTTACTTTAGTTTAGGAGCATGGTCTACACCACTTCTCTGGCAAGAAATCGCGCATATTCAGAGAAACCCTCTTGTGCAGAAGTGAATTGAGCTAAACTGCATCATGCCCTAGGGGCATTCAAACAAAGAAGAAAAATGCAAAAGGACACCATTAACCTGCTGGTTCTAAGATCAGCTCAGTTCCACACATCAAGCAGAAAGCGCGCGTGCGCGCGTGCGCGCGCGCCCACACACACACACACACACACACAGACACACATACACACACACACTCTCTTCACCAAAACTCCTCTCCTTTCCCCGGGCATGATTCAAGCAGCAAGCTACGTGTCACCGACAGCACGGACTTAACACAAGAAAAGCT
Source organism: Homo sapiens (assembly GCF_000001405.40). NCBI lineage: Eukaryota > Metazoa > Chordata > Mammalia > Primates > Hominidae > Homo > Homo sapiens. Next base: position 7,510,374 of record NC_000016.10, on the reverse strand, counting down.
TTCAGCTTCATTCAAATCGCAATTTTGAGTGAAAGATTAAATGGAAAAAAAAACAAAAATACCTGCTGCACCATCCTGCTTCCTTTCTCCTCCATAAACTTAGCAGCTGTTCTTGTCCCACACCACAAAGCATCTGCCCCAAGCACGCCTCAATTACGAGCGAGGGTGTGCGCGCTGTGCAATGTGTGGATGATCGGGGTGTTGAGGAAGGTGGGGGGCTGAGGCCGCCTGGCTGACCTCCCCCTCAACATCTGACTGCTCCCAAAACCAACCCAGATGGCACTTTTTCTGCCAGGAAGGCCTGGCCCATCAATCACAGCTTGCTCCTCCTCTGGCTCCTACTCTCAGTTTCACAGCGCACCACTGAGCAGATG